>NC_000002.12:126239618-126864618 GCF_000001405.40 Homo sapiens | reverse complement strand
TATAATGTTTAGTTTTGCAGGTTTTTGAGTTTTATCTGAAATGGAATAATTTTGTACCCATTCCCTTTGGGCTGTTTTTTTCAGTTGGATACTACATTTGTGAAATCTGTCTCTATTTGATATAGTATTCTGTTCATTCATCCTCCTATGGATGGATGTTTGGGGGATTCCTGTCTTTGTGAGCAACGCTGCATTTTCTGCATGTGTGGTGGTGATCCTACTCACACATTCCTGCTGATTCCCATTTGGTATCTAGAAAGAGGATGGGTGGGCCACACACCACGTATATGTTCAAGTCGCAGGACAGTCACAAATCATCTTCCATGGTGCTTTCCCTGTTTACATGTCCACAAGCAACGAGCTCTCATTATTCCACATTTCCATCAACTTTTGTATTGTCAGGCTTAATTTTAGCCAATCTGAAAGGTGTTGAATACATCCTATTGTGGTTTCCATACTATTTCTTTACAGGAAACTTCAAGGACCAATGTAAAGTCTAACTCCAGCTGGAGATGTGTGACGCCAAGTCCCAAATATATGAGGCTTGTCTGCCTCTGCCTTTCCTAATCGGACAGCAGCTAGCCCTGGGTGATGGGGCAGAGGCTGGAAACATAATTTGATTGGCTTTGTCTCTTTGAATTTGGAGATTTGTACTCCCCACCCTGCATCTTTGCCCAACCTGCTCTCAAATGTTGATTAATTTACCGTAAAGCCGTGGAGTGGCACAGCCCAGTGAAGGGTGAGAAATAGGGTTGGTTTGTGGTTGGTGACTGGCAGGCCATCCATCACTCTAAGGGGAAATTGCTCTTTTAAGGAGAAGTAGTGAATTGTTTCTGGTCCCAGCGTAAGTCAAGCAGCCATGTGGAACAGTGACAGTCCTCATAGCCCTGGGCTGGGTCTCTGATAGGTCATTTGTTCCTGCTCAAAGTGTCACACTCTGCAGATTTGCTATGGATAGGCAGTTTGATGATTGGGGAAAAGAAGTCACAGTGACTTGATTTCAGCCTCCTAATAGAGATGTTCCAGGGCCTTCCTCCTGCCCACCAACTCTCCTCTGGGTCTGTTCAGTGCCACGTTGGGCCCCCTTCTTCTTTAAGATGGCCAATAGCTGTTCATTTTTTAATTCTTTGTTTCATTAACACAGTGGCTCCCAGCTGGGTGATTTTGCCCTGCAGGAGACATTTGGCAATGTTTGGAGACATTATTGATTGTCACAGCTGGAAGGTACTACTGGCCTTTAGAGGGTGGAGGCCAGGGATGCTGCTTAACGTCCTAAAATGCACAGGACAGCCCCAGCAACAAAGAAGCATCTAGCCTAGATTGTCCACAGTGCTGAGGCTGAGAAACCCTGCATTAATTCACTGGAAGTTCAACAAACATTTGTTGACTACTAGTGATGGGTCAGGAACTACTCAGGCACAGAGGACAGTTGTTTTCAGCTCAAGTTTTTGGGATCTTTCATTCTCAGTGCCTCCTTGGCTACCTGGACCCAGGAGGTTTCATGCCTACTTTGTCTCCTTGGCCAAATGGGAAAGCATTTGCTTTTTAGACCCCTTCCTTGGTCATTCCCTATCCTAATCAATGCAGATCCTTCAACGAGCCCAAATCTGAGAGGTGACAAGGAACCCAGGAACCAGTGGTCCAGGTGCAGGGGGGTCAGCCAGAGTGCAGGCATGGAGGCTGACCATGGAGAGTGGTACTGTGGCCATGTATGATGGGTAGTGGGGTGTAGATGCTGAAAGCAGGAGTCTGGGGTGGATGGTCTGGGATCTAGTCCTGGCTTGCCCCTTGCCAGCTGTGTGAGAGTGCCTCAGGACCTTGCTTCCTCATTTATAAAATGCAGATAGTAAGAACACTGAAGATCTGGGGTTGTTATGAGGGTTACATGCACCCTTACATGTGGACAGGTCATCTCAGTGTCCAAAAGAAGGTTCTATCTTATGAGTGGTTGGAAATGTGGAGACTGAGTGTTTGGGAGCATTCTGGCCTCATTCCTTCTGAGGCTGCCTTTTACCCCCTTAGAATGTTGCCATTTCCACCTACCTTTATTTCCTCTTAGTGAGTTTCAACACAGAACAAATGATATCGCAGAGGCCCAAGCGCTGCTCACTTATTTCCCTTTGGCTCTGGGCCCCTCACTAATGGCATATACATGGGGGGTCATTCTGGAGCCTGGGGCAAAAGGAAAAATTGGAAATTAGAATCTCATCTTTGTTCTCATTTTGTTATTTTATTCATTGTGTTTTTTGCATTAATTTAGACTTTAAAAAATATTTTTATTTATAATTTATTTATAAATACAAAATTCTAATTTCTTACATATTTATTTATAATACAATATATAATGTAATATAGATACAAGAAATAGTATTTTCCTTGATTACTGAGTTTTTTGGTGCCCCTTTAAATTTTGTACCTGAAGTGAGTACTTCACTCGCCTCACTCTAGTACCTCTTGGAGGTGGCAGCCCTGTTCTATGCCACCCCACGAGGAGGCTGGGGGAGGAGGTACTGGACCACCCCACTCTTGGCACTGCCAGTGCAATGAATGGATTTCTTCTGCTAGGGATTTTGGCATATGATGGCTAATTTTAGCTGTCAGCTAGACTGGGTTAATGGATACCCAGATAGCTGGTAAGAGCATGACTTCTGGGTAGGCCTGTGAAGTGTTTCTGGAAAAGACTGGCATTTGAGTCAGTAGATTGAGAAAGGAAGGTTCACTCTCACCCAATATAGGTGACACTGTCCAATCCATTGAAGACCCATATAGAGCAAAAAGAGGAAAGGTGAATTCCCTCCCTCCTCCAGAGCTGGGACACCCTCCTTCTGCTTATTGGAACTCCAGGGTCTCCAGCATTCAGACTCCTGATTTGCACCAGCGACCCTCAGGTTCTCAGGCCTTTGGCCTCAGATGAGAGTTCCACCATCAGGTCTCCTGGTTCCCAGGCCTGCAGACTTGGACTGAGCCAGGCTACCAGCTTCCCTGGTTCTCCAGCTTGCAGGCAGCAGGTCACAGGACATCTCAGCCTGTATAGTTGTGTGAGCTAATTCCCATAGTAAATCCCTTCTCATTTATCTATATCTATATCTATCTCATTGGTTCCGTGTCTCTGGAAAACCTTGACTGATATGACATATACCTGGGCCAACTTTATCCAACTCAACCTGGCTTCCTCTTTCAAAGTTCCCCATGACTGTGAGTAACAAGTTATCTTTTCAATGGCAGTTGTGTCCAGGCTGTTGGCCTCACTGTACCTGAGTTACAATAAAACCCACAATTTACAACAGCTGGTCATTTACTGTCTCCAGGGATTGCCTCTCCCTGGGCTGAGAAAGGCAGCCTCTCAGAGCTACTAAGGGCGCAGATGTCACAACATCAGAATCCAAAACAGGCTGAGTTCAAGGAACCTGTCCTCTTGGCCATACCTGCCCTGAGCAGGGCTCAGTAACCAAGAGAAACTGTAGCTCTAGACTGGGAGCTGGAGAGAGGAGGATCCCTGTCTTTTTGGTGGTACCCACTTGAATTCTAGCTCCTGGAGTGCTTTCTCTAAGACAGAGCTTGGGACTGAGGGACTGAGCTAGTTCTGTCCGCAGATGCTCCCTATTCTTATGAAGATTTGGTAGATTTCTTGAATAAATGCTTCTCTATTTTGGTATGCCACGGGAGCAATTTCCAGAGACTTTAAATGATTGTTTTTATACTTTCTCTAGGTGAATTGTTGTTTGCTAGGGAGAACATGTGCTCCAGTCCTCACTGCTCCATCCCAGAGGTCAGTCTCCTGCAGTTAATCCTAATACAAGGTATGTTTCATTTTTATTGTGACTTTGTTCTGGAAAAACTTCATGATTTCTAAAGTTTGCTATTCAGTCAGTGAATATTGATTAAACACTCCCTGTAATAGTCATGATACAGTTTGGGCAGATATACAAAATATGAACCAGTGCCCTAATAGGCTAGAACTCGACTTCCCTCTTGTGTGGGTGTCCAGCAGGTGGCCAGGGCTGCTGTGAAGCCTGACAGCATTGGACTCAGACTCCTCCCTTTCTGCTCTGATGTGTTCAATGTGCAGTTTCCATCACATAGTCCAAGGGAACAGGTCCAGCTCCTTCCCTCAAGTTCGCATCCTGGATAGCAGCAGAGGAGGCAGGGGCAAGGAAGGGCATCTCTTTCTCTTTAAAGACTTGTCCTGAAACTTGCATGTGTTGCATTGACCAGAACTTGGTTATATGGTCACAGCCAACTGCAAGAGGACCTGGGGTCTAGCTGAAATCCAGGTGTTCTGTTGTTAAAGAAAAAGGGGGCTGCGGACATTGACTTGCTGGCTGTTAGTGCCACAGCCAGTGTGTGCCAGGCATTGTGAGCTGCTGGGTATACTTGCAGAAGCAAAATAAGATGAGCCCCTTCTTAAAGAACCAATGAGACCTTCCCATTTTAGATATGACCCCAAGAGCTGCATGTCCCTGGAGGTGGTCCTGGTCAGAGCCTGGTACCCAGGAATGGACACTCAAAAAGCTATAGTTTTAGGAGGGATTTGGACAAATTCATCTTCTTCCAAAAATCTCCCTGTGATCACATTAGCCATAGCAGAAGTGGAGAGATTCACCCAAGCCCACAGTGCACATTTGTTCTTGATTCAGAGGAATGGGGGGAAGAAGTAAGCTTTTACTTAATATCTCCTCTGTCCCAGCTCCAGGCTGCTTGCTGTGGACATATCATCTCACCTCATCCCACTCCCACCTCCCCTCCATGCATACAGAGTGAGAAGCAGGTGCCATTGTCCTTCCTGCACAGAGGAAAAGCCTGTTATTCAGAGAGGTTAACCACATGCACAGAGATGGGGAAGGAATGTGGTGTGGGCAATTGGATGACCTTGACTGCAAGTGTCCCTTGGTCCCCCCCAGTGTGGGGCAGTCTGGAGGCTCAGCTGGAGCAGCTCCCCTCAGCCCTGTTCAAAAAGCTGCACCCTCAGTTGCCAGGGTGGCAGAAGACAGCGGTGCCCAGGCACCCGGGCAGTTGGCAATGCCCATGCATGGTGTGTGTGTGAGTGGGGCTGGAGAGAGGCAAGGCCATCGGCCTTCACCATGAGCAATCCCTGACAGCCTTTTTAGTGATTTGGATACATAGTCTGCTAATTACATTAGAGAGAATATGAAATTGGGAGGGAACATAAACACCAGTGAGAATAACAGAAAGAATTCAACAGAATCTCAGTGGTTATGAGAATGGGCTGAAAACAATGAAGTGAAATTCAAGCTACAAAACAAATTAGACGAGAGATTTTTAAGGTGCCAGGGGTGACAGAAGGAGGAGAACATCCTACCTGAGTTTTAATGTGTGCCCACAAATCCCTGCCAAGCAGAGCTGCAGGTCAGCATCCCGGGCAGGAAGGACAGACAGCATTTCAGCCCCAGTGTGCTCTGGGGCAAGCTGCCTGCGCGGGGGTGGGCACCTGGAGACCCCAGCACGCCCTCCTGGGCCTGGAAAGATGAAACAGGCAGAGAGAACAAGAGGGAGAAATATCTCACATATTATTCAGGAATGAAAGATGCCAGGTGAGGAGACCCAAAGAAATAAAAATGTATTCAGGTCCCAGAAGCCCCAAGCAATCTTCCTGCCCATGTGGTGGTGAGGAGGGGGCTGGTGGGGACAGCTCTCCACAGGGTCACTGAATCTTTCTGGGCCTCAGCTTCTTCATCTGTCCAACAGGCTTTTCTCTGGGGCAGGAGGGAGGGGGACCTCTTCACTGCAGGAGCTTAGGAGGGGCTGGAGAGTCGGAGCTGGAGGAAAGCAGGGAGAATGGGCCTTAAAGGGGGCAGATGAGGTAGCACCCACTTCTTTTCTGTTTGGGCTGGAGGAAGGGAGGCGGGTTACCCTTGTTTGGCTTCCCCAGCAACAGATCCTCAGACAAAGATTGGATTCTTCTGGAAGTGATCCCAAGCCACACTGGTAGGAAATGGGAGGGGAGGCCTGGAAGGGCAGGACGCCTTGGTTGTAAAACAAATTAGCACTGTGGACGCTTGGGTTTACTCCCACTGGGGAACTTTGGGGCCAGTGAAGAATGCACACCTCACAAGTACCTCATCCAAGGGTGAGGAAGCTGGGGTATGTGCACACTGCACCCTGTCATTGGTTGGGGGTTGCTTTCTAGGGGGATTCATTCCCCAGCACCTCTGTGCTTCAGCAGCCAGAGAAAGGCCCTAGGCAAAGGGATGCAAAGACTGGCACATGGGAATTGTCCGGGGAGCCCTGAGGTTGCAAGAAACAGAATGGAGGAATGGGCACTGATAGACCGTGTAGCACCAAGGTGGGGGAAGGGAGGGACCAGAGCAGCAGCCTGGCCAGATGACAGATGACAGGGATCCTGATATCCCATTCAGCCAGCAAGCAATGAGAGCATCTATTTGCAGGGAATCTAGACCTGTGAGTAATGACTTGTGTGTCAGCTTCATGGAAAAATTGGATTATTAGAAACAGCTGCCAAGAACGGGAGTACATTCAGGGGCCTAGCCATGCCCAGGCATTCTAGCTGCCCTGGGAAGCAGCGGTTAGGAGTGCAAACCTCAGATATCTAAGCTTCTTCTGGCATTCCCAGGCTGTGTGCTTTGATTTCATCCCTTCTCTTGTGGGTGCCTCTGTTTCCCAATCTGCAAAACAGGGATAATGTTGGTCTGCACCTCTGGAACAAACGGTCAGTCCATGCTTCAGTTGTAAGACATCGGAAATGTGAGAGAGTCATGGACCTCTTGTCTTCCAGATGGAGACATGGCCACAAGACTCTCAGGGGATGGGCCACCTGTTGGTGGGGGACAGCTCCAGGCCGCCCCAGCTTGGCCTGGCTTCGTCTTCTGCCAGGTGGACTCTGTGTGCATGGTGTGTGGGATTGCCCAGGGTCAGCATCTGCTTTACCCTAGACTCCACCTTTTCAGAGACTCCCTAAGAGAGGATGGCCAAGCTTCCCTTGAGCCCTGTCAGGGTCCACATCCCAGACTCCTCTCTGGGTGGGTTTCCACCTGTCTGGGTTCAGCAGCCACCACAGCCCTTGCCTCCTTCAGGCTAGCCCCTGAAATTCCCTGACACGAAGCCTGAGAACTGCCAGGGTCCAACTCTGCCTCCCAAGGAGCACAGGGACCTGGTGGTGTGTGCCCTCAATGTGTTCTGCCACCATTATAAGCTTCAATGAGTATTCTGCCTTCAGAAATCCCCAAAGGAGAAATGTGCACTGGTTTCCACATCCACATTCAGCCCCCCAGCTCTGGGGGTACATCTCAAGTCCTCCCCCAAGTGTCTTCCCACAAGCCTCTTTTTTCCGGGCTAGCCCACGGGGACCCTGCAGCTTCTAGTGCACTCAGCCTCTAGCCAGGCAGGGTGTCAGGCTTCCTCCCTGGGGGTGTCCCCAGTCTGTGAGGGGTACTCATGGAACCTCTCACTTTTCAGCTTTTCTGGGGAGGGGCAGTGGCTGTGGGCACAATGTCCCTACATGGCACTTCTGTTTATCTCAATTCCTACAGTGGCTCTCTACTTCCTTCTTCCTTCCCTCCAGTCATCTCCTTACCTGGACTGGGATGGGGCGACTGTTAGCTGTGCAGGGGCCAGCCCACAAAAGTGACCCATGACTGGTTGGGCAGCCTGGCCTCTGCATTCAGTTAGGACAGAGTACAGGAGTGGCCCAAAGGCCCAGGACCCTTAGGAGACTAACCAGGGGCAGGTGTGAGATGAATTGTCTTAATAAAGTCGGGGAGGAGGGGAATGCTCCCTATTGAAACATCCCCATTCTGTGGGAAGGGTTGGTGGGGAAGTAGGTCAAGTGTTGGTCCCTGAATGCCAGGAAGCCACTTCTCATGGAAATTACCTGCCTTGAAAATTGGGTCATGCTTGCACAGCTGGGACCTGTGGGATCCCCGAGCTCATCTACTCTGGCCTTCCCCTGCCCCCAAGCACCAATTAGAGTGTCTAAGGCTGGACTATTTTTAGCCACCTGTGAGCTGGTCATGTGCTGAGAAGGAGTTGGAACGTGGGCACTGCTGAGCGTCCTACAGCTACAGAGACCTGAGCCATCCCCCTCCCAAGGCCTAGGTAAGGCATGGAAGGCACAGACCTTGGAAAGATGGTGAACATGACATCTTCATGCAAACGGAGTTCCAGAGAGTCTTCTAGAAGGCTGACCCACCACGCCACTGACCTAAGCGCACAGTTGATCATCATTCCCTACCAAAAACCTTCAGTTACTCCAACCCCTGGTCTGGTTGAAGAGGGTCTCCAGACTTGGGTGCTCCCACTCATGGCACATACTGCCTCCTATTCCCACCAACTCCAGCCACCTGCAGCTTCCCAAACCCTCCAGGTTCCTCCTGAGCACACACTGCAATGCCCTTTCCTTTCATGCCTGGCTGGAACGTACTGACTTTTACCTTAAAAGTCCTGTTCTCTGAATATTTCACCCCTTAGGATATGAACATCCCACCTTGAAAGGGTTTGTTTAAATGTCAGTCTCCCTTATTGGGCTCGACTCTTCAAGGCCTTAGGTCAGAGCTTGGGACATGGTAGGTGCTCAAAATGTGTGATGGATGGACCTGTGCCATGCTCATCTATTGGGCAAGGGTAATGATCTGGCGTGAGAAAGTCATGAGAAGCTCTTGGAAAATAGACACTCTCCTTCAAATGCTGGAGCAGCTCACTGCCACAGGGTGAGGTTCTGGTCTCAGCAGAGTTCCTGGCTGACAGCCTCTGTGTAGGGAAGGTGGGAGGGGAATCTGACAGCCTTGGTGTAGGTTTGAAGGATTTGGGGGCTGATCATGAGGTGGCAATAGCACCACAAGCTTTATGTGGGTGGTGCTTTGACAGATTCGCATGTCCCTCACAGCAAGAGGTCATCTAGAGGCTATGGTATGAGGGTTACCACCTGAAGGAGGAGGAGGACAAGGGAACCCCTGGGGGAGAGGGGGCTTCACGCAGGGGCGTCATGTGTCTAGGTGAGGTTGTTCAGCACTTTTCTAGATCAGAGAGCTCCAAAGGGCAGCAACAGCTTGAGGTCTTAATAGCTCTTGGGTTGATCTTATCTATGGCTGCAGATGCTGGGTCCAGTTCTGCAGAGTGTGCAAAGCAAGCAGGCTATAAACAGCTGAGAATCTACTTATTTGGGCTATTTTTAAAACTATTGAATGTGTAAACATTTGAATGTGATTCCAGCAGGCTTTTGAACTAATGGGTCTTAGCTTGCTGTGAAGAAGTAACCAACCTAGGGGCCAAGACACAAAAGTCATCTTTGGCTCATTTATGTAACACGGGGGGAGCGCCAGGCTCAGCTGGGGTCAGCGTGGTTTGTATCTTTCATGTTTATGCCACAGACTTCTCTGTTGGCTGAATTGATACAGTTGAGGGGATTCCTACACGTATTTGAACACCTGTATGATTTTAGGACAACTCAACACATATTTACTGAGTTTCCAATGATTAAGATACAATGTCTGTCCTCAATTATTGCACAACTTGGTGGGAGGAACAGACCACAAATAGCTGATCACAACTCAATATGATGAATGATGTCTACAGGGCACACTGGTGGCTCAGGGAGGGAGGAAATGAGCAGTGATTGGCAGCAGGGATACCATACCCAAGATCGTGAAGATTTAGAACTCAAAGTGGATGTGCTCAGATACAGCAGGTTCACCCCACAGGGGCCAGTTAACCTCAGTGGGTTTCAGGGCCAACCGAACAGCTCACCATGCAGAGGTGGGCCGAGAACTTGGAACCTGCTGATGTCTGCACAGCTCTGCAGCCTCTGCAAACTGCTTTCCCTCCATAAGCCTCAGTGCTCACTTCTGTAAATCAGAGTAAAAATCTGCACCTCTTCTGCACACCCTCTAAATACTGGTGCCTCTCAGGCTCAGGCTCTGGCCTTCCTGTATGTACAGTCTTTCCCAAGGTAAAGTCTGGTGTCAAGGCTTTAAATATCACCTTGGCGCTGATGGTCCTAATTTTTTTAATCTTCAGCACTGAGCCCCTGGCCTTTCCCTAGAGCTCTAGACTTGTATTTTCAATTCCATTCAGCTTTATAATTTCTTACCTGAAATTCTGTGCACTAGATATGTGTTTTAGAATTCAGAATTTTTAAACTGTAGAAACTTAATAGCTCCAGCAGGATCTGTTAGAGCATCCTGTAATCAAACATATTGATATTTCTGCAGTGAAACGTGGATATTCACTCTAAGTGGGATTACAAAAATCTGTGTTAGTTCGTTTTGGCATTGCTATTGAACTGCCTGAGACTGGGTAATTCATAAAGAAAAGAGGTTTAATTGACTCACAGTTCTGCAGGCTGTACAGGAAGCATGGCTAGGGAGGCCTCAGGAAACTTACAATCATGGAGGAAGGTAAAGGGGAAGCCAGCACGTCTTACATGGTGGGAGCTGGAGGAAGAGAGAGCGAAGGAGGGGGTGCTACACACTTTTAAACAACCAGATCTCATGAGAACTCACTCACTATCATGAGAACAGCAAGGGGGAAGTCCGTCCCCATGATCGAATCACCTCCCACCAGGTTGCTCCTCCAACATTGAGGATTATAACTTGACATGAGATTTGGGTGGGGACACAGAGCCAAACCATATCAGGTTCCTTCTCTGAGCTTCATTTCATATCAGGTCAAAATTTGCTGGTAAATGAATTACGAAACACTGTTTGGTTTTCTGTGGTTTGTAGATTTTGGAATTATACATTCAATGAGGCTTTGTGGACCTGTGCTGTCTCTCCATTCATTTTCTGAGAGGCACCCCAAAGTTAACATGCTTACTGTGACCTTTGATTTTAACACTCCCCACCCTAACTTGTTGCTTTTCTGTTTTTCCCATCTCAGCTAATTTTATCACCATCCATACAGTTAATTTCTCAAGCACACATTCTAGCAGTTACTCTTCTTTTCCCTCAATTTCTCTTTCTTCTCCTCCCATGTCTAACCCATCAGTAGGTCATTGGCTCTTCTTGAAACCTGACCCCAAAATTCTCTGCAAGGGTCTTATAGGGCCCATCTTATTATACCCCATCCACAGCCCCATTCATGCATTACACAGTGATCACAAGGATCTTTTAAAATCCCTTTCCACTGAAACAGGTAGATAGAAGATAGTATCAGTCTTCTGCTTAGTCCACTGCAAATGGATAAAATCCGACATTACCAAGTCCTCTCAGACCTTCAACACTGGCCTTGCCTACTCCTCTGACATCATCTCATATGATTCCATCTCTTAGTCTGCATACTTCAATCCCACTGGTTTCCTGTTTTCCTACCATGCGAAGTCTTCCTGCTTTGGGGAATTTGTGCCAGGGGCTCCTAAGACTGAAATACCTTCCCCTAGATATTGTGTGTTTGGCTGAAGGTTCCCTTGCTTGGACAGGCCTCTGTCCATAATCTGCTTAAATAATTACTTCCTCTCTCTTCTCATTATTCATTCTGTCTCCAACAGATTTTATTTTCTTCATAGTACTCGTGGCTCTGGAAGTTATGTTACTCACTTGTTTACTTGTTCACGATTTGTCTGTGGACATAAATATCCCTGTAAACTAAACACTCTTGAGGGCATGCGGGGAGGGAACTGGCTCGCTCTGTTCCTAATGTCAGAGGCCTAACACAGAGACCTGCACATAGTAGGTGCTAAACAAATGTTTGTTGAAGAAAACAGTGAATGAATACATCTCCCATTAAGGGGGAATGCTAAGAAGCCCTATATGTGAACGATTCGGAACCCAGGCCTTGGCCTGGACAGAGCTGGGTTTGAATTGAGCTCTGGCCATGTGACCCTGGAAAGCTACTCAGTCTCTGTAAGCTTCCATTTCCTCATCTGGAAATGAACTTCATAGGTTGGTGGTGAAGAGGAGGTGAATTTGTGTGAAGCCTATTGCACCATCTGGCATGGTATCCATGATCAATCAATGCCAACCACTGCTACATTGCAGAGCACAGGGACACTTTGTGCTGTGAACATGGCCATGCCAGGCATGGCTGGATGAGCCCAGTTCAGCTCCCCTTACTAAAGTGAATTGGCTTGGTGAGTGAGAGGCAGTTGATCTGGGGATACTGCCATTGCCCTCAACATGCCTCCTGCCACGAGTTTTGCAAGGCCCTGTCTTGGTGAGTAATGAGCAGGAGAGCCAAGTGGAGGCTTGAGAAGGGGGAGGGCTGGGGTGGAGGTGGTAGGTTGGTGAGAGAGGTTGAGGGTGGGGGCTATTGCCAGCAAAGGTGCAATGTCTGGGATCTGATGTGATGGGGACACCAAACGTGCAGAAAAGTAAGGCTGGGTTGCAGAGCAGTCCCTGGGGTGGCTGCAAGCAGATGCAGCCTGAGGGATACATGTTGACAAAGAGCTGAGTGATGTGTGGTGTCCAAGGTGCAGGTCTGGGTGATGAACCAAGCATCCTGCTGTGGACTGGAGCTGAATCTGGGATCTAGGACTCGGGAAAATGAGACAATTTAGGGGGAAAAAAACAAATATGGAGGCAGTGAACAAGTTCTGGACACTTTCAGGATTGAGCTGCATGGGAGTTGGCAGAGAGTTCTTCTTCCTGGAGGGCTCTTCCTGGCATGGGGGTCATCTGCTAGTTTAAAAGCCCAAGGCTGGATGGACTGGTGGTGGGAATGGGGTGCATGTGATATGGTTGGGATAGACTCAGGGACATGGTAGGTTGAGCTGATAGGGTAGGTTGGGGGATGAAGTGCCAGGGGAGGGTTGAAAGGGCCCTGTAGTCAAACAAAGGGATTCCTGCAGCGGGCAGCTCATTGTGTGGCCACATCCACATCAGGGAGTCAGCTGGAGAATTGTGGGGAGAAAGGCCATAGACTCAGTGTTTAAAACAGAGGCTTTGATGCCTGTAAGAACTGCAATGTAGGCAAGAAGAGAGGATGCTCACCACCTCACATTGAGACCACCATAGCCCTGATCCTTAACACATGGAAGCTATAGGCTGTGGTCATAGGTTAGCAAACTTGATAGAAGTGAATGGCAGGAGGTGCTGTGCCATATATTTAAAAGAAGTCATGGTACTTGTCCATCAAGATATTGAGACCCATAACAGGGCTGCAGTGTTTGCCTGCGCAGTAGATGGCTGAGTGTCAGCTCTGAGTGTGTGGGCATTTGGTTGATGTTCCCATCAGCAGCTTTGACAGATGATAAAGGTGTGCCTAGAGACCTGGCAGGTGAGGTCCTTCCTCAACATCTCATTGGTGGACAGGAACCTACACCTGAGCCTTCAGGTGTACAGGAGAGACTTAGTCTGAAGGATATGGTGTCCTGAGCTGAGGGCTGTCTGGGAATAGCTCCCTCCACACCCTCCTGACCAAAGAAGAGAAGCCCTTGCATGCGGCCTCGATGGCCCAGCGCCCTCTTCTGACTCTCCCCAAAGTGACTGAGGCTGCCTCTGCCCCACCCAGCCTTCTGTTGGCTCCACACTCAGGAACACCCCAGCAGCAGCTGCCGAGGGAGCCAGGTGTAATCTCAGCTGCTTCAGCAAAGCACAAATCATGAAATAAAACACAGCCCTTCCTGGGAGGCTGCCTGTCACTGAGTGTATAAATGGACAGTCATGCTCCATCCGTCCTGGGTACAGCTGAGTGCTGTGCTTGCTGCCCTCCCCCACTCCTAGGATGCTCTCTCTCTCTTCCTCTCTTCTCTTTCTCTCTTTCTCTTTTCTCTCTCTCTCTCTCTGCACCCCTCACCCTTCTCATCTTCCAAGTCCTCTCCAGGCCTGCTTCCTCATAGTCTTAGCTCTGGAGCCCGTGAAACTGAGCTGCACCCCACAACTCTGTCTGTGCTGGGGCCATCTTAGTGAACTGGCAGTTGTTCCCAGGCTCCCAGCTCTTTCCTGCCCATCATGCACCATTTAGAATCTGATCTTTGGGCACCACCTTCTTAGCTATCCCATCCTCTGCCCCATGAGGAGGGGTCTCCCTTCCTTAGTCAGATGTTTTGGCTTCTGTGATGCAGAATCATGAGAACGGAGAGAAGATGATTAAAGTCTGGACTCACCAGCAAGGTTGGGCAGAGGGAGCAGGAGGCAATGTGGAAACTGAGGCCGGGAGGGGAAGAAGGGGATTTGGCACGGGCGCTGGAGCAAGGGTGAGAGTAACAGGGAGGCATGTGTTGCATTTGGAGTCTGGTATTCATCAAGAGTTGTGAGTAAAGTGAATCCCCCTTCATTACTTGTGGGTCTGAGCTCTGTTTCTTGAATGGGACCAGGCGGGTCTCTGGGTTCCTAAGGGTCGCCATCCTTTCTGGTTCTACTAGAGTGGGTGAGCTGGGCTTGACTCCTTGAAGGCAAGGAGTTGTGTTGCACCCTGTCCCCTAGTGGGTGATGGAGACCTTCTGAGAGTGCTCTGCAGTGGGCGAGGCTGAGCAAAGCCTAGTGACATCTAGGACAGACTCCGTGATCCTTCCCATCTCTGTCCTGCAATCCTGGCCCAGCCTGTTTCCATGACTACAGAGCACCAACAGAAGACGGGACACTGCCCTTAGCCTGGAAATTCTCTTCCCATTGCTTACTCTTGGCAATGCCTGGGGGCTGTGTGATTCCAGAAGTCAGGCTCACTTGCTTTAGAAACCAATTCTGTCAGAGATGGTGTGAACCCAAGAAGTAGGAAGGCGGTTTTGTCTTTTTCTGGTAGCTGACAGACTCATCCCTTCCTGCTCCTCCTCCTCCTTTGTCTTTCTCTCTTCTACTGTATGAAAGGCACCAGGGAGGCACTCAGGTGGTTTTCCTGGGGGACCCAGTGGTGGATCAGTCCCAGATCCATCTTTGGGGCTCAGAAGGCCAGGAGGAGAACCAGGTAGACCAGACTGGGCTGCAGCCAGCTCGGAAAATTTGCTTCACCCTCCTTCCACCATGACATGGGCATATGATTGTGCCTTCTCAGCCAGAGTTTCAAGGGACCCTGCTGGAGATCACAGAGTCAAGGGCAGCTGTGACACCTGGCCTGACGCCTTTGCAGCTGCCATCTCTGCGTCTTCTCAAAGGTGGGAATGATAGCACTGACTCTAAAGGGATGGGGGGAGGCCCTAGTGCAAATTGCAGAGCTTGGACAGCCAGCGGGGCTGATCAGAAGCCAGTTACTATTGCTAAGGGAAGAGACAGGAGGGGACAGTTTGGGGGTCTTGCCTCCTCAGTGGCTGCATTTGAGGGAAGGAGAGAACAAGCAAGAAACTGCCTTTGCTTTTGTGAGTCTACATGGAAGCATTGCAGACCACAGCTGGCCTATGGGAAGGTTTTGCTTAATGAGAAAGCAGATACAGGTGGGGGCTGCATGGTGGCATGCCAGCTGGGACAAGCTCTTTTTATGTCATCTTGAATATTATGCTTCAGATAATATGATTGCTTGCTCAGCATAAATACAATGGTCTCATCGCACTTTTTATTGAGATGAAATTTATATCCTGTGAACTGCATAAATCATAATTTTATGAGCCACTGAGTTGTGACAAATGCATACACTTCAATCAAGATAAAGAACAATTTCATCATTCCAGAAAGTTCGTTCATGCTCCCCTTTGAATCAATCCTCACCTGTCATAGACAATCACTCTTCTGATGTCTATCATCAAAGATCAATTTTGCCTGTTCCTGAACTTCATATAAGTGGAAGCTTACAGTGTATGCTCTTTGGTGTCTGGTTTCTTTCATTGAATAGAATGTTGTTGCCTATGTGACGATATGGAAACTTTGAAAAAATCTCTTCCAGTCGGTAGACACTTCAGTTATTTCCAGTTTTTGAATAGTATGACCAAAGCTTCCATAAACAATCTTTTACAGGTCCTTTTTGTGGACATGTATTTTCTTTTCCCTTTGGCAAATGCCCAGGAGTGGAATTGCAGGATCATGGGGTAGTGGAAGTGTAGAGAAACTTCCAGACAGATTTACAAAGTGGTTGTGCTGCTATACATTTCCACCTGCAGTGTGTGAGAATTCTCATCATCCACATCCTTACCAAGCGGCGGTGTTGTCAGTCTGTGCTATGGATTGAATGCGTGTGTCCTCCTGCATTTCACATGCAGAAACCCAGTGGGATGGCATTTGGAGGTGGGTCCTTTCAAGATAATGAGGTCATGAGACTGGAGCCCTCAGGAATGGAATTAGTACCCTTATAAAAAGAGATGTGTAGGCCGGGCGCGCTGGCTCATGCCTGTAATCCCAGCACTTTGGGAGGCTGAGGCGGGTGGATCACCTGAGGTCAGGAGTTGGAGGCCAGCCTGGCCAACATGGTTTAGTACAAACCCTATCTGTACTAAAAAAAAAAAAAAAAATTAGCTGAATGTGGTGGTGCATGTACCTGTAATTCCAGCTACTCTGGAGGCTGAGACAGGAGAATCGCTTGAACTGGAGAGGCAGAGGTTGCAGTGGCAGTGCGCCGAGATGGCGTCACTGCACTCCAGCCTGGGTGACAGAGCAAGACTCTGTCTAAAAAAAAAAAAAAAAAAAGAGAGGGAGAGAGAGGTGAGAGATTATCTCTTTGCCATGTGAAGATACAAAGATACAACAAGAAGTCAGGAAAAAGGTCCTCACCAGACACCCAATTGGCCAGCACTTTGATCTTGGACTTTCAGCTTCCAGGACTGTGAGAAATAAATGTCTGTTGTTTAAACCTCCCAATATGTGGTATTTTGTATAGTATCCTGAAACTGATTAAGGCAGTCTCTCTAAATTTAGCTGTTTTAATGAACATGAAGTGGTATTTCATTGTGGTTTTAGTTTTAATTTCCTTGAATACAAACGATCTTGAGAAATTTTTATGTGTTTATTGGCCACTTGTATATCTTCACCTGCTCAAGTCTTTTGGTCTTTAAAAAAATTAAGTTGTTTATCTCTTTATTATTGATTTGTAGGGCTTTAAAAATGCATAATCGGAATACAAGCCCTCTATCAGATATATGTCTTGTGAATATTTTCCCCAGTCTATGACTTGCTTTTTCATTTTCTGAATAGTGCCTTTGAATAAACAAAATTAAATTTTTTTCATTAAGTAGCATGCGATTCCAAACTTGAACACCATAAATCAGAGGAGCTAGTGATTTTTTAAAGGAATTTTAAAAATTTTGTTCAGAAATTAAAAAAAATTCAATTGACACATAATAATTGTACATATATTTGGGGTACAATAGGATGTTTTGATACATGCATATCTTATGATATGATCAAATCAGAGTATTTAGAGTATCTATCACCTCAAACATTTATATTTCTTTGTGACGAGTACATAGAAAATTTTCTTTTCTAGCTATTTTGAGATACACGTACCTTATTGTTGACTATAGTCACCCTACACCAGAACATACTCTTCCTTTCTAACTGCAACTTTGTACCCATTAACCATCCTTTCTCCATCCTCCCCTCCCTCTCCCTGTCCTCTGGTAACCAATGTTCTATTTCTATAAATGATATCAGCTTTTTAAGATTCTACATGTGACATGGTTTGGATATGTGTGCCTGTGCAAATCTCATGTTGAATTATAATCCCCAGTGTTGAAGGAAGAGCCTTGTGGGATGTGATTAGATCACAAGGGCAGATTTCTCCTTTGCTGTTGTCGTTATAGTGAGTGAGTTCTCATGAGATCTGGTTGTTTAGAAGTGTGTGACATCCCCTCTTTGTTCTCTTCCTTCTGCTCTAGTCACGTAAGGTGTGCCTGCTTACCCTTCACCTTCCCCGAGATTGTAAGTTTCCTGAGGCCTCCCCTGTCATGCTTCCTGTACAGTCTGAGGAACTGTGAGACAATTCAATGTCTTTTCTTCCTAAATTACCCAGTCTCAGGTAGTTCTTTATAGCAATGTGAGAATGGACTAATACAATATGTGAGTGGGATATGTGAGTGAGATCATGCAGTATTTGTCTTTCTGCATCTGGCTTATTTCACTCAGCATAATGTCCTCCAGGATCATTCATGTTGTTGTAAATGACAAGATTTCATTGTTTTTTTTTTTTTTTCTAGGCTGAATAGTATTCTGTTGTGTGTATATACCACATTTTCTTTGTCCATTCATATGTTAATTGATACTTAGGTTGGTTCGGTATCTTGGCCATTGTGCACTGTGCTACAATAAACATGGAAGTGCAGATATCTCTTCAACAAAATGATTTTATTTCACTTCCTTTGAATATATACCCAGTAGTGGGATTGCTGGATTATACGGTAGTTCCTTTTTACATTTTTTGAGGAACTTCCGTACTGTTTTTCGTAATGATTGTACTAATTTACATTCCCACCAACAGTATATAATAAGTGTTCCCTTTTCTCCACATTTTCACTGATACTTGTCATCTTTTGTCTTTTTGATAATAGCCATTCTAATTGGAGTGAGATGATATCTCATTGTCATTTTGATTTGCATTTTCCTGATGATTACTGATGCTGAGCATTTTTTCATATACCTGTGGACCATTTGTGTGTCTTCTTTTGATAAATGTCTATTATGGTCTTTTCCTCATTTTAAAATAGGGTTATGAGTTTTTTGTTGTTAATTTAAAAAATATATTCTGAATATTAACCTCGTATCAGATGTATACTTTCCAAATATTTCCTCTCATTCTATAGACATCCTCTTCACCTTGGTGATTGTTTCCTTTCCTGGGAAGAAGCTTTTTAGTTTTATGTAATCCCATTTGTCTATTTCTGCTTTTGTTGCCTTTTGTTTTTGAGGTCTTATCCAAAAGAATCTTTGCCCAGCCCAATGTCATGGAGCATTTCCCCTAAGTTTTCTTCTAGTAGTTTCACAGCTTTGAGTCTTACATTTAGGCCTTTAATTCATTTTGAGTTGATTTTTTTATATGGCAAAAGAAAGTGATCCAGTTTCATTCTTCTGTACTCAGATATCGAATTTTTCCAATACCATTTATTGAAGAGACTGTCCTTTTCTCTGTGTGTGTTCTTGGCCTCTTTGTCAAAAATCAGTTGGCTGCTTTTTGTATGTGTGTAGGTACATATGTTTTTTGTATATATGTACAGATTTATTTCTGGGCTTCTGTGCTGTTCCATTGGTCTGTGTGTCTGTTTTGATGCCAGTACCATTCTGTTTTTGTTACTACTGCTCTGTAGCATATTTTGAAGTTGGGCAGTGTGATGCCTCCAGCTTTCTTTTTTTTGCTCAAGATTGCTTTCGCTATTCAAAGTCTTTTGTGGTTTCATATAAATTTTAGAATTGTTTTTTCTATTTCTGTTATTGGTATTTTGATAGGAATTGCACTGAATCTGTAGATTGCTTTGGGTAATATGGACTTTTTAACATTATTTCTTCCAATCTGTGAACACAGGATATCTTTCCATTTATTTGTGCCCTCTTCGATTTCTGTCATCAATATTTTAAAGTTTCAGTGCAGAGATCTTTCAGCTCCTTAGTTAAGTTTATTTCTAGCTATCTTATATATTTTTTGTAGCTAAAACATTTAAACATTTTGATGAAGTTTTGATTTATCATTTTTCTTCTTTCATGGTTAGAAATAGTGTCTTTTATAAAAAGTCTTTGCCTATCCCAAAGCTGGGAAGGTATTTTCCCATATTTTTTTCTAAAAGTGTTACAGTTTAAACTATTTGTTTAGATCTGTGATCCATCTTGAACTAATTTGTGTGAGTGTGTGTGGTATGAAGTAGAGTTTGAGATTAATTTTTTTACCATGTGTTTTTCCAGTTCCAGCACCAATTTTTAAAAAGACTTTTCCATAAGATTTTTTTGACGACTTTGTCAAAAATCGACTATATGTGTGTGAGTCTATGCCTGGACTTTTTATTCAGTTCCATTAATCTATGTTTAAGTAAATACCATACTGCCTTGATTATTGTAACTTTATTGCAAGTCTTGAAATCAGGAGTTGTGGGTCCTCCAACTTTGTTCTTTTGTTTCAAGGCTGATTTGGTTACTTTAGGTCCTTTGCATTTCAAAATAAAGTTTAAAATAAAGATGTTGATTTCTGTCAAAGAGTCTATTGAAATTTTGATTTGAATGATACTGAACTTATTGATTAATTTGGGGGAATTAACATTATAATAATATTAACTCTTCCAAATCATGAACATAATATATTTTGCCATTTATTTAGGTCTTTAATTTCTCCTAGCAATGCCTTATAGTTTTAAGTACAGAGGTCTTGCATGTCCTTTTATATATTTATTTTCAAGTACTTTATTTTTAAAAATTTCTTGCAAGTGGTATTTTTTTTCAAACTTAATTTTTAAATTGTTTACCATCAATATATAGAAATGCAATTAATTTTGATTATTGACATGGTCCCTGTGACTTTGCTAAATTAACTTATTCATTTCATTATGTTTTTAGATTCTTCAGATTTCCTTTTAACAATCATGTCATCTGAAAATAGAAACTTTTTTACTTCTATTTTTTGTGATCTTTTTGCCTTTTAATTTATTCTTCTTGCCTTACTGCATTGGTTAAGACCCCTAGAGCAATATCAAATAGAAGTGGTAAGAGCAGGCATGCTTATGAAGAAAGCATTTAATATTTCACCCTTAAGTTTGATTTTAAATGTAGAATTTTGGTAGATGTTCCTTACAAGATTGGTAACTTTTCCTTAATTTCTAGTTTGCCAAGAGCGTTTTGCTGTTGTTGTTAAGTGTTGAATTTTTATTCAAGTGCTTTTTCTCTAACTATAAAGATGATCAGATAGGGCTTCTCGTTTAATTCTGTGAATGTACTGAATTATATTAATTAATTTTTGAATGTTGAATTGACCTGGCATTCCTTGAATAAACTCCACTTGGTGAACTTAATGCTATGTATGGCTAATATTTTGTTAAGAATTTGGTGTATGTAATCATGAAGGAGATGAGTCTTTAATTTTCTTATCTTCTAATTCTTTGTTAGGCTTTGGCATCAGAGTTATTTTGACTTGATAAAATGAGTAGGCACATGTTCTTACCTCTTATATTTTCTGAAATATTTCTTCTTAATGTTTGAAAAAAATTATCAGTAGAATTATATGGGTCTGTAATTCTCTTGTTGGGGTTTTTGGATAATGAGTTACATTTCTTTAATAACTATAGGTGTAGATGTAGTAGCTAATCTCCAGGAGCCCATCAGTGATACCTACCTGCTGGTATTCACAGTCTTGTGTAGTTGTGTAGTCTCCTCCAACATTGTACCAGGGTTTGCCTGTGTGGCCAATGGCATGCAGCAGACTTAATGATATGTCACTTATGAGGGACTGCAGCTTCTAGCTATGTTTCTCTCTTAGATCATTTACTCTGAGGAAAGCCAAGAGCCATGTTGTGTGAACACCAAGGAAGCTTGTGAAGAAGCCCTTGTGGAAAGAAATAGAGCTGTTGGCTGACAACCAACCGGGAGCTGAGGCTGCCAACAACCCTGTGAGTGAGAGTAAAAGTGGATTCTCCAGCCCAGTCAAGCCTTGAGATGACTATAGCCCTGCCTGGCAACTTGACTGCAACCTTGGGAAAGATGCTGAGACACAACCACCCAGTGAGGCTACTCCTGGGTTCCTTAACCTCAGACATTTATGAAATAATAAATGTTTCTTATTTTAAGCTCCTCTATTTTGGAATAATATTTATTACCCAGAAATAGATAACTCATACAATGGAGCTATTCAGATTTTCTCTTTTTGTGTGTGTCAGTTTTGGTAATTTATGTTTTTCAAGAAATGAGTCTATCCCACCAAAGTTGTCAAATTTATTGACATAAATTTTTTCACACTATTCTGCTAGTTTCCTTTTAATAGCTATTGGATCTTTATGGACATCTTATTTTATTTTTGATATTCATAATTTGTGTTTTCTCTTTATTTGATCAGTCTTTCCAGACTTTTTTCAATTTCAATTCTTTAAGATAATAGATTTTGGTCATATTATTATTTTTTATTTTCTAATTTATTGATTTCTGTTTTTATCTTTATACTTTGCTGTTTTCTGTTTACTTTGGTTTTCATTTACTTCATGTTTTTGAGTTTATTAACTTAGAAAGTTAGATGACTAAAATTATACTTTTCTTTTTTTCTAATGTATGCATTTAAAACTCAAAATTTCTCTCTAAGCATCACTTTAGCTGCATCCTACAAATGTTCACTGATTATGTTAATGTGGTTCCTTTGTGTTCTTAAATGTACTACATACTACAGCATGTTAACTGTTTTAAAGTCTTCGTCTTGGTCACGTTAGGACCTATTTTTATTGACTTTTCTTTTTCATTCTGGCTCACTTTTTCCTGCTTCCTCTCATGCTTAGTAATTTGGGCTAATGCATTACCCCTGCCTCAGCCTCCTGAGTAGCTGGGTCCACAGGTGCGTGCTATTATGTCCAGCTAATTATTTGCTTAGTTTTATTTTTTAGAAATGAGTTCTCACTGTGTTGCCCAGGGTGGTCCCAAATTCCTGGCCTCAAGTGATCCTCCAGCCTCAGCCTCTAGAGCAGCTAGGATTATAGGCACAAGCCACCATGTCTGGCTACTTTTTCTTTTAAATTTTTTTTAGAGATGGGGTCTTGCTATATTGTCCAGGCTGGTCTCAAACTCCTGGGCTAAAGTGATCTTCCATCCTCAGCTTCTTGAGTAGCTGGGGGCATGAACCACTCACTGCACCCAGCTTAGTAATTTTGATTGTATACTAGACATTGTGATGACACACTGACAGATGCCTGAATTATGTTTTCTTCCTTGGTCAAAGAGTATACAAAGATTTCGACTATCACTGTCCATGATACCATTTCAAAGGAACATAGAAATATAAAATAGGAATAATATGATTAAGCTAGGCTTTTACGGAAGGTGGTTATGCTCACCGCTATGCCACCAACATCACTTAGGCAAGGCTTTTATGAATTGACATTTAACCTTCGGATGAGAAGGAATGAAAGCACAAAGAGTAAAAAATAAAATCTTCATGAAGGAACAGTGTAAGAGATTGATACCTGGGCTTGTCATTTTGGGCAGCTGTCCTCTGAAATGTAATTAGTTTATATCTAACTGCTGTATAGAGTGAAAAATATATTTAATTATTTAATGTAAATTGTGCAACTAATATTTTCTTGGAAATTCGCTAGGAAGTGGTGCTGCTCAAACCCACACTTTTATAAGTTCATTTGAAATATGCTACCAAAGCATGGATGAATGATTGTAACCTTATACTTCCAAGAAATTTGGAGTCAAAATCTTTAAGACTGTACTCTTCAGCAATGTTTTTCTAAACTGTATTTCATACATAGTGGGCCATAAAATCAATTTGGTGAGCTATGACCAGCATATTAAAAAGTGATATAAAATACAATAGAATAAAATAGTGTATAATAGCAAACAATAGGAAATAGTAGATGCATTGCATACTATATAACTACATGTTTTTTGGAAATGGAGTCTTGTTCTGTCCAGTCTGGAGTGCAGTGGTGCGATCTCTGCTCACTGCAACCTCCGCCTCTGGGGTTCAAGCGATTCTCCTGCCTCAGCCTTCCAGGTAGCTGGGATTACAGGTGCCCGCCACCACACCTGGCTAATTTCTGTATTTTTAGTAGAGATGGGGTTTCACCATGTTGGCCAGGCTGGTCTCCAACTCCTAACCTCAGGTGATCTGCCTGCCTCGGCCTCCCGAAGTGCTGGGATTACAGGCGTGAGCCACCGGCACCTGGCCGACTAAGTGTTTTTAATACTTTGTTTGGTTTTGTATGTGTATGTGTTTTGAATTATGATTAAAAATGTATTTTCAAAGTTGCATTCATGAAAGTTTGAAAAACACTACACCATGTTGTAGACCTTTGGAGTCTTCCATTTCATAGAATGATCAGGAACAAACCAAGCTGATAGGGGACTAAAGTGTCTTGTATTCCAGAGATCTCTGGAACAGATGGGAGGAGTATGGAGAGAAGAATGGACATGAGTGATCCATTTGTGTGTTTCCTCATTCATCCATTTGTTGATTCATGTGGCAAGCATTTATTGAGTTCTCCCACTGATTAAGCATACTGTGTATCTTTAATGATACAAAAAAAGCAAGACATGGTCCCTTCTCCCAGGAAGCTCACAATTCAGTTGGCAGAGAACCAGGTAGACAGATATTTCTCATACAGTGTGATGAATCCTATGCTATGGTAGAGATGTAGTTGCAATTCAGAAGTGCCTAACGAATCCTGGATTGGAGGTCCTGGAAGACTTCTAGGAAGAGGTGATGTCTGCACTGGGCCTGGAAGTTTGAATAGGGGTTATCCAGCAAAGAAGATGGGAAAAGTATGCTCTACAAAGAGGGAGTGGTACAAACATAGCCCAGAAGCAAGGGGACTAAGGAGTTTTGGGAGCCATGCACACGTGAGTGCAAAAGTGGAGTATTTGAGACTGTAAGCGGGGCTGAGAAACTTATCTTTTATGAGCAGATTGTGTTTTTAAAAGTCACTGTAGACTTATTGGTGGGGAGCAATCTGAAAGCAGGTGACTGTTGCAGGACTGGTCCTGGGTTGGAGAGAGGGGAAAGCATGCATTTGAGGGCATCTGAGCAAGTATCATTTGAGGATCAGCTGACAACCAGATGAGGACAAAGGGGCATGAGAGCATGATGTCTTAGATGACTCATGAGGCTCTGTGTGGGGCCTCAATGGATGTTGGTACCATTCTCTAAGAATGGGGATCCAGCAGGAGTAAGAGTTTTGGTGGTAGGTGGGGATGAGCTAAGAAAATGATGTTCCCATTGTTATGTTGCCATGGTTACTGGAGCCTATCCAGATTGAGATCAGATGACTTCACAGGGCTGGACTTCAGATACATGAATTTGGGAATTGGCATTACACAGATAGGGTTTGAAATGTCAACATGGCCAACCCTGTCCAGAGTCTGGGATTCAGTCAGCTGGAGAAAATGGGGAATCTCATAAATCATCGCATAAATAAAAGTGCGAATCTTCAGGCCCTTATTTACAGTGGCTTTAGTGTGCTACATTTCCAGGGAAATATATGTTCTTGTCATCCAACTTCAAGAGAAGTAAATGAACTTGAATCACACGAGTGGGTTTAAATGCCAGCCTGGAATTTAGGAAGCTACTTTGCACCTTCTTTGCTCTCATCATCTTCTTCTTCTTCTTCTTCGTTAAGTGCATGACATTTTGTCTCTGTCTTTGGGTATATAGATTAAAATAAGGCTGATTGTGGAGAAAAAAAAAGACAGAGGCAGTTAAGGGAACAAGAAGTTCCTGTTATGAGGACAAGCACATCTTTTAGTGAGCCTTGCTAAACCATATATCCTGCCGGAGATCTGGGGAAAGCCAGGTGATGATGAGCTGAGATCTCTACCTCTTCCTGGACCCACCTGATGACCCAGGGATTGCCAGGATTTTAGGGGACTCCACCTGGTTTCATGACACCCTGGTCTGCAAGCTGCTTTGGGGCAGGGACCCAGTCTTTCTTGTTTGTTACTGTATTCCCAGGACTGAGTCCTGTGCCTGGAATAGGCATTCAGGGAAGTGTGGAATGAACGAATCGGTGAGTGAATACAAAGAATAGCAAAAATAACTGAACTAGACACCATAAATGACTAGGAGTCTGGTTTGAGTCCTGATCTTAGGTTCTTAATCTTTACATTGAGGGTAATAATCTTGAGTAACAGTACACTTATAGCTGCCATGAGGGTTAAATGAGCTAATATCTGTAATGACTTAGTGCAGTGCTTGGCATGTGGCTGACAGTGGTTCAATAATTCAAACTGCTGCTAGTATTATTTTGCTGTTGTTGTGTGTTCCTAGTAGGTCACTGCAGTATGTTGGCTGATAGATTGCATGAGCTGCCCACACTTTAGCTTCCTCGTTTGTAAGGTAGAGATGGTAAAGCCTGGCTCGTCCCCTCTTGGCTGATAAAATGATAAGGAAATGAAGGTCTAGTATGCTGTGTTGAATCTCATTGTCTTACTCTCCAGGGAACTTCTCTCCAGGGGAGGCGAGTAACTCAGGGTGAGTGGCAGAGCCAAATGGGAGATGAATGTGAAAATATTCTGGAAGGCTGAAGTTGCTAAGCAGAACATAACAGTAACTGTAACACAATCCTCATATAGCTTTTGAGCAGCTGCAGGAGCTTTGAAATCTCACAGCCTCGTTTCCTAGCCTCACTTCCCCTGAGCTGCTGCAAGAGCTCATGCTGTCATTTATATTCCCTGGACCTCAGTTGAGATCAGGGAGTTAAGCCGAGTCTCCAGGTGGTGGTGAAGGTAAAAGAGAGAATGGCTGTGTGTGAGCCCTCAGTACACCCGGTATAGGCGTTTGACCTGTGGCAGCTGTCGCTATCTGATAGCATAGCTGAGAGGGGGCGAGACCAGGATAAGGACATGGATCTGTGGCAGCAATTTGAAGTGTCTCCTATGTTTTAGGAGGAATATGTGTCACCTGGAGGACTCGTAGTGTGCCTGAGCACTTGGAGTTCACTCTCAGGGTGTGGATGAGGAGGCAGGAGGTTGCAGCCCAGAAATAGCCATCATGCTCTCATCTCAGAGGTGTCCACAGAATGTCTTTGAGCTAAGAGGGGCCAGGCCAAAGGCGCAAGGCAGGCAGGACCCTCAAGGTATCTTGGGTATCCGCATGCCTGCATATCTGACCGAGCTCAACTCTGCCCCCCAGTCAATTTTGAAGTGCCTAAGGGCAGCCAGTTGTCAGCCAGCGTATTAGGGTGGTGAGCTGTAGAGTTGAGTGGACTCTGGAGCCATTCTGCCTCTCTCATTTGGGTCTGCCACTTCATAGCTGTGTGAGATGGGGTAAGTTACTTGACCTCTCTGCGCCTCAGTTCCCTCATGTATAATGTGAGCTTAACAATAGAATTACCTCGGGGGTTAAGGTATATCAACCACACGTGACAGGGGCAGCAATAGGTAAGTGTTCAGTATTAGGATTGCCCTGGCAGGACAATTAGGATATTAGAATATTAGAAGAATAGCATCCCAGGCCCTGGGATCTTTAAGGAGCCTTTCAGCTCCCCCACCCTGCCATGGGCCTGGCACCTTTTCCTCTGCCTGTGCAGTAATGGTGGTTGCCCGAAGCACCAGCTGA
The DNA here is from genome assembly GCF_000001405.40 of Homo sapiens. NCBI lineage: Eukaryota > Metazoa > Chordata > Mammalia > Primates > Hominidae > Homo > Homo sapiens. The sequence goes on along the minus strand of NC_000002.12, from coordinate 126,837,621 downwards.
TGAATGATAAGCCTGGAAGGTCCCAGGGCTTGCAGCCACTCTCTCCTTTCCAGGCTGGCCCACATCTCACATAGGCTCCAACTTGTACTCTCAACTTCAACTTGACCCGGGCAAGCATAGGCCAGCCCAGCACAGTGTAGGGCCTGAGGCAATGCCCAATCCGGAAGCTCGGGCTGAGCTGGGGGCCACGCAGAGCTTTGGCAGCAGGCAGTCTTGGTAGCTCAGGGCTGCCCATCCACCCCAGTGGGCTGTGACTTTTCCTGTCCATCTGCCACCCTCTTCAGGATACCTTCTCCCCAGCCCCAGGCTCTGTCCCCTTCTGATTCCATGGTACCAACCATCTGCTTTTTGGAAGCTTGGTCTGATGATCTCATGAACCTCTTTGTGCAGCCCAGAGCCAGCTGGACGCTGCCACCCGGCTGGCTGTCCCTGCTGACAGAGCCTGGAGTGGGCAGTGCCCTATCTGGTCCTCACCCTGCAGTCTCGAGCCTCTGTTTAGTAGGAACAGCAAAGCTGCCATTTTCAGGGAGGCCGACTCCCATGCACTGAACTTCCCAGTGTGTAGACGTCAGCCCAGTTGGTAGCTGTCCCACCAAAGAACAGAACCCTCATGCCAGTGTCATAAGCAGGAACTGGGCCGGAGGGCTGGCGTGGACGTTGTGATCCCTCCCGGCAGGGGGGTCTGATCGAACCAAGGCCCAAAACACAAAGGTATGTTAAGCATTTGCTTCTTGCCCAGATGGGCTGGTGGGGGGATCCTCCGCGGTGCCTCTGGCTGTGGGCAGGCCATAATCCTACTCCCCTAGCGTAGGCCTGGCACGCCGTAGGAAGATGTATGCCATGTGCTGGTGCCCCACACCTCTCTCCTGGAGGAGAATCAAGGTGTCTCCCGCTCTCACTCCCATTTCTGAGGTTTTATCACGATCCTGGTGCCTCTGCTAACACCTTCTTCTGACTGACAGCTTGCCATAGGATCCCTTACCCTCACCTCCAGGGTGACAGCTTTGGACACCGTGATTTACTTTTAAAGTTTCTCTCTATATCCCACAGAATGAGGTCCTGCATGTTCTATCACCTACTGTGGTGAGGGAGAACCCCTCTATCACCCGTTGTGGTGAGGGCCTGCTTAGGAGATCGCTGCCCTTACCTTCGCAGGGTCAGCCACAGGCCCCAGAGGAAAGAAGATGAACCCACGAGAGGGCCCCAGAACTCAGCACACATCTACTGCAAGATGAGAGCTGCGGGCAGGAACGCGGAGGCATCAGAGCCAGGATGCATTTAATAAGCAGTGTGACAAGGAATAAAATAACTATTAATAAGGTACATTGCAGACTTGATTCCAGCCCCATTAAACTTTCCTTTACCTTATTTCACACTCCATTTCCAAAGCACCCTCTTCTCTCCCCCACACCTTTAATGGTTCTGGCAAACTTGGGCCCTAATGAAGTCTGGCAGCATAAATTTAAGGCAGTGTCTGGCTGAACTGAACAGAAGCCCGCGTCTACAGCACAATAGTCTGAGTTGCTGGAGACATAAATTTGGCCTCAAGACTGTCCGATGGATTCAGCGAGGCAGGCCAGGGCCGTGACAGCCGTGAGTGATGGTGCCTCAGGCATTCCCAAAGCCCCCGGTGGCAGGCTGCTGAGTGGGGAGGACTGCTTGCCCGGAGTGCAGAGACTTTCGTTCATTCACGCATTCATTCATCCCACAGGCACTCACTGGGGCTGTGTCCAGTGTGTCAGGAGAGCTTTCTACCTTCACAGCTTCTTCACCCTGCCAGGTGAGCATCACCTCCATTTTACAGATAGGGAGGCTGAAGGGGGTTTGTGGGGTTTGCTGGCTTGCCCAAGCTCACACAGATAATCCTAGCGCAGGTGTTAGCCAGTGAAGGAACAAGAAGACACCAGGCCTCTTTCCTCTCCAAGGTTGTCTTTCCTCTTCTCTGATGGCTTCCCCCACCTGCAGGCCTTTGGTTCTATGGGCTGTCTTTCGTGGTGAACAGGCGCTCTGCTCTCCCGGGAGGTCTTTTTCTAGTCCCCTCCAGCATTTCCTGGCCCTGCACTTTGTTTATCTCACTTGAGTTCGTGAGCTGGCACAGGGTTCAATCAAGACTGGGTCCCCCAGGTTCCTGGAGGTCCCTGTGGCTGGAACCTGGGCCTCCAGCATACCCGTCCGGGGCTCAGTGTGTGAGATTTGAGACTGGGCCCCTCTGTATGGGGCCGTAACAGCTTCATTCATCAAATAGCTGAGCAATGCCGGGTCTGGGGTGCATGGGTTCAGCCATTGGAGATGGGCAGATGGGGAAGGGGCTGGGAGAGCAAAATGAGGCAGGTGGTTGGAAGTGGGAGGAAGAGAGACCAAGCCTCAGCTTCTCATATGCAGCTCCAGGGCTCCAGGGGCCCTTCCTTGTCAAAGGAAGCCTATTCTCCAGGCTTCTAGGCCTGAACTAACTTTGAACTCAGCTGACATTGAGACATCAGTCACTTGGAGGCTGGGAGTTTATTATCATTCTCTTCTTTTTGTCTTGATCACCTATTCTTCTCTTACTTTTCAGTTTTCTCTCAGGCTCCCTTCCCCTTTTCTTCATAAAGTGGTGTAGCTGTTTGAGACAAATCTTTGTCTTTTTGATGCTAATGATGATATTAGTGCTAGCCTTTGTGTTATTGTTGGCAGTGGTGTTAGCGTTGGTGCAGGTAAGGGTGCTATTAGTGCTGGTGATGAGTGTGCTTGTGAGGAGTGTGCTGGTAATGATGGTGGTGATGGCTGGTGTTGCTGGTGACAGTGGTGGTGATAATGATGGTATTTCTGGGGATGATGATGATATTGTTGGTGGTAATGAGAGTGGTGGTGTTGCTGATTAGGTGGCAATGATGGCTATGGTGGTGGTGAGAGTGATGATGGTATTGGTGGTGATCATTGCATTGTTGGTGGTGTTGGTGATAATGATGGTGGTGGTGATATTGGTGGTGATCACAACATTGCCGGTAGCGTTGTTGGTCATGATGGTGTTGGCATTCCTGTTGGTGGTTGTGGTAGTAGTGACGGGTATGAAGGTGGTAGTGGCAATGGTATTGTTGGTGAGGATGATACTGTTGGTGGTGTTAGTGATGGTGATGGTGGTGATTTTGCTGTTAATAGTTGTGACGATAGTTATGACGGTTTTGGTGGTGATGGTGTTGTTGGGGATGATGACACTCTAGGTAGTGTTGGTGGTTATGATGGTATTGGCATTGCTGTGTGTGGTGGTGGTGATGGTGGTTAGGATGGTGGTGGTGGCAATGGTATTGAGATTGGTGTTGATGATACTGTTGGTGGTGTTGGTGGTAATGATGGTGATTTGGCTGTTGGTAGTTGTGGTGGTGATGGTACTGTTGATGATGATACTCTTGGTAGTAGTGTTGGTGGTAATGATGCTGTTGGCATTGCTGTGTGTGGTGGTGGTGGTGACATTTGTGGTGGTGCTGGTATTTTTGGTGATGATGATACTGTTTGTCATGTAGGTGGTAATGATGGTGGCGATTTTGCTGTTGATGATTGTGGTGGTGATGATGGTTTTGATGATGGTGGTAGTAGTTTTGGTGATGGGTGCTGGGCCTCTGAATCAGGAAGATGTAGTAAAAAGAAGACAAGCTCTGGAGCTAGACAGACTTGCATTCCATTACTGGCTCCAGTAAATTACTTAGTGTCCTGTACCTCTGTTTCCCCATCTATAAATTGGGGAAAATAATACTCACCTCACAGGTGTTGTGAGGATGAGGGCTAGTGTCTGTGTCCCACCCACTTTTACCTGGGGTCTTAGAGCTCCTTCTTCTTCTTCCTGGGCATAGGAGCCTGGACAGTGTCACATAAGAGGCGACATCATCACTGATGGAAGGCTCTTGACCTTTGGCTAGGGATTTGACAGCCATAGCCTAGTGTGACCTTGGCTACTTTCATTCCCACTAGCGGGCATATCAGGATGTGACTCCATGCCTGTTTGAGACCAATGTCCAGTTTTTCCACCACCTATGTTCCCCTACAGAGGATGAGCAGCGCAGATGTCAGCTGTGGTCTCTTCAGTCGTGAGATCAAATAGAATTGCCTCAGTCCCTCAGCCCTATAACCCCTGGTCCTTATAGGCATGGTACTCCTACAGCCAGATAAGAAAATCTACTCCTTCGAGTTCTATAGAAGGCTCCTTCAACATGATATTGTTTGGGAGCAAAGTAGACCTCACAGAAGGTTGATAGAGGAGGCAGGAGTGAGCTTTTATTGGAATCCTCAGAGACCTACCTAGACATCTTTACTGGACATTTCTATTCCTCAGTGCCCTTCTTGCCTGTCCCAGCCCATCTCTGATCTGCAAGGGCTTCTCCTGTTGGCACATTGTCCCGCAGAACCCAGCCTTACTCTCCTTTCTCCTGCTCTTTGCTTCCCATCCAGCTTGTAGTCTTCCTTCCACCAAACAAAGCTACCAGGAAGCAGGTTCTCAAAGTCTCTATCCTCAACTCATCGGGGCCCACCCACGGTGCAGCTCATCCCCCTCTGTACAATGCAGCCAGGGTTGTCAAATATAGATGTTTCCCCTGCTTTTCATACTTAGACTGGGGCCTGAGCCGGGACCTCTCTCTTAGAGGACATGAGTTCTGCCCAGCCCTGGCTTGTCTCAGTCCCTTGTCTCCAGGTCAGCCCACCACCCCAGGCCTCACTGAGCCAGGACTTCCTGGGACCACCTCTGCCAGGCCTCTTTCCACCTCTGAAGAGTTCTGTCCTTAGGGAGTGAGTAGGAGGCAGGCCTGGTGTGACCTGGGGTAAAGGCCGTTAGTGAAAAGGGCCTGGGTGATGGACAGTCCCCTGGCCCTCCCCCTACCAGGCACACCCCGCTGCCTGTCATTCTCACTTCTGAGGCCCTTATTAGGCAGATGTGAGAGGGACTTGCCCTGCTCCCCCAAAGAGCTGTGTGCCAGAGGAGGGGCCTCAGGAGCACAGAAGCTCATCCTTCCCCTCATCTGCTCCCTGCTGAGTCATCCATACAGGGTCGCTGTTTCTGGAGCCAAGAGGTGAATAGAAGCTACCAGATCTCCTTACTTTGCCTCTGTGGAGATCCCAGATGTCTCTCTGCCTCCCAGGCCTGAGGGTCCTTTCTGCAGAAGATGCGACGGTGACAGTGGTAGTGGTGATGCCCACTATTTAATTATCATCTGCTATGTATTATTTCATTTAATCCTCACAACAACTTTGCAAGAGAGGTCTCAGTAGCACCACTTTACAGGTGGGGAAACTGAGGACCAGGGAGATGCAGGGAGTTGCCATAGTCTCACACTGAATAAGCAGTAAAACCAGGTTTCCAAACCAGCCCTCTCCAAGTCTGGAGCCCTGCTGGCCCTTCACTCCCATGACCTCAGCAGCCTGAGCTCTGCACATCTGCTCTGCCAAGTTCATGCACTAGTGGGGAAGGATTGCTTAAAGCAATCTGATTTTTACTGTCTCCTTTAGGATTTTCTGGATTAAAAACAAAATGAAAACAACACACCAAATATTTCACTTTTTTCTAAATTATAAAGTTCAACCTGGAAATGTTTGGGAATTTTTGTCTGAGGGTTTAAGGGAAGAGACCAACATTTACCAAGAGCCTCTATTGTGCCCGTCACTTTTCATATGCCATGACATGTCATCCTCACGTCAAGCTCAAGTGGGGCCAGCCTTCTTATCCTGTCGTCAGATGAGTAGACTGCGGTTGGGGAAGGTGTGGCCAGCAGTGGGGTGGGCTTTCAATCCGGCTGCTATGATTACAGAGCCTGTGTGTTCCTTTCTCTCTGTTGTGCTGCTCCCAGAGGGCAGCCCATGGCTCCACCAGCTGTGTATGGTGGAAGTAGGAGCTTCTGTGTCTTAGGGTTGCCGTGAGGATGTGTGACTCACATTAGTGCTTGTGTGGGTTTTGTGTAGAGTCAGAGCTCAATAATAGCAGCCATTGTTATTCTCAGGAAGGAGAAAGTTGGCTCACTCTGCTCCAGGTCACCTAGTGGGGCTGTCTCCAAGCCCATTGTTCTTTTCTCTGTTTTCGCTTGTTTGGAGTTTTCCTTTGTCTCCTGTCGAAAAGGTGAATGACAGAGACCCTACCTGACCTCTGTGGCCTCTCGCATCAGGGCTCAGGACACAGTGCCGAGGAGACCAGGACCCTGGTTCAGTAGCCAAATGGTCTTGTTGTCCTTGCCCTGGTTCCTGTCCCTGTATCCCCTCCTCTGGTCCAGCCACCTGGTCACCAGGTGGAGCTAGGCAGGAAACAAAGCTGGCTGTGTGCACCCAGCCTCATTCTACATGGACTTGAGCAGGGACTACTATATCTGCGTCACGTTAATAGAGAACATCACGCGTTCCAATTATCCAGTGTTACATGAGAAACTACCCCAAGTTAGTGCCTTAAAACTACTCATTGTATTATGCTCATTATCTGAGGGTCAGGAATTTGGATAGGGCTCACTGGAGTGACTCTTTTGCTCCATGCAGCATTGACTGGCTATTCTATGAAGACTTTAGGCAGCTGGAGGTTCTAAAAAGGCTTCACTCATGCCTAAAAGGGGCAAAGGGTGGAGAAGGGAGTGGTTGGGCTCAGTGGGACCCCACTTCCTCTCTGTGGAGTCAGAGTTTCTCCAGGTTGTCTTTCTAGCAGGCTAGCAGGACTTCTTACACAGCAACTCAGGGCTCCAAAAACAGGTGTGCCCAGAGATGAGATGTGGAGGTTGCTAGTCTCAAAGCCTGGGCCTGGTTACTGGCGTAGCATGACTTCTGACACATTTAATGGATGAAAGCAAATGCAGAGCCTGCCCAGATTCAAGGAGAGGGAATAAATATTGCATCTCTTCACCAAAGGTGTGTCAAAGAATTTGTGAGCATCGTTTATCCACCGCAAGACTGAAAAATATGTTAGACCCTCATATCCCTCCCAGGGTCTTGCTTCTCTTGCATGTCCCTGGCTCATGACAGAGGCCACTCTTCTCCTCGCACTTGGTGGCAGGCAGCTTTCTTTAGTAAGAGTCTAAGGTATACAATCATCAAAGCTGCTCTCTCATGTGAACCCACAGCCCAGAAATCTGTTCTCAGTTAGTGGAGGATGAGGAGCGTGGGCAAATAAATATCTCATCACGGTTATTGGGAAGCTGCAATTGATCTTTTGGATTCAATTGCAAAAAATTAAGGATGATTTGATTTCAGTCAACTCAATGCAACAGGTGTTTAGCTATGTTTTGGGTCTGATTTTTTTTTTTTTTTGGTTAGACGGAGTCTCACTCTGTCACCAGGCTGGAGTGCAGTGGCATGATCTTGGCTCACTGCAGCCTCCGCCTCCCAGGTTCAAGGGATTCTCTTTCCTCAGCCTCCAGAGTAGCTGGGACTACAGGCACGCACCACCACATCCAGCTACTTTTTTCTTTTTTTTTTTTTGTATTTTTAGTAGAAACGAGGTTTCACCATGTTAGCCAGGATGGTCTCATCTCCTGACTTCATGATCTGCCCACCTCAGCCTCCGAAAGTTCTGGGATTACAGGCGTGAGCCACTGCGCCCGGCCCAGTTGCTTCTTAATAATCCCTTTGGAGTCAGTAACTCTTATATGCATTCAAGTCTTTTGAGATTTCTATTACTTTATTGCCATTCCATCTTTTTGCCACTGTCATAAAGAAATCTGAATTACTATTTCATTCCATTTCAAACCATCCCATCCAAATCATTCCATTCCACTTAGGTTTTCCCAGCCAGCTCAGTTCAACGCATTTCATTCTATCCATTTCATACCATCTCTTCCCAAACTTTCCATCCTATCCCACATTAGTCTATTGTTTGATTCATTTCAAAGTATTGATTCCCCCCACACTATTCATTGGATCAAGTTCATCATTCTAAATATCCCTCCTGGGTATCTGCAAGGTAGAAATACAAGAGAAACCCACCATGTCCTGTCAAGTGAGAGCCGCCCAGGCATGACCAGCCCACCTGACCACCATGCACTGGAGAGGCTGGAGCTAACCGTGGGGCTCACTGGAGAGGCTGGAGCTAACCGGGGTGCTCACTGGAGAGGCTGGAGCTAACCGGGGGGTTCACTGGAGAGGCTGGAGCTAACTGTGGGGCTCACTGGAGAGGCTGGAGCTAACCATGGGGTCCAGGCTCTAATGTGGATGTTTCCACACACCCTGAGAGCTATTGGGGTATCCTCAGATGCAAAGGGCAGTAATTAATGCATGTTATTATTCCTTTGATCACTATTTCTGCACTTTAAAAAGAACTTTAATCTTTTATTATGGATAATTTCAAACACGCCAAGAACTGAGAGACGAGTAATCCTTATATACTCATTACACAAAACAAATCTCATTTCATCCATTCCCTTCTTGAGCATTTTAATAGAAATTCCATGTCATATTATTTCAGCAATAACTGCTTGCATATGTAAGTCTAGCCTCTATTTTAAGCATAGCTACAATACCAAAATAAACCTATCAAATAAACAATTACTCCTTAATACCAGAATGTGTTCAGATTTCTCTGATTGTCTCAAAAATGTCTTTTTATAGTTGGCTGGTTTCTTGTTACATTTGGCTGATTTGTCTTTTATGCCTCTTTTAATCTCCCCTGCTCTTTTTCATGCCTTTTTGTTTGTTTAAGAAACTTGGTCATTAGTCCTGCAGGATTTCAATATTCAGGATTTGGCTCCTTTTGTCATTCTGGTGTTTTTCAAGATGTTATGCCAACTTCTATATTTCTTGCAAATGTACAAATTCCTGTACATATTTTGCCACAATGTACACATTTAAACTTTTTTCTTTTTTATTGTAGTAAATACACAGAACACAAAATGTACCATTTTAAAGTGTATAATTCGGTGGCATTAAATACACTTGCATTGTTGGGCAACCATCACCACCGCTTAGTTGCATAACTTTTCATAACTCCAAACGGAAACCTCATACCCATTAAGAAGTCACCCCCCATTTCCCCCTTGCCCCAGCCCCTGGCAGCCATGAACTGCTTTCTGTCTCTGTAGAGCTGCCTAATCTGGACATTTCATTTAAGTAAAATTACATCAGTTGGCCTTTTGTGTCTGACTTTTCTTTTTTTAATATATTTTTAATTTTAGATTTACAAAAACGTTATGAAGATAGAAAGTTCCCGTATACCCCGCATTTAGTTGTAGATGTTTCTAAACTCATGGATTTTATATATTTAAAGTGTTCTAATCCATTACAGATCTTATTCTTTTTGATGTTTGAATTGCCTTAACTTGGCTAGTGGGAGCCCCCTCAAGTTGGCTTCCGTGTTCTTTTTGATTTATGAACCTAAAGAAGACTAATCCTTTTAGGGTGGCACCTAGAAGCCAGCTGTTGAGTTAGGAAGTGTACATGCCTGGTGCTGGATGAGGAAGGAGAGTGGAGGGGAAGGAGGTAATGAGCTTAGAGTAGTTAAAAAAAAAAAAAAAATAGGATGCCAGCAGGGCAAAGTGGCTCACACCCGTAATCCCAGCACTTTGGAAGGCCAAGGCGGGTGGATCACATGAGGATGGGAGTTCAAGACCAGCCTGACCATCATGGAGAAACTCCGTCTCTGCTAAAAACACAAAATTAGCCGGGCGTGGCGGCGCATGCCTGTAATCCTGGCTACTCCGGAGGCTGAGGCAGGACAATCTTTTGAGCCCAGGAGGTGGAGGTTGTGGTGAGCTGAGATCACGCCATTGCACTCCAGCCTGGGCTATAAGAGTGAAACTCTGTCTCATTAAAAAAAAAGAAAAGAAAAAAGAAAAAAAAGAAAGAAAAGAAAAAAATAGGATGCCAATTCAATTTCTAGGGAAAACGGCATTTTGTACAATATGCTCTGGAGTTTTGAACTCTGCCAGCACAGCTCCCACTGGGCTGGAGATTCTGTCTTTATTAACAAACCCAAGCTGGCCTTCTTCCTCCAGGGCTGCGGGAAGCCAGGCCTGCGGGGCTAGCTTGCCCAGCCCATTGATAATTAAGCAGGCCCACTGCTGTCTTCCCCTAGAGCTCATCAGCCACAGGCTTTTGGGGGATGATTAGCAAGGGCTGCAGAGCGCCAGGATGCCTCTGCTCGGTTGGGAAGAGCTGCTGCAGTCCCTTCGCATCCAGCATCCAGGATGGCATCAGAGGAGTTGGCAGAGGCCCTGAGCTTGCCTGCCCAGCACCAGTCTGCTGTGTGTGTGCGTGAAGGTGGCCAGAGAGGGAGGACGTGTACTGCAGAGAGGTGCCTGTCCACTGACACGCTTTGTGTTGCAAATTTGGAGTGGTTTCCTCCTTTGATCCTCACAATAGTAACTGTTAAGAATTCTGTATGGCCGAAGATTCCTGTATGCACTTCGGGCATAAGAAGTGAGAATGAGTCCCTATCCTCAAGGAGTTTGTTAGGGAAGCGTTGGGTAGCACTGTCAGGCCATCTAGGAGAAGCTGATAAAAGGAAAAGATCAGACAGCCTGCCATGAGGGCTGAGTTGTGCGGTGCCGGTACCTGTAGCATTTGCAGTAGCAGGCCAGAGAGGGGAGGCAGCATCACCATCATAATCAGCAACATCATTAGCTAGACTGTTAGGCTGTGATATGGGCCCATGCTGGGTTGGCCAGGTGGGGGACCACCTCTCTGCCCTGGGTGTGCACATGTGGTTTCTGGCCTCTGCAGAGGACAATGAGTAATGATGCCATAGGAGATGCAAGGCAGGAGGAGCTCTGGGATAAAGAGAGAGGCTGGAGGCTCACCCAGACAGGCAGTGGAGTAGAGAGTTGTGATGGTGGATGAAGCTCTGGGGCCTCATGGTCCTAGTGTGTGCTATGGGCAGGCCTCAACATCCTCGCCAGCAGATGGAAACTGCCACCTTCTTCTTCTGGGTTGCTGTGGGAATGCAGTGAGAGTGTACTGGGGCCTGGCTCAGGGCAGTTGCTAAATAGGGCTGGCTGGCATGAGTAAAAGTCTCATTGCATATGCTCAGGAGGAAGATGGGGAACCCTGTCAGCTTCCTACAAGAGAAGCATGTTGGGGTGGAATTGCCAGGGCTACTGTGACAAGAGAGATGCACAGTGAGTTTAAGCATGAAGCTCAACCCCTGCAAGGCCACAGAGGAAGAGGAGAAAGTTCTGCCCCAACATCATGGTGAGCCCCCAGATCCACACTCTATGCTCTGCTCCCTGGTTTGAGTGTTCCATGTTATGGGTGCTGTGCTTCCATGTACTTCAGGGAACTTGCAGATCCTGGGCCCCAGCTGCTGCTGATAAAGCCAAAAGGAAGAAAAACCTTTGGTTGTCCTTGTCTTGGTGTGCCACAGCCCCCTCAGCTCCTGAGGCTAATGCACTGATGATCCAGCAGACCTGTCTGTGAGGAGGGCCTGGGCAGGAGATGGGGTGAACCAAGGCTTTGCTTTTAGTTTCTGTCCTGTGTGTCTGGTGAAGCAGGACACAGCCATGTGAAGGTAACAATGGTGTATAATTAGGTATGCCTAATTATCATGTTCTGGTAACACATCATGTATGATGGTGTATAATTAAGTGTCACTGTGTGGCAGTCAAAGAGGGCTTCTTAGAAGAAGGACACCTGAGCCTCATCTCAATGAACAGAGCGGATTTGAATGGAGAGAGTGGAGAGGAGTTCCAGGGGAGTGACAGGAAAATGCACTGGACTTGGAATCAGGAGATCTGATTTTGGCTCAATCACTCATTGACTATGTTCTTTCCTCAAATCACTTCACCTCTTTGAATCTTGGTTTCTTTATCTGTATGATGGCTATGATAATATACAGGGTTGTCATCAGTATTAAATGAGACTGCATTGATCCATAAAGCACCCTGGCCAGTGCCTGGGACACAGAAAGCACCAAAAATGCTAACGCTTTCGGAAAGAACGGGCGTGGGGCTAGCAGGCCTGAATTCAGGGCCCATGGGCAGGGACCATGAATGGGCTACTGAAATTACCTTTAAAAGTTTGTATTTTAGTCTGTTTTGCATTTTTATAATGTAGTACCTGCGGCTGGGCAATTCATAAGAAAAGTGGTTTATTTGGCTCATGATTCTGCAGGCCTCACCAGAAGCCAAGCATGGTACTGGCATCTGCTCAGCTTCTGATCAGGCTCACAGAGATTTTACTTGTAGCAGAAAGCAAAGGGAGCCAATATGTCACATGGTGAGAGAAAGAGCAAGGGAAAAGGAAGGAGGTGCCAGGCTTCTTTAAACAAGCAGCTGTCACATGAACTAACAGAGTGAGAACTCACTCATCGCCATGAGGAGGGCACCAAACCATTCCTGAGAGATTCACCCCCATGATCCACCCCCACCAGGCCCCACCTCCAACACAGGAGGTCACATTTCAATGGGAGAGTTGGAGGAGACACATCCAAACCGTATCAGTTTGTGTATTTGTTCTTTTCTTTTTTTCTGGAATGAGTGTTTCATAGATTTATCAGAATCCCCCCAAAATAAGGAGCCATTGACACAGAGCTTCAGACATTATGAAGTGAGTTTGCTCATGTCATTTGAACCCACAGTGCTCTGCTCAATATACTGAGCAGTTACTATCACCAGCCATGCTTCACAGTTGGAGTAAGTCTCAGAGGGACTTAGGACCGTTATGGCCTCCCACGGGCCTCCTGCCCCAGCTTTTTCCCTATTTCCCTCCCAAGAGCCTGAGTGTCCATTGGAGGACCATGAGCGCCACAGGAAAGGCCCTTGAGGGGCTCACAGCCTCGGCAGAGTCAGACACATGTTCCATCTTCGTGGTCATGCTGGTGACTCATGCATGAACATGTGACCCAGGGGCCTAATCAGAGTGAATTTCCTGATTCGCCACCATGAATTCTTGGACACATACTCTGTGTCTTCCTATGGCCTGGGTCTTTCAGGGGAGATGCCTGGGATTGTCACAGTCATTTTGCTCCTATAAGTGAAGTTATCTTGAGAGTAAAGGTCACCCAGAGGAGAGGGTGGAGCCAAGAATCACTGAGAAGAGGAGCTATTTTCTGGATTAAACTGACCAAATTCACTCTGGACTTCTTCAGTCACATGAATCACAAATTCTCTTTTGTAGGCCAATTTGTGTTTTCTTTTACTTGCAACCGAAAGCCTCTTAGTTGATCCAGGTGCCCCAGTGCATATCACACGACACAGTATTGACAGAACTGAGATGTGAGCCCAACATTCTCTGGCTCCCATTAACGACCATTTGGGTCATGACTCTTCTTAGGTTTGTGGACAGCTCAGCATGGCACACCCCTTGGGTGAGAAGTTCTGACTAATTCACTTCCCAATGGGCAAACAGTGCTTTTAAAATCTGGTTCCCAGGTAAGTTCTATCATTAATTCCAAGGGAGAAGTTGTGATTCTGGTTCCTGGGATTTGATGAACTTTCCACCGTTTCCTTTCTGGAACTCTCAAGATCTGTAGGAAGGATGTCCAGGGCTGGTGGATGGCAGGGCTGAGTGGGGTGGCTGTTCAACCCACTCTCATGCCCTTTTCTCCATCTCTCAAGTGTCCCTGAGCCCCAACCATGGGCACATAGCCAGGGAGGCACCAGGAAGTGAAACACATGCAGGCCCTGTCTGCCCGGTTCACCATCCAGGGGGAGATTTTCGGGGTTGCTGAGCATGGGGAGGCCTGGGGGTGCAGCAGCACTTGGTGGTGAAGCCAAGGCTCATCTGTAGCCACAGGACAGCCCCCACTCAGTGCTTGCTGTGTGCCTCTGTGCTATGGTGGACTGAGTGCGGCAGTGCCATGGGCAGAAAGGAGGTCCCCACCCTGGCTCTTACACAGGAGCAATTGGACCTCAGGCAAGTGAGGGCATTGAAAGCTCATAACCTTCCTTTTCCATGGAATAAATGCATACACTCACAAGAACTCACTTAGTGTTCTAGTGATTACTAAGATAATGTAGATGGCTGCATGTTCTAGTAACTAGCACACACTAGGTACTCCTATGACTTAACATTTTCTGTGCATGCTGATGACACCATGCCTCCCCCCCAATTTATCAAAAACAAAAAGAAACAAACACAGTCACCCCAAAGAATGGTGAGTGTCCAGGTGTGGTGCCCTGTGGTGGTGGAGGAAGGGCTACCTCTTTTTTTGAGTCTTTTTACTTCTAAAAGAAGATTTACCTTCACTTCCCCACTTCTTTGGGAGGGGTACATGGGAGGGAAAACAGAAACACACACACAGTCATGGAGGAAAAGAGAGACAGAGAGAGATGGGCAGAAACACAGAACCAGGAGAGGGAAGAGAGGAGAGGAAATGTGAGAAGTGGAGAAACACATTCAGAGGAAGCTGGCAGAAGGAAGAAAAGCCACCTAAGGTGGTCAGCTGTTGAAAAGATGAGCTTTCTCCAGTACCATCAGGGTGACTAAGGAAGGGTCAAAGTGCCCACGGCCAGGAGGAGGTCCATGGGGTCCAGGGGGCCAGGAGGAGGTCCATGGGCTGGGAGGGCTGCACAGGGCTGGAGGTGGGAAGGCGGGAAGCCTGTTTACCTGGGATCACTCGTCATGCCTGCCCTGGTAATAATGGGTGGGCAGTGAGCCCTTGCCCTTCTGTGGGGCTGAGTCCTCGTGGCTGGAGAGTGTCTGAAAGCATGCATGGCCTGGACAGGGAGGAGGAGCCCCAGGTGGCAGATCGGCCTGCCTCTCTTCCCAGTGTAGACCATTCCTCAGGGCTTGTAGCATGTTTGTGAAAGATTTCTAGCTTTCTTATGTTAGTTAGAGAACAAAACAAAACAATTAGCTTATTATACAATAAAATTTGCTATGTCTCCAGTCCCATGATCATGGATGTGCCCTATTGTCAATATTTCCCTGGTCCCCTTTCTGGTGTCCGAGAAGCCTGGGCAGGTCTGTGTCCTCCTTCCTGGCTGGCCCTGACCAGAGGGACCACCTCTCTTCACACGGTCCAGCCAGGGGCTCTGACTGAGCCACACCCTTCCCTTTGTGGGATTTATGCCCTGTAGGCAACTATCTGTTAATCCTTTCCTACAGTCTTTAAAGTTCACTTTCCTCTTTCCAAAAAACAAATCTCTTCTGAAGTTAGAGGAAGCATCAGTGATTTAAGTGAACAGACTAAATACAAGGGTTCTTAATAAAAGAGTCTCTTAACAGAAGGGTCTAGGGATCTCGCGCTGACAAAACGTGTGTCTTCTCCCACCTAGACACTGGCCTGAGCTGCCTCAAATTTTAATTCCTCAAATGCTGAAGGTGTTTTCCCCGCTGAGATCATACTATGATCTGATTTTTTCCTCTGAATACCAACTGGGTCCAGACACTAACAATTCAATTTATTGCTGACACTAAGTACCGTGACGTAGCACAGATCCCACAGGATAAGGGCTCAGTCCCTTGAGACTGCCCCCCACTTCAGATGCCAATTGCAAGTCTGTGCCCATAACCGCCTCCTCGTGTTTATTAGTTTGCTATAATGGCTCACAGAGCTCAGAAAAGTACTTTCCTTACTACTACTGTTTTTTTTTTTAATCTCATATGCAATTTATTTATTTACTTTTGTTTCTTTCTCTTCTGTCTAGCTGAAATTTTCTAGCCTTTGGTCAGCATGTCCCCATTTCTCCCGCCCAGCCTCTGGTAGCCACTGTTCTACTCTTTGCTCCTATGTGTTAGACATTTTTAGATTCCACATATGCGTGATACCATGTGGTATTTTGCATTTCTTGTGCAATAACTTTTTTAGGAGTAAATTGTTGGCTCTTTTAAAATAAAATTAATTAGCTTTCTGTGTACCTGTGACTAATTTTTCCCATATTTGTGAGCAATCTGAATGTCTCAATCTGGTCTGGCAATTAGGTACTCCGTCAGTTCTTAGCACCTTCCCTCTTGGAGCCTCCTACCCTCAAACTTCCATTCAGACAGGCTGCACTAGGCCATGCACACAGCTGTTGCTCAGGAACTTCCTTTCACTATTTTTATCTTAACCTTCCAAAGGCTTAAGAAAATGTTTGAGACATGAAATACAATTTTGGCTCCAATAATTGCAACTTATAAATAAACAAACAGCTAACTAAGTTGCATATTAGCATGTCAACCAGTTGATTGCAACTCAACACAACTGAACTCCACATTTCCGTAAGCAGCTCTTTGATTCTGATTCAATCTGCACGTGTAGCTAGATCCTGAGACATCCCTGAAGATATCCACAAGGCAGTTCTTTCACATGGGTGATGCTGCTCTGGCAAACAGAAAGATCTGAACAGGTTGGTTCCTATCCCCACAGAGAAGGTTAATCTCAAAGAGAAGTTTAACCCAACGGGAAGGTCAAGTTTTTGGAGTTATCTTCTTGCTATTCCCATATCTGACTCTTCGCTTCATTTTCTCACCTGCCACTGTTACCAGTCTCATTCTTCTGGTGTAATCCACGTGCATTTTCTAAGATTCTGGCTCATATCCTGGTTCTAACCTTTAACTCTCCTTCTTGGACAAGGGATTCTATAAATGACCTTGTGGGTGTTGGCTGTATTGACCAAAGTGGCCTCCAGCTCCTCCCTCCTGGGCTTAGCTCTTCCTGTGTCTCTGAGGAGAGAACAGATCCGGAAATTGATCTTTCCAGTTAGTTCATTTCACTGAGAATATTGTCACATGGAATTTTGGACATCTTCCCTTTGCTCCCCAGATACATTCTCCACCCATCTCCACCCGATTCTTAGTCCTAGGAAGCAGATATGCATGCACTATGTCACCCAGCCCCTCTTGCCTTCTGCTTCCAGTTGGATTTGGCTGATGGGGGCTCTGCAGGAGGTCTTCAGGCAGAGTCAGAGTGAGATTGGGTGACTCCTGTCAAGGTGACCTTTTATACAGCTCTTTTGGCTCTGGAAGCTCTTCCCTCTCCTTACTGGCTAGCCATCTAGCTGTTTGTAATGTAAAAAGTAAAATAAAAGTCAGAAGCCTTGGGATTTCTGTAGAAGATCATGTAGCCTGTTGGACCTAGGAAGATCAGAAATGTCACATCCTTCTTGTAACTTAATTTTTGAGACTCCATTTTGCTGAAGACGCACATATATAATTTTAGTCAAACTGGTGTTCCTCCATTTTCTTTGAATTTGGACTTACTTTCTTTGGTTATTAGGTTGGGAGTTAAAAAGTCTCAGTGTGATCTGCTTATAGTAGCCCTTGTTGAGCTGTCTGTCTTCAGTGGTCATTCTGCTGAGGACACTGCTAACCCATCCCTTATTGTGACTTCCAGGATACTTTCAGGCCTGCCTCTCTTCCTCTAAACACAACACATCACCTTTCTTCCTTGAGACCTTGACCTTATTCTGGTGTTGTTCCTGGGAAGTAAAATAAATTTTTCCCTTGGCTGTTGATTATCTTAAACCTAGCTGGAGGTTCTGTTGTTTTCTACCTAGAAGGGAGTAAGGTTTCTTTCTCAGGGACTTTTAAAATCTCAGCTCTCACCCCTTCCCCCTAGACTAAAACATTCTTCCCCAGTTTGAGGGGTGGAAAATGGAAAACTCTTGTTACATTTCCTTCTGGATGCTTCTAAATCTATTATATTTGGCCTAAGCCATTCTTCTTCCCTTCAGAGCCCACAGTCTTTGGAAACTAAAAATCAAGAAAGAGTCTAGATGATCTAGGAAGGAAGCTGGAGGAGATAGGAGGATCAAGAGACAGACTGGAGGGACACATGGGTTACTCTCTTAAATATTTCATCGTTCTCCTACCCCACCCCTAACTGCACTCTTTTGGGTCACATGAGGGAGAAATGCTAAGGAAAGGTAAGAAATAATTGAATAGTTCACAACCCAGAAGGGGAGAAACTGAGGGTACAGAGCCTGGGGAAGAGAGGTTAAGGAAGTGTTTCCCGGGAGATAGAGGGCTTGAGCTCAGCTCCATTGAAGGGCTACAAGAACCCTGGCCGCAAACATATTCACCAAGAATGAAGCCCTATGTCAGGACTGGATAAGACTGAGCCTTTCTCAGAGGCCAGGAACAAGTAGAAGCAAAAACGGGCCAGATGCAATGGCTCACACCTGTAATCTCAGTACTTTGGGAAGCTGAGGCAAGAGGACTGCTTGGGCCCAGGAGTTTGAGACCAGCCTGGACAACACAGGGGGACCCCATCTCCAAAGAATGTTTTTAAAAAATTAGCCAGACGTGGTGGATGCCTGTGTTTGCAGTTACTTAGGAGGCTGAGGTGGGAGGAGGATTGCTTGAACCTGGGAGCTCAAGGCCACAATGAGCCATGATTACATCACTGCACTCCAGCCTGGGTGACAGGGAAAGACTCTGTCTCAAAAAAAAAAAAAAAAAAAAAAAAAGAAAAGAAAACAGTCCCTTGTAAACCCCAAAAGGTGAGAAGACAGGGTAGTTATCAGGTTTTAAGATTTGGGCCCAGGACCATGGACAGGAGCATAAACATTAACACTAACTTTTATGGGGGACTTATGACATGCTAGGTACTAAGGGTTGCTCATTTAGTCCTTACAATAACCCAAGGAGGCACTACGTAGAATCATTTCCACTTTTTAAATAGAAAACTGAGAATGGAGAACTTGGTATCCTAATTGGGGTCACAGAGTAATTAAGTGAAATAATAGGATTTGACGGTCAGGTGTGGTGGCTCACACCTGTAATTCCAGAACTTTGGGAGGCCAAGGCGGGTGGATCGCCTGAGGTCAGGAGTTTGAGATCAGCCTGGCCAACATGGTAAAACCCCGTCTCTATTAAAAATACAAAAAATTAGCCAGGCGGGCGTGGTGGTGCATGCCTGTAATCTCAGCTACTCAGGAGGCTGAGGCAGGACAATAGCTTGAACCAGGGAAGCAGAGGTTGTAGTAAGCCGAGATCATGCCATTGTACTCTAGTCTGGGTGGCAAGAGTGAAACTCTGTCTCAAAAGAAAAAAAAAAAAAGAATATGGTTTGGCTGCAGTTCTGTCTGCTGCTAAACCTGGGTCTTAATTATCTTGCCTTTGTGTTACCTGCTCTTACTCTTGCATCAGAGAAATGGGGTGGATGAGTAGTGACAGATTCAGGAGTGAGGTGATAGCAGTGATAATCAAGGATGATAATAAAAAATGTTAAAGGCTAACATCACTGAATAGATCCTATGTTCCATGAACTCCCAGGCTTTGTACATATCTTCACTTCCTTCTATATTTTCAGAAGCAAAGACTAAGAGAGTTGATTAGTGGGGTGTCTCACACAAAGCAAATTAAACAATTTCAGCTTCTCCTACTTCCCAGAATTGGAGTTCAATTAATTAGTAGGTCTTCAGATGCTTGACATTGGCTGTACTAGAACTCTATTAAATTACTATAGACCTGTTCTTCAAAAGAATCTGTTACCTCAGAGGTCAGTAAAATGGTGAAATAGATAGCTATGAGCATTTGTATCCTCATAGAAACACTGAAAAACAAACAAAACTGGTCAGAACCAACTTTGTCAGAACTTTGGAAAACAGAAAAATTCCCAGCAACCAAATGAATGCTAAATTTTAAAAAAAAGGCAATTTAAAAACTGCTCCTGGCACTCAAGAAAATATCCATCAAAACACAAGTTGATCATAAGGAGCAGAGATTTTAGTAACTACACATGAAAATAGTCATTGCAAAAATTATTTGCAAAAGTCATTAAAAGGACTACTACAGACTTCAACAATTAAGAAAACACAGTAAACCCTGAGGAAGAAAGAGGATCTCATTTCCAGAGCTATCATACTATAATATTCAAATATTCAGCTTTCCACATAAGAAATCACAAGGTATACAAAGAAATAGGAAAGTATGGCTTATTCAAAGGAACAAAATAAATTAAAAGAAACCATTTCTGGGCAAGACCAGACATTCAACATACTTGACAAAGGTTTTAAATAACTGGCTTAAACAGACTCAAAGAACAACAACAACAAAAAAAAAACATGAACAAAGAATAAAGGAAATAAATACATGAAATATTAAAACTTAGAATATCTAAAAAGACATTATTAAAAAGAACCAATCAGAAATTCTGAAGTTAAAAAGTACAATAACTGAAATTAAAAACAATCCAGAAATATTCAACAGAAGATTTTAGTAGACAGACGCAGGTATCAGTGAACTTGAAGATAGAATAATTGAAGATATCAAGTATGAAGAGAAAAAAATAATGAAGAAACATGAACCGAACCTAAGGAATATGTGGAACACCAACAGGTATGTGTATGTGTGTGTGTGTGTGTGCGTGTGTGTGTGTATTTTACCGAAGTCCTAGACAGAGATGACAAAAATAAAGGAGCAGAAAGAATATTTAAAGAAATAATGGCCAAAAACTTCCCAAGTCTGCTGAAAGACATGCATCTATATATTCTAAAAGCTCAACAAACTGCAAGGAAAACTTGTAGCTTGTTTGTGCTATCCATCATGTGAGGACACAACAAGAAAGCACCATCTATGAACCAGAAGAGCAAACCCTCACTAGGGCACCAAACTAGACACCAAATCTGTTAGCCTCTTGACATGGGACTTCCTAAATGTGAACTGTGAGAAATAAATTTCTATTGTTTATAAAAAAAAAAAAAGAAAAACTCCAAGGAACTCACACTGAGACATATTATAATCAAACTGTTGAAAGTCAAAGAGTCTTGAAAGCAGCAGGAGAGTAGTGACTTATCCTATACAAGTAATCTTCAATAAAATTAACATCCAATTTCTCATCAGAAACCATGGATGCCAAAGGGAGTGGAATGATATATTCAAAGTGCTGAAAGAAAAAAAATATGTCAACTGAGAATTCTAAATACAGCAAAACCTTCCATAAACAACAATTAAGACTTTCCCAGATAAAAAGATAAAGCTGAAGTTTTGTTGTTATTGTTTTTTTTTACCACTAGGCCTGTTCCACAAAAAAAGCCAAGGGGACTCCTCTGGGTTGAAAAGAAATGACACTAGACATTCATTAGAAATGCATATAGGGCTGTGCGCGGTGGTTCATGCCTGTTAATCCCAGCACTTAGGGAGGCCGAGGTGGGCAGATCACCTGAGGTCGGGAGTTCAAGACCAGCCTGACCAACATGAAGAAACACTACTAAAAATACAAAATGAGTCAGGCGGTGGTGGTGCATGCCTGTAATCCCAGCTGCTCGGGAGGCTGAGGCAGGAGAATTGCTTGAACCTGGGAGGTAGAGGTTGCAGTGAGCCGAGATCATGCCATTGCACTCCAGCCTAGGCAACAAGAGCGAACCTCTGTTTCAAAAAAATAAATAAATAAATAAATAAATAGATATGCATATAAAGAGATAAAGATCTCCAGTAAAGGTAAATACACAGGCAAATATAAAAGCCACTATTTCCATATTATTAGTTTGTAAATCCACTTTTCATTTCCTATATCCTTTAAAGCACAAATGCATAGAAACTAATTAAAAATCTACATTCTTGGGCACCTAATATATAAATTTAATTTGTGACAACAACAACATGTATAGGAGGAGAGTATTTGTATGCTATTAAAGTTAAGTTGCTATAAATTCAATTAGACTGTTACAAATTTAGGTTGTTAAATATGGTCATGATGGAAATCACAAAGAAAATATTTAAAAAACACACAGAAGGAAATAAGAATAGATTCAAATTATTTCACAAAAAAGTCAACCAAACACAAAATAAGCAGTAATATAGGAAATGAGAGGCAAAAAATACATAAGACATACAGAAAACAAATAGAAAATGGTAGAAGTAAGTCCTCCCTTTTTTTTTTGAGATGGTGTCTTGCTTTATTGCCCAGGCAGGAGTGCAGTGGTGCGATCTCAGCTCACTGCAACCTCTGCCACCTGGGTTCAAGTGATTCTCCTGCTTCAGCCCCCCTGAGTAGCTGCGATTACAGGCATGTGCCACCATGCCTGGCTAGTTTTTGTATTTTTTAATAGAGATGGGGTTTCACTATGTTGGTCAGGCTGGTCTCAAACCCGACCCCATGATCTGCCCGCCTCCGCCTCCCAAGTCCTGGGATTACAGGCATGAGCCACCGTGCCTGGCCGAAGTAAGCCCTTCCTAATCATCAGTGATTTTAATTTTAAATGGATTAAACTATCCAGTCAAAAGAGACTGTCAGGGTAGTTTGAAAAACATAATCTAGCTATATGCTATCTACAAGAGATTCACTTTAGTTCTAAGGACATAAGTAGGCTGAAAGTAAAAGATGGAAAAAGATATTTTATTCAAATAGTAACTCAAAGGGAGGTGGATGTCTATATTAATATTAGGCAAAATAGGCTTTAAGTCAGAAACTTCTACAAGAGACAAAAAAGAGTATTATATAACAACAAAAGGCAAAATTCATTAAAAAGCATAACAGTTATAAACATATATGAATCAAACAAAAAAGCCCCAAAATATAGGAAGTAAACACTGACAGACTCAAAGGGATAAACAGTCCTAAAATGAGAGTTGGAAACTTCTACTATTTTCAGTTGTGGATAGAACATCTAGACAGAAGAGCAGTAGGAAAACAGAGGGCTTGAAAAACATTATAAGCTAATTAGACCTACAGATAAATATAGAACCTTCCATTCCCAAACAGCAGAATATACATTCATCTCAAGTGTACATGGAACATTTTCCAGAAGAGACCACACGTAAGGCCACAAAATGAGTCTCAATAAATAAAAAAAAATTAAAATCACACAAAGTATCTTTTCAGACAACAATGGCATAAAGATAGAAATCAGTAAAAGAAGGAATATTGGAAAGTTCATAGACATGTGGAAATTAAACAATACACTTTTAAATAACCAATGGATCAAATAATAAATCACTGAGAAAATAAAAAAACTTAGAGATAAATGTAAAGAAAAGCAAAACACACAAAAATTATGGGATGCAGCAACAGCAGTGCTTAAAGGGAAACTTACAACTGTAAATTCCCATTGAAAAAGAAGAAAAATCTCAAATCCAAAACCTAAGCAAAAGAAAACAAAACATACCAAAATTATGGGATGCAGCAAAAGCAGCGCTCAGAGGGAAACTTCCCATTAACAAAGAAGAAAGATAAAAAAAGTCCGTAACCTAACTTTACACTTTGAGGGACTAAAAAACCAAACTAAAGTCAAAGCTAGTAGAAGAAAAGAAATACTAGATATTCAAGCACAGATTATAGACATAGGGAATAGGCTGGGTGTGGTGGCTCATGCCTGTAATCCCAGCACTTTGGGAAGTCCAGGGGGATGGATCACTTGAGGCCAGAAATTTGAGACCAGCCTGGCCAACATGGTGAAACCCCATCTCTACTTAAAGAGAGAGAGAGAGAGAGAGAATAAAAAGCAATATAAATGATCAATGAAATCAACTGTTGGTTCTTTGAAAGAACAATAAAACAACAAACTTCCAGCAAGATGAGAGAGGAGGGAGGGAGAGAGGGAGACAGACAGACAGAGAGAGAGAGAGGACACAACTAAAATAGAAAATGAGAGTGGGGACATTATTACTGATCTTAATAAAAAAGAAATAAAAGAGTACTATGCACAACTGTATACAAATGAGATAACCTAGTTGAAAGGGAAAAATTCCTAGAAACATACAAAATTACAAAATTTGACTCAAGAAAAAATATAAATTCTGGACAGACTTATAACAAGAGTTTGAATAGGTAATAAAAAACCTCCCAACAAAGAAATCCGAGGACCTGTTGGCTTCTCTTGTGAGTTCTACCAAAGAGGAATGAATTAATACTAATCATTTGAAAATGCTTCCAAAACATAGATGAGGAGGTAGCACTTCCTACTTGATTCTATGAAAACAGCATTACCCTGACACTAAAGTCAGATAAAGACATCAAATGACATGAAAGTTATAGACCAATATACACTATTAATATAGATGAAAAAGCATAAATAAAGTAATAGCAAAGTGAACCTAACAGCATATTAAAATGATTATACACCATGTTTAAGTGGGATTTATCTGAGGAATGCAAGGGTGGTTCAACATAAGAAAAACGATCAGTGTAATACATCATATGGATAGCAAAAAGGAAAAAACAATATGTGACTATCTCAGTTGATACAGAAAAGTAATCTGAGAAAATCCAGTCTCCTTTCACTATAAAAACACTCAGAAAATTAAGAAGAGAAGAAAACTTGTTAATATTTTAAATGATATTTATTAAAAACCCACAGATAGCATCATACTCAATGGTGAAAGACTAAAAGCTTTCTCCATAAGATCAGAAACAAGACAGGGATGCTCAATTTTACCACTGCTATTCAGCACTGTACTGGAAGTTCTAGCCAGAGAATTAGACAAGAAAAAGAAATAAAAGACATTCAAGTCGGGAAGAAAGAAGGAAAACTGTTTCTATTCACAGATAATATGGTCATATATGTAGAAAACACCTAAGTATCTAGGCACAAGCTCAGCCCATAAGGATCAGTTGTTTCTGTCCACCAGCAATAAACAATTCAAAAAGGAAATGAGGAAACAATTTTATATAAAATAGCATCTAAAAGAATAAAATACTTAGGAATAAATTCAACTAAGGAAGTGAAAAACTTGTACACTGAAAATTATAAAACATTGCTTAAAGAAATTAAAGAAGATCTAAATAAATGGAAAGACAGTCCATGTTTATGGATAGAAAGACAATATTGTTAAGATGTCAATACTCTTAAAAGCAATCTACAAATTCAATGCAAGCTCTATCAAAATCAGACTTTTTGTTGTTGTTACAGAAATGAAAAAAGCCACTCCTCAAATTCATATGGAATTGCATGGGACTCTGCATAGCCGAAACAAACTTGAAAAAGAAGAGCAAAGTTACAGGTTTCACACTTCTCAATTTCAAAACTTATTACAAAGCTACAGTAACCAAAACAATGTGGCACTTGCATAAGAATAGACATAATAGGCTCATGCCTCTAATCCCAGCACTTTGGGAGGCTGAGGCAAGCGGATCACCTGAGATCAGAAGTTCGAGACCAGCCTGTCCAACATGGCAAAACCCTGTCTCTACTAAAAACAGAAAAAAATTAGCAGGTCATGGTGGCAGGTGGCTGTGATCCCAGCTACTCGGGAGGCTGAGACAGGAGAATTGCTGGAACCCATGAGATGGAGGTTGCAGTGAGCTGAGATCACACCACTGCACTCCAGCCTGGGCAAGAAGAGTGTGACTCCATCTCAAAAAAAAAAAAAAAAAAAAAAAAAAGACATAATAGACTAGAGGAATATAATTTAGAGCCCAGAAATAAATAAACTCATACATCTATGGGCAATTGAATTTTGATAAGAGTGGCAAGTCTCATCAATGAGAACAGAATAGTTTCTTTAACAAATAGTATTGGTGTAATTAGATTTCAAAATGCAAAATAATGAAGTTGGACTTCTACTTCCCTATACAAATATACCCCACCATATAGAAAAATTAACAAAAAATATATTAATGATCTAAATCTAAGCGCTAAAGCCCTTAAAAGAAAACAGGGATAGATCTTCATGACTGTGTAATTGGCAAGGAATTCTTAGAACACCAAAAGCATAAGCAACAAAAGATAAAGTGGATTAATTAGTTTTCATCAAAATTAAAAACTTTTGTTCACCAAAGGATATTATCAATAAAGTAAAATGGCAAACTACACAATGAAAGAGAATATTTTCAAATCATATATCTGATCAGAGGTTTTAAGGAAAAAATTATGTATGATACTTTTAAAGGTGGAAATGCAGACTTTATTCAAGGGTGCCATGGAGATAAGTACAGAGAGCTCTGCCACAGGGTCTTGCAGTGGGAGAGACAGACTGGATTCAATTCTGAGTTCAGCAAAGACAAGTGGGAATTTATAACCAAGGAGCAGGGTTGAGGTCAGCGGATGGAAAATGATTGAGAGGAAATATCAAGTATATGGGGCTTCTGATTAAACTGACTTAGCAGGATCTTTTTCTCAAACTAGATTCCACAAGGACAGAGAGGGAGCGCAAGGTCAGGCTTAGTCAGAAAGGACTTAGGAATCTGGCTGAAGTTTTGGTCAAAGAAGAGAATTTCTGTCAGAGTTTACTATTCAGAATTTATGAAGAACTATTACAACTTAACAACAATACCAACAACCCTAATTTTTTTAAATTCGGAAAAACGAATAAAGGATTTTGATAGGCACTTCTCCAAGCAGATACATGAGTGACCAATAAGCACAAAACAAAGCTGCTCAACATCATTCGTCACTAGGAAATTGCACATTAAAACCACTTCTCACCCACTAGGATGGCTATGATGGAAAAAAAAAAGAAACACAAAAGGAAAATGACAAGTGTTAGTGAATACATAGAGAAATTGGAGCCCTTGCTCGTTGCTGGTAGGAATGTAAAACGGTGAGACCTCTGTGGATATTTGGTGGTTCCTCAAAAAGCTAAACACAGAATTACTCTATGACTCAGCAATTCTGCTCCAAGATATATACTCCAAAGAAATGAAGACAGAAACTCAGATCCTATACCCCAATTTTCTTTTTTCTTTTCTTTTTTTTTTTTGAGACGGAGTTTTGCTCTTGATGCCCAGGCTGGAGTGCAATGGTGCAATCTTGGCTCGCCACAACCTCTGCTTCCCGGGTTCAAATGATTCTCCTGCCTCAGCCTCCCAAGTAGCTGGGATTACAGGCATGCACCACCATGCCCAGCTAATTTTGTATTCTTAGTAGAGATGGGGGTTTCATCATGTTGGTCAGGCTGGTCTCGAACTCCTGACCTCAGATGATCTGCCTGCCTTGGCCTCCTAAAGTGCTGGGATTACAGACGCGAGCCACCGCGCCCTGCCTATACCCCAATTTTCATTGCATCACTACTCTCAATAGGCAAAAAAGATGGAAACAACCTAAATGTCCATCAAGAGATGAATGTATAAGCTAAGTGTGTTATCTACTTAGAATATTATTTATTCATAAAAAGGAATAAAGTTCTGATACATATTACAATGGGGATGAAACCTTGAAAACATGCTAAGGGAAATAAGTCAGATGCAAAAGGACACATATTGTCAGATGACTCCACTTACATGAAATATCTTGAATAGGTAAATTCATGGGAACGGAAAGTAGCTTAGAGGTTATCAGAGGCAGGGGATGGGGGAGAATGGAGAGTTATTGCTTCATGGTTAAAAAGTTTCTTTTGGCGGGGAGCTGGGGTGAAGGGGTGGGTGATAAAAATTTTAGAAATAAAGGCCAGGCGTGGTGGCTCACACCTGTAATCCCAGCATTTTGGGAGGTCGAGGCGGGTGGATCACTTGAAGTCAGGAGTTAGAGACCAGCCTGGTCAACATGGTGAAACCCCTGTCTCTACTAAAAACACAAAAATTAGCCGGGATGGTAGTACACGCCTGTAATCCCAGCTATTCAGGAGGCTGAAACAGGAGAACTGCTTGAACCAGGGAGGTGGAGGTTGCAGTGAGCCAAGATCACGCCTCTGCACTCCAGCTTGGATGATGGAGTGAGACTCGGTCTCTAAATAAATAAATAAATAAATAAATAAATAAATAAATAAATAAAAACGTTAATGTTTGCACAACATTGTGCATGTAATTAATGCTACCAGACTGTACAATTAACAATGGTTAAAATGGTAAATGTTACATTATATGTATTTTACCACAATTCGTAACATTTAAACAGTTACAAAAAAGTTCTGTCCTGAGTGCTGCTGGCTGCTTCTCCAGCATATAGTCACTCCATCACTCCTTCCCAGAACATTTTCTATTTGGTTCAGGAACGTGACCCTCCTGAGTGTATTCTGTAAACAGCACACAGGGCGGGCCCAGGTAAAGAGCCGTCCAGTCACGATTGTCCTATCCCTTGCCTGTGACTGGCCTAAAAAGCCAGGTTAAAGCCCATCAAGGCACGGGATTTGTTGTGGTCTGTTATTGGTCCAGGAGTGGTCTAAGTAGCCCAGTTAGACTGAAAGGAAAAATGTTTGTTGTTAAAGGTTCATTTTTTCTCCCCTTTCGTCCTGATGAACACTGGAAGGGGTACATTTCCTGACTAAATGCGTCCTAATGGATACACACACGGGGGTGGGGGCGGGGTAGTCCAATAAGAGTGAATAATCTCATCCCTTCTCTTCCTCTGCTGTCCACTGTCAGTGCTGAAAAAGCAACCCAGGCATTTCTGGATTTGACATATGGGTTCCTTTATATGCCCTACTCTGCCCAAGCCCGGGGAAGGCTTAACTGGAGGCTTCTCTCAGGGAGCTCCCTCTGGCCCTGCATCCCTGAGACAGGGACCTGTTCTCTCCCTGCTGCCAAGGAAGGCGAGTACCTCCTACCTGGAACCTTGGGGATTTTTCCCAGCATAGCTTCAAGCCAGCGTCCTTGAAAAGTAAGTCACAGGTGATTTCTGACTTTGGGGAAATCGCCTGCTCATTTTTTATGACATGGAAGAATAAAATGCAGAGGGAGAAAACAGAGGGGTACCAGCTCTGTTGTTCTTACAACCTCATTTCCTAAGTACCACAATATCGGCCTCTGTTGAGCTTCCGGCTGTGTGATTGATTCTCAATGACTCATTCCCCAGTGGGTCCCTCTATCAGGAGACAGGCCAGCAGGGGGTCCGTCTGGGTGTGCTTAGCCTCACATTTGTTTGATTCTTCTTTTGTTCTATCTTCTCGGTGGAGGAAATAGCAAGGGGGCTCACACCTTTTCTGTCTGTCTCAGCACCTCTTAGTCCACTGATCTAGTGAGCCATGGAACTGTCACTCGTTGCTCTTGCCCTGACATCAAGCAGCTTCCCAGAGGAAAAAGGGTCTTATCCAATAAGTGATTCAGGGACAACTGGGTAATCACGTGAAAAAAAATTAAAACTAGAACCACAATTTCACCTTATCTCAAAATAAATTCCAGATGGATGAGAGTGTTAAAACAGGGAAAAAAATAAAACCATGAAATTACACGGAGAAACTATGCTAATACATTTGAACACTCTGGCAAAATGGACACATTTTTCGAAGATTAGAAAGTGTTATAATAGAGGGAAGAAGAAATAGAAAATGCTTACATTCCAATAGACACTGAACAAATAGAAAGGATAGTCTAACCTTCCTCCTCCACCAAAAAAGACCCGAATCCAGATAATCTGTGAGTTCTACTAAACTATCAATAAAGAGATATTTCTTATCTTATTCTAGTTATTCCAGGAAGCAGAAAAGGATATCAAATTACCCAGCTCATAGTTTAACCACTATTCCAAAACTGTATAAGAATAAAACAAGAAAATCATAGGCTCTTTTCACTTTTTAGAATAGAGATAAAAATAATGGACAAATGCAAAAAGCATTAACAAGTTCATTTAACACGCTCAAAGAAGGTTTATCTCAAGAGGATAAGGATGGTCCAACATTAAAAAAACTCAATAAAATTTTGTCAATATATGCAGAATAAAATGGGTAAAGTTCAATGCCTCATCATTTTCTAATTAAAAATGTATTGATGAGTAATATACTTAACAGAAAAATATACAAATCCTAACTGTAGAGCTTAATTAGTTCTCGTAAACTGGAAGCATGCAGGCACCCATCCTCCATAACCCTAAATGTCACCCTGTGCCTTCTCTAGTCACCAACCCTCACCTCTGACAAGGGCAGCAGCCACTGTCTTGATTTCAAATCAGCATAGCAAAGGTGTATTATTCAATAAATGGTACTGGGACAATTGAGTAGCCATGTGAAAAAAAAATGAAGTTGACCTCATAGATTGGTTTAGTCTGTCTGCACTTTATATAAACAGAGTCAGACCGTAGGCCCGCTTTGTGTCTGTTTCTTCCTTGCAACATTAGATCCATCAGAGTCATCCACATTGTTGGCAGTAGTTTAGTTCGCCCATTCTTATTGCAGTGTGGTATTCCATTCTGAGAGTACAAGGCATTTCATTTACCCATTTGGACAATTTGATGAACATGTGGGCTGTTTTCAGTGTGGGACTATTAAGAATAATGCTGCTATAAATATTTTGGTACATGTTTGTTGGTAAGCTTACATACACATTCTGCTGTGTGTACCTAGGAGTGGAACTGTGGTTGCAGCGGATGCATAGATTCGGCTTTTATACACACTGCCAAGCAGTTTTCCAAAGTTACTGTCTTTTTTTTTTTTTTTTTGAGATGGGCAGCTGGGGGTAAGAGCACCGTGAAACTGGGGAGAGGCATGCTGAAAAGGGGTTGAAGGTTCTGGGTGAGAACTGCTGTGGACTGAGTGATTTTGCGCTTCACAATTCATATGTTGAAACCCTACCTTCCAACGTGATGGTATTAAGTAAGAGGTGGGATCTTTGGGAGGTAATAAAAATTAGATGAGGTCATGAGGGTGGAGTCCCATGAATGCAATTAGTGCCCTTCTAGGAGTCCCAAGAGTGCTTGCCTCCTCTCTCTGCCATGAGAGGACACAGCGAGAAGACGACCTCCTATGTACCAGGAAGTGGGTCCACAACAGGCACCACCTTAGTCTTGGGCTTCTAGCCTCCAAGACTGGGAGAAATAAAAGGTTGTTGTTTAAGTCACCCAATTTTGGTATTTTGCTACAGCAGCCACAGCTGACAAAGACAATAATTGACTGTGTGTGCTCCAGTGGTTGTGCCAATTCATACCCCAGAAGCCGTTGTTCCCTTCCTTATCCACACTTGATGTGTCAGTGAGTCTTTTTCGATGTGGCCATTCTGGTGGTTCAGCACCATTTAGCTGTGAAAAACATTTTAGCAAATTAAGACTAGAAAGGGACTTCCTTAACTTGATGGAACTTGTAAACCAGAAACCTACAGCAAACATCATACTTAATGCAGACATTTTTGATGCATTACTTTTAGAATTAAAAAAAAAATTAAATATGACCTCTTTTGCTGCCAGATTTTACATGATCTTAAAGGTTCTGGAAAATAGACAAGAAAAGGAACCAAGATTATAACATTTGGAAAGAGGAGATACAACTCTATTTACAGATGATTTTATACACGGATAATCACAGAAAATACTTAAATCTAATAAGCACAGTCATTGGACTTGCTAGATTCAAGGTCAATTTACAAAAATCAATAGCGTTTATCCACAACATCAATAACCATCCACAAATACAATAGAAAAATAAGAGATCCACCGTGGTTATAAAGACTATAAAGTACCTAGAAATTAACAGAGGTTACACAAAATATCAATGGAGATAATTTGTAACACTTAACGGACATAAAAATCTGAGTAAATACTCATGATTTAATAAGTTAACTTCATAAAGATGTTAATATTCTCTCTATTAATCTGTTGATCCAATACAATCCCAATACAAAGTCTAGGTTGATAGCCTAAGGATTCCAATAGAATTATGTTTAAATTTAAAGAGAAGAATAAACATTTATAAATAGTTAAGATGATACTGAGAAAGAGGAGCCAGGAGGGAGGACTTGCTCTACCATATATAAAGAAGCACTGCAACATTACTACAGTGAAAACATAGTGGCACCTGCACAAAAACAGGCAAACAGACCCATGGAACAGAGTAGAAATGGCTCAGGAGGCCAAGCGTGGTGGCTCACACCTCCCAGCAATTTGGGAGGCTGAGGTGGGCGGGTCACCTGAAGTCAGGAGCTGGAGACCAGCCTGGCCAACATGGCAAAACCCCATCTCAACTAAAAATACAAAATGTAGCTGGGCGTGGTGGTGCATGCCTATAATCCCAGCTACTCGGGAGGCTGAGGCAGGAGAATCACTTGAACCTGGGAGGCAGAGGTTGCAGTGAGCCGAGATCATGCCATTGCACTCCAGCCTGAGCGACAGAGCGAGACTCAGTCTCAAAAATAAATAAATAAATAAATAAATAAATAAATAAATAAATAAATAGCTCAGGAATAAACCCATGCCTATGTGATACTTGATGAAAGATACACATACATCAACAAGCAGATAGGATCGAGGAAACTGGCTACCCGCCTTTACCCATATGCAAATGGGGAATCCAGTTGCATTAAAGACCTAAATGAGGAAAGTAAAACTATGAAGCTAACAGAAGAAATAATAGGAGAATAAGAATGGCTAATGGGGTAGGAAACGACATCTTAAAAATGAACAATCTGTTCACAGACAATGATATACAAATACCTCCTAAACTTAAAAAAAGACTTTTAACTTCACTAATGTTGAGAGAAAATCAAATTAAAATTAAAATGAATATATTTTTTTCTTACCTAACAGATTGGCAAAAATGCCAAAGTTCAATAAGGGTTAAGTTGCAGGCAGCAGAATCCAACTAGCTGGGCTAAGCACAGATATTTTTAATACAGGGAATTAGGTGCTTACAGCTGGGACCAGGCCCAGTGGCTCACGCCTGTAATCCTAACCCTTGGGAAGCTGTGGTGGGAGGATCACTTGAGCCCAGGAGTTCAAGACAAGCCTGGGCAACAGAACGAGACCTCGGTATCTACAAAAAAATTAAAGGCTGGGCGCGGTGGCTCACGCCTGTAATCCCAACACTTAGGGAGGCCGAGGCGGGCAGATCGCGAGGTCAGGAGATCGAGACCATCCTGGCTAACACGGTGAAACCCCGTCTCTACTAAAAAATACAAAAAATTAGCCGGGCGTAGTGGCGGGCGCCTGCAGTTCCAGCTACTTGGGAGGCTGAGGCAGGTGAATGGCGTGAACCCGGGAGGCGGAGCTTGCAGTGGACTGAGATCCTGCTACTGCACTGCAGCCTGGGCAACAGGGCGAGAATCAGTCTCAAAAAAAAAAAAAAAAAAAAAAATTAAAAATTAGCTACATGTGGTAGTGCAAAACTGTAGTCCCAGCTATTTGGGGGGCTGAGGTGGGAGGATTGCGTGAGCCAGGGAGGTCAAAGCCGTAGTGAGCTGTGATTGTGATATTGTGATACGGAAGTGCTGGGAAGGGAACAGCGTGGTCCCTTCAAATGATAAAGAAGTGGGGAGG
Organism: Homo sapiens; assembly: GCF_000001405.40. Lineage (NCBI taxonomy): Eukaryota > Metazoa > Chordata > Mammalia > Primates > Hominidae > Homo > Homo sapiens. Next base: position 126,804,775 of record NC_000002.12, on the reverse strand, counting down.
GGAAGTGCTGGGTAGGATTAGGATAGGGTGTGGTCCCTGGCTAGGACTCCACTCCCACGGACCTGGGTGAGGACAGACATTTTTGTTTTCCTGCCCAAATGTTGCATTTCTTTCCCAAGACCTCCCCTGGCCTGCCACACCCCCATCCTGTGCCTGTAAAAACCCAAGACCCTAGCAAAGCAGGGACAGAAGCGGCTGGCCGTCGGGAGGAGCACATCAGCGGAGGAACACACTGGCGGCTGGACGTCGAGAGGAACGCATCGGCGTCGGAGCACACCTGCAAGCCGGCGGTCCATTGACTGGCTGAATGGCGTGGAGTTTGGCTAGAGAGGTTGGAGGAGAGCCCGACTCCAGGGGAAAACCTTCCCACTCCATCCCCTTCTGACTTTCCCCGTCTACTACTTCCACTCAATAAAACCTGGCACTCATTCTCCAAGCCCACTTGTGATCCGAGTTTTCTGGTACATCAAGGCAATAACCCCGGGATACAGAAAGCCCTCTGTCCTTGCCATAAGGCGAGGGTCTAATTGAGCTGGTTAACACAAGCCGCCTATAGATGGCAAAACGAAAAGAGTAAAACTAAAAGAGCACGCTGTAACTCCCGCTGGGGCTTCGGCTGTAAACATTCACCCCTAGACACTGCCATGGGGTCAGAGCCCCACAACCTGCCCATCTGTATGCTCCCCTAGAGGTTTGAGCAGCTGGACACTTAAGAAGCGAGCCACTCCCCCATCTCACACCCTGCAAGAGGGACAAGGGAACTTTTCCTGTTTTAACTGTGCCACTACACTCCAGTATGGGCAACAGAGCGAGACCCTGCCTCAACAAAACAAAAGAACCCAAAAAACAGAATGGTTGATGGGGCCGTAGAAGAACCTCCATCCGTTTCCCAGGAAAAATGTTCAGCCCGTGGAATCACTGTGCTGAGATGAAGTCTGTGGCTATCACTGCAAAACAATATGGAAACCTGCCACTTTCCTTTCCTGTTGCCAGATCAGGAAACCCCTGAGTGAACTGAGAAGCTGCCACTACAGCGACTGGCCTTAGTACTCCAGCCAATGAACGCTTTGCCTCTCTTCTCGTGGGGTTCAGGTCTAACGCAAAGTCTGTGGCAGTGTGTCTGATTGGTAAACTTCAACCGTGTCTGGAGCCCTTGCTATGAGGGTGTGTGGATGGTCCTGTTTTTGATTTTCTAGCCTTGGTGGACTAGACGGGAGTGGGGTGGAGGCTGAACAAGGCAGTCGATGGGCCTGCCATTGCAATGGGCGGATAGCAGGCCTCTCCTGCACCACTGGGAAAGGGTGCTGGTGCTGGTTTGCATGCCAATGGTTGGCCCTGGGGCTGGATATTTGTGAAAGGGTGAGTGTGTGTGTCTTTTGATCACTGTTACAAATGTAATGCTTTACCATTCTTTGAACATAAATGTATCTGTGGAAATCTGCCAAAATGCCCTTCTCTTTGCCAGAGACTTTGTACTTGCTTCTGAGCCAGGAGAGATATAAAGGGTTAGGCAATTTTATGGTCACAGAAATAGCCGAGCTGATCCCCATTGCACAAAGACACACTCCTTATACCTTCTATCCCATCCTTATGGGAGAAAACGGCAAAGGTGAAACGAGCCCCGGATTGTGGGTCAAGAGTTCTGGCTTCTAGTCCAGGCCCTGCAGTATTTCCCCAGGGCAAGGACTAACTTTCCCTCCTGGGCCTCCATGAGGCCAGTGTTTTCCCTACAGTTTACAACCCCACAGTCTTGTAGTCAGTGGACTTATAGGGAACTGTATTAAATGAAACGCAAAAGCAGAATTGCTCTGGCTGGGTTGAGGGGAGCCAGGTGTGTGGAGGGGAGCCCTGCCTTCTGCCTCTTTTCGCTTCTGAGCGGACTTGAAGCAGCTCTGTAGAGCACGGCTTGCAGATCACAGGATCAGCTTCTTTCCAAGGTGCCTTTCAGCCTTAGGTATTTTGCACTAAGAATCCAAAGGCTGATTCCTTCAGAGGCAGGAAACGACCACTACTAGCCAAATGTGCCAAATAGTCCCACACAGGTGGTGGGTAGGAATTCGCTGTAAGCCCTCGGGCACAGAAACCATCGTTTTGTTTTATTTCATTTCTCTAAATTGAACTAAGTCAGGCTGTTTGAGCTGTGTCTCCTCAGTTATCATTGGAGCTCCCTGCTCCTGTCTGGGAGCGCCTATGAACATCCCAGAGTTGCTGGGGCCAGAGCCAGAGCCAGGGCCAGGGCCAGAAAGCTCTCTCAGCAGGCTCCACAGTTCACACTGTGCTTCGGGTGCAGCATGCAGGGCTTGGAGGCGCCCCAGTGCGGGGCTCCTGGGTCTCAGTCCCCTGCTGCCTCAGGGCTGCATTTCTCAGGGTCCTGGCTCTCTGGGGAGACCACAGCCAAAAGGAGTATGGGTCTGCCTCTTGTGGAAACCCCCAAACTCCTGGGCGAAAGCTATCCTGCACTATCAATTGTCTGCTTCCATCCCTCCCACCTCTCTGCCCCCACCTCAGCTTGATCACCTGCTTTAATGGGCCTGGGTTTCCCAAAGAAGGCAGGTAACTTTGGAGTGCCTGGACGCTTCAGTTTGGGACCCTTAAATTTAAAAGCCTTTCATAACCCTCAAGGGGAGAGAGCAGAGCTTAGAGTATTAGGACTTGTTCTATAAGAAAGAGGGGAAGGGGGATGCAGAGGACAATGGGGAGACCCGGGATTTGCACTTTCATGCTTCACAATAGCTCACAGGACAAAAGCTCACTAAACTATACTCCTGCCTCTGCTTTTTCTTAAAATTACAAAATAAAGTTTGAAGAATAAAATAAAAATCACCTTTAATTTTACCCTCTGAAAATATCCTACTTGTAAATTTTGATGTGTTTGCTTCCAATTTTTTTCCAAGTACATTCTTTCATCGTTAAGGTCATACCTTATATGGTGTTTTTTGCAAACTTTCCTCTGTATTTAAAGTATATTTTATGCATTTTTACATTTTAAAGTTCTTCTTTCATCATTTAGCGAATGTGCGTTGAGTTCTTACAATGTAGGTGCCGGGGATTCCGTGGAGAGCAATGGCCCTCACCGTCCTTATAGAGGCCTGCAGTCTGTTTGGGGGTCCTGGGGGGGAGTCCTGTGGAGGGTGGGGAGCTGGGAGTCACTGATATGCAGGTGGGTGAGGGATTCTCAAGCTGGAGCCAGTGCCTCCCCTGAACTGAATGCAAAACTTTGTAAGTATGTGTGAGCATGTGAATTTATTTCTGAATAGAAAACTCCCAGCTTTCAAATGACCTTGGAAAGGTCAAACCACTGAGTGATGTGGTAGTGAAGTTGTGGGCGGGAATACGATGGCCCAGGGAGAAGGAGGAGAGACATGCTGGGGACCGGTTGTGGAAAAAGCAACGAGGAAGGCAATGGAGAAAGACAGGTGGAAAAGGCAGCAGGAAGACCTTAGCTGCACGTCAGCCAGTATGAAAAGGGAATCAAGGAAGTGAAGGAATGGAAGAATCTCCAAAAACTTCAAACTAAACAAAGGGCAAAAACACACTTCAACTCCACCTGTTACTTATGCGAAGAGCATATTTCTCCTCTGGGCATCCTCTGAGCCTTGTGGCTCTGCCTACATACCAATACTATTTGCCCAGGGACCAACTAATTCAGTTTCTCACTGGACTTGAGCAAGAAAGGACAGTGAAAACTCATAGCTTCCATCCAGATCATATACCCAGAGAGTGTTTTTCCAGGACCTATGATTTTGCAACAGGCGCCTGTCAAGATGAATGTATGTTTTCCCATAATATTTTTGTGGTTTTCCAAAACAGCGCTCCTTTAGCCATGGTCTGCATTTTTAGTTTGGAATTTGTTTTAAACAATTGGACCTAGTGTTCCTTCTGGTCTTTAGTCTCCTGTTAAGTAGCTCTCTATTTGTCATACAGGTAGTCAATATACAGTCTCAGTTTTCTTTTGAATTTTATGATACTTTTAGGTTACCCTGGGTCAACCCGGGCCTAGAACTGAGCTCTAGAAGGTCCTAGAGATGTGATGCCATTTTTTTTTGAGCAGGTTGATAAATGCCTGGATTTAAAATGAGCCTTGGGAAAAGATGCACAATAAATACTTAATCCAAGTTGGAACCCAGGCATCAAATGTATTTACTCAGACAGTGAAATATTTAAATGCCATGTTGCCAGGTTGCTGGTGTGTATGGATGACATACTTACCCATATCTATTTAAAGAAAGGACCCAAACATTTCAAAGTGATTGTTTACCTGAACCTAGAAGAGTGCAGACAGTTGAACAAAATCACTGCAGGTTTCCGGAAATGTCTCTAAAGATGCATTAAAGTGATGCAGCTCTTAATGTTATTTTAGGGATGATGGTAGAACTGACAGGGAAATTTGTGCATGACAGGGAAATCTTGAAATAGTCAAGTGGCTCAAATCAGTAGTGCTGGAGCTTTGAACTGGTTCAAGATTACCTTTAATTATTAACCTTCTTTAATATTTCAGAATGTCTGTAATAAAAGAGGCATGGTGCATTTAATTTATAGTTATACAGTCAGAGATTGTTCGACCTGAAATGGATGTAGATCATCTTGGGCGACTGGAGATTCACAAGCTTTTATCTTCTCCAGCATACCCCAGAGATGCCGCACCGTTTCTCCTAGTAACAGTGCTCTCGAAGGCAATGATTCTTTGGTTGAAGAGTTAGGGTGAGAAATGGGGTAGGGATTGCATAAGAGAAACAAAGTCTCCAGTGTTGTGTTTAGTTTGAAAAAATGCCTCGTTTAAGAGATCCTAAATTTTAAAAATCATTGAGGATAAACTCATCTGGTATTTTATTTATTCATTCTTCTCAGTATACAAACAAGCAAAAGTGCAATGGCACCTGTGCTGATATCTTCATCATTAATCTCTTCCCCAAATTCCAGACTTATAGTGTACATCTCATAGGCATCTCAAAATTATTTTGGCATATTTTATTCTCCCCACTCACTGAACTTACTCTTCTCCGAGTCTTCACCAGCACAGGAGAGCATAACAAAGTCTATATCAGAGACTGGAAGGGTAGTGGTTCATATCATGTGAAATATCTGGTAACGGCACCAACTGTGATAGTTTGAAATATAGATAATTCCCCAGTGAACTCCAGTTTAAAGAGAAGAGCTCACGAAACAGAGCTGCAGCAGTATGTGTTAGCTGCAGTTGGCTGAAAATAAAAGAGAACAGAAAGTTCAGAAATCTGGGGACTTGTACCTCTGAATGAGGCAACTGCTTTCCAATTCCAAACAGTAAAAATTAATATTGAGAAATGCTTGAGCAAGAAAGGACAGTTAAAACCCAGACTTGCAGCCAGTACCAAGACAAGAGCTTGTTCATCACACTCATTGCTTAACATTTCTGAGTGGATTAAGATGATGACCAATAAACCATTTTCAAAATGGGCCTTGGAGAAAAGATGGAGGGGTGTGGGTAGATGAAATTAAGGGGTGGGGGTGGAGAGAGAGAGAAAGAGAGGAAGAAAGAGGGAGGGACAGAGAGAGGGGAGACCTTTATCAAGGACTCTAGTATGACAATGGTGCATGGAGCTGCTTAGTATTAAATAGGTAAGAAGCTTTCTAGATTTTTAGGTTTCTGAGAGAGATGTGCTGCCAAAGACACCAAAAGTCTGGGCCAAAATGATCACTGGACCCCAACGTTCAGTGGGCAGAAGGGGGCAGGATGAGATGCTCAGCCTGAAAAATGCCCTCTTCAGATGCAGCCAAGGAGGAAAGTGGAAGGCCTAGAAGCCCCCCTGGGAAGCCCTGGCCGGAGTGAATTAGCACCTAACTCAGGAACATGCCCCTCCCGGGTGGGGGGTTCTAGGAAGGCCACCCAGTGGGATTCCAGCGGACCATCCTATGGGGTCTTGCGTCTCCCTTTCTCCCTGGAATCATGTATTTTGGTTATTCCTGATTCTGTGGTGGAGGGTGGTGTGGTGTGGGGGGAGAAAGACAGCTTTGATGCAGGGCATGAGTCTCTGGGGCAGAGCAGGCTGACGGGACTCATGCATAAACAGTCTGCGTGGCTGCCTGGCATGGGGACCCCTGCAGGAGCAGGGCACAGAGCCCTGTGCTTTAAGTCTGGTGTCCCACCTAACAGGGCTCTCGGGAATCTAGACACACACCACATGCAGTCTCCACATGACCACTGAACAAATGAACCAAGGGCTGAGTGAACTGATGAACTAATGATAGATTTGTTGAAGCCTGTGTCAGGTTACTCCTCGTTTTAGGCCCTGGGAGTCAAAGATGAGAGACAGGGTCCATGCCCTATCCTGGGTCTCCAAGGAAAGGCTCACAAGAGGGTAGGTAGTGAGGTGGGAAACTCTCTGAGCACAGAAACCCAAAGAGTTGGGTCTGAGCAGGAAGTGTGGTAGTGGGAGTCTGTTTGTGTTGTCCAGGAGAAGCAGCCTAAGGGTCTTCATGGGGAGAGGACCTGTCTGTCTTTGGACCAAGGATGGCTCACATGGGGGTACTCACACTAAAGAACTCACATACCAGGTGAGTTGCATCAAGGTGATTCACACACCATGGTAACTCCCACACACAGTGACACCCACACGGGGATGATTCCCTCACACTGGGCAACTCTCACACCAGATGACTCTCCCACACATGATGACTTCCACACAGGGTGACCCCCCCACAGGGTCCCTCACACTCCAGGTGACTCACCCAGGCTCTCCCGCTGCTGCCGACACCCTGGAATCTGGGCCGAGTCCATCTGTACGTGAGGGTGCTGCAGGCCTCACCTGAGGGGCTCTGGGGAGCCGACGCTTTGTGATTCAGGGTTGCTGTCTCCAAGCCGCCTCTAGCCTGGCGCTCCAGGCTCTGTCCCAGAACCTGAAGAGCAGAAGGCAGTGGACGGCAGGACTGCCTTCTCCAGCCGCCCTGAGGGAGGTGGTCTTGACTCCCCTGCCCCCTCTGAGAGCTGGCCAAGGCGCTTGCCCTGGAGGGCTTGGTGGATGTCCCCTGGTGAGTGGATGGCATTGACCTCAGGGCTGTGACTGTGCTCCCAGATGCTTGATAACTCACTGGGGCTTGCCTGGGAATGGGCTCCCGCAGAGCTTTCCTGAGGCTGTCCTCTCTTCTTCCAGTCTGGGAAACAAGTTCTTTAAGTTTATTATCCACAACAAGTAATCTAGGAGCCTAGTGGGTCACCTCCAGAAATTCAAGGACTTGGTCACTTGAAGAGGTTCACCAGTTTCTTCTGGGCAGCAGACTGTGCTGGGAACCAAGTGCCCACAGCTTCCCGGGGCAGACGGGGCCTCCACAGGCTACAGCATGGGGTGCGGAGTGTAGGGCCAGTGAGAGCCTCAGCGGGGCCTCCGCGTACAGAGCGAGGCTTCCCAAAAGAGGTGGCTGAGCTTGAGTCACAAAGATTTTAGCAGTAGCCAGGGAAAGGGGAAGGAGGAAGAGAGAAGGTGGCGAAGAATGGAGGTGTGTGCCGACATGGAGCTGCTCAGTGTGGCTGCCTCTGTCTGTGTGCCAGTGTGCACATGCATCCGGGTTTCTGTGTGTACATACATGTACATGAGTGTGGGTGCATCAGCATATGTGTTCACTTGTGTTTATGTGAATGATGTGCACATGTGTGACATCTGTGTGCATGTGTGTTGTGTGTATTTGTCTGTGCATGCATATATGTGTATGTACACACGCTCTTTGGGTGCATGTCTCTGCGTGTGCACATGTGAAAGTGAAGTTGTGCTTGGGGTGGGAGGAAGAGGAATCAGACAGAGGGGAGACTATAGAGCCATGGTCATGTCTGCTTCCCTTCTGGGGGAGTCCACGTGACCAGCGCATTCAACAATATCTGTTGGAAGAATAAATGGGAGAACTGTGTTTCCTGGACCCTAGGGAGCCACAGAACACCCCTCTTTGGGCTGTAGTGGGGAGCATAGGGTGGGGTGGGGTGCTGCTGAGGCTGTAGGCAGTTTCTGCTCTCCCAGAAGTCACTGTTTTTTTGTTTTAATTAATTAATTAATTTTTATTTGTATTTATTTATTTTTTGAGATGGAGTCTCGCTCTGTCGCCCAGGCTGGAGTGCAGTGGCCCAATCTCAGCTCACTGCAAGCTCCGCCTCCCGGGTTCACGCCATTCTCCTGCCTCAGCCTCCCAAGTAGCTGGGACCACAGGCGCCCGTGACGAAGCCCGGCTAATTTTTTTGTATTTTTAGTAGAGATGGGGTTTCACTGTGTTAGCCAGGATGGTCTCCATCTCCTGACCTCGTGATCTGCCCGTTTTGAGATGGAGTCTCGCTCTGTCACCCAGGCTGGAGTGCAGTGGCGCCATCTCGGCTCACTGCAAGCTCCGCCTCCCGGGTTCATGCATTTCTCCTGCCTCAGCCTCCCAAGTAGCTGGGACCAGAAGTCACTCTTACCCTGCCGGGTGTAGGATGCAGAAGACCCCACCCAGGAGAGGATCCAGGGCTATCATAAAGGTGCAACTTCTACCAGGCTCCAGCTGCTATGTGGGCAGGGAGAGGGCGGTGCTAGGTCAGAAACACAGAGAAAGGCAGCAAAGGGCCAGGCCAAGTCCTGTCCAGGCAGGACTTTTAAATTTGCAATTGACAGTGGGTTTACTCAAGTTAAAATTTAAATCTACTCAAATTAAAATCAAATTTAAAGTTTTAAATTTGCAATTTGAGTGGGTTTACTCAAATTAGCTTAAAAACAAAAAGGAACATATTGGTTCCTAAAACTGGAAGTCTAGGGCAAGACAGCTTAGGCATGGCCAGGTCCGGGGGCTCAGAGGATGTCCAGGACTGGGTGGTCTTCATATGTGGTGGCTTGGCCTTCTTCTGAGTTGCCCGTTCTCAGAGTAGTGGCACAGATGAGTCCCACGGCCCCAGGCCTAATGGGTTCTCTGCCTCATTGTCGGTAGGGATCTGCTTAGAAGGTCCTGACTGGTGACACGTCTGCTTTGTAGGCAAGGGAGGCAGGTAGGGAAGGAGCAGAGGGGAAAAGCTGCCAGGCCAGCAGAGAGGACAGGAGGTGACCCACCCTGGAGGACAGTAGCACCACAACTGCAGTCCCGTCCTCAGAGGAAGGGGAAGATGGGACTCGGGGACATTCTCCCGTTTTTAAGACCTGGGAGATGTGTATTTAAAGGCAAATAAGAAAGCATGATCAAGTAGCGAAGTCCTATCCAGCAATGCACTCAGAGAGAAGAGGACCATATGATTTGGGGGTGGACGAGGAAGAAACTGAGTTGACAAACAGAAAATATAGATTTTCTAAAAGGATCTAAAAGCAAACTCTTTGTGGAAAAACACACCAAGAAACCTTGGGGAATGCCCCCAGAGCCCAGCAGTCCCCGAAGCGTGATTTAAAAACACTGGGCTGTACAACTGCCATCTCCAGCATTTGATGTTAAGGACTGAGTTTGCATTTTGCAAATCATTCCCTCCATCATTTTTGTTTTTCCACAGCAATGCGGGGGTTGCCTTCATCATGTAGTATCTTATAGCAGCTAGTTCCCTTCCATCTTTTTAAAATAATGCATTTCCACATAGCTTGTGCTGTCCTCTGGGATTAATTAGTGACTGAATAAGTTCTATGAGGTGTAGGTGGCCAGCACTTCTTGACAGATGGCAGCTGGAAAAAAAATGGGAGATGATTGCAAGGACGGTAATTATGGTTTTCTGGATGTGAGAAGTTTATGAAATACCTCCAGGGCTGAAGTGCCCACAGAAGTTCTTGGAGCCGCTGAGCCTGTGGTCAAGCAGCCATTCATCCTCTGTCTGAACTCTGGTTAGAAATGGGATTTCCTAGTACACTGAAGACAACAAAATATAAAAAGTTGATTTATACGCAAATCTCCTGCTTCATAATTATGGTCTAGAATTAATTGAATACCCTGTAGCTTTTTGCACTGTATACGCTAATGATGACCAAAAATTGATTCTCTTCTATATTTCCTTATTAACTTATCTTAAAATGACATATTGTGAATAATGACCTCCTGTACTGCTGGACTAGGCAACTTTATAATTTGCAATTCAAGCTGTTTATTCTTTTCAATTTGTTTAGGTAATTTATTTTCACAGGAAGAAAAAAAGAACTAAATTATAGGAACAAACAGTCCCTGTTGCCTGGAAAGTGCTGGGGCTCTGGAGTGAATAAATACTCCTGAAATGAGATGATCACGACCTTGTGTGGGGAGCTTGGTGAGTGGCCATGCTAGTTTTATTTTATGGACCATATTGAATTAATTTAATTATGGGATATCAATGCTCTGCCTGGTAATTAGCGCTGTGGCTATTTCTCCGCGTGCTCCAGTGCCAGGCAGGGCCGTGTAGTCCCGCAAGTCGCTGTTGCCTTGCTCAGAGGTGGCTGCTGACCCCAGGTGGCTGCTCCGCAGCAGGAGGCAGGTTGGGGAGTTCTCATCCTGTCCTCTCCCTGTCCCAGCTTCTCTTCCCTGAGAGAGCAACACAGAGGCAGGCAGATGGAGGTCCATAGAGTGCCTTATTTAATGCCAAATTATAATTTAGTGTTATTTTATTAGATGATCTAATTAGTAGCTCTGAGCTAGAGGAAAACTTAACTTTTTGTGTCCAGCTCAGCAGGCATCTCCACAGCAAGCTTTGATCACAACCCCAGACCTGTGAGCCTCAAGTTGTTTCCCAGGGAAAGAAGTGGGTCTCAGGCCAGCACACTGTCCCTGTCACCACAGCTACCACTGAAACCCGGCTTCTTTCCTGCACCTGCCACAGCTTCATGATGCTCCCCTCATCTCAGGGACGGTTGCTCCTTTTTTTTGCTGAGTGATTAGAAGATTTTGTCAGACAGAAATTCCCTGCCAGAGGTTAACAAACTGAGTTGTCTGGGTCCTGCTTTGGCCCCTCCCTCTCCCCCTCCCCCATATCCCTTCCTCTCTTCTGCCTCCCTTCCTTTCTCCCTCTTCTCTTCCTCAGTGGGGGTAATTCCTCCACTTTGTAAGATTCCAGCCCTTCCTCCCTCCTTGGGGACTGACGCTATCAACTATCCTTTCTCTATCCTATACCTCCAGGTCTCTTTGTGTGTGTTCCTTTCCAGTGCATTTAAAGCCACTCAAGTCCTCCAATGCTGAGAAAATTCCACTCAGCATCTTTCTCCAGCTGTCACCCTCCTCTCCTCCTGCCTCTGTTCCACAGCTGTGGTGTTTCTCTTACCTGCTGTTTCCCATATCCATTGAAGTTGGTACCTGCCCTCCACACCCCCAACAAACCTGCTCTAGCTCAGCGCACCCATGGCCTCCTGACTGTGGAACTGGCCATTCTCAGCCCTTCTCATGTTTTCCTCTAGGAGAGGAGCAGAGCACAGTGGTTAAGAGCTTGGGCTCCCAACCTCTCTGTGCCTCATTTTTTAAAATCTCTATAAAGAGGATAATAATGGTTTGCAGGAAGGTGCTTGGAATACTCTGGATCTAATAAGCACCCTCTAAGTGCAATTTATTATGACAATTCATCACTCCCTCCTCAGCTCCAGGCTTGTGCACACAGCTGCCTACTGGACATGTCCAGATTCCCACCTTAGCCCAACCACACTGCGCTCATGCCTTTCCCGCCCACCTCCCTCTGCAGCCTTCTGCCTCTTCGTCTTCATGAACGGACCTGGCAGACACAAGACTGCCAAAGCCCAAAGCCTGTGCCTGGATTTGGACCCAACCTTTTCCCTTAGCACCCAGGGCTGATCAATACCAAGTCTATTTCTAGAACCTTCTTAATATTTGTCCCCTCTTTCTACTTTTCTTCATCTTCACCACCTGTGCCTAAGGTCAGACTGCCACTGCGTCCTGACAGGTCTATTGATCTGGAATCCATTTTGTGGAGTGGCTTTTCTGGAAACAGACACATGTAGGAGTCAGTGTCCTGCCTGCACCATCCTTGGCACCCAGCACTCCTAGGAAGCTGTGCCACGCCCCCTGTGACCTGCCTCCCACTGTTTCCCTGGCCCCAGGCCTCTCCAATGTCCCTGACACCTGAAAATACTTTGTCTTTGCAAATATGACTCAGAGCTGGGGTGAAAATGCAGCAGACTCAGTGGGGAACCATCCAAACCAGGTAGAATTGGAAACGGCTCCTGTGCTCGCTCCCTTTTGAGATTTTCTGGGCACCCACACACTATTTCTACACACCTGTGGCACTCACTGCCATGCTCACACCTAGAGCAAGGGAAAGGAGGAAGGGGCATTTTATAGGGGGCAACCCTGTGCCCAGCTAAAAGTCAGAGCTCTCTTTCAGAGGTCAAAGGGGAGTGGTTACTGGAGCTACTGGGGACACCACAGCCCGTGACAGATGGCATCAGTTCCACATGCGCCATGGCCCTGACGTATGAGTGGAAAGGTGAGCAGTGAGGTGCTCTGGGCCTGGTCATGGGTTCTGTTCAGGTGGCTTTGGGGGCTTTTCCCCTGCATGGGGCATCAGGACGGGGACCTCTCACTACAGTCCCTGCATGGATAGTCTTGGCCTGGGCTCCAGATGTTCTCTGGGTCCCCTGAGGTAAATGTGTCCCCAGAGGCCCTTCTCTCACTTCCCTACGTGGGCTCCATCCTGGCTCATGGGAAGGGCATGGTCTCCAGGAGTTTGTGTTGGCTGGGAGTCCAGGTAGGGTCACCCTGTGTCCCCTGGGGATGCGCACCAAGCTCTCTACAGGGTTCTTATGAAGCCCCCTTCACTTGGCTTAAGGGGAAGGTAAGAAAAATACAACAGCACTACCAAAACAGCCTTTCTCTAGAGGAGTCTTCTTCCAGATCCCTCTTGCTCTGTCTCCTGGGCTTTCCTTATGCACCTCCCTCGAAGTGAGTAATGGACTTGTTTTTTGGGTCACCCCTTCTGAACAAGTGATAGACAGAAGGATGGATCGTTAAGCCATGTGAGGGTTGGACTTGTCACAGCCAGGGAAGTCTCTGCAGGACAGTTCTCCGGGTGGCCTTGGAACAGCCCAATTCTTTCTCCTTTCTCACTCATACTTCTCAAGAATAACGGTAGAATGTCCTGGGAATGCAGTGTTCTGAGACAAAGAGAAACTGGCTGGAACAGCCCAGCTCTGCCTCTGTCCCCTTAGAAAAAGGAGTTCCTTCAACATTTTAGCCCAGCAATCATGTTGCCCCTGGGCTATAAAACCCTGGGCGGGCTGCTTTCCAGGGTCCCTCAGCTGTGGTGCAGGTGGAGGCAGAGGCAGACAAAACTCCATCCACCCTAGGCAGCTTCTAGAGCCTTGGAGAAACGGCTCGCCATGAATCCTAGGCTTCTGCTGTCCCTTGCTGTGCACTGTGAATAATAAAGTCTCATCACTTAACTTGTGTATGTTCATTCTCACTGGACTCATGCGAGTAGCAGAGATTGCAGCCCAAGAGGCAGCGGACTGAAGTGGAAACAAAGGGACCTGCTTCTGAGGTCCCCAGGTTCCAGGAGGCAGGTGCTGGTGCCCTCCTCAGCTGCAGCCCACACAGGAGCTGAGGGGCTGAGGGTAGACCTTGGACTTTCTGAAGGTGTTCTTGTTAGCAGTGGCACACTATGTGGGCTCATCCCGGGAGAGGACGTGCCGCTGATGCCAAGGAAGGAACCATCTAGCTCAGCGTACCCAGTGGAAATAAAATACAAGCCATAAATGTAATTTTAAATTTTCCCATAGCCATGTTTAAAAAATAAGAACCAGGGGCCGGGCGCGGTGGCTCACGGCTGTAATCCCAGCACTTTGGGAGGCCGAGGAGGGCAGATCACAAGGTCAGGAGATCGAGACCATCCTGGCTAACACGATGAAACCCCGTCTCTACTAAAAATACAAAAAATTAGCTGGGCGTGGTGGCGGGCGCCTATAGTCCCAGCTACTCGGGAGGCTGAGGCAGGAGAATGGCATGAACCCGGGAGGCGGAGCTTGCAGTGAGCCGAGATCGCGCCACTGCACTCCAGCCTGGGCGACAGAGCAAGACTCCGTCTCAAAAAAAAAAAAAAAGAGAACCTGGTGAAATTAATTTTCATAATATATTCTATTGAACCCAATATATAAAAATATGATTGCAAATTAAAATATGAAAAATACTAGTTAGATATTTTATATCCTTATTTAAACTAGTTAGATATTTTATCTCTTTATGGTTTTGCACTAAGTTGTCTAAACCCAGTGTTTTACACTCATAGAATATCTCAGCCCATAGGAGATACACTCCAAGGCTCATTGCCACACTGGCCAGTGGCTGCCATATGGACAGCAGGGCCAGCTGTCAGCTACCAGGTTTCTGTTCCTGAGAGAGCCTTCACCCTCCAAGTGTCCGCTACCTGGTCTACAAGTGAGAGAGACGCTATTGCCCATGGGCTCACTGGAAGCAGTGAGGTAGGTAAGTGTTGCCTGGTAACATTTCAGATCCTCATGAAGGTTCCTCTTTAACCACATTGAGTTGCTATCCTGTGTGCACCTGCCATTGGTTCAGAGAATAGAGGCACAAATGGAGAGAACACAGAAGAAATGCATTTCTATCTATCAATAGCTACATTTTTGAGTGATACTTAGTGCTTGATACTTTTGAGCCCCTTTTGGTACTGTCTCATGGTTATTATCTTCATTTTATACGTGCAGACATCGACACACAGAGAGGCTTGCCAAATCCCCTGAAGCCACACACAGGTAAGTGGTGAAGTTGGAATCTGAATCTTGACAACCTGGTTTCCTCCACACGACTCTCATCTATTTATTTATTATTTTTATTATTTTTTATTTTTTGGAGATGGAGTCTTGCTCTGTCGTCCAGGCTGGAGTGCAATGGCGTGATCTTGGCTCACTGCAACCTCCACCTCTCGGGTTCAAGCAATTCTCCTGCCTCAGCCTTCTGAGTAGATGGGACTACAGGCGTATGCCTCCACGCCTGGCAATTTTTTGGTATTTTTTAGTAGAGATGTGGTTTCACCACGGGGGTTGCCCAGGCTGGTCTCGAACTCCTGAGCTCAGGCAATCTGCCTGCCTCAGCCTCCCAAAGTGCTATGATTACAGGTGTGAGCCACCATGCCTGGCCCAATTTATTTTTAATCTCATAAAGACAGTCCCCTTTGTATAACTGCTGAGTGTTTTCGGGAGAAAAGATTCCCAGCTTTTGGGTTTCTAAAAGCAGCAGAGGCAGGTGGCTGAGACTGTTCAGTACAGGAAGGTTCCCTGGCTCCTGAGAGGGTCCAGCATCATGCTGTGACTCACAGAGGCCCCTGTGCAGAGACGCCACCTGGGCCCAAGGGTGTCCACGAGACCTGCGGTACCCATGGCTCAACCTTACTTTATGCCATTGTCATTTACTGAAGGTAAATTCTGGCTATGCAGCCTCTAGCAAGGTAGGGCTGAGGACGAGCTGGGATGGGCTGGGTGCATGTGCTATAGAACTGGAGACCCTGGTGGTCCAAAAAGCCAAGGAGTGCTGTGAGGGGTGCTGGGCCTCAGTCCCCGCACCCAGGTGGGTCAGCTCCTGCGCTCAAGTCTCAGTGGCCTACAGGAGAGAGGGTGGGGGAGGGACTTTCTGGTCACCCCACATCCAGCTGAAGATTGTCCCAGAGGAGGGAAGGAGAGAGGGAGGGAGGGAGAGGACCAGGGATAGAAAGGAGGAGGGAGGGAGAGACTGGGGGAGACAGAAAAGCAACAAGGAGAATGTGAATGGATCTTTTTTTCCTCTTTGAATGGGGCAATCACCTGAATAACACTTGGGCCAGGCAAGGGCAGGAAAGGAGGAAAACATTTCTGATGCTCGTTCATCCTGAAATACCTGGGTCAGATGGTTGATTCTGTGGATGCTGCCAGAATTCATCTCAGATAGAGGCAGGCACAGAAAAATATTCCTGTGGAGGGAGCCATCAGGATACGTGCACTGCAAGGCTCAGGGATCTAGAGTACTTGTGTGCATGTGTGCGTGTGCTTGCATGTGTGTGTGCATGTGTGCACATGTGTTTGTGTGTGTGTGTGCATATGATTCTCTTGAGTGACACAAAAGCCCATTCCCAGTCTTCTCAAAGCTCAGGCAGCCCCTTGAACAGGTGCAGCGGGCACCCAGCACCCAGAGGGCATGCCCCTGAGTTAGCATTGCCTCCTCTCATCTTCTCCACCTGCAGAAAAGGTGATGTGATCCTGACTTTAAAGATGAAGAAACAAAGGCTCAGGGAGATGAAGGAACTTGGCCAGTGCGACATTTAGTTGGTTGGGCAGCAGGCTTTGAGCCCAGATTTTTCTGTAAAGCTCCTGGGTTTCCTACTGCCTCATGCTGTCATCCCAAAGCCAAAACAGTTAAAGACTCCAAGGTATGTTTATACTTGTAATTATGTATGTATGATGCTGCGCTCCATGGATGTGGAGAGACTGGCCTCATTTTGGTCCTGACTTAGGAGCCCCTCCAATGCAGCTCTGCAGAAGCTGGGGCCAGCGTAGGGCAGGGGCAGGACTTTTGTGTCTTTGCTGTGCCTGATGCTGCCCTGTGTGTGACCTGGTGGCCCACATCAGTGGTGGCCACAAAACAGCCTGTGTTTATATCATCCAAGGGCAGCAGGGTGGGCTGGGCTGGGGAGTGGGGTCCCCTGAGGCTCGCAGGTGGCGCTGAGACAGCTCCTCCCACCAGCCCTCACCAGGCTGTTGGCATAGGAGAGCATGAAGGGCTAATTTCATGGCTGATAAAACTCCCCGTACAAGGGACTTCACAGACAAACGAGAGCCCTGCTCCTCTCGTTTTTACTATGACATTTATTTTCTCTTTAAATTGAGAGAGGTATGTGTTCCATCCTTCCTTGGTCCTGGCCCCTGCAATCATGTGAGGAAGGATCAGGGCTTTTGTGATGAAAGTCAGGACACTCAGAGAGGTGAAGGAGCTGGCCTGGGGCAGCCAGCCTTGAGGCAGGCCAGGAGCAGATGGGGCTGTCTGGGGAGGCTGGTGGGAGGCTCCAGGTGAGTCTGCAGGATGCAGCTGTCATTCAGAGTGGGTGAGGCCTGATTGGGTTTGATGTGATCTTGGCGTCCTGTGCCTTCCCTGGCCTCCCCGAGCTATACCTTGCTCTGCAATGGATTCTCCAGGACCTGACTCAACCGGCCTGTTCCAGGAGGGCTTCCTGAGTGCTTGACTCTTGGCCACCTCCTTTCTCCCCTGAATCTGTATCCAAGGCCAGTCTCCTAATGCTGCTGGCTCTCTCTGTAGGCCAGGTGCTGCCATGTCAGGGTGATCTCATGGGAGCCCCTCACTGCCTTCTCTCACAGATGAGGCAGCTGAGAGGTCCAGTCCATTGAGTGGAATCTCCCAGCTCATAGATGATGGGGCCGGATGAGGTCCTCGGCTCATCCCATCTGACCCAGGTCCAGTGCCCCATCCTGGCCAGGTCACATGACTTAACTTTTTGCAGGTGATGCTTTACCCGAACACCTTCTTGCATCTAATGTTTCTCCTTAATGACACTGGAAGCTTCTGGGGAATAGTCACCGTATTGTATTTTCTCCTATGCCTTCCCCCAAGTATGAAACAGGGCACACACATGCATCCCACAAGCACAAAGAGCCACCCACAGACAAACACATACATGGTACACAGAATACACAATGCACACAAAACCACAGGGCCTGCACACACATGCCTGAGTCCACCTGCATGCCTGCGTGTACATGACACCTGCCCACCAAGCGCACACAAACAAACTCACTTACCTGTACTTCTTGAGCACACAGGTGTATTGAGGAAAAACAATGTGAAAGGGATTTTGGCAGAAATCAGGACTTAAGACTACCTTGTGTGTCCCTGGCTGAGCCACTTCCAGGCCTTCTCCACCTCTGAGTCTGGCTGGAAGGTGTGGTGGGGCTCGGCTCCGGTCTGTGCACCAGACAAGGGCAAGGAACACCCCCAGCCTCAGTTTCCCCTTCTGTGAAGTATGGTCAGCCTGCCTTGCCCATGGGTGGTTGTGAAGATTAAATGAGAGGGCAGATGCCACCTTGAGTGAATTGATAAGAAATGAGCCTTTCATTCCTCTCTAAACAATGAAACTTATTCAGAACGAGGGTGAAGAGGCCCACATGGTGGTCACTTGGCAAAGAAAGATGCCTTTCTTGGCCTCAGACTAGAAAAACTTTGGCAGGGGAGGGGACTCAGAGACTTTCACAAATTAGCATTTAAAAAAATGAAAATAATGATCGCTTATTAGTTGTTTTCTCATTTTATAGGTAACATACAATCCATTTTAAACCGTTTGGAAAATGCAGAAAGATGCTAAGAAGAATATTTTTAAGAAGCACCTAGGGTCCTGCCACCTTGGCACATTCATTTACTCACTGGCCAACCTTTTCCAGGCACCTCCACCAGGGTGTGCAGTCATTAGTCCTGATTTCTGCCCAAATCCCTTTCACCACTGTGTTTCCTCTACACACCCGTGTACTCAGGGAGTGCAGCTAGATGAGCATGTTTGTGTGTGCTTGGTTGGCAGGGGTCATGCAAACACAGCCATGCACGTGGACTCAGGCATGTATGCACAGGCCTGTGGTTGTGTGTTTCATACATGCATTCTGTGTATGCTGTGTGTGTTTATCTTTGGGTGGCTCTTTGTGCTAGCGTCAGGCCCAGGGTTAGCAGTGAGTGAGACAGGATGGATGCCTGGGACCATGGTATGTAGGTTCTGGTGGGAGGGAAGCATGCCACAGGCAGGTCCTAAGTGTTTTCCCCATTGTAACTGCAGGGGATGAACACTCATTCAGGGAGTGTGATGATTAATTTTATGCATCAACTTGACTAGTCCACAGGGTGCCCACATATTTGGTTAGATGTTATTCTGTGTGTGTCCGTGTGATGTCTCTGGATGAGATTAACATTTGAATAGGTATATGGAGTAAAGCAGATGGTCCTCTCCAGTGTGGGTCTCATCCAGCCAGTTGAAGGCCTAAACAGAAAAAAGAATGAGCAAGAGAGAACCTGAACTCTCTGCCTGATGGTCTTCAAGCTGAGATATCAGTCTTCTGCCTTTGACCTCAGACTTAGGCTGGAACTTACACCATTGACTCTCCTGGTTCTCAGGCCTTCAGACTGCAGATCTTGGAACTTATCAACCCCATAATTGCATGAGCCAATTCCTTATTATGCATGTAAACACATGTGTATGTATGTATGCACATATCTATCTATCTATCTATCTATCATCTATATATCTCTTATTGGTTCTGTTTCTTTGGAGAATGCTGATTAATACAGGGAGGAAGCTGTTTTTTATGGAAAACTATTTGGGAAGTGGGCAACAGCCTGGGGGGCTGGTTGGCAGGTGCCAAGGCTATGAAGGAGGACCAGCTGCCCTCACAGGTTTGAGGACCTGGGAGTGCCTTGCACAAGAGCCCTTGACTGACCAGTGTCCAGCATGGCCCCATGTGGCTGTGTTGTGTGTGCTTTAAGAAAGCCAAGATGCAGGTCTTTTTTCACCGTTGCTGCAGTAGCAGGCATGCAGCAGAGATGGTGAGGTCTGCATGGTTGCACCGAGTAGAAGCTAACACATGACAATTCCTCTGAGGTGCAGTTCGGAAGAAAATTACTCTCAGCTCCACTCAGTGAAATCGCTCCATGGGAACATGGGGCCTGCTGGTTTGCACCATTCCAGGATGCTGCCATGAATGATCCATGTTGGCATCCCAACGAGTAAAGTTTGGGCACTATCTGGGGCCCAGACTGGGCCTACTCTTGCTTCGCCACCATTGATAAGAAGGAGTGAGTGTCCAGACAGGGTCTGCGGGGCTCAGGGCTCTGGAATGTTCGATGCTTCCTTAAATGACACAGATGTTATAAAACAAAGCAGAGACCTCCACACTGGGATCCAGAGCATGGGGCATGGAGAGGAAGAGGACATCCCAAGAGCTGTATGGCAGTGGAACGTGTGGGACATCTCTTTGTCTTTTCCTGTCTTCCTCCCTGGAGCCAGGCAGATGGAGCTGAGTGGGCAGGCACAGCATGTGTGTGCCAAATCCCAACCCATCCATCCTTCCAGCTGCTGTCTCAGTGCCACACACCCAGTGGAACTTATGTTCAGGTTACACAAAAATCCCTGCTATTCTCAGAAAGCACTGTGGTCTCTCAAGCTCTTGCACCTTTTCCCATGCCGTTCCCTCCACTTGGAGTGCCCTCCCTCCCATCCCCACTGCTTCCCCAGCCCCTTCACCTCCCCCTTTTCCCATATGCTCAAATTTCACTATTTTTAAGGGCTTATGTCCATGTCACATCCATGAAAAATTGTCAGGAAATTGTCACTGGACCCCCAGACAGCCGTTGGCATCCCCACTGAGCCTTGTATGCATGCTTACAGCAGCACTTATCACTCTGAATTGCAGCTTTGTTGCCCTTTTCAGATCTTAAAACTAGACTGTGAACATTTGAGGACAGGGGCTGACAAGCAGCGAGTCCCTATACACAGTGGGAAAATGGCCTTCTCCACACCGGAGAGGCCACAGCACAGCAAGAGAATCCACGGCCAGAGGGTTCTTGCTGAAGCCCAGCTGACATGGCTCCAGCCACGGCAGAGAACACCTTTGCTTTCCTTCCAGATGGCACCCGAGAGCATGAGCAAGTGGTGCCGCTAGTCAGTTGCTCTGGGAACTCTGGACAGCAACACCATTGTGAGGAGCAGCAGAGCACAGGTGCACACACCCCTGGAGCCAGCACCTACTCTAGACCTCTTGAGAGTGGCTATTCTATCTTTCTCTTATTTTGTTCTTGTTCTTCCTTTATCCATTTTCAAAGAACACTATCTATGACCAATTAAATCAATTTCAGGGCCACTGATGGGTAACCTGCACTAACTGGCAGACTGCCCCCCACCCCTGCACTCTGTTTGTGAATTGGCATCTGTGACTAAGCCACCTCTCCAGAATCTGTGTGTGTGTGTGTGTGTGCACTTGTCAGGGCATTCTTTTGTGTGTGCATGTGCATGAACTTGGGAGTGTGTACAGGTGTGTGATTGTCTCAGTGAGGGTGAGTTGTGTCAGCTGATGGATGTACAGGTTAGTGCTTCCTTTGTAGCAGAATGGACTGATAAACAAATAGTGCTCCATCATGTGTTCATTCATTTATTCCTCAATCTAGGCACTCATGCAATATTAGTTGAGTCCCTGTTATGTGCCTGGCACTGTGCAGGGTGTTAGGAATTGTGCAATGCCCAAGACAGACACCTTTTAACACATCAGGTACCATCTGGGCCACTGCCCCATTCTTGGCTTCTAAATGTGGCTGTCTGGAGCTAGTGAGAAGGTGCTACCCAACGTGGGATCTCCTCTTCACTTAAGCACTTTTCAGTCCACACTTGGCTTCTGGGGCCAGAGGGAGGGCAGTGAGTGGGTGAGGATACCTGTGAGAACTTCCAGCGTCCACCAGCACCTGTTGTCCATCCTGGGGAACTGAGCATCAGAGCCCATCTCAAAAGATTTGGCCCTTGTAAGCCACCACCTGCCCTGAGCCCCTCATTGGTCCCTTCCTCTCCAGGTGGGCTCATCCCCAGTCCCAACTCATACTGCCAGCTCTGAATGCCTGCTCCCCACTCTGTGCGCCCTTGGGAACTAGACACGGTTCCCTCTGCTTGGAGGTCCCTGACCTCATGGTGCATGGCCAGATCCTGTTGATTTTTAAAAATCAACTTTTCTGGATCCTCCTTTCGGGAAGACTTGCCTTCCCCTCTTTGCCTCCCCAGACGGCTTTTAATGCCTGTCTCTGCAGAACACACCTGCCTGGTGCATAGGCTTTGCCTGTAACCATCCTCTGCCCTGGCATCTGAGGCAGGAGCAAGCCTGTGTCTCCTTGTTCACTGCCTGGCACTGAGTAGGTGCTCAGCAGAATTACTGAATCTGGTTAATGCCCATCTGAGAGCTCACAATCACAGCACCAATGCTGGGATAGTGGGTGGCTCTCAGCAACTGGTGGGGGGTGGGGACCACAGCTTTAGCAAACTTCAACCATACCCTGCAAGGAACCGCCACAGTCTCGGTCCTCATGGATGCTCCTGTTGGGGTCAGTTAGCCCCTGCGTGAATCCCACCCCCAGCATGCATTCCACATGTGGGCTCATGAGAGATATTCAACTTCCCTGTGCCTCAGTTTTGTTATCTTAAAAATGGAAGTAATAAGACCATCCTTATAGAATCTCGTTGTGCAGGGAAATCCTGCATGTAATAAGATTCTACAAGTGGATGCACACGACCCCTGCCACTAAGACAGGGTGCATCTGCATCACCCCAGATCCTCCTGTGTCCAGCGGCCTCCCCTTGCCACCCATGTCCATCTCTCCCTGTGGAGGCCTTCCCCCTCACAAACCGCCGGCTCACTCTTGGAAGTCTGTTTCTCCTTGGGGAGAAAGGACAAAGCTGATTTAAGCACAGGCAGCCTGTCAGTGGATGGAAACAATTACAAATTAAAACCTGTCACTGGTGAAGAGTCCCTGCCCCCTCTCATGGCGATTAAAGTCAGCTCCCTTTGAGAGGCCTCTGTGCGGGAGTCGGGTGCCTGCCTTGCGCTCCCGTCCCCTTGGGCATCGCTGTGGAAGAGTGCTCCCCTTCCTCGGCAGGACTCCTTGCCGCACTTGCTCATTCGGTCATTCATCCATTTGTTCATTCGTTCAACAGTATTTATGGAGAGGGTAAGGACGTGCCTGGCAGTGCTCCAGGGCCTGGAGATAGAGCCACCCAAAGGCGAGAATTAGCTTGACTGGTAGTGATGAGGATTAGGTCATTTCAGAGAGCAGGGAGGGGCCGTGCCATGTCTGTGGAGACCCAGGTGCAGAAGGAGGGAGGGTGACAGGTGCAAGGCTGGAGGTGGTGAACTGTGGGATGTGGGATGGTGAGGCAAGAAGGGACGGCCAGGAAGAGTGTTCCCAGGGCAATGTGTTGGATGGATAGAGCAAGGGGAATAAAAGATTGACCAGCGGGCCAGGTGCAGTGGCTCACACCTGTAATCCCAGCACTTTGAGAGGCTGAGGTGGGCAGATCACCTGAGCTCAGGAATTCAAGACCAGCCTGACCAACATGGTGAAACTCTGTGTCTACTAAAAATACAAAAAAATTACCTGAGCATGGTGGTGGGCACCTGTAATCCCAGCTACTCAGGAGGCTGAGGCAGGAGAATCCCTTGAACCTGGGAGGCGGAGGTTGCAGTGAGCTGAGATCGCGTCATTGCACTCCAGCCTCCAGCCTGGGCAGCAAGAGCGAAACTCCGTCTCAAAAAAGAAAAAAGAAAAAAGAAAAAAGATTGACTAGGGAGTAGCACCACTGGAAGGAAAAGAGTGAAGCAGGACCAGGCAAGGGGCCCCCAGACCAGTGAGGCCTGACGAGTCTCTATCCACACTGGGAGGGTTCCAGAGCAATGGCTGCCTGTCCCAGGTCCTGCCTGTCCCGGGTCCTGCCTTTCCCGGGTCCTGCCTGTCCCGGGTCCTGCCTGTCCCGGCTCCTGCCTGTCCTGGCTCCTGCCTGATCCAGGTCTGTGCTGGGGACATGGCCAGGCCCTCAAGCCCCTGGCATATTCAGTTATTGGCCATGGATGACCCAGAGAAATATGACTGCTTTGAAAACTGAAGCGCCTGAAGGAGTTAGCATCTGAGTGCCAGGGAACACACTCCTTGTGCTGCTGAGCAGTGAGTCCTTTCTTGAAGGGGGTCTGGGTAATGCATCTCAGTATCTGCCAGAGTAAGAAGTGAGTTTTGTTGGCCCAAAAAGGAGAAGCACCCTGCCCCTACCCCTGCACTTCTAGGCCCCAGAAGGTTCTAATGATGCATCTGCCTGGTGAACCAGGAGGTCTGAGCAGGACTGCAGCTGTTGTGGGCTCTGGCTTTCCAGAGGCTGGGGTGGGACCTCAGGACCTTCACTCACTGTGGGGCCACTGCTGGAGGAGGTGGTTGGGGCTCACAGGTTGGGGCTGGGAGAGTCTTGGCTGCCATGTAGTGCTGGACAGTGGCGTTGGACGGGGAACCAGCATTCCAAGGCTCCTGTTCAGGTTGGGGGTGGGTGAGGGAACAGGTTTTTATAGGGTGAGACCGCTTGGTGTCTCCCGTGTTGAGACACTTTTGGCTGGTGTAGGTGCTACTGTGGAATTTCTGTCAATTACATTTTAAAACGATGAGAGAGAAAAGGCTTGGTTCTTATTTTAGACATGGGTGGTAGTAGTGGTGGTGGAGGAAATGGGGCACTTCACCTGTCATTATTCCTGGAACCAGTTACCTGGAGAGATGATGTAACATGTGTGATGATCAATTGGGGTGCTCAGACTGAAGGCTGGGTTAGGAGAAGAAAACTGATGACTGAAGGCAGGTGCAGGCCCTCCTATTGGCAAGGGTTGAGTAGCTCCTGTTACACACGCTGCCACAGGTGACTCTGCACACAGCATTGAAAGCAACTGTAGGGAGGCACGGGAGAGTGGCCAAAGGCAGGTGGAAACTGGAGGCGGGGCTTTGGAAGAAGGAAGGTGCTGGAGAAGGATTATCCCTTCCCTAGCTTGATGTTGGGAACAGTGTGTGTCACTGGGACATGAGAGCTGGGACAGAAAATGACCAAGGATTTTGCAGCATTCACTACAGAGGAGATGGCTTTCTCACTGGGAGTCCAGCCATCCTGACTCCCTGCTTGAAAAGAGAAATCAATTCTTGTGGGACAAAGTAGGTGCTGAGAGGGGTGAGACATTAACACTGGGGGCCCACGAAGGGACCTGGGGTGCTGAACTTGGAGGGGTGCAGGGGAGGGGAGACAGGCAGTGGCTATCTACTACTTACAGGGTCACCGTGAGTGACAGGAGTAGACTCACCACGTGGTCTTGAGGGTGAAATGGGCGCTCTCAGTTGACATTACAAGCAGACAGTTCTCAGCTCCACATAAAGAACCATTTGCTAAGAAGGAGTCTTATCCATTGAACCATTAATGGAAGGAGCTGCCCTCCTTCCATTATATGGTATACCATTAATACCATACATCCCTGGAGGAATTCAAAGAGAGACCCGCTGGCATTTTAGGGAGACTATTGGAGGCTGTATGGTTGCAGGAGGAAATAGACATTTACATACTGGAAAATCTGGGCTCTGGGGCCAGGTGGCCCTGGTTCCAGTCCCCATCCAGCTGCAGATATTTCATCCTTAAAAAAGAGGAGAAGTTTACTGTCTCAGGACATGGGTTTTTGGGCTTGGGACACATGGAGTACACCACGAGGGGCTGAGTGGAGGAGCAGCCTACAGGTTTGTAGAAACAATGCCACTGGCTCCCTGCTCTCCCCAGCTACTGCACAGCCACTGCATGGCCCTCCAAGTCTGCACTCTGGTTCCCCATCCTGCTGGTGAGAAGCAACTCTCAGGGCCTCCCTGGGATTGGTGAGGCCACACAATGAGTGCCTGGTCCAGTGAGGAGACCAGGTCTCCAGCCTCCCAGCTAGCCTGTCTGCTTCACCCAAGAGCTGCTCCTGAGGCCTGCCCGAGGGGCTGTCGCCACCCAAGGCACCGCGATGATTGGTTAAATGAAGCCCGGTGATTTGGCATGTCTTCCCCTCCTGTGTGCACATTCAGAAAGGGCAATAACCAGAAAATTGAGGCGACCGATGGTGCCTGCCGGACAGCAGAGATGAAACAGATCTGACTACACAGATAAGGAGGAGAAAATGAGCTATCAGGGCCTCCTTGCCCCTGCTTTGATCAGCAGAGACATTGTCGGGTCACAGCGAAGAAGCCCTTCTGGAATCAGACACTATTTTTAGCCCCTTTAATTGTGCTGTATTGAAATCCGCAGGCTCCCTGAACAAAGGGAGTGGGGAAGTAGATTGCCAGGACCTGGGGAGGAGGGAGGTCATGCTGTTATCACTGGAGGCTGAAAGCACCACCCTGTGCTGCTGCTCTGTGATTACCATCAAAGCTAATTAACACAGCTCCTTGAACCAGCTGTCCCAGGTGAGGCCCAGCCTGGGGGAATCATGGTGAGGCCAGTTGGGGAGGAATGGGCTCCTGTTTACTAACTGGCATCTCCCCCAGCACCACCCCTAACACTGTCAGTATGAGGGTGGGCAAAGCTGCCAGTCCCAATGGCCCCAGCTGGACTCTCCTGGCTGGGATCCTGTGCCTCTGGCTCTCCCCACGCCTTGCTCTCCTGTCCTGTCCTGGGACCAGGGATTCTAGCTATCAGCTTTAGGGCAGGTGGATGGGGCCGAGAGTGGGAGCTCACTCCAGGGAGCAGCAGCTTCTATGTGGGCGGGTCACTGGCAAACTGCCCTCTTTACTACCTTTGTTCCTCAGCTACGTCCTGAGCACCTCTTATGTGCCAAACACCTAAGACGCTGGGGATGTGCCGATTAGATGTCCTGGTGGTGGTGGGGAATAAGGCTTGGAGGGAGAGATGCATAGAGGGTGTGACCCTGATGATACGGAAGTTCCTCAGCAGGGATCCCCAGGAAGGGATGAAGTGGCTGAACCCACAGGGCTGGTCATGCACCAATTCAAGGATAAGGAAGGGCAGCCACATGAGTTGGGAGGGGGCTTTCCAGTAGAGGAAAAGTTGATGCAGAGGTACGAAATAAAGGGAGGACTTGGGGCTGGGCGCCGTGGCTCACGCCTGTAATCCCAGCACTTTGGGAGGCCGAGGCGGGCGGATCACGAGGTCAAGAGATCGAGATCATCCTGGCTAACATGGTGAAACCCTGTCTCCACTAAAAATACAAAAAATTAGCCGGGCGTGGTGGTGGGCGCCTGTAGTCCCAGCTACTCGGGAGGCTGAGGCAGGAGAATCGCGTGAACCCGGGAGGCGGAGCTTGCAGTGAGGCGAGATCGCGCCACTGCACTCCAGCCTGGGCGACAGAGCGAGAGAAAAAAAAAAAAAAAAAAAAAAGGAGGACTTGGGGTGGTTGACCACACAGAGAAGCTTCACACCAGGGGATGGGCAGTTAAGAGAGGGTGGGCAGGTTTCATGTCATCCATAGACACAGTCTTATCTGCTGTGTGACTTTTGTTAGAAATGACATGTTTGAAAATGGTCACAGGCAAGGCTCATTTACTCTGTGCGTGCATTCATTTTGAGTCCATTCATTCATGCGCTGGCGCACTCATGACCACTCTCCTATTATTTCTTCATTCTGAGGTTTATTTACCCATTCCCTTCCCTATTGACTCTTTTGTTCATCAGTTCACAATAATGACAATGTATGGAGTTCTTCCTTTCCTCCTTTCTTGGGACGCCCTTGCCCAGCGAGGACCGTGCAGAAGCGGGAACCGGGCACTGGAGGGCGCGCGCGGCACGCGCATCTCGGCTGGCACCTCCTGGCTCCGCGGGGCCGGAAAGAACCTCGAATACTCGGTCTTAAAAGGCTCCTAGTCATCCCGTTCCTTCCACTCCTCACAGCACAGATGGGGAAACTGAGGCCTGGAGAATAAGCGTGGCATACCCAGGGTCACCGGAAGAGTAATGAGCTGAACCAGAGAGGAGGAACGGGAAGCGAGACTTCTAAGCAATGCGGGGTGGCCCCCGGGCCACCGGAGGAGGCATGGTCGGGCACGTCCCCAAGTTTCGGTACCCGTGGTGGCTGTGCCAGCCGATATGAGCCCCTCCCTCTCTAGGAAGGCGCAGGACTCGGGGAAGCCTCCGCGGCCAGGCCGCCTGCCTACCCGCAGACCCCGGGCGCCGCCCGCGTTCCCTGCCCTTCACTTCCCAACCCCTGCGTGGCCCCAGGGTCCACATTCCTGGAGTTTTCCTCCCCAGTAAATAGTGCTGTCCCCCACTTAACAGCAGAGGCGCCCAGGAGTTCAGGCGATGT
Organism: Homo sapiens; assembly: GCF_000001405.40. NCBI lineage: Eukaryota > Metazoa > Chordata > Mammalia > Primates > Hominidae > Homo > Homo sapiens. The sequence goes on along the minus strand of NC_000002.12, from coordinate 126,777,032 downwards.
GTCCAAGGCCGAACAGAGGGACAGCAGTGAGCTGCTCAACCTTTCCAGCTGCGCAGCCAGGACACGGCTGGGGGCGGGTGGAGATGTGGCGCAGGGTTAGGGTCCGGGTCCCGGGAAGTAATGACCGAGGGCGGTGACCACTGTCTTCAGCTTCCCGGCGGGCTTCCCTCCAAGGGATCCCTAAGCCCGAAGGTGCCCGGCTGGGAGAGCAGAAAGTGTACTGGCACTGGGACAGACCGCTGGGGTGAGGCGGGGGCGGGGAGAGCTGGCCAAGCGCCTGGGCGGGGCTGGGGCGGGGCCTGGGCGGGGCTGGGGCGGGGCCAGGGCGGGGCCGGGGCACGAAGGGGTCTGTGAGCGACCCCTTGCCCGCTTTCCCCGCTGTACAATGGGTATAGGTGTGCTGCCCTTTCTACTCCCAATGGCTTTGTCCAGAGTGACCACACTCGGGAATTAATCGCGGCACACTCCCTGTGGTTGTCTCCGGGAAACTCGCAGGCGCCTGGGATGAAACTGGGCTGTGTGGCCCTGAAGTGAGGTCCTCAGTGTGCCTCTCAGGCTGACTGAACCCAGGGGGGAGCCGTGCCTGGCTTATGGTGGTCCCCAGTCCTGCCCTTCTCCTGGCTTCATGTTCTTACTGAGGCCACGTGCCCCATCCCCAAGACACCCACCTGCCCCATAGAGACGCCTCCTCCTGCATCCTTCTCTGCTCCTGCAGGACTCTTGGGGACTCCATCCCTCCCTCTTCCCAGCTCTGCACTGGCTAGGTGGGGCACCTTCATTCAGTGTTGTTACAACAGCCTCAGGACTTGCCTCTGTGCCTGCAGCCAGAGAGCAAAGCAGAAACCGATCTTGGCCACTCATCCTGCCTAAACCTTCTATGGCTCCCCAGTGCCTTCTGGGATCAATTAAACCCCTTAGCATGAATTGCCCCTGATCAAGTGATCAAGGCTATGACGTCTTGAAGTCTTGTTTTGTCTTTTCTTCTTTCTTTCCTTCTTCTTTCCTTCTTTTCATTTCTTTCTTCCGTTCTTTCTTTTTTCTTTTCTTTCTTTTTTTTTTTTGAGACAGGGTCTTCCTCTTCACCTAGGCTGGAGTGCAGTGAGGCAATCTCGGCTCGCTGCAACCTCCTCCCGGGTTTAAAGGATTCTTGTGCCTCAGCCTCCCTGAGTAGCTGGCCACGGTGGTCTCAAACTCCTGGTCTCAAGTGATCCACCTGCCTTGGCCTCCCAAAGTGCTGGGATTATAGGCCTGAGCCACCGTCCCTGGCTGCTCCTGATCAAGTCTTTAGTCTCAACTCTGGTCACACAGCTGCCTCCCTCTACCGCCTGTGCTACATCTGCAAAGCACTCACACAGGCACACACTTGTGTCCACACCCACACATGTGCACATGAGCAGCGCCTGCACACACAATAGACGGACACACAGGTACTCCTATAATTTGCCATGTTCTCTCCCCTACCTTTGCACTTGCCTTGAACATACCGTTCCTCTTTTTCTGTCCAATACTTTCTCAGGTTTCAGGAATCAACTAAGTCATCACTTTTTCCAGGAAGCTGCCTAGACAGCTAGTGTGTTAGGTGCTCTCCCCTGGGCTCCCCTCGTCCCTCTGGTGCAGCACTGACCTGTTTCTGGTCCCCCACAGAAGACAGGGCATGTCCTGAAGGCAGGGCAAGACATATTTCTCCTTTGTTGCCCTGCAGGAGGCCTGACACAGAGACAGCCTTCTGGAGGGTTTGTTAAAATGAATGAATGAGGAAAACCAGAGTATCCATCAAATGGAAAACTGAAGAAATGTGAGATGGTTGGATGGATACCCAGAACAAGGCTGGCTCCAGAATGTGCTGGAAGCTCACAGTGCCTACAGCAGGACAGACAAATCTTCTTCAGTGAGGACAAGCTAGCTCAGGTGGTGTCACGGCGACCCACAGACCAGTGGCTCAAAACTTGGACAGTTTATTTCTCATTTGCACTTCAGGGCATTGTGGTCAGCAGGAGCTCTGCTCATTACCGTCACTTGTGTGCAGCTGACAAAGCAGACCAAGTCCAATGCAGCCTGCCTGTGTCACAACAGAGCAGGGTTCTGGAGAGAAACTTGGCATATCCCTTCTGCTCACAGCTCACTGGACAGAGCTAGTAACATAGCCCCACCTGCCCCAACCACAAGGGGCTTGGAAGTGCCATCTGCCTTGGGCTCGGAAACGTGGCAACCTGGAAAAACGGCCAGTGGTACTAATGACAACCACTGTCCATGTGTCACCAGGGAGCCCGGAGAAAGGGGCTTTGAGAAGACCTCAAAACTATATAAGCCAGCCTCCCATAGCACTCCTGTTTTCTGTTTGCCCCCTCCCACCACACTAAGCCACCTACCATGGCCAACAGGAATACCAAGAATTATAAAGTCAGAAGAGATCTTGGGATCTAAGACAGACTGATTCTTCTAGGGTGTGTGTGCATATGTGCAGGTGTGTGTGTGCGTGTATGAGTGACCGTGTGTTAGTGTGTGGATGCAGGTGCACTGTGTGCATATGTGTGTTTGTGTGCATATGTGCATGTGCGAGTAAGTATGTGTGTTTGCTGGGAGCAGTGATGTTGTGTGTAGTGGGTCAATAGTTCCCCTTAGCGACCACCGCTGTGTGTCAGGCTCTGCTGTAGATGCTGGGCACACATTATCTCCTAATCCTTCCCATAACCCTGCAAAGGTTGGCATTGATGTGCATGTATGGAGGATACACGGATCTCAGTGAGGCCCAAGGAGGTGACAGGCTTGCCTGGCACCACTGGAGCAGGTCTTGGCATTTGTCTCTGCCTGAGTCCTGGACTGCTCACATCTTACCAGAGTGTAGCTCTTGCCTGCCCTTTTCCTTGCTTTTCCTGGCTGATTTCCATCCCATTTCCTGGGATGCTGCCTTGTATGCAGGTTTCACTCTGCCTCCAGGCCTTCCTCTAATTTGGAGCTCCTTGAGGAAGGGGGTTTTCCCTCTGCTTCTCTCTGCAGGCCTAGGCCCAGCCTATGCTCAAGCAAGGTTAGAGGGTGATGTGACCAGGGAATCTTCCTTCACCTTCATTTGGGGTAGGAGTTTCCTTCTCTTCCTAAAGCCTCCTGGTATAACAGCAAGAGCCCAAGTTCTGGTATTAGAGCTGTCTGTCTCACTTCCAGACTCACTAGCCATGTCCCCCTGGCAAGTCACTTCCCCTTCTTAAGCCTCAGTTTTCTGGTTAGCCAAGTGGATAGAGGTGCACGCTACAGCATAGAGGTGCAGGGAGGATAAAAATAGATAGCGTGATGTGGCTATCACAGATCCTACGTGTTACCAGGGCACACATATAGCAGCTATGTTAATTCGTATAAATATATTACTGTACGGGAGCTCTCAGGACTGCTGCTGAGGGCTGGGAAATGAGCATGCTCTGACGGACTGGGCATTTTGTGCTCTCCTGCAGAGGAGATGCATGCAACACAGTGGCCTGAAGCCTCCACTTGAATTTCACCGGACAAATATCGACAAGTCTTCATCCCTTTCCTGAGTCTGTGATTTGTCCTCACTGTAGAATCAGGGATCTGCAGAAGACAAGGAAACAGGCCAGAGGGGGGAGAATTGTCCTCCCCTCTTGCCTGTGAGGGTCCAGGGCAGAGGATCTCAGAGTAGGCCCGATGGACTGGCTGATGGAGAGGAACTTAGGTGGGTTTATCCAACAGAAACCTGGAAGAAAATTTTCCCTGCTTGACCCACTCCGGGGCAGGCCACCACAATTCCACTCCTTTGCTCCCCAGTTCTGTGATTTGAATGCCTTCCAGCCTTTCCAGTCTCCAAGTAAGGTTAGTGGGCCTCACATTCCACAGCCTCCAGGCAGGATTCCCAGAGCCCTTTAGCTACACCCACTTCTGCCTCCTGGAAGTCTCCACACCTGAGAGTGCCTGCATCATGCCAGGCCTTTACAAACAGCCTCTCTTTTATTTCCAGGACAACCAAGAGGTGCAACCTTTGGTTGGTGCAACCCAACAAAGGAGGTACTGACCTCCTTTACAAATGTAGACACTGAACTCAACAGGTAAGTGCAAGGACAGCCCGCAGCGACCCAGCAGAGGAGCTGCGATTTTGAACCCAGGTGGTCCTGGGTCCAAAGCTCTTGGTTCTAACTTGGCCACCTGAGGCTTCCCAGGAACAGCCCTTCACATGAAATCCCATGTGGCATTTGCCATTAGCCTGTTGTTTTTGAGGGACAGGTGCAAAGATTTTACACATTTTTAAAAAATTCACTTCTCAGAGCCTGATATGGTTTGGATATGTGTCCCCGCCCAAATCTCATGTCTAATTGTAATACCCAATGGTGGAGGTGGGGCCTGGTGGGAGGTGAATTGGATCATGCGGGTGGTTTCTTATTAATGGTTTAGGAACATCCCCCTTAGTACTGTCCCCTTGATAATAAATGAGTTCTCATGAGATCTGGTTGTTTAAAAGTGTATAGCACTTCCCCCAACCCTTGCTCCAGCTCACACTATGTGAGGCACCTGGCTCCCCCTTCTCCTTCTGCCATGATTGGAAGTTTCCTGAAGCCTCCCCAGAAGCAAGGAGAAACCTCTATGCTTTCTGTACAGCCTGCAGAACCCTGAGCCAATTAAACCTCATTTCTTTATAAATTACTCAGTAACAAGTATTTCTTTATAGCAGTGTGAGAAAAGCCTAATACAGAGCCCAGACCCCAGAGTGGTATATTCACCTTCTGTATCGTGCCCCAGAGCACTCATTGGCTTCTTTTCCCATATGATCAACTTAAACTCCTCTGTCTGGTTTCTATAATTTTGATAGTTAAGCCTTCTGATACCCGTGGGATCCTCATTCCAGTTGGAAGATGTGTGGTTTGGAACCAAAAGCAGTGCTTCATTAGAAGGGAACCTAGACGCGGACCCACTGTCCGACCTAGCCTGAGATCAGCTGGACCTGGCGGCAGGTTCCAGGTGAGCGGTCCGAGACCCGCAGGGCGTGGCCTGGCCGTGGTGTGGGCGTGGTCTGGCCAAGGTGTGGGCGTGGGTATGCGCACACAGCACACCGACCCTCAGCCCTTTCCAGAGCGCCTGAGCAGGCCTGGCTCCCAGCAGTCCTGTGAAACTGCTCAATCCGGAAGTGGGGCCCTTTTTGAGTCTGTGTTTCTCACCCTCACGTTCAATGTCAAATTCCACCGATGCTTTCTGGTCATTGCCCCAGCTCTTCCCTTCCTCAGCGTCCCTACTCTGTGCTCCCTGTGGCCCTCGGTGCCTCCTGCTTCGCGTTGTGCCCTGTTTCCTAACGCCCCGCACGGCCTCGGCCGCCTCACACACCCTCCACCTCCCCGTTGAGGGGCTCATTATCAGTCTCGGCGTTTCTTCGTGGCTCCCTTGTTTAAAAGTCCATCACTTCTTCATTTAGAAAACCTTTAAAAGTGCTTCTCATGTGCCAGAACTGGGGTGTCACCTACAGCATGAAGCCCCTGCTCCTGCAGCGTGGACCCTTCCATCCTCAGCCGTGTGCCCCAGCCTCAGCTGCAGTCTCGGGCTTCCAGCCACCTCTGTACCCTGGCTCTCACTGCTCCCCGTTACGGAAATGCCCCTTCCCTCCTGTCATGGGGCAGCTGTCCTCACAGCAGCTGTCTTCTCCCCCAGGGGAGAAAAGGGGCTTGGTGTCCTTGCCCCACTGCTGCCTCCTGGCCCCACTTGTGTGTCCTCTAGTCAGAGCTCTGCTGGGGCCTTGCTCCACCACCTCTAGTCAAAGCTCTGCTGGGGCCTTGCTCCACCGCCCGTGGCCTTTCCGGTGGCTGGGACCTCTGGTGGCCCAACCTGTAACTTTGACACCCGAGGAATGCACCTGCCTCCAGATCTGCTTTCCACTTGTTCTTTATGGTGTCAACTTTCATCTTGATGACCTATCTGATACACACTGGCTGCTGGCCTCTGTCTTCCTTGATGTTTTCTCTGGGGACCATCTCTGGGGGTTCAGGTCAGCCGGCTCATGACCCACATCAGTCAGGAACCTTGCTATTACTGGGAACTCTTCACTTCAAAATAACTCCCTCCACTCTGTGCTTAAAGCTTCCCTCCTCCCACACGGCTGTCCATCTTGGGACCTCAGATCTCATCCCTCTACATCCTCCCAAGGCAGCAGCCCCTTTCTGCCCTCTTGTTCCTCCTGACCCAGGAGGATGAGACCCTGGCATTCCTCTTATGTTTCTTGCTACAATCCTTCATGCTTGCTTTCCCATACCCTAAACTTCCTCACCTGTGTTTCCCTCCAGCAAATCTGGTAAAGCCGCACTCCTGGGTGAGCCCTCCCTTCACTCTGCTTTCTCCCCACCTGCCCCTGCCTGGCTGAGCGCTGCAGGAAAGAGGCACACAGTGGGACAGGTGAATTCACTGACCTTGAGTGGGGCCTGCACCAGGCCAGCAAGTATGACTGTAGAGGGGACACTGGCTTGGTGTCATTGGTTCCTGCTCTCCCAGCTCTCCAACCCCTATTGACTTTGACATACAAGAGGCAAAACATAGGATGGTAGCAGAGAGTGACAGATTTGTCACAGTAGGAAAAACACAGCCCTGTTGGAAAATCATTCAATTAGTGGGCTGTGTTTGCTAAGAAGTCTCAATGGCCCCCAAGGAAGACAACATTGGGAAGACCAGATCTGGAGGAATTCACAGAGACACGGAGCCAATCCATGAGAAGCATCCTTGGTGGGCTAGCAGTCAGAGGCATGCAGAGACCGAGGGACTAAGGGCCATCATCAGAAGCTACAGGGAGACAGGGAAGAGAAGATAGCTAGAAACAAGTGTGGATGAGATTGTCTTGGGAAGGGCTGAGCAAAGAAAAGAGAAAGAGGTCCACAAATCCCCAGTATTGAAAGAGAAGGCAGAGGAGGGATGGCCAGGAGATAAAGGCACCCAAGGAGAGAAGGAGGCTACCCAGCAGCCAATAGCCCCAGATGAAAAACTGTATTTCCCAGCTTCTCAGCATTTGTCAAATTCAACAGGGGTAGGAGTAGCAAGTAAGACAAAAGTCATTAGATAGGGTTACTGGGAAAATCTTCTGTCTTTCCCCACTTGCACCTTGCTGCTGCTTGGGACTTGAATGTGATGCCTGGAGTTCTCACAGCCACCTTGGATCATTTGGTTACCAGAGGAGAAAATCCATGTACTAAAAAGGGCAGAGAAGAAGGGTAGAAGGAGGCTGAGTCCCTAATAACCTTGGAGCCACCACAGCAGCTTTGGGACAGCTCACCTATGGGTCTTTATTTATGTGAGAGAAGGCTAATCCTCTCGGACACTTATTGACAGTTGAGGGCATGGGTCCCGGGTAGTGGGAGGGTCCCAGATCTATGGGCTGAGTAGGAAGTGGTCATTAGGAGGCTGTGAGACACCTGGTGAGAGCAGTGGGTTGTGGGGTGGAGACAGGATGCAAGGTGTGAGGCTTGAACAGAAAAGAAGGATGGGGCAGGGGCCCATGAGAATTGAGCACTTTTTTTATGGATTGTGACTCAGTATGATGGAGAGATGAGATCAGTGTGATACGGACAGTGTGAGCCAAATGCATTTCTATGGCAGATACAGTCTTCCTTGGTGCCCACATAGAGCCCAGCACACCCTGGGGTCCAATGTGTTGGTGCAGGCAGGTGGAAAGTTGCTCAGCAGCCAGGCCAGGGAGAAGGCATGTTTTGCTGAGCTGTATCAGGCCCATTGCTGTAAGGGCTGGTTGGGTTTCATCTTGTTGCTTTCCCCAGAACCACCGGTAGGGGAGGGGCTTCTGAGTGACTCCCACCTTTGTCACTTAACCAAGCTGTATCCCAGCTTCCTCATTTGTGAGCTGGGGGTGCACCTTCCCACCGGAGGCAGGAGCTGTGAGGCTAACTCCAGATAATGCTCATGACATGTTCATCTTTGTGCCTGGTGTCTTCTCCATCCCTGACCTGACTCTAAGATCATGTTTCCAACAATGAAAGCCTTCATGAAGGATGGTGGCACCTACAAAGTATGTAGGATTTGGGGACAGCCTGACCCTTCTCCTGGCCCTACCTCTTCTGTTTACTTTTCCAGGGACCTCGGGCCAATTCTTTCACCCTCTGGCCTTGGCTTCCCATCTGTAAAACAGAAACAACACCTCAAATTAGCTGTGCAGGGGTTAAAAGAGGTGATGGGGGTCATACACCCACTCGAATGTCTTACATTAAAGACTTGGACAGTGAGGAAGGAGACCTGCTGTGGAGGGCTGTTCCATGGCCCCCACCTCTCCTGGAGACACAGCTTCCTCTTGGCTTCACTGAACCCCTAACATATGCCTGTTGGGGTTCACTGAAGCTCTGAAATGGCTGTTGCAAAATTTTTCAAAGGATTTGGTCTGTTTAATTCATTTTCTGGAAATACCCATGTTCTCAACGTAAGTAAGAATTATTCCAGAAATGACCAAATCCCCCTTCCTTGGGAGTTTGGTAGAATAAAGATGCAGAGGATGCGGTGGAGCCTGACTCTCCTCATCTGGGAAGACCTGGTGGGAGCAGGAAGTGGCAGAGATTGGCTGCCCAGAAGGTCATGGTGACCATGCCATGTGTCTAGGGGTGCCAAGCATAGGGTGGGGTCTAGAAGAAACTGGCCAGGCCCTTACTGGCCTTCTCCTCTGAAATGGTTTGGCTCTGTGTCCCCACCCAAATCTCACCTTTAATTGTAATAATCCCCACGTGTCAAGGGCGGGACGAGGTGAAGATAATTGAATCATGGGGTCGGTTTCCCCCATACTGTTCTGATGACAGTGAGTGAGTTCTCATGAGATCTGATGATTTCATAAGGGGCTTCCTCCTTCACTTGGTACTCATTCTGTCTCCTGCCACCCTGGGAAGAGGTGCCTTCCACCATGATTGTAAGTTTCCTGAGGACTCCTCAGGCATGCAAAACTGTGAGTCAATTAAACCTTGTTTCTTTATAAATTACCCAGTCTTGGGTATTTCTTCATAGCAGCATGAGAACAGACTAATACATCTTCTTCAGAACAAAAAGGCTGGGTAAGGGGGTGGGCACGGAGGTTCCCAGCAGTACTGTGCTCACGGCATTGTGCCAAGTGCATACTTGTCCTCCATCTGAGCCTCCACAACCCTAAGAGGAGATGTGGTCAGAAGCAACCCAAGGTTTTGCCAAGTGAAACTCCGTAAGGAGACAGAGCAAATTTCCAGATAGGCTGGGATCGGAGCCCACCCATGACTCCAGCTCTGTGTGTGTTTCCTCTGAGTCTTCCCTTGCATTGCTGTCCCAGAGAAAACACTCTGGAGCCCCCAGGAGGTGCCTCCTCTTGTGCTACTGCCCCTGGGGAGGGGGCTTCCTTCCCAAGTGGGCATGGGGCTATTGCTATCCCTGTTTATAAAAGAAGACACCAATTGTTGAGATGAGAGAGTGAGAGAGGAAAGAAGAGAGAGAGGGAGAGAGAGAGAGAGCACACAAGAGCAAGCAATGGAGGAGCAGCAACTGCTGCAGAGGGGGATGTTTTCATTGAATTTTCCATACGCTAGTCACTCGCCAGTGTGGAGATGATGCCAGGGAAGGTGGGTAATCATGTGAAACCAACATCACAAGATGGGGGTAGAGTCACTGAGCCCTGCTGTCTCTTAATGTTAGATGTTGAACACTTGGGCCAGTTGACTCAAACGTGATTTCGATCTTAAGTGTCCAGCAGTTTCCACCTGCGTAGAAGCTGCTGGCTCTAGGTCCTGCTATCGGGGGCTGTTCCTGGCATAGGCACTGGGGTTGGGGGTCCTCACAGACACCACGCTGGCTTGCTGTGTCCTCCTCTGGGGTGGGGCACAGACCTAGGATCCCCATGTGGATCACAGCACTGGGCACTCCGCCTATACTCCCTCCCAAGGCCGTCACATCAGAGCGCTCAGAGCTGCAGGGAGCTGAGCTCTGCAGAGTCCAGGGATCCACATCAGGGAGGCCAGCGAAGCCTAGAGGATCCTGCAGAGGGGAGGAGTAGCGGGCTGGGGAAGGTATGAGGAGATTTTCCAGAAAATCGCAGCTTATCCCTCTCTTCACAGAGATGCATCTCTTTCTGTGTGTGGTTGTGCTGTCTGCAGTCATATACATTGTATCCAAGGGGCTGGCAGTATTTTGATATAGTAACAGTGTGAATTTTGTTCTTGGTAATTCCTCTTTTAACCCAACTGCTTTTCAATTTAGACTTTGACGCTGAAACATTTTGGACTTTCCCTGGGGGGACCAAAGGAAGCAGTGCTTGCCTGTAGGTTCCTATGTGTGGAGGAACAACAGAGCCACTTCGGGTCGGGTGGATTGGGCATCTCTGGGTAGAGAAGGACTTTGCTTCCTTCCTTGGGATTGGAGTGGGAAGAGGCTCAGGGAAGCAGAAAATTCCTTGAGCCCCCTGTCTTCCCACCACCCCTGGCCTGACATAGTAGAATGGACCGGGCAGTGAGATAAATGAGAAAACCTTGGAATGTCCCAGACTGGGGCAGGAGAGCATCTGCAGACTTTCAGGCTTCTGAGAGGAGTACTTGCTGGCGAGAGAACAGTGCCCAGAGGGGAGCCTGGAGCCTCTGTAGGAGAACATCCTCTTAGACAGTGGAGACCAGAGACAACAATGGAGTGCTGGTCATCTCAGCAGCTCCCAGGAGCACCACAGGCCATGGCCAAGGACCAGACACCCTCCCTATGAAGTCCTTCAGAGCTCGGATACCACCCTGGTGAGAAACTTGGGAAGAAAACTGAACGCACTAGAGGAAAAGAGTATCATGCACATGAAATGCATGTGATTAAATTTTCTGGAATCAGCAGAATTGGGGCTTGAAATAGAAATTATGTCCAATTATAGAAAAGATTTTTTTTATAAAAACATACCTTCCATATTTTTTGAGTTACATCCCAGATTGACATCTTTGTGGCCTTTGTGGTCTTTGTGGCCTTGGAGATGAAAGTAAACTTGGTTTACCCCACCCCCCAATTCCACAGCCTGGCAGCTCAGCAAGCACTGTTTGAGCTTCACCGGGTATCTGGAGAGCAGCCTTCACTCTACGTTTTATGTTGAATCATTTCTTTAAATACAAACAGTGCTTGCCATTAGAATTTTTAAAATGCACTTTCTACCTTGCTTTTGCACTTACAATCTCACACTGTGTAATAATTTCATATAGAAATATTTTTGAAATGTACTGCCTTCTTCCCAGGTGAGTGAACAGGAGTTGACCCAGCAGGACCAACTCCTTGATGCCATGGCCATTGCCAGTTTGCTTTGTCCCTGTTCTGTGATGCCTGATGTTGAATGGAACTCCTAGCTGCTGCCAGCTGATCAGCTTGGTTAGGAGCAAAGTGAGCACAGTGCTTGGAAGCCCAGTAGTGGCCTCAGACCTCTTGGGCTATTCCACCACCCACTCAGACTCAGACCCCTCTGACATCCTTCAGACCCCAGGCTTGGTGGGCATCTGCAAGGCTTGCTGCAGAGCCTGATGCAAAATGAGCACGCCATAGATGATGGCTTGTTTCATTATTATTTATTGCTACCCAGGTCTAGACAAAGGCTATCAGAGGCAACAAAATAAGCGAGATCCTGTCACGTTTAAAAGGGAGAGAGATTATTAAATCACTACAAGGTTGAAGACATTTTTAGCTAGTCAATTTTATACAGTATTGATTGACTCCCATTTATGGAAGATGAGAGTATCAGTGCCATTTACATTTTTCCCCTGTATAACCTCTGACCAACTTTTCATTGTTATTTGTGTTTTATTTGATCTGGACATACAACATCCATATTCTGTTATATAAACAGGGTTCCTATATTTGTTCCATATTAGTTATAGATGTAAACAGATTCACTGCTCACCACCATTTTTTAAAATCTCATTTCTTCATCCCTGAGTTTTTATTTTGATTCCTCTTTTGTCTAGATTTTTTTTTTCTTTTTGCAAAATACTGTTTCAGGGAAAGACTACTGGATTTGGTAATCTCTGAGCTTCTTATTTCATGCCTGCATAAATTGATCTATTGCCTAAGTGACATTAAAAGTCATCTTGGTTTCTATACTTAGATGGCATCTTGGCTGGATATTACGCCCACCACCATTTTTTAAATAATCATTTCTTCATCCTTGGATTTTATTTTGATTCCTTTTACGTCTAGATTTTTTTTTTTTTTTTTTTTTTGCAAAGTACTGCTTCAGGGAAAGACTACTGGATTTGGTAATCTCTGAGCTTCTTTTTTTTTCATGCTTGCATAAGTTTACCAATTGCCTAAGTGATATTAAAAGTCATCTTGGTTTCTATGCTTCGATGGCATCTTGGCTGGATATTATGATCTGCTATTTCCTTCAGGACTTGTAGACAATACTCCCTTGTCTTTGACATTGCTATTGCTGTGGATTCATATATATGCTTTTTACCTTTTTAGGTTATTTATTGTCTGTCAGAATGGCTGGAAAATTCTTTCCTTATTCTTTAATTTTAATAGTTATCTAGGAAATAAGACATTTCAGTATTATGTGCTTTATATAAAAATTTCCCCGATTAGAATGTGCATTCTTTTAATCTACAGACTATTTTTTTCTCCGCAATTTCAGAAACTTTGAAAAGAAGACATTATCCATTGCAAGTGTTAGGACAGGCTTTCATTCCTATTGTCTGTTTCCGCTCGCTGCTATAGTAGTGTCCTTTATCCACAGGAGATACATTCCAAGGCCCCCAATGGATGCCTGAAACCGAGGATAGTACCAAATCCTATGTATATAGTCATCCCCTCCGTATCCACGGGGGATTGGTTTCAGGATTCCCCTGAATACCAAAATTTGAGGATTCTCAAGCCCCTTAAACAAAATGGCATAGTATTGGAGTGTAATCTACAAACATCCTCTTTATACTTTAAATCAATTCTAGATTACTTATGATACCTAATATAAAGTAAATGCTGTGTAAATAGTTGCTGGACTATATTGTGTAGGGAATGATGAGAAGAAAAAAGTATGTATGTGTTCAGTACAGCTGCAACCATCCACTTCGTGTGTATCAATCAACTATCTACAGTTGGTTGAATCCACAGATGTGGAACCCATGGATATGGAAGGCCAACTGTGCTGTGTTTTTTTGATCTGATAACTGGGATGGCTAGTGAGTAACTAATGGGCAGGTCATATATACAACACAGATGCATGAGACCAAGGAGATGATTCATGTCCCAAATGGGATGGAGTGGGTTGGTGGGATTTCATTGCTGCTGTTCAGAACAGTGCACAGTTTAAAACTTATGAATTGATCATTCCTAAAATTTTCAATTTAATATTTTTAGACTGTAGTTGATCAGAGGTAATGGAAACCTCAGAGAAAGGAAAACTACTGTATCTTTTCTGCTCTCTTTCCTTTCTTCATCTACGTTCATTATCCAGTCACTTAACCTCACTGAGCCTGCTGCCTCATATAAAGTTGGAATAATATACCTATCTCAGGACAGCTCCTAGGATTAAAAGACTTAATATATGTAAAGCTCTTAAGAAACAGTGCTCAGACCAGAGCAAGTCGTGGAAAAGTGGTTGTGATTTTTATTATTATGGATTTTTAACATTATTATTACTCGTCATAGTGAAATGGTTCATTGCAAGGACTCTGGAGCCAGACTGCCACATATTAGCTGTGTGACCTTGGGAAGATACTTAACCTCTCAGTTTCTTGTTTTTGTCCTTTGTAAAATGCAGTTAATACTTGTCCTTACCTCAGGATTATTATGAGGATTAATAGTTAGTAAAGTGCTTAGAACAGTACTGGCATGCAGTAAGTGTGCTGTATGTGTTGTTCAGTAAACATTTCCTGAAGCTTTTCCTGCAGAAAAGCAATTATTTTCAGTAGTGTTTATTCTGTTTCTTGCTGTTTCTAATGTGTTATCTGTAATGATGTTTTGATATTAATTTGCTTCTGTATGTCTATAATGTTTTTTCACTTCGTTCTGTTTTATCATTCTGTCACTGAGCTCTCTTGTTATTGACTTTACACCCTTTTAAGTTGTACTTTAAAGCAATTCTGGAACATTTCTTTTCACTCCTTGAGTGATGTTTTCTTCTAGGTAGGGTTCTTTGTTCTTGAATGCTCTTTCCCTTTTCTTCATTGTTAGTGTGTGTGTACGTGTGTGTGTGTTAGTGTATACTGTGCATATCTGTGCTCCTTTGTGTAAGTGAATCTTTTTTTTTTTTTTTTAATCTTGCCTTCTGCTCAGGCAGCATTGTCCAGAGCTTCTGTCTGCTCCACTCAACACTGTGGTGACTTTCTTCTTTGTCTGAGGCACCTTACTTCCCCCTTGAGAGCCTCTGTTTCACTGGATTACTGCAGCCTGAGGGCATGGCACAGGGATGGATAGGGTACAGGCTCTGAGAGCCCTGGGCTGGGGCTTGCCTCAGATGGCTGAAGTGTTGACACTGGGAAAAACACCTGCATGAACCTGTTCCCCATTACTAGAGGTGGGGTTAGGGGAGGGTTAGACCTTTACTCATGTCCCAGTAGCCAGCAACCACTTCCATTTTTTTCAGTAAGAAAGGACAAGACCCCCACTCCTTCAACTCCAGTTTTCTTCACTCTGGGCTTGAGGGTGCTCGTGAGAATGCTCAGCGTTTTTCAGACTTGCCAGTGTGTTCTTTGGGGTGGGGCAGGTTAGCCTCGGTGAGGTGGGCGGCTTCCTGTCTGGGTGTGTAGAGCACCAGCTTGTGGCCTGCTCTTCCTTTGGTTGCTGTTGGAGAAACTTTTTTTGGAGGGGGTGGGGCCTTTAATGTATGCTTCCACTTGTTTTTTAAAAAAACATAGTAAATTAATTTTCTTTTATTTTTCCCCAACTTTACTGAGATATAGTTGATAGTTAAACATCACATGGGTTTAAGTTGTCCAACTTGAGGATCTGATACACATATATGCTGGGCTTTCAGTAGCTGCTGCTTATGTGGTTGGAGACTGGGCTCAGAAGCCCTGTGACCCAGTTGCTTTTAGCCAGCTTAACTGTCTTTTGATTAATCCTTTTCTTTTTTTGTCACTGCCTCCCCAGCAATCTTTAAGAGACTACTATGTTATCAAATCTATATAGTAAGCCAGAAAAATGCCTCTGAAACTGGAATAAGGGCTTTAAAATGTGGCTAATATCTGCTATTCCCTTCTTCCCTTGACTGAATGAAGAAGCACAGTCACCCCGAAACTGGGCTGATTCCAAGGCACTCCCAAGTTTGCAGAGAAGTATAAATTCTCTCAACTGTCTTACAGCCTGAAGGACAGCAAGGGTCAGGTTGGGTAATTTTAATTATATTCAGTTAGCATGTCTTGAAGCCCATAAATCTAAATGCCAATAAATTAATATATTATTCTGAGTGCCTCCCAGCCACAGCATTAAATCACTTATGCAGGGAGTGCCACGAAGAATGGGGCAAACTCCCAGAAGCACAAGCATTTCAGTTTTTCTGTAGTAATCTGTCATTAATGGGGCCTGCAAATTCCCGTGTCCACACATGTGAGCAAGAAAAATGGAATGTGCCCCCTAAGCATGAACTCGGCCCACTATGCCCTTGGCTTCTGTGCAGCTGTCCATGCCCAGAGCCTCCATGACAGCGGCCTAGTCATTCCTCTCCAGGAGCCTGGTCTGGTTTCAGGGGCAGGTGCTTCTTTTTGTGTAGGACGTTTAGAGTCAGGCTGAGTTAAAGTGCCTCTGGTCTTTACTGTTTGATATCAGGAAGGATTTCAAACCCCACCTTTGATACTCAGGCTGTTGCAGGGGGCCTTGGGTTTGAGCAGGCTGGGATGAGGGTGAGGCAGGTGAGGTGCCACTTCCAGTTGATGATGGAATCCTGCTGTGCATGTACAACATTAGAGCTTGATGGGCAAGACAACATCCCACTCATGATGGGGGGCTAAGGTTGCATGGAAACTTGGCCTCTTCACTAAGACCCAGTAGCAGCCAAGAGCTCTTTCTCAAAAGGAGAGTAGTTATCTGCAGAGGACGGCTCAGTTTTACTCTGGAATCCTGGACTATGATTCACGTATAGGAGCCTGCTGCAGGCCCCGAACAGTGTCCCTGTCACTGCCACTTCATGCTGGATTCAGTGGCCCAAGTGGCAGATGAACTTTCATAGCAGTCTGGACCCATTGCAGAGTGTTCTTTCTTGTTTTATGCCCCATTCAAAATGAACAGCTTTTCAGGGTTCTCAGGAAACAGGCTGGAGTAGAACACCCAAATGAGGAATATGTTGCTGCTAAAATCCAAGTCCTCCACCATCCCATGGGTGCTGTGCCCTTCGTTTGGTTGTGGGAGGGGCCAGGTGCAGTACTGTGTCCTTTACACTAGCAGACATATCTCAATATGCCCTAGAACACTGGGTCCCTACAAGTTTTGATGAAGTGGAAGGACCCTGAATTTTTGTGGGATTTATTTCCCAGCCTCTAGCACATAGATGTTTTATCAACATGTCTGCAGTAGTTGCTGCATCTTGCTCACTCGTCAGCATCCCGTCATCAATTTCATGGACTCTTTTGGAAGAGAAGAGTGATCAAAATCCCTGCAGACTAAACTATGAGAGAAGGGTGGAGAGTTGCTATACTCCTGAGATATGCCCCTGAGACAGACCTGGGCAACTGAAAGCAGACTGCTTCTGTGGTCTTTACTAATAGGTAAACAGGGAAAAGAAAGTACTCACCAGATCAATGGCTGCAGAGCAGGTACCAGGGGATGTGTTAATTTGTCTAAGAAACGAAGCCACATCTGGAACAGCAGCTACAATTGGAGTCGCCACCTGGTTAAGCTTATGATAATCCACTGTCATTCTCCAAGATCCATCTGTCTTCTGCACAGGCCGGATGGGCACGTTGAATGGGGATGTGGTGGGAATCACCACCCCTGCATATTCCAAGTCCTTCTCTCCAGGAGTGTGGAATTGATTTTGGTTTACTATTTTTGTAGATAAAGGCAATTATAGTGGCTTCTACTTTGTCTTTCTCACCATCATAGCCCTCACTCCACAGACCAGGGGACCAATGCAGGGATTCTGCCTGCTGCTGAGTATGTCTGTGGCAATGATGAACTCCAGAACTGGGGAAGTAACAGCAGGATGCATGTGGGGACCCCCAGGACCCACTGTAAGATGGAACTAAGCTAAAACTCCATTGACCACACAGCCTCCTTAAGCCCCTATGCTGACTCGTGGGTCACAGTGATGTCTGGGGTCTCTTGGAATCAATGTCAATTCAGAGCCAGTGTCCAGTAGTTCCCAAAAGGTCTAATTATTTCCTTTCCCCCAATTCACAGTCACCCTGGTATATGGCCATAAGCTCCTTTGGGGAAGGCTGGGCAAAAGATTAATAGTGTAAATTTTGGGCAGTATAGTGGGGGTCCTTCCTCAAGGGGACCTGGCCTCCCTTGTATTCAGGGGGCTCTGCATCTGTAACTTGGCTTGTCTGGGAGTTGGTTGATTGGGGAAATTTTCTGTTTTGGTAATTCAAATCAGAATCTATTCACTGGACCTAGAGTTCTTCTGATGACACAGATGAAGTAAGAATTTAGTAGGCTGCCCATCAGTTTCTCTTCCAGGGACACTGTGATCAACCAACCAACACCATGGATCTCTG
Source organism: Homo sapiens (assembly GCF_000001405.40). Lineage (NCBI taxonomy): Eukaryota > Metazoa > Chordata > Mammalia > Primates > Hominidae > Homo > Homo sapiens. Next base: position 126,759,438 of record NC_000002.12, on the reverse strand, counting down.
TGCACTGGGGTCTTCTGACTGCTGCTTTCCCCCTCTGACGAGTACGGTCCTTAGCCTGACATAAGAGGTTGTCCAGGATCTGGCCACAAGCTCTTTCTTCAGCCTCAGCTCTCTCCTCTCCCTGTCTTGAACTCTGGGCCCCAACAACACTGAAATGTACATACTCTATTCTCTCCCTAGTCAGGCCGTTTCTCACTCCTAGGCCTTTACTGGGGCTGTCTCCCCTGCACAGAATGTTCCACTCACTCAGTATGATCTGACTCCGTGGGAAAGAGGCTCTGTGTCCTCAAGACCTCCCCTATACTTCTCTGTTCCCATCCTTTACCCCAGTGTTTGGTCCTCATCTACTTTCTTTTCTCTTCCCCCACTGTCTGTGAGTTCCTCCAGGAGAGGGCTGTCTGTGGGACTCAGCTTTGCGTCCCCAGTACAGGCATTAGTACTGAGCTAGCATGTGAGGAATGTTCTATGGAAGTGTGATTTTAAACTCTGGTGCTGAAAGTGTCTGAAAGATGCATTTGATGGCTCTCTGACTCACCTGTGCAGGTGAGAGATGCAGACATTCCAGTGCATTCTTATGGGTTTAGGTGAGATGTAAAAGGTGCATTCTCAAATGTCACTTAATATTCTCCATTTTGCATGTTCAGTCAGTGAGGCTGGAGATGGAACATACCCTGCATGATTTTTTTTTTTTTTTTTTTTGCTTTTGACAGCCTTTGCTGTCTGTCAACATGATTCCCCATAAATTGTTCTAATTTATAAGGTGTTTCACACTGCAGGAGGCTAGCAGAGGCAGGAGTTTGGTGGGGTGAAGGAGTCAGCTCCTTGGCTTGTAAAGCTGTTTGTGTTCATGTAGAATGTCAGAGAGAGACTGCTTCCCTGGCTGGGGCATGGGATCAGCTGGGCAGGAACTTTAATTAAAGGCAAAAAGTTGCCACTCCTGGGCTTCACAACCTCCACCAGCTTTGAGTTCTGCTCTGCAGCCCCTGGAAACTCCTGCATCAAGCAGTGAATTATTCAACAGAGCAAGGCAAGTAAACAAAGAGGTGGAAGAACTCACCTTAGCCCCAGTATGCGGAGGTGAGCAAAGAGATGCCACAGTGGCAAAAAGCATACACTTAATGCAGAAACAAGATATTTACAATGCAAATTACTTTTAAGCAGCCATATCGAACCAAAAGCAAAAAATCAGTGCGTGTTTTTTTCTATTATTTTTGTTAGTCTACTGTTTTATTTATCTATCAGTCCTCATTAGGGGCTGGTAATGTAACATACCTATTTATTTGTTAGTTTTTTAGAGATTTAGTGATTTCTTGCTATTTTTAAGGTTATATATTTAATGCCATTTCAGAAAAATACACATGGTTTTTATATAGGTGTTGACTCAGAAATTAAGCTTATAAAATACGTTTATCTTATGAAGTTGTTTTCAATGCTTAACTTTGCAAGTTATATCAAGGTTGTAGGAATCACTTCTCTCAGGCTTTTGGGAGCAAATTGATGTTCTTATTTCAGGTCTTAAAAAAGTCAGACAATTTACTTCTAAGATTGTTTCAGTAGGGAGATATGTTAGAATATTGAGGGAAGGGTTCTTTTTCAAGCTACACCTTCTCCCTCCACCTTCCCTCCTGCTCCCAGGGGATTTGCAGCCATTCTCTCCCACCTACCTGAGCCATGGTTAGTGTTGAGCCATGATGGGCATGAGTGTTGTGGCTGAACGTAATGAACAAGAGAGCTACTTGCATCATTGCTTAAAGGAACGGTAACAGACAGTTGTATTAGTCCATTCTCAGGCTGCTAATAAAGACATACTTGAGTCTGGGTAATTCATAAAGGAAAGAGGTTTAATTGACTCACAGTTCTGCAGGTTGGGGAGGCCTTAGGAAACTTACAATCATGGCAGAAGTGGAAGCAAATACGTCCTTCTTCACATGGCGGCAGCAAGGAGAAGTGTTGAGCAAAAGGGGGAAGATCCTTATAAAACCTTCAGCTCTCATGAGAACTCATTCACTATCATAAGAATAGCTTGAGAGTAATTGCCCCCATGATTAAATTACCTCTTACCATGATTAAATCACCCTCCCACGACATGTTGGGATTATGGGAACTACAATTCAAGATGAGATTTGGGTGGGGACATAGCCAAATCGTATCAACAGTGGACCACTTTGGCTATCTAAAATGTTCCCCATTAATTAAAATAGATTTATCACTCTTCCCTTTAACTTTGTAGTCATCTTTACACTATTGTCTGTGCTTCCAAGGCTCTTTAACAAACAGATCCTCTTAATGAGAAATAGTTTTTTCTCAAACACTTTATTTCTATCTTACACCATTTATCTCATTCTTTATTGTATTTAAGTTATTATGTTTATATACTTTATCTCTCCAGACAGACTATCAGCCACCTGACTTTAGGAATCATGATTTATTGTCTTTCTATTACTCAAAAAAGTATTGCTAATAGTAATAAATAGATGTCTTATATATATGTTTAATAAGTGAGTGAATGAATGAATGGATAAAATCTCAGATCTTAATATTCTGTAAAAGGAATTCTGTCTGTTATATATTTATTTTTCACCTAACAATTAGCTCAGGGACAAAGAAGCAGACACAGGCGTATTTACTCCTTTGGTCAGGAATGAGCAATGTTGCTGTAATATGCAAAGTGCCCTTACAGGAATGATTGTCATCAGTTGAATGTATAAAGAAAGCATCATGTTGACATGTGAAAAGTAAGCAGTTTGGTTCTCCCCAAGGCTAGTTGCAGGCCATCTGGGGAGCCAAGAGAAAGATGTGAGGTCAGAGAGACAAGTCTCCAGAAGATACCACCCCATTCTGATTCTCCATGCACCCAAAGGCCTGGCTAAACATGAGCTAGGAACCTGTATACACCAAATAGTATTTGTAATGTGGCTGAAGTGGTGGTGCTATTGAGTATGCCTCAGACATTTCTCCAGAATTAGAATTGGTTTAACAAAGACTTCATGAATAGGAAACAATACTGGCCCAGAGGAGCTCAGCTCAGGCAGGCAGGCAGAGGTGTCAACAGGCAATTCTAAGTGGCCCCATGGCTGCAAGGACAAGACTGTGTCCTCGGTGTCCTAGAGCTCTGAGTCAGCATGGGGGAGTCAGGGCTGACTTCCAGAGATGGCAGCATTTGAGTGGAGAGTTGAAGGGGAAGTAAGAATTAGCTGGAAAGATGATGGGGAAGACATCCTGGGAGGAGGGAGTGGCACAAAACATGAAGCAATGACACAGCAGCAGTAATGAGTACCCTTGGTGTGCAGACCTTGGTTTCTAACAACCATGTCAACTAAAAGGAACCAGGGCTCCTTGGGGCCATGGGACAGAGAGACTGGGACAGAGAGAATACAGAATGAGGCTGAAATCTCTTGTGCAGGAAAGAGAATGTTTCAAGAATGATAGGGACCGGGAGGAAGGGCCCACTGGCCACCTCCTGAGACAATTCAAGCATCAAAATAAAGGATGATAGTGATGAATTATAATGCATGAGAAAAGTAAGAATCCTTGAGTCCCTACTGATAGTAAATGAATGAGGGGGGGAGAAGAGAAATGTGGAAAGAATGATGGAGCTGGAGAGCCACACTTCACCACATTCAAGAGCCACCCTTCATCACTTAATTCAGATAGGAACTGTCAGTGGGCACTAAGGCTGTAGGGAAAGTTTGATGACAATAGGCCATTTACACAATTTCAAAGTATCTCCCCACAAATTATATACACTAATTACAATGGGAAATATAGCAGCTTTATTGTGGAGAAGCCTGGCAGGCATCACCTTAAGCAAATGATCAAAGTTAATATCACCAGAAATGGGACTAAGTCACAGTCATGTGCCTGCTAATATGATGTGCTGAGAGCACGTCATTTCTGAGTACTCCTGTCAAAAATGCATAACTGGAATGTAATTATGAGAAAACATCAGACAAACCCAAATTAAGGGAATTTTTTTAAAAAAAGCTTTGTACTCTTAAAAAATGTCAGTATCATAAAAGACAAAGAAAGGCCAAGAAATCATTCCATGTTAAAGGAAACCAAAGAGACACAAAAATTCTTTACCACAAAATATAGTAGCCAAGAAAAGTATTATTATGAATGGATGAAATATTAATAAGTTTTTTCGTGTAGAAAATAGTATTACATTAGTGTCAAATATCCTCATTCTGATAAATACAATCTGGGTATGTAAGTGAATGTCATTATTTTTAGGTTTTCCATGCAGAGGCATTTAGGGGTTAAGGGACATGCCAGCAACATATTTTTAAATATTCAAATAACTGAGAGAAGGAATGAAAAAAAGATGATGATAAAACAAAAATAGAGTAAAATGTTAACCATTGGTATATAAGGTTCTTTGCAATATTCTTACAACTTTTTTTTTTGTAAATTTGAAATTATTTTTAAAAATCCAGCCTTTGGTGCCAGAATATCTGGATTTGAATCCAAGCACTGCCACTTACTAGCTGTGTGTCTGTGGGCAAGTTACTTAACCTCTCGGGTTAAGCTGGGCTTCAGCTTTTTTATCTGTAACATGAGGATAATAACAGTGCCCACTTCAGGGTGTGATGAGGTTGAAGCGTTAAGACATGTAAAGCACTTACAAGTGTCTGGCACAAGGTAAACCCTGGGCTGGTGGTTGCTATTGTTGTTTCTAAGAGATAAAATCATCACAAGCAGAAAGGTGAGACAAGGATGTCTCCTGGAGATTTGTAGAGTGAGGACACCATGTGAGGAGGTAACCAGTGCCCTGGAGGGCACCTTAACTCAGGCCCTGGCACAACCCCAAACTGGGCCTGTGTGGTGTGAAACTGGATTAAGATCAGGGTCCCACTTCCTGTTGCTCTGATGAGACTGAGTCTATTTTGAAGGTCCAGGAAGGGAGGTGGACCAGCTGGTGAAGCCCTGGCCCCAGGTTCTCTTCCTCTGTCCCAGCTGGGATGCTGTGTGCCCTGGGACTGGCCCCGTGGCTATGCCTGAGCAGCAGCTGATGTGTTTGGCAAACAAGGGCCCCTGTGGCACTGCCAGTTACCAGGGCCCACCACTTGTCCCATGGCAGCAAAAATAAGACCCCACATGGCCTTTGGGCCTGCCACTGCCTAGCTGGCGGCCTTCAGCCTGTTGTCCCACCCCCTGAGCTGCAGTTGCACCAACAGGATTCTAATACCCACCGCTAGGTATTCACTGTCGCAAATAATCAACAGGTAAGATTTATCAAGCATGTTTATTAGGCCAGGCATTTTTCATGGATTATCATTTAATCCTCACCACAAACCTCTGAGGTAGGTGCTATCAGGATCTGCATTTCAGACATGGGACTTTGAGGCTTAGAGATGTTAATTAAACTGCCCAAGGTCACACAGTGAGTAAGTGGTGACGAGGCTTCCACCTGGCCTGTGGGGGTGACTGCTATGCTCTTATCACTGATTACAGTGCTTTGCTTGCTCTTGAATATTTTTAAAGTCATCGAATGGTGTAAGTTTGCCCAGCAGCTGTATCCAGTCTTGGGCCTGCTGGCTAATCTTGCAGGGGCCAGGAAGGAGCCCTGAATTTGTCCAGTGTGTGTTCCAGGGCATCAGTTTTGCCTTTGGTCATTCTCACCCAGCAGGTGTGAGGCTTGAGGCAAATATCCTGGAGACACCCGGAAGCTGCCTCTTCCTCCAGAGAAGGGCTTGCAGCTGGCGCCGCATCTTCAGAAGCTCCAGGTGAAAGTCAGGGCTGCGCACCTGTGAGGAGGGACGGGATGGAGCAGTGAGCTTGCCCACTCACCTGAGGGGCGTTATGGAGCCTGGTTCTTCGCTGCTCAAACCTGGGCAAACAGCGTAGGCAGAATTGAATGAGTTCCCCCACCTGAAGTTGGGTAGACCAGGAAAGGATGCCCTGTTTCATGCCTCAGCGTCCATGCAACAGCCCTGAGATCAGGGAGCCGGGTCGTGTGTGTGCAGGGCAGGCCCAGGCATCTCCAAGTACGTGTGCCCCCATCCCCAGCCCCACACTCACAGGCAAGCTCACCCTCCCTTCCTCACACACACAGCACACGCACCACAGAATTTCCCTGTAAAGCATTGGCTTCCTCCTTTACTGTTTGGCCTGGAAGCAGGGGCAAAAATGCCCCCGTTGAGTTATTTTCCTCCCAGCAGGGAATAGGGTAGTGTCCCAAAGTCTGCCCATGCACTGAGCATGGGTGGCTCATGCAATCCAGGTGGCTGCAGTAGCCCCTTTACCTGGGGTCCCGCGCTGCAGGCCTGGGCTCCTTGCTTACCTGCTGTGCTCCCAAGTGCCTGGCCCATGCTCCACCTGCCAGTCTTGGCCTAAGGCAGCCAAGACCCCTCTGCCTTCCTGGGTCCCTCTGGTCTCCTCGGCCCCTGCCACCCTGCTGCTTTTCCTAAGGGTTGCCTCACATCGGGGCAGGGCCAGGGAGGAGGGCCCCAGGCCTGTGGGGAATGTGCCTTTCCCTGGAAGACCTTGAAGATGCCCACTGAGGAGTCAGGGTGATTTACACCAAGGATCCAGCAGTGGAGCCAGGAGCAGTGTTTGAGGGGATGGCCCACGGTTGGCTCCTTGAGAGCTGTTAAGTGCTGGGCAGGATTATTGATGCCAACTCCTGGAATCCCCTTCCTTGAGTGTGCTGTATGGGCTGCTCCTCCAGTTTTACAGAAGAGGAAACAGCCTCAGGCAAGGTAAGTGTCTGCCCGAGGTCATCTCTTGGTAAGGGGACCCCAGAGTCTGTGCTCTTTCCACACCCAGATTTCCTGGAGTTGGGAGGGGAGAGGGTAGTGGGGAGATTGGAACACACCAGTTATACTGAGTGTCTGAAGGGAGCAGGAGGCCCAAGAGATGGGCAGGAAATCCCAGTTCATCATAAGGAAAAAGTTTTCTGCATTTGGAACTTTCCATAAAGCAGCGATACCCCCTCACCATCATCAGAACAACTTGGCCAGAGGCTGGATGGTCAGGTGTGAGGAATGTACAAGGACGGCACTCTCTGGAGGCTGGACTTTAGGAGCCCATGGGTCTAAGAGGTGGCATGCTAGACACTCTCAGTCCCTCCCATCTTAGTGAGGATTTGCCTCTCAGACTGGAGCTCTCCAAAATCACCTGCTCTGAGTGCTGGCATGCTGTGGCTGTGGCTTCCTACTTCATCTCCCAGATTGCTGATCCACTCTTTATCCAGCTTTTTCTAGTCTGCAGCCACAGTGATTGCTCCCAAATGTGAAAACGTCAATGTCCTTCCCCTGCATAAACTTTTGGCATGGGTTTGCACCACTCTTAAGATAATGTCTCTCGATGTGACTACAGGACTGGCGTGGTCTGTACCTGCTGCCCAGACACACCTCATGCCCCTACCTCCTCTACTCTGGCCTGTGGGACAGTTGGGTCTGGTGCTGTCCCACCCACTACAGGGCCTTCCCACAGGGCGCCCCATTACTCTCCACCGCCTGCTCTCCTTCCCTTTCTCCCAGTTAACTCCTACCCAACTTTCAACTCTCGGTGCAGGCACTGCTTTCCAAGGAGAACTTTCTTGATGCCCGCCCCCACCATATTCCATCCTTCACAGGTTAACACAGCCCTGTTATAACTGCACACTGTGTATGTGATTATTCCTCCATCTGACGTCTGCTCCCTGCCAGGTTGCAAGTTCCATGAGAGCAGGCACCGTGGTTGCTTTGCTGGACGCCTGTCTCCAGCACCTGGAAAGAATAGACACCCCCAAATGGATCTGTTGAATAAATTAACTGGCAAGTCCTTGAGGCAGTGGGGCCCAGGAAGGAGGATTTTGATAGATGAAGGGCTTGCCTGCCCTTGCTAGCAAGAAGGCTGTCTGGGGGCATCAGGGTAGGCATCTTCAGTGGTGGCTGAAAGGCCCTGGCATGAGAGGCCCTTCACCTGGGCACTTCCTCCCGTAGGAATGATTCCCACCTCTCCTTCAGTGTAGGGATTTGTGATCTGTGGGGTGGCGGGGGGTGGGTAGGGGATACAGATGGGAGGGGAGTGCTCAGACCCAGAGGCCAGACAGCCCCACTCCAGACCGTACACAGCCTCAAGTGTCTTCGGGTCCCTCCTGGAACAGGTGCTTACTGGTAGTTCAGTGAGCTTTCCTCCTTGCCCCAACAGCCTTTGTATTTGTGCAGTCATGCCTTTGTTTGTCTGGACATTCGTTATTCCAATTTATCTTTCTTGAGGATCAATTAGATGACCAAGAGAGAATTATGTTCATTGAGACAACTGCTTTACAAGTAATGTTAATTTGGGTGAATATTCTTATTTCCTTGTTTGGATAAATATCCAAATTTCCTTGTAATGGAAATACTTCCATTCACTATCTTTTTCCCTCCTCTATTGAAAATGCATAGAGGTTATACTCCTCTTCTTATAGATTAGAAAAGCAAGAAATCAAGAAGTTAAGCAAATTGGCCAACCAGAGAGTCTCAGTGTCTCCATCTTTAAAATGGGACTAATATCACCAAACTGAGGGGGTCCATGTGGGTTAATTGCGTAGGGAGAGTGGCTAAAAGAAAATAATATTCTTTTATTCCTAATAATGAAAAGGTAGTTTACCCTTTCTGAAAGTGGTTCAATATTCAGCTTTAATGAGAAACCAAAATCTTGTTAAACGGTCTCCCTTCTGCTTGAGATCTGACACCCTGGCATCTGGCTGACGGAAATGTGATCTCATCAGACACCTGTGTTAAGGCCTGAGGTTTATGCTGACTCAGTTGTTCTAATCCAGCTAAATATTTAATGTGTGTCTAGCTCACATTACCTCCTCAGCCCCAAGTTAGTTTATGCTTCATCGCAATCAAATCCCATTCTTCCTTTACTAAAAGAGCTTTCTTGCAGAGCAGAATACTTGGGGGCATTAAGTAATATAGAATTGTGCTTCTCAAGACCAACAGATCCAATACCCGCTTTGTATCAAATATTATGTAACATTCTCTTTATTATATAGTAATGAAATATAGATAGTACAACTTACCTGTACACATAATTGTATAAAAAGACAGTGAAGCCCTGAGCATAATTATAGTAGAAAGGAGAAATAAAAGCAAAGCAATCTATAGTAAAATACAATATATTGTAATTGCTCAGGTCTGGCTTTCCTAGCAAATGTAATAATGTAATCAAATGTTTGCATGTACTTAAAATGAATAAATGTGTATGAAGAGAAGGACAAAAAATTTATTAAAGGTTTTTCTTTACATTTGACATTTTGAAATAAGAGCTGCAGAAGTACTTATACATGGAAGGTACTCCCTTGTGGGACTGCAGTGACAGCCACAGATGCAGGTGTGTCCAGGTGTTTGGGGCTGGAGATGACTCAAATTCTTGGAAAGGCATTGCCATTGTGATAGGGTTTTTCCAAAAGAAGAGCAATACTTGGTAAAGGAGTAATTCTTCCCTTGATTCACATAATTGTTGCATTTGATTCAGTGTATGTGAAACTAGGTGAATATACTTTGTTTTTATATGTAAAATGACACAAAGTTCAAATAATAAACAGGCCTATCATCTACACAAATGTCCAGCAGCACATTCAGAAGTGAGTTTGGGACTCTTCCAGGTACTGCAGAAGTACCACCCATCATACTGATAATCCCAAACACCCCACAGAGTTCCCAGACACCCCCTAGGGGTCAGCATCCACTGTGTTTAGAACACTGATGGAGAGGCTTGGATGTTAACGTGGCCCAGGGGAAAGTCAAAGCTTCTGCCTCTGCTTCTGTGTCTCTGATGACCATGCAGGTAACAGCTGGGATATGATTCTGAGCACTCACTACCTGCTGGCCATGGTGGTAGCTGTTCTCCCTACACCATTAACCCACATGGACCCCTTTGGGTTGGTGATATTAGTCCCATTTTAAAGATGGAGACACTGAGACTCTCTGGTCGGCCAATTTACTTCTTGATTTCTCACCTTTCTAATCTATCAGAAGAGGAGCATAACCTCTATGCATTTTCAATAGAGGAGGAGAAAAGATAGTGCGTAGAAGTATTTCTATTACAATGGGAAATCTCGGTGTAGATTTATCTGTGAAGCAGGAAGTAATTATAGAGTACTCCTCTGTTGTGTGTGGTCAGAGGGGATGTCCAATGGTGGTTATCAGGAAGCATAAAGGGGTCTATGTTTTCATAGTGCAACCTGGAGGTGACTTGTGTGATCAGTTGGGGTTTAAAAAGTTCCTGTTCTGACAAAAGTAGAGAAAATGCAGATGGTACTGATGGGCTCTTAGAGTGAACCTCTGCAGGAGGACAGGTCGCGCAGCCTCGGGAACCAGCCTCGCCCACTGTGGAGCTGCTGGCCACACAGCACATGCAGCCTGCAGGACAGCACACCCTCTGAAAAGCCAACTGCTCTCTAAAGGCTGGCTACTGAGGAAGCTCTGTGACCTGAGTGAGCTGAGGAGCGGGTGACTGAGAGACCACCACCCAGAGTGAGCACGGCTGTGGACCCACGTGGTGTTCTCAGAATCTCTGTTTTAGTTTCTCATCAGGGCTTTGGTGAAAGGCACTGGAGGTTGATATTATAACCCACTGAAGCCCCTCACTGAGTGTGTGTGTGTGTGTGTGTGTGTGTGTGTGTGTGTGGTGGGTTGTGGGGGAGGTGAGAGAGAGAGAGAGGAGAGAAGGATGAGAAGATGTTCTAGTTGAATGAGGCACACTTGGATCAGAGCAGAGGACCCTCTTTGCTGGAAAGGGAGAAGATCCCTTGCTAGGGATTCAGCTTGGTTTTATTTCCTTCTACTTACTCCTCTCTTGGCTCCAGCCAGCAGAGCTATACCCAGGAGAATCACAGTTAAACAGAAAAGCAAACATTTTGATTAAGAGCTGGAAAGTCCCCACTGCCTACCCTCTCTTCAGGAGCCCAAGCACAAAGGCTGGGGAAGAGCAGCCACAAGAGGGGAAGGCGGGTGCAGGGAAAAGAGGCTACTGGTGAGCCCTACATCCATCACAGGGGGACCCCCAGGTGCATTTGGGCCTGTGACAGCCAAGCTGAGTGATGCCCTGAATGAAGGTGTGTCCCCTCCAGCCTGAGGAGCTGTCTGTGGGATCTGAAGGGACAAGCAGCCCAGGCTACCATGACAGCACCACAGTTTCAAGTCGAGGAGGCTGGGGAAGCCCTGGGGTGCCCAGATGTGCCCCGTCTGCTGGCTCCAGAGATGGGCCAAGATGGCCAGGCTTTGACTTTTGGAGGATAGTGAGCAGCCCACGTATGTTGGGATGTCAAAGGAGGGCATCTCAAGGTGATGTTTGTGGAGAGAATGGCTCTGCAGGCCTGGGCTTCCTCCTAATCTGGGCATGCAGAGGTTCTGTTTGTTCTATGGACAGCTATGTGGTGTGGAGTGACATTATTTGAACCCCAGCTTGAAAAAGTAGGATAACCTAATTACACAGAGTAAATTTCATATCATCTTCATGGATATAGGATATCATTTTCATCAATATAGAACAATTAATTGCATTTCTGTTAAAGCATTTTCATGTTAAAGCATGGGCTTAATTATTCACCATCAATTCTCATTGTTATCTCAAAAAGTACTGAAGTAAACGGCCCATGCAGGTATTGTTACAGACTGATCACCTGGGTTGCTTGAAATGCTAGAGCCCCAACCACTAACTTCACATGACTTGAGTTGCTCTGGGCACCTGCACCTTCAAATGTTACCTGTCCTGTTGTCATCAGTGCTTTTGAAAGATGGTCCACGAGAGGAAGGGATTTTGGGAGTTCCCATTTCACTATGCAGAAAACTCTTAATGAAACGCTCATCAACTTGAGCGCCCTTTTAAATTTGTATAGATTTAGGGGGTACTAGTGTAGTTCTGTTACATGAGCATGGCTATACACTGTTGGTGGGAATATAAATTAGCAAAACCCCTATGGAAAACAGGGATTATACAACCCCTATGGAAAAAAGTATGGAAATTTCTTAAATAACTAAAAATAGAACCACCATTCAATCCAGCAATCCTGTTACTGGGATTATACAAAAAAGACACCTGCACTCATACGTTTATTTCAGAACTATGCACAATGGCCAAGATATGGAATCAAAATGAGTGTCCATCAGTGGATGATTGGATAAAGAAAATATGGTACCTATAAACCATGAAATAACTCCTCCTCTTGGGGGAGATATCCCCAAATCTCCACTTGGGAAGGGAATTCCTGCTAAGGCCACAAGGGAAAGCTTCTTGGATCTAGCTGGTTTTAACTAGTGCAATTAGGCAGGAAGACAAAATAAATATCATCCAGATTGAATTAAAAAAAGAGAAAATCTACCTTTAATTTTGAGTGCACTAGAACTAATAGCTGAGTTTAGCAAGTTTGCAGTACTCAAGATCAATACAGAAAAATTAATTGTATTTCTGTAGACTGTCAATAAACAATCAGAAATTAAAATAAAAACATCTTTGAATAACAAAAATTTAAATACTTTGAGATAAATTTGACCACAAAATGCTAGACCTGTACTCTGAAAACTATAAAACATTGCTAAGAGAAATGAAAGATCTAAATAAGTGGAGAGGTATATGTTATGCATGGGTCAGAAGACCTAGTAGTATGATGTCAGTTCTCCTCAAACTATAGATTCAATAAAATCCAGTCAAAATTCCACCAGCCTTATTTATCTATTGATTTAGTAGAGATGGATACAGTACTGTCTGTGGCTCACAGGGGGTTACATCAGTGCCAAGCTAGTGAGTGGCAGAGCTTGGATTCATAATGGCAATAAGAAGAATCAGAGAACTTTAGAGCTGGAAGGGACTTTTTAAAGGATCCAATCTAACTTCCACAGGGTACAAATGAGAGAAGCAAGTTCAGGAGAGAGGAAGCAGCTTCCCAGGGTCTCACTGCAATTAAATCGCAGCCCTCCGGACTCTCACGTGAGCAGTCTTTCCATAGCAGAGTGGGAGCCAGGCAGGCAGAGCCAGCCGCTGCATCGCCAGCCTTCCTTCACTTCTCCTTAAAAAAAGAGATTTATGCCTAAAAATGGATGCCCCTTGCTACTTTATTTTTCCCTAGGTGGGGAATTGAGACAATATAAGAAAATTGCATTCCTTCTTCCCCTGTGGAAACACCAAGCATGCACGTGGCTGATGAGCTGTCACTCCAGCCGAGATGGGCACTACGAAGCTGCAATATTGAATTTCATTAAAATACTTGGTTCTGAAAAAGGAAATAATGTTTTGAACCCAGGTTCAGCCCTAGGCATAGGGAAAAATGTAAAATCAGGCAACTTGAGGAAAAATGGTCACAGTATCAAATGAACAGGCACCAGCATAGTTGGTGGTGAATCAGAGAGGAGGCCTTTTGAAATTCCTGGAGACCCCTTCAGAAAGAGGCACATCTGGCCTTTTATGGTGAGAAATATGGTGGCCAGGCCATCCCTCTGAGTTTCTGTAACTTTACATGCAGCTTAAGAAGTAATACAGAGAGGTCCTGTGTGCCCCTTACACAATTGACTCTAAAGCAACATCTTGGAAAACTATAGCGCAATATAACCAGGACACTGACGCTGATGCAACCCACAAGCCTTATTTAGGTTTTCCTAGTTTTATTGCACTCATGTGTGTGTGCGCGTGTGTGTGCGCATGTGTGTGTGAAGGTGTGTTTGTGTGCATCTAGTTCTGTACAATGCCGTCTCATGTGTAGGTCCACGTTCCTACCACTGCAGTCAAGATACAGAACAGGTCAGCACAAGGATCTCTCATGTTGCCCTTTAAAAAAATTGAGGTGGCTGGGCATGGTGGCTCACCCCTGTAATCCCAGCAGTTTGGGAGGCCAAGAGGGGCAGATCACCTGAGGTCAGGAATTTCAGACCAGCCTGGCCAACATGGTGAAACCCCATCTCTACTGAAAATACGAAAATTAGCCGGGCATGGTGGTGTGTGCCTGTAGTCCCAGCTACTCGGGATGCTGAGGCAGGAGAATCAATTGAACCCGGGAGGTGGAGGTTGCAGTGAGCCGAGATCATGCCACTGCACTCCAGCCTGGGTGACAGTGTGAGACTCTGTCTCAAATAAAATAAAATTAAAAAAAGAGGTGGAATTCAGATAACATAAAATTAGCCATTTGGCATTCACTACATTTACAGTGTTGTTTAAATACCACATCTATTGAGTTCTACAACATTTCTATCACTTCAAAGGAAAATTTGTTACCCTTAAGCAGTTTTCCCCAATATAGCCTGTGTCTGGCTTTCACTTACATAGCGTTTTCAATGCTTATCAGTGTTGTAGTATCAGTACAGGTTTATGGCTGAATAGTGTTCTTTTGTACATATATACCATGGTTTGTTTATCATGGACATTTGGGCTCGTTCCACCTTTTGGCCATGTGAATAGTGCTTATATGAACAAACTGACATATGTACTAGTTTGGGTATCTGTTTTCAGTTCTTTGGGGAATATGCCTAGGAGTGGAATTTTGGGATCACAGGTCATTCAATGTTTCATTTTTTCAGGGAAGGTTAAGCTGTTTTCTGCAGTGGCTGAGCCATTTTATTCCCATCGGTAATGAATGAAGGTTCCAATTTCTCCGCATCCTTGTCAGCAGTCTAGGAGATTGTTTTTATTGCTGATTCAGTCTCTTTGTTGGTTTCAGATTGTATTAGTCTGTTAGGGCTTCCAGGACAAATACCACCAACCGGCCTCAACAGCAGAAATTCTGCTCCCCTACAACTCTATCCCCACTTTATGTTGTTGTTATCAGAAATTACATCTTTACATACTGTTTGCCTAATAGCATAAGTTTATTAGACCTGGTGATTTCTTGTTAAAAGTTGGACATTTGGGTATTATAAGGTGGCATCTCTGGAAATCTGATTTTCCCCTTCACTAGAGTTTGCTGTTTTTAATTGTTGAAGGCTGCAGTTGTCCATTTGTTTAGTGACTTTTCCAGATGTTTTGCAAACACTGTTTTTTGTTTTTTTTTTTTTGTCACGTGTGGTCTCTGAAGTCTGTTCCTTGAGCTGGTGTTCAGTTAGGATTTTGAAAGATATTTTTTCGAGTATCAGTGGTTAAAAACAAAACAAAGAAGATCCAAAACAAAAATGAAAACAACAACAACGAGACCCCACCACTCTGTTGTTGTTTTTTTTTTTTTTTTTTTTTGCAGGTTGGCTTTGTGCTGTGGTACTGGTTAGCCAGGCTGTTTACTCCTCTGCCTTAGCCTTCACATCCTGCTTGTCTTAGAGATCAGCCAGCGGTGAAAGCTTAGGATCTTCTCAGGCTTTTTCTGAGATGCATCTTGTTCCAGGCATGCAAATGGCTTTCTAAATTCCATAGCATACACAGGTGTTTTTGAATGTTCCAATTTCTCAAAGAAGCTCTGCAGCTTTTCCTCTCTGACTTTAGAGGTTCTACTCTATATCTCAACTCTTTCACCCCCAGAGGATGCAGATTTCTCATTTGACTTGTAATGTTTTGAGCATCCAAACACGAATTTAGAATTAAGACCTGCTCTGCTCTCTGAACTAGGGACTTGAGGGGCCCATGCTGGGAATATGGGCTGCTATATTCAAGACTGCCACCAAGTTGGAGAGGGTGTAGGGCCGACAAGTAGAAATGCAACAACGTTGTTCTACCATTTGAAGTTGTCTCTCTTGATTCAATGTTTGTTATTCAGATTTTCTTACTTTTTACCTAAAGTTCTTTTTCTGTTCCAGGATCCCATCTGGAATACCAATTACATCTTTCTTTTTTTTTTTTTTTTCTGAGATGGAGTCTCGCTCTGTTGCACAGGCTGGAGTGCAATGGCATAATCTCGGCTCACTGCAACCTCTGTCTCCCGGATTCAAACAATTCTCCTGCCTCAGCCTCCTGAGTATCTGGGATTACAGGCATGCACCACCACGCCCAGCTAATTTTTGTATTTTTAGTAGAGGTGGGGGTTTCACCATGTTGGTCAGGCTGGTCTCAAATTCCTGACCTCCAGTGGTCCACCCAAAATGCTGGGATTAGAGGCGCGAGCCACCATGCCCGGCCTGGGACACCAATTACATCTAGTGCAATGTCACTGTATCTGGAGTTTCACGCTTTCCTTGTTTTGATCCTATTGACAGTTTTGAGGAGTACTGGTTATATATTTTGTGAAACGTCTCTCAATTGGGATGTGTGTGATGTTTCTCTCATGACTAGACTGGAGTTATGGGTTTGGGGAGGGAAGGACATAGAAGAAAAGTGTGATTTTCACACATCATATCAAGGGTATATGCTATCAATATGACTTATCACTGTTGATGTTTGACATCCCCCTATCATTTTTTTTTTTTGAGCACTTTCTTACTTTCTAGTCCTATAAGATGTTTTGGATGCTACAGGATGTTCCTGTCCTAGTCCTAGAATCAGCCATTTATCCAAAGATCTCTGCGTTCCTTTATTGTAATATGATGGTAGAAACCATACTCTGGGCACTAGGTGTGCTAATTGCTACTGGGACGTCACTGCTTTAAATGTATATTAACCTGTGTATGTATACATATCTATTCCTATTTCTATATGTAACCATCTCTACATATACTAAGCTAACATGAGTTCTTACTGATTATCTGACTCTAATCCATTATCATATAAATAATTCTAGTCTCCTTCTCTTACTTATCTTTAAACTCCCACTCCAACTGTGAGAAACCTAGCTCCCACCATCTCCCATTCTTTTACTTAATTGTTCAATTCCAATAGATGTGTGCAGTGATTATCAGAATTATTATTATTATTATTATTTGAGATGGAGTCTTACTCTGTCACCCAGGCTAGAGTGCAGTGGCACAATCTTGGCTCACTGCAACCTCCGCCTACCGGGTTCAAGTGATTCTCCTGCCTCAGCCTCCTGAGTAGCTGGGATTACAGGTGTGCACCAACACATCTGACTAATTTTTGTATTTTTAGTAGAGATGGGGTTTCACCATGTGGGCCAGGCTGGTCTCGAACTCCTGACCTCAGGTAATCTGCCAGCCTTGGCCTCCCAAAGTGCTGGGATTACAGGCGTGAGCCACCACTTCTGGCTGTGATACAGAATTATTAACCAGTGCCCCATTGTGAGAAAACGTTATCAGGTAGCATTTATGTACAATTTCTTTCATCTTTAGTCTTACAGACTCCACTCATTTCCAAAGTTACTTAGGTCAGTCCCTTTTCTTCCCATTTCCTTCAACGAGGTTGTTTCATACATTTGTAAGTCAGATTCTTTTGCCATGGCTTGCATTTGCAGTCCAGTGTCCCTCAGCCATTTTATCAAAATTATTTTGATAAAATGATTATCAAAAACATTTGCATGCAATAAGGATTCACTCTGTGTGCTCTAAAGTTCTATTGGTTTTGACAAATGCTTAATGGGACATATCCACCATTTCAGCTTCATAGAAAACATTTCACTGCTCTAAAATATCTTCCATGTTTCACCTGTTCGACCATCTCCTCTCCCCGGCTACCACTGATCTTTTTGTCAATGTCATATGATTGGAATGATAGAGTATACTGCTTTTTCAGAACTGGCTTCTTTCACTTATCAATATGTATTTAAGATTCATCCATGTCTTTTACAGTTTAATATCTCATTTCTTTTTATTGTTGAATAAATTTTTTATCATATGAATGTACCATAGTTTGTTTATTCATTCACCTATCAAAGAACATTTTGTTTACTTCAAGTTTTTGGTCATTATGAACAAAGCTGCTATAAACATTCACAAGCAGGCTTTTATGTCATCGTAAGTTTCCAACTCAATTGGTAAATATCTACAAATGCAGTGTATTAGTCCATTTTCATGCTGCTGATAAAGACATATGTGAGCCTGGGTAATTTATAAAGAAAAAGAGGTTTAATGGACTCACAATTCCATGTGGCTGGGGCGGCCTCGCAATCATGGTGGAAGGCAAAAGGCACGTCTTACATGATGGCAGACAAGAGAGAATGAGAGCCAAGCAATAGTGTTTCCCCTCATAAAAGCATCAGATCTGGTGAGACTTATTCACTACCATGAGAACAGTATGGGGGAAACCACCCCCATGACTTGATTTTCTCCCACAGAGTTCCTCCCACAGCACATGGGAATTATGGGAGCTACAGTTCAAGATGAGGTTTGGGTTGGGAGCACAGCCAAACCAAATCATGCAGTTTCTGGATTATGGGGTAAAACTATGTTCGGCTTTCTAAGAAACTGTTAAACCACCTTCCAAGGTAACTCTACCATGCTGCATTCCCGAAGCAATAAGTGAGTAGTTACGTTTGTGAGTGTTAACCATTCTAATGGGTGTGTAGTGGAATCTCATTGTTTTAACTCGCATTTCCCTAATGATAAAATGATATTGAGCACTTTTTCATATGCTTATTTGCCATCTATATATTTTCTGTAGTGAGATATCTGTTCAGATATTTTTCCCATTTTTTGATTGAGTTGTTTTAATTGGTTGCATTTTAAGCGTTCTTTGTATATTTTGGAGACAAGTCTTTTATGTGGTATGTGTTTTGCAAATATTTCCCCTTAGCCTGTGGCTTGCCTTTTGATTCTGTTAACGTTGTCTTTCACTGAGCAGAAGCTTTTCAATTTAATAAAGTCCAAATTTCTACTTTTTAAACTTCGTGGATTGTACTTTTGGTATTGTATCTAAAAACTAATAATCAAACCAAACGTCACCTAGATTTGGGGGCAGATTTTTACCATCCAAAAATTAAATTCCTGGTCCTTGTTTGACTTATAAGTGGTATTTGACAAAATGATATACTACTTCTGGATATATTTTCTGTGTGCAGCTTCTAAGATACAACACTATTCTTTTTTTTTCTCCAACATCATAAACCACTCTTTCTCAGTTTTTATTGCTGATTTCTCCTTAATTCTCTGATCTCTTATTGCAAGAGTGCTCCAGGGCTTAATCTTACAACTGCTTCACTTTTCTATGTATGCTCACACTCTTGTGACTTTATCTAGTCCTTTGTCTTTAAACATTATCTATGTAATGTTGACTCACAAATGTTTATATCCTTCTAGGACCTCTCTCTTAATTATAGATTCATATATGCCTGATTGAATCTCCACATTGATTGCATCTGGAATTTAGTGGGCCTTAATCCAAACTCCTTATTTTTTATTATTATTATTATTTTTTTTTTGAGACGGAGTCCCGCTTGTAGCCCAGGCTGGGGTGCAGTAGTGTGATCTTGGCTCACTGCAACCTCCTGCAACCTCTGCCTCCTGGGTTCAAGCAATTCTCCTGCCTCAGCCTCCTGAGTAGCTGAGACTACAGGCGTGTGCCACCATGCCCGGCTAATTTTTGTATTTTTAGTAGAGACAGGGTTTCACCATGTCGGCCGGGCTAGTCTCGAACTCCTGACTTCAGATGATCAGCCTGCCTCAGCCTCCCACAGTGCTGGGACTACAGGCGTGACAAACTCCTCATTTCTACCACCACATTTGTACTTCCTGGTCTTTTCCTCTCAGTTACTGACAATTGCCAAGGGTTCAGCATTTTCTTGGGTGGTGGACATTAAAGATGGTATCCATTTCGTGGAAGCAGCCTGGGGCTGGGTTTGCAGAGCAGGCAAGCAATGCCTCCTGTAGATTACTTGCGATGTGGCTGCCATCGTGCCCTTTCCTATATGCAAGCAGTGTCCTCCAACACCGACTACAGGCTTGGCCATGTGAATTACCTGGACCAAAAGAATATGGAAGAAGTGATGTGTAACTTCTGAGCCTAGGCCTTGAGAGGCTTTACAGCTTCCGCTCTCATTCTTTTGGCATACTTCTCTGGGATCATCATGTGGAAAAGGGCTGATCGAGTTTCCTACAGGATGAAGTCCACATTGAACAGAGACGATCCTTCCCAGCTAAGATTCCCTAAATTAGCAACCCCTAGTTAGTGCTAACATCAGACATGTGACTGAAGGCATCTTTGACCATCTGGCTTTATTTAAGTCACTTGGTGACCACTGTCATATATGTGACTTCAGACAAGACAAGCAGAAGGACCTCCCGCTGGAACCTGGGCCAAATGTCTGACTCACAGAATTTTGAGCAAATGAAAAATAGTTTTTGCCTTAAGACACCAAGTTTTGAGTTGGTTGGTTATGCAGCAAAAGATAACTGTGATCCAGGAAATCCAAGCCAAACTTCTTATCTTTGGTGTCCAATATGGTCTAGTACAGGTTTGGGAGCTTTGGAGAATGTGCTCACTTGAATGTGACCAGATGGCCTGTGTTATGTGAGCCAAGCTGTATTTTTGTTCAGAGAAAACTGTGTTTAGCTTTCTTCTTTTCCCTGATGATTTAGTAAAATTTGTAGAGTTCCTTTCTTTACCAATTGGGCCCACCTTCCAAAATACCAGCTTGTGAACTTCGTGGGGACAGTGTGTCAAAGGAGGTCCCTTGGCGTCTATGTGAGGGTGGCAGTGGGACCAGTGAGAGTACAGCCAAGGCAAGAACAAGTTTAGTCATTTAGCTGCAATTTCTTTGTTGTTGTTGTTTTTTGAGATGGAGTTTCACTCTTGTTGCCCAGGCTGGAGTACAGTGGCGCGATCTTGGCTCACTGCAACCTCCGCCTTCCAGTTTCAAGCGATTCTCCTGCCTCAGCCTCCCGAGTAGCTGGGACTGCAGGTGCCCACCATCACGTCTGGCTAATTTTTGTATTTTTAGTAGAGACGAGGTTTCACCACGTTGGCCAGGCTGATCTCGAATTCCTGATCTCAGGTGATCCGCCCACTTTGGCCTCCCAAAGTGCTGGGATTACAGGCGTGAGCCACAGCGCCCGGCCTCAGCTGCAATTTCTTTCCTCAGAGGGCCAATCTCTGAATGTTGTAAGACCTCTCTTATTGATGATGTCTGCTTCCTTCTTAGATTCCTTTTTAGCTCCCATACTCCTTTTCCAGGCACTGGACTGGTTTTACCACTCATCATCATCCATGCAACAAACAGCTATTGAGCTCTTCCCTAGGGTCGGATCCTGTAGGCCCAAACATTACAGAGATAAAAGACTTAATTCCAGCCCTTAAGAAGCAGATAAGTAGGGCTGGGCATGGTGGCTCGTGCCTGTAATCCCAGCACTCTGGGAGGCCAAAGTGGGCGGATCACCTGAGGTCAGGAGTTCGAGACCAGCCTGGCCAACATAGTGAAACCTATCTCTACTAAAAGTAAAAAAAATTAGCCCAGCATGGTGGCAGGCACCTGTAGTCCCAGCTACTTGGGAGGCTGAGGCCGGAGAATTGCTCGAATCTGGGAGGTAGAGGTTGCAGTGAGCCAAGATCTGGCCACTGCACTCCAGCCTGGGTGACAGAGTAAGACTCTGCTTCAAAAAAGAAGCAGACAAGTAATAAGACAAGTTTATCACTGTCTAATAAAGAAAGTAGAAAGATGAAATATATTGGAGACATAGAAAGGCAACAGTTAACTAAGCCAGGGAGTATTCCCAAAGTTGATGGCACCTGAGTGAGTCTGGAGTAAAAATGAGAAAAATAGAGGCCATTTCCATCCCTAAGGAGGTCTCATGCTTGTGGGAAGACACACGGTGCAAAGGTGGAGCAATATAGGAAGATTAGGGTCCTGACTTCGGCTTATGGCTCCATGTCCTCTGCAGGAGGCCCTGCTACACTGCTGCAGGGAGCTAGCAGCATTCCATGGCATGAACACACACTATTTAAACATCCATTCTCCTGTTGGTGGAAATCTTGTTGCTCCAAGTTTAAAGATACTACAGATTGTCTGGAATGAACACATTCGAATACATCATTTGGTGCATATAGATACACATTTCTGTTGGGAAAATACTTACAAGTGGGATGCTTATGTTCAGCTTCGGTAAATAATGCTAAACAGTCTTCCAAAACAAGTTTCCATTCCCATCTATCTATCTGTCTGTCTATCTATCTATGTATCATCTATCTATCTATCTATCATCTATCTATCTATCTATCATCTATCTGTCATCTATGTATCTATCATCTATGTATCTATGAATCAATCTTCTATCTTTCTATCATCTTTCATCTTCTATCTATCTATCATCTGTCTATCTATCTATCTATGTATTATCAATGTATCTATCTACTATCATCAATCTATCTATCATCTATGTATCTATCAATCAGCCTATCTACTATCTATCTTTCTATCCTCTTCTATCATCTATCTATCTATCTATCTAATCTATCTATCTATCTATCATCATCATCTATGTATCTATGTATCTATCAATCTGTCTATCTTATATCATCTATCTATCTATCTATCATATTCTATCATCTATCTATCTATCTCTATCATCTATCTATCATCTATCTATCTATCTATCTATCATCTATCTATCATAATATCTATCATATTCTATCATCTATCTATCATCTGTCTATCATCTATTTATCTATCATCTTCTATTATCTATCTATCTATCTATCTATCTATCTATCTATCTATCTATCTATCTATCTATGCAGTGGATGAAGCTAATTTCCTCAGATGAAGTGTGCTTTAATTGGAAGTGTGGCAAGAACCTCAATCCCCCAGTTGTCTCTGTAAGGCTTTTTGCGGCTCTTACAGGCATGTGCAGGTCACAGGAAGTATTGGGAAAAACATTAAAGGGCTTTGCAGCCAGAAAGTCCTTATACTGAATCCTGACTCCATCACTAACTGGCTGTGGGGCCCGAGCAAAGTTCATAACTGCCTCAAGGTTGCATCATCATATTCCATGGAGTTAACCTGCCCAATCTCTCAGGGCCACTGAAAGGAGTTAAATGTTGTGTATACTGTGGGCTGGCCAAGAGCCTAGCCTGTGGTAAGTGTGCAATAAACAGCTGTTGTTATTACGGTTGTAAATGCTTTCTCTAAGTGGTGACGGGATGTGAGAAGGGCTTCCAGTTGAAACCACAGGCTTGCAGCAGTCAAACTGCTGGTATAAGGGCCATGCAGGAAAATTTAGGTACTTGAGGTTTGTTAAGTCTCCAAGGTTCTCATTTCAGCTCAGTTATTCCTATTTTATCCCAAGTTAGATAAGAAGTTTCTATTTCTTTTGTCTCCAGGTCATAGCAGATTCATGGAAGGCATATGCGGTCATGGTGGTAGTGGTGGTTGTGGTCATTGTGGCGAGGAGGACTGCCCTTCACAGACATGCAGACAACAGTGGGTATGTGTACCCGAGGGTTAGCAAAAAGGAAAAGAACAACAGAAAGACACCCATGCCCCTGTCTCTGCTTTTACAATGCACTCAACTCACCCAAGGTGGTCGGAGTGGGAAATGTTAAAAAGCTGCTGCAGCCCCCTGACCTCAGATTGTCCTCGGGCTTTCATTCCACCTGCCTTGATGGTTCCCTGGTGCTTTCACCCATCAGGCTCCATGTGGCATCCCCACCTGTATTGCCCTTCAGGTCTTGTGTCTGTGCCACGCTCTGAACTCACATTCCTTCTGTATAACACTTTGGATCCAAACCCCACCTCCAGGTTGCCCTGATTCGCTAGGTGGGCCAAGGTCAAAAGAAAAGCTGCTGAGAGGCTGGGCGCAGTGGCTCACACCTGTAATCCCAGCACTTTGGGAGGCCAAGGCGGGCAGATCACAAGGGCAGGAGTTTGAGACCAGCCTGGCCAACATGGTGAAACTGCGTCTCAACTAAAAATACAAAAGTATCAGGCGCGGTGGTGTGCACCTGTAGTCCCAGCTACTTGGGAGGCTGAGGCAGGAGAATTGCTTGAACCTAGGAGGTGGAGGTGGAGATTGCAGTGAGCCGAGATCACACCATTGCACTCCAACATGGGTGACAGGGCGAGACTCCATCTCAAAAAAAAAAAAAAAGAAAAGAAAAGAAAGAAAAGTTACTGAGAAAGAAAGGGAACACTCAGTCTAAGTCCCTTTAGAGGAGCCAGAGTGTCCCCTCTGTCCCCAAAATGTCCAGGGGCAGCACAGCACAGTCATGGTAAACCAGAGACTATCCCCATCCATAGTGGTATGTTCAGTTGGATTTAGGATGCTAGAAGACAGGGTGGTGTGGGAATATTTCCACCAGTAAAATTAAAAGAGAAAAGAAGTTTTGAATCAGAGAAACACTTTGTATTATTTGGCTTCCACTTGGCCATATTTGACATTAAAAGAGAAAGTGTTTTGATCTACATTTGAACTATTAAGACCTGCAGGAGTCACACAGCTGGTCCATATGGCTGGACCCCATAGCTGGCCCTTAGTCCAAAGACCACACTGCTGGCCAGAGAAGAAGTCCTCGAAACTGGAACAGGTTATGAGTGTGAGATTATATATATATATATATATATAATGTTTAGGGATCCTGAAGCTGCAGGAGTCCCGAGACCCTGAAGGAGCAAGGCTTGAATATCTCA
This sequence comes from Homo sapiens, assembly GCF_000001405.40. Lineage (NCBI taxonomy): Eukaryota > Metazoa > Chordata > Mammalia > Primates > Hominidae > Homo > Homo sapiens. The sequence continues at coordinate 126,735,104 of NC_000002.12, read as the reverse complement.
GGAGATGAAACAGAAGGTGATGGTTATGACTACAAGGCTGGAGAAAGGCTGCAGGGAGGCCTTTATGAGCAGCAACCCAAGGCACAGGCAGAGAGGAGAAATTCTGTAAAATAAAGAAGCCCAGTGGTGGTGCCATTAGTCTTACTAAATATCTGGGGCTCAGAGGTTAAGTGCATTATCGAAGTGCCAAGTTAATCTAGGCAATTGAGTTTTGTTCAGTTGCAGCACACGGGCTATGCAGCAGAATACACAGCACTGGTTGAGGAGATGGGAGCAGAGTTACAGAGGTAGGTGAGGCTTCCTGGGTAGCCAGCTCCCCCTCTTCCACAGCCCCCAGGCCTCTGCTGCTTGCTTCCTCCTCGGGCACAAATGCTGTCCCCCTCCGCTGGGACTGGCGTGGACCTGTGTCCCTGCACCCTGCCATCTCTGCTGCTGAAATACTCACAGCCTCAAGTCAGGTGCATTTGTCCAAGCAAGCATGCCACCTGGAAGTGGGATCCTAGACTTTGCGTTTTTTGAGATGCCGGTGACATTTTTAAAAGTTGATATATTGAAAGGAATTTCATCTGTTAATTTCCCAAATTAAGAAATTGTAAAAGTCAACAATTGCTAATCAGAACTTATCATTTCTCCAAGAAAAGTCCATTTTGACACTGAGAGAAGGAAAACAATTTCTCAGAATAAAGGACAATCAATTATGTTGACTAAATAGATTAAATTTCTGATATTTTCTTTCTTTCTTTCCTCTTTCTCCTTTCTTGAAGGATCAGTGTGAAGTTTACTGTGGACCAGGGCAGCTAGGGGGGTTTCAGCTGTCCTAGATTCAAATCTGCTAGCCTCATACAATTGGCATGTCTTTGGGCATAGAACTTAAGCACAGAAGCAACAGGGTGTGTTTGCATGTGTTTGTGTGTGTGTGTGGAGAGAGAGAGAGAGAGAGAGATTTTAAGGGATTGTCTCATGTGATTGCAGAGGCTTGGTAAATCTGAAATCTGCAGGTTAGGTTAGGCCAGAAGGCCAGAGACCCAAGGAGGAGTTGCAGTTTGAGTCCAGAAATATCTGCTGGCAGAATTCCTTCTTGCTTGGTCCATCTTTGTTCAATTAAGTCCTTCAACTGATTAGATGTGGCCCACCTGCTTTGTGGATGGCAATCTGCTTTACTCAAAGCCCATGGATTTCAACGTTAATCTCTCCCAAAAATCACCTTTACAGAAACATCCAGAATAATATCTGGGCATGATGGCCAAGCCAAGTTGACATAAAATTTACCATTGCAGTAAGCTTTAGTTTTCTTGATATATAAATGAAATAATAATCCCTTCCTAACCATGGCCTGGTTAAAATGACTTCACAAAATAGCACCTAAAGCCTGCCCCAGAATGCCTGTCCTGGCGTCATTTTCTGTCCCTCTCTCAGGCTCCCTAGGCTCCCTGCAGACAGTCACCACTGGGCTCCACGTCCCTGGGGGTGCAGCTGTATCCTCCTCCCAGAGGCCTGGCTGGGCAGGGTCTTAGCAAGCTCTGTGCCATGACTTTGCCATGACTCCCATCCATGATGGTCCACCCATCTTCCCCATCAGACGGCCCTGAGGGGTGGACGGTTTCCTGCTCATCTCTTCAGCCAGTGCCCATCACAGACTCTGGCACATAGTATGTGTGTGGGATGATTGAAGAGCTGGGTGAATTGAGGGGATTTTAGGTGGGACTTAGGGACACCATCAACTGCTTTACCAAGGCTCAACTCTCCTTCTGTGGGACTCTGCTGCCTGCCCCCTCCTCCCTGCCCTCACAGAAGCAGGACTTTTGCTCCAGGTCCTGAGCAACTGCACTCACCTCTTCGGCCCCCTTCCCCTGGGTGCCATGGCAGCTTTCTATCTCTTACAAACACCAATGTCTGTCCTGCTGGCCTCTGCAGCCCCCTCCCCAAGCAGGAGTCCCCTCCAGGACCTGCAGAGCCGTATGTCTGCCCTGGGTGCTCCACGTCTGCAGGGCCTCTTGGAGGTGCTGGCTGCTTCATCTTTGAAAGTCTTCCTCCTCCTTCCTGGACCTGCTGGTGCCTCCTCACACTCCCAGAGCACTGCTTCCTGTCAGCCCATCGCCTGGCTTCCTTCTTCACTGGGACCTCCCTTTTCTGACTGGCTTCTCCCTTAGGACTATACACCTCACTATCCTCCCTAAGAGTTTCCACCCACCCCTGCCCCACATTTTCTCAGCTGTGGGCTCCCCCGACCTCACTGGGAAGAGGGTGAGCAGATTGCATCACTTCTCGGTCAAATCCTAAATATCCCTGATGCTCACCAGCCTCTCTTCCTCCCTTAAGTTATTGGAACAAGCAGCCCCCGTGTAGACAGTCCCACCCACCTGAGCCCTGGCTGCCTTGCCGAGTGTGCTGTGATGAAAAAGAGAATGTCTATGGATCAGAATGAGTGAGATCGAGAGTTCTCTGGGACTTTGGGCAAATTACTGCACCTCTTTGGACTTCAGAGTCCTTGTCTTTAATTTCTGTCATTCAGTGAAGTTGCTGTTGGGCATACTAGATCTACTGGACATTCACGGGTCTGGCACAGAGAGGGTGCATGAGGAGAGATTGCTTTCACCACCTGTCATGCCACCCAAATCCTCAATGACCCTCCTTGCCCTTGCACCCTATTCTGCTCCCACTGGTGTGGGAATGAACCATGGTGCCTGGTCTCCCACACATTTGGCTCCCCTCCCATCACCACGCACACACACTGCCCTTCCTTCTTCTTTTTCTTTTTTCTTGAGATGGTGTCTCACTCTGTCACCCAAGCTGGAGTGCACTGGTGCGATCTTGGCTCACTGCAACCACAGCCTCCCAGATTCAAGCAATTCTCCTGCCTCAGTCTCCCGAGTAGCTGGGATTACAGGCACCCACCACCACGCCTGGCTAATTTTTGTATTTTTAGTAGAGACGGGGTTTCGCCCTGTTGGCCAGGCTGGTCTCGAACTCAGGTGATCCACTTGCCTCGGCCTCCCAAAGTGCTTGGATTACAGGTGTGAGCCACCATGCCCAGCCTGCCCTTCCTTCTTTTGCAGGCAGGGCTAGGGCTGAGCTGATCCAGGGGAGACAATACTTGGGTTGGGGTGGCAGGGAGGGTGACAATGGCAGGCATCTTTCCCTTGGGGCTGTGAAGGTGGAAAGCAGAGGACTCAGGGCTGGGGCTATCAGGGTTTTCATGGCCTGAGAGCAGCCCAGGGTGGCTCTGGGGCCCAGGACATTGGACTGGGCCTGTGGGAACTGTCTCAGCTTCCTCTCGCCTCTGCCTCACTGCCTGCTGCTGCTGCTGCTGCTGCTGCTGCATCTTTTTGGGCTCTTCTCTGAGAATGTTTTTGCAACCCCTGTTCTGCTGCATGCTGAGGTGGCCTTGCTCTCTTACCTGGGCACAGGCCTCTCCTCCGGCTTGCTGTGGTGGCTTCTCCTGGTTCCTATTCTCAAGCAGCCCCTCACTGTGCTGGCCTGACTTCACCCCGTGAACCTCCCATTGTGGAATCTGGACCTTTCCAAACTGGTTCTGTGAGCCCCTCCCCACCGAGGCAGCCCCCTGTACCCAAGGATCCCTGTTGCATTGGTGACAGCTCCCCTGTGACCATCCCGGCTCAGACAAGCTCAGCGGCAGCTGGCCCATGGCAGACAGGGGACTTCACCAAGGACCACCACATTCCACCCCCACTGAATCACTGAATGCCCCTTCTGTGTGCTTTTATTGAACTATTAAGACTGCATTATGAAATAACAACTAATTACCAGAGAGAAAGCTCTGGACAAAGGGAAAAAAGAGAGTGGTCTGTGAAGTAGAGATAAGTGGATTTTGGTTATGTATTCAACATTGGAAAGAAAAAGGGTGCAGTTAAGCCTTTACTGAGAACCAGTGGCTCACCATGAGCACTTCCCTTCTCCTCCTCTTTTTCTTTATTCGCTGAAAAAAGTGGGTTATTTGTTTTGTAGAATGTCCCACGTACTAGGTCTGGCCAATTGCATCTTTGTGGTATAATTTAACTTGTTATTCTATCCCCCACATTTCTTAAAAATTGGGAGTCAGATCTGGAGGCTGTTTGGACCAGTTTTAATTTGGCAAGGACCCATCACAGGAGATGCTGTGATTAGTGCTGTTATCTGGCATCAGAAGCACGTGCTGAGGGGTCGTCCCTCTTTAGCGACCCTGAGGTGTGCCAGTCTGAGCCCTCCATTCACAAGCCTCATCTGGGGAGATTTTGATGGGCAGCCAGGTTTGAGAACCCTGGTTAGGATCTACCTTGTCATTTTTCAGGTGAGCTGGAAGGTTTGTGACCATCACCACCCACACAGCAGTGCAGGAAGCCCCAGCCCCACAGTGCAGGATGATCGGGTTCTGCCCATCAGGGCCTCTTGCAGGCGGTTTTCCAGGGCTCTCTCTGGGTTTCTCACATTTCCTCCTTACCAGGGACAGTGTCAGGGCATTTCCCTGTGACATTTATTTACCGCTAGAGAGGAACCAGAGAGCTCTCCTGACTGTCATCTAACTTCAATAAATGTCTCATGTCCAAGCATGACAAGGGCTTGTGAAAGTCAGCGGGCTTACGGGGGCACTGGAGAGGAGCGTGAACTCCTCTTCTAGGCACCTTGCATGGGAGATTCAGTCTGTGGTGGGCCCTGGGTCCAGCCGACTCCATCAGAGGCTGCCGTAACCCTGGAGCCCAGAGGAGGCTGGTTCCTAGTGAATCATCCAAGTGTCTCTGTTGCTCAGTGAGGGTCCCAGGGCACCTGCGCTGGAGCTGGATGGGACGATTCTTACCTCTTGGCTTTGTCCACGGTACACATACTGCCTGGAATGCACCTCTGCCCACTGGCCCCCATGCAGGGTTCTGGGGTACTACATGACTGCTCCCCTGCACTGCCTGTGCTGATCCCAGGTCGGGTCAGACTGTTCACTTTCCCGCCTTCAGCACTGACCACGCTGTGCTACAATCAGGGGTGTACTGGTACTACTGAGCAGAGCAATGGCATCTGCAGAAAAGCAGCCCTGATCTGCAGCATGTGCTGATACTGGAGTGTGGACACTCTCACCATGGTGATTTCAGGAGCTGGCTCTCCGTTCCAGGGAGTCTGTGGCTTGAGTGAGCAATGGACAGATTCTCCCCTGTTCCTGCCCTATCTTGGAGGTTTCTCTGCTGGGGTGAGTGCAGCCTCTTCTGTGGCTGAGCCATGCAGAGGGATGACAGGAGGTCTTGCCTGCATCCCCTCCCTGCTTCTATGGGCTTCTCATATCCCCAGTTTTCACAGTACAGGTCTGACACCTCTCCAGTGGGGAGTGGTGTCTCCAAACCTTCCCCAGGGATTCTGCCTGGCTTTTCCTCCCTCACAGGGTCAATTTGGGCTCTGTCCCTTGAGACCTCCATCTCAGCCTTTACAGGTGGCCCCTTCTGTACCTGGTGTGTTGGAAACAGCATGTCACAGCTCGATGAGAGGAGAGCCCTTTGGGCCTCACACCTCATCCTGTTCAGCTCTGGTTTGCTGGTCCAGCTGGCTAGGGACAAAGACGAGGACTTGGGGTTACCATCCCCTCTCAGAATCCTGGGTCTCTATCTATCTCTGACCTCTGGCTCAGCTGTGGCCTCTGCAGGGTTCCTAGGGAAACCTAGCTCTTGGGCCTTGACAATGGAGCCCCCTCTGCCTGCTGAGCTCTTTGGAGGCTCTGCCTTCTTTCCCAGCCTGCTGTCCGAGATGCCTTGACTGAGACTGGGGTACTGCCTGGGTCTTTGCCCAGTTTCTTTAGCCCCTTCACGTTTGAGTTTTATGAGGTGTTGGGGGTATCGCATACTCAGTTTGTGAGAAGTTCACCATAGAAGCGATAGGAGGGTAGCCTGCACATCATGAGTCCTGGTTTTGTGCCAGCCTTTCTCTAGCTACATCCTTCAGCCTCACAACTGGCTGATGAACCTGATGTCATCATCATGCCCATTTTATCTTCAGTATACTGAGGTATAGAGGTTAAGTGTGTTACCTGAGGTCATACAGCTGCTGAGCGTGGAGCTTGGAATCAAATCCTGGCAGATGAGTCCATAACATCAATGCTTGAAATCAGAATGTATGATGCCTCCAGCTTTGGTCTTTTTTTTTACTTAAAACTGATCTGGCTATTCGTGGTTTTTTATTTCGTATTTATTTTGGAATTGTTTTTTCTATTTCTGTAACCAATACCAAGGGGATTTTGACAGGGATTGATTTGAATCTGTACATCACTTTGGGTAGTTGGACATTTTAACAATATTAGGTCTTCTGATACATGAACATAAGCTATCTTTCCATTTTTAAATATTTTTTTCATTTCTATTACCAATATTTTGTAGTTTTCAATGTTCAAGTCTTTCTCTTCCTTAGTTAAGTTAATCCCTAGATATCTTATTCATTTAGCGCTATTATAAATAAACTCATTTTCCTAATTTCCTTTCCAAATAGTTCATTATTAGCGTACAGAAACATAACTGAATTTTTGTAAATTTATTTTGTATCCTCCAACTTTATTGAATTTGTTTAGTTGTTCTAACAGTTTTTCTATAAAGTCTTTAGAAATTTCTATATATAATATGTCATCTGCAAAGAGGGATAATTTTACTTTCTTTGTGATTTGAATGCCTTTTATTTCTTTTTCTTGCCTAATTTTTCTGGATAGGCCTTCTAGTACTATGTTGAATAGAATGGGCAGAATGGGCATCCTTGTCCTTGTTTTTCATCTTGGAGGAAAAGCTTTAAGATGGTTGCTACTGAGTGTGATGTCAGCTGTAGGTTTTTCATTCATGGCCCTTTATTACATTGAAGTAATTTTCTTTTATTCATAGCTCATTGAAAGGTTTTTTAAATCATAAAAGGGTGTTAAATTTTGTCAGGCACTTTTTCTGCATCTATGATACATATTATTGTGTGATTTTTATCTTTTATTCTGTTTATGTATTATATTAATTAAATTTTGCATTTTGAACCATCTTTGCATTCCAGGGATACATTCCACTTGGTCATGGTATATGATCCTTTTACTGTGCTGTTCAATTCAGTTCACTAGTATTTTGTTGAGGATTTTTGCATCTGTACACATCAGAGATACTGGCTTGTTATTTTCTTTTCTTGTGGTGCCTTTATCTAGCTTTCATATCAGGGTAATACCATCCTCATAAAAAGTATTTAGAAGTATTCTTGCTCTTCAATTTCTTGGAAAAGTTTAAGAAGGATTGGTGTTAATTCTTCTTTGAATGTTTGGTAGAATTCACCAGTGAAGCCTTCTAGTCTTGGGCTTCTCTCTGTTGGAAAACTTTAGATTACTGGCTCAATCTTCATATCATTTATAGGTCTATTCAGATTTCCTATTTTTAATGATTTAGTTTTTTGTAGTTTGCAAGTTTCTAAACATTTATCAACTTCTTCTAGGTTTTCCAATTTGTTGGCATATAATTGTTTATAGTAGTATCTTATGTTGCTTTGTGTTTCTGTGGTATCAACTACAATGTCTTTTCTTACATTTAACATTTTATTTGAGTCTTCTCTCTCTTTTTTCCTTTGTTCAGTTAAGGGTTTGTTAACTTTGTTCTATTCTTTTCAAAAGAAAAACAACTCAATTTCATTGATTTTTTTCCAATTGTTTTTCTATTTTTTATTTTATTTATTTCTGCTTGAATCTTTGTTATTTCCTTCCTTCTGCTGACTCTGTGCTTAGTTGTTCTTTTCTATTTGAGGTATAAAGTTAGGTTACTTATTTGGGATATTTCTTCTTTTTCAATTTGGCATTTATCCCTACGAACTTCCCTCTTAGTCCTGTTTTGCTGCATTCCATAAATTTTGGTCTGCTGTGCTTCCATTTTTTGTTTGTCTTAAAGTATTTTCTGATTCCTTTAAAAAATTTCTTTTTTAACCCAGTGGTTGTTCAAGAGTATGTTTTTTAATTTCCACATACTTGTGAATTTTCCAGTTCTCTTTTCACTATTTATTTATAGTTTCATTCTATTATGGTTAGAAAAAAAAACACTTGCTATGATTTCAGTCTTCCTAAATTTGTTAGAACTTGTTTTATGACCTAACATGTTATCTATCCTAGAGAAAGATCCGTGTGCACTTGAGAGGGGTGCTTATTTTGTTGCTGTTGGATGGAATGCTCTGTATATATCTGTTAGGTTCATTTGCTTTGTAATGTTTCTCAAGTCCTCTGTTTCCTTATTTTCTGTATAAATGCTCTATTCATTATTGAAAGTGGGGTACTGAAGTCTCCTACTATTATTGCATTGCTTTCTGTTTCTCCCTTCAGTTCTATTAATGTTTGCTTTATATATTTAAGTGCTCCGATGTTAGGTGTATATATATTTATGATTGTTATATCTTCCGGGTGAAGTGACCATTTTATAATGACAAAATTTCCCCTTGGTTTCTTGTGGAAGTTTTGACTAAAGTCTATTTTGTCTGATATAAGTCTAACCACCCCCTCTCTCTTTTGGTTGCCATTTACATGAAGTACCTTTTTATCTCTTTATATTGAGCCTATGTGTGTCTTTAAATCTAAAGTGAGTTTTTCATAGACAGCATATAATTAGTTTTTTTTTTAAATAAAATTATTGAGTGACTCTATGTCTTTTGGTAATGATTTTCATCCATTTAAATTTAGGTAATTATTGATAGAGAAAAAATTACTATTGCTATTTTTTGGTTAGTTGTTTCTCTTAGTCTTGTAGTTCTTTTATCTGCCTTTTTTTCTCTTGCTGTCTTCCCTTGTGTTTTGATAATTTTTTTTGTATTGATATGCTTTAATTCCTTTCTTTTTTTGTTTTGTGTAACTTCCACAGCTATTTTTATTTGTGTGATTACCTTGGGGCTTATATAAACTATCTTCAACTATAACAGTCTATTTTAAGCTGATAACAACTTAAGTTCAATTACGTATAGAAACTATACACTTTAATTTATTCTCTGATCACTTTATGTTACTGCGGTCATGATTTACATTTATTCATACTGTAAATATTTAAACATGCTTTAGTTTACTTTCTGTGCTTTTGTCTTTCATACTAGAATTAAAAGTGAATCACCCACTTTTATACTACAGTAATATAATATTTTACATTTCTGTATATTTACCTTTACCAATGAGTTTTATACTTTCTAATGATATCATATTGCTCTTTAGCATCATTCTATTTCAACTTGAAAAATTTCTTTAGCATTTTTTGGATGGCAGGTCTACTGGTACAGAACTCCCTCAGCTTTTGTTTGTCTGTGAACATCTTTGTCTCTCCTTCAGTTTTGAAGGAGAATTTTGCTGGGTGTAGTGTTCTTGGTTGGCAGTCTTTTTCTCTTAGCACTTTGAATATATTGTCCTATTGTTTCCAGGCCTACAAAGTTTCTGTTGAATAATTCACTGATAGTCTCATCAGAGTTTCTTTTTATGTGACAAGTTGCTTTTCTCTTTCTACTTTCAAAACTTTCTGTTTTTGACTTTTGGCAATTTGAATACACTGTGTCTTGGTGTGGATATATTTGGATTCACTTTTTGGTGTTCTTTGGGATTCTTGGATGTGGGTCCAACTCATTCCTCAGATTTGGGATGTTTTCAGCCATTAATTTTTTTTAATGAGCTTTCCGATCCTTTCTGTCTCTTTGCCTTCTGAAACTTCCACAATGCATGTATTGGTTCACCCGATGGTGTCTCACAATTCCCTTAAGCTTTCTTTACTCTCTTTCATTCTTTTTCTTCTCCTCTGACTGAATTATTTCTAGTGACTTGTCTTCAAGTGGCTGATTCTTTCTTCTGCTTGATATAGTCTGCTATTGAACTCTTCAGTGGATTTTTCAATTCAGTTATTGTGTTCTTCCACTCCATAATTTCTATTTGGTACTTTAAAATATTTTCTGTCTCTTTGTTGAAATTCTCACTTAGCTTATGCATTGTTCTCTTGGTGAACATCTTTAAAAGAACTATTTTACATTCTCTGTCAGGTAAATCATATAATTCTGCTTTATTAGGACTAGTTTTTGGAGATATTTCTTATTTCTTTGTTTGGAACACTTTGCCTGTTCTTCATTGTGTTGGACTCTGTATTCACATTTGTGCCTTAGACAAAGCAGGATCTCTCAGACTGGCCCTGTACAGAAGACTCCCAACCATCAGCTGGGTCAGAGATTCTGAGGGCTTTTATCAGCTCTTCCTCTCCCCCAAGGAGAAGCAGGCAGCTGTGGTTTATGCCCACTAGCTCTGTGTTTAACCAGAAGGAAGAGGGCTATGCTTTTTATCAGCCCAAGCTGCCATCTTCACTGTTCCTCAGGCTATGAGGCTGTGGTGGACTTATTCATGTCCCAAGACTGGCAGGACAAAGTTAATTCTCTGGCAAACCCTCCTGAGGAAGTTGGGACATTGAACAGTGAATCAAACCTTGCCCTTTTTGGGAGAAGCTGGGAGCTAATGGGGTCTTTTCTAATCATATGATCCTGTTCTGGAGGCAGAATCTCTGGTGCAGGGTGTCCTGAAAGTTTTTACAAGCTTTGATAAGTCTGGTTGCACATTCTCTTGGGGTGCAGGAGCCTTTCAGTGAGGCTCAATAATTTTGATAATGTAAGAATAATGGTTTTTAATTAAAAAAATTAATTTAAAAAATTTAATTATTTAAGAATAATTTTAATAATTCCTAATTTCAGAATTATTTCTGAATCGGTGTGTTTGTGGAGGAAAGGAGGATCTAGGGCTTCTTACTCTGCCACGTTGCTAATGTCACACTCTCTGGTTGTTATATATTTTGGCAACTCAGACAACCTTCAATTTAAATCCTTCTGCACACACTGTTTCTGAATACTAGTCTATAACTAGCAACTGCAATGTCAGGGCTTAATAATATAATAAAAGCCCCAACTGCCCACAGTTGTCAGAAGCTGCAGAAGCCTAAGGTCAGATTGTTGATGGCATCATCTTCTGGCTTTCATCTCAGGACATCTCATCCATGGGGTGAGAGAAAGGATGAAGCCATCAAAAGGGAGGGAGCAACAGGGGAAGAGGAAACAAATGGAGAGATGAGAGGTTAAAGTGCTGGAGAGGAAGTGAGAAAGGTGGGAAAACAAAAGTTGGAGGAGGAGAAAGGGAGAAAAAGTGGAGAGGAGCAGGCAAGAGTGAGAGGTTTCTACGCTCCTCCTTCACTCCTAGCCATCTCCTGCTCCCCTCCTCTGCTTCTGTCCAGGCTGGTAGCCTTTGCCACAGAGAGCTCTTTGTCTTCTTAGGGCCAGTGCTCCTCCCAGGTGACATAATTTTTTATGCTTTTTTTTGCTCCGTTCCACTCACTGAAGCTACTGCCTCCATAGAACCTTGGTCCTCAAGTTAGAGAGAAATTCTAAATGTCTATGGACCAATCACAAGGACTACACAGAGGCCCTTTGCTTCACCATTGCCCAGGCCAATCAGCCACACTCAGCTCTCCATGGAAGAGAGCATGGAACCTCCTTCCTGGGACAGCCTATTCTCTCTGCACAGCTTTGGGTCTTGGCAGCCAGAGTCTTGGCAGGAAAAAGCTGGAACATCCACACTCAGAAGGCCTGGGGTGTGGATGGTTTCTGCTGAAGTCAGGCTACAAGCATTTGTATGACAAGCATGGGAAGGGAACATGGACAGATTTTATTTTACACTGATCTTTTTATTGGGATGCACATGACCACTTGAGGCTTGGGGGTGCTGGTTGGCTCAAACCTATTGCTCTGATCTAACTCCTTTGAGCCCTGAGCTTCTGTGACAGACAGGAGGAGGACAAGCAAGGAGTGGGCTCGAGTCATCCTCTCAGGGAGGGAGCAGAGGAGAAACCCATTCCACTGGCTTCCTCAAGCAGGGAAATAGGGAATAACAACCAGGAAGATGGCTTTGAAAACAAACATTTAAACAACAACAACAAGAACAACAACAACAAATTCAAGATGCTTTGGATTGAAAGCAAAGAAGACCCAAAGTAAAACAGCTATAAGAACAAGGGTATGTATGATATGCCACAGCAAAAGCATAGGTGTGGGTGGTCCCAGAGTTGATGTGGTCGCTCCAGAGGTCCTCAGGGACCCCACTGGTTTTTCATCTTTCCCCTCTGCCACTGCTGTCTGCTGTGATGCCACTCTCAGTGGTTGCAGGAAGACTGCGGCCTTTCCATGCAGCAGAAAAACAGAGTTCTCCTACTCAGCCATTCCTTATCAATAGGGAAAAAAATCTTTTCCTTGGAGTCCATGGCAGAATTCCTATTAGTGCTATTGGCCAGGGCTGGCCCTGTGCCCAAAACTCTGCAGGCAGTGCGGGCTGGTAGGGCTACTCTTCTGGGCCTCATGGTAGAGGGTGGGCTGTGCTCCAGACACGTGGGCAGGAGGGGCTTCTGGTTAGGCCCATGGCATCTGCTACATCCCACACATCATAGAAATCCCTGAGGGGTCGTTTCTGTTGTCTCTCTGTTGGGATTCACAATGAAATTATGATGATGACTGTGGAGTGCTATTTTTATAGGAGCATGGATGCAGAGGCATCTGCATCCTGCTTCACAGCCAGACTCGGGGAATCCCCAGGGAATCATTGGACCACTGAATGTCTGGTCCACTGAGGAAGAGAAGGTGAGCTGATCCTGTGGGAGGAAGAAAGGAGACCCTGGGGGAATCAGGGGCTCGATTAGCCACTGGGGGACATTCTGGAGTGAACAGTGCATAGCCACAAGCAAGAACTAATGGATCAGGAAGAACTGTTTTGTTGCTCTGTGCCAGGCAGTGTGGTGAGTTCTTTGCACTCATTTTGCCTAGGCCTAATCTTGCCAGTGATTATTACCCCAAGTTTGCCAATAAGGGATAATTGTTTCTTGTTTCCAGCTGTTGGCCAATAGCCCCCCCATCACCCATGTGACTCTTCAAATGTGCACCAGATGCTTGAATTCCTGGAGGGATGTGCTCTCACTCCAGGTTTTGCCTGGTCCAGGAGCGTAGCATGGAGCCACTTAGTCATTATCATTTGGGATTTTTTGTTCATTACTGGTAGTTTCTAAAAGCACTGGGGGCAGTCTTTAGCAGGGGGTCCAGCTCTCTTGGCAGCTAAACTGCTCCTTGTAGAAAGTTAGAGTTGCAGAACACACCAGTCTCTGAGAGCCACTCTGTCCAGCGTCACTGAGGGTCGTCAGAGCCTCTGCCTGTGTTCTGCAGATCCGACCTGGGGTACCTCATCCCCTCCTGCTGAAGCAGCATCTGGTTTGCTGATCAGCTTTTCTGTGCTCTGACCACTTTTGACAATTGTCCTGCTCTACCCCTGTCTCTTCTCCCTGTGCATGGAAACAGGACCCTCCTTTGTTTGCCCAAAGCATAACAAACGCTAAGATCTGGCATTTAACACGACTTCCTTAGAAGCTTGGGCATGACCTAGGAGATTACAATGGAGAAGAGGACAACTCCACACTGAGTCTCATGCACACACATAGAATATCTAAGGAATGTTGTACAGGTATCCTGTAACATAGTAGGGATTAGGTTGCTGGAGAGAAAGATGAATGGGAGATTTGCTTTCTGGTCCAAATGTGTTGAATGTTGCACTTGAAATTTAAATCATGTTGCATATATTCCCCTTTCCAATTCAATCAATCAAACAATAAGCACACATGAGATTAGTCACTGCTGTTTCTATAATCTAGAAGCCCTTCACAGGGTCTTTCCTTTTTGTCCCATTTGCTGTCCCATTTTGCAGGGCTTAGCTTATCCTGCCCCCTCTCCACACACAGAGTCCCCCATGGTCCTGAACTCCCTCCCTGAGCCTCTAGGACCCCAAAACACTGTTGGGCCAAAGAGAAAGCCAAGGCAACTCATCCTAACACCCAGGCCTGGTCCTCCACTCCTGGGCAGATGGCCTCTCGCATCACTATGGACTATACCTCTCCTTGTCTCAATCGCTACTTTTTTAGAAGAGGATTTAGGCTTTACCTGCAGAAGCAAAGGTTGACTGAAGAGTTGGCCTCTGCTTGGAGAGGCTCAGTAGCCAAAGGCCAACTGAAGAAAGTAGACCACAGTTTTCCATAGTTCATAGGGAGTCTTGCAGCTGGGGAGATTTTGGAGATAGTGTGCAACCAGCTCATTTACTCATAAAGACATTGAGGGTCAGAGGGAAGAAAGAACTGCAGCTTGAATTTCTCTATCCAGAGAGTGCTGCTGGCCCCAGCATGGCCGCAACCAGGGCCCTGACACTCTCTAACCTATGATTCAGCCTCCAGACTTCCCCAGGCTGTGTGACTAAGCCTGGAGGGGCTCCCCTCAGCTCAAGTCACTGTGGAGTGTTCACAGGGCAGGTGGCAGAGGACAAGACAAAAGGCCAACACTGATAGAGATGCGACAACTGGAAGGTGCTACAGCCCCTTGGACATTGCCTGTGGGAGGGATGGCCAGAGTCTCTCTCCACAGGGGGGTTATGAATGGAGTCTGGAGGGGGCCAGCCTTGAGCATACTGAAGGAAAAGCCTTGTAGGTGGGAGGCCGCCATCAGCTCTCAGATGGAGGCTGCAGCTCTGCAAGACTTAGGCCCAGCCAGGGAGTTCGGAATGCATTCTGGCGCTCCTTGCTGACACTGAAGTACTGGGCAGTCTGTTATGGGTTGGGTGAGTCTCTGAAAATGAAGGTGACAACCACCAGATCATCCCAGGACACTCTTGTCTGTCGGCTTCCTTTTTGGCTTTTCCATGTTCCCTCAGAGTGCTGCTTCCTAATCACGTGTGTCTTCAGGCTCACGCTGGCATTTATTTCCCCCAAGTGGACATGCTGAAGCTGACCTCTATGGATCCTGATTCGGGGGTCTGAGGTGGGGACTGGCTGTGACAGTGTTGGAATTCTCCCCAGGTGAGTCAGATGCATGAGAACATGATCCTCAAACCTTGTTTCCTCTGCACAAGATTCAGCAGCTGGGAGTCAGGGCTGATGAGTCTGGGTGTTGGGTCAGGGCTTGGATGTGTCATCTCCCTCCTTCATCCTCACATCTCTAGTCAGCTCTCCCACTTCCCTCAAGGCCCACAGTAGCCTGTTCCATTCGCCTTGAACGCACTCTCTCTATGTCTGCCACCTCCCCTTTGCTTATGACATTCTTTCAGCTTGGAATGGCTGGCCCTTTTATAATAGCAGGAAGGAAGCCTTTCCTGCTAATCTCATCCCAATCCCCCGACTTCCTACTTCACTCAAGGACTGCACTCCTGGATGCATGTTTGCTACATCCTGCTTCACAGTTTAAAGTGAGGTGCTCTTGCCTCTTATAGGTCCTGTGTCCTGAAACACTCAGCCAACTGTTCTATTGACTGAGCAAATGGTGTAAGAAAAAATGAATGCCCATATGAATGAGTGTCAGCTGAAAGAACAAATGAGTAAATAAATGAACAAATAAAGAATTGCAGACCTCATTGCATGCCTGCACCCCTCCAAAAATAGCACAAACCAAGTCACTTGCTTTCATCTTCCTTCCTGAAACCTCTTCCCTCTTTAGAAAGTGGCTGAGATTGGGGGTGAGCTTCATTTGATTTGACTTGATCTGCTCAGCTCTTATTGACTGAGTTTCATCCAGCTGCAAACTGGCCCATTTGGGTCCATGGCTCAGCAGAAGGCCCCTGGGCTTTTTCTGCCCTCAGAGCACTCAGGACATGCACAGGCCCAAGATTCCACAGCCAGATTATCAATGGCCTCTGCCTGCTTTTTCCGGCTGGCTGTTGCCAGGACCGCTGAGCTATTAATACTCTGCCATCAGCTGCCTTGGAACAATGCATGGTAAGCAGATTGATCCCTCAGCTGACTTTTCTGTGAGCTGGTGGTGGGGGGACGCCTGGGAGGAGTGGGGGTGAAGCAGCCCTGTGGGGCTGGCACCTGGATCTGTCTACAGGGGATTTGTCCAGCACCTCACTCTCAGAGTCACAGGTTTTCCACACCTAAGTCCTGTGTGTCCCTCGACCAACACATCTGCATCATTTCAAGTGTCCTAATGGATGTGATGATTGCCAAGGGCCTTGGGATTGGGTTACCTCTGGGTTATCCCAATTGGATAGTGACTTAGGTGAGAACCTGCAAGGAAGACCCTGAAGCTCTGTCAGCTCAGTGATCTGGGGTTAGATGCAAATGGTCCCAATGTGATGCCTGCCATCTCGGTCACCCCATCTCTATCCATCCTCACTGCCACCTCTGCTGCCTCCAAACAAAGGGTGTAAGAAAAAATGAATGTCCATATGAATGAGTGAATGTCAGCTGGAAAAAACAAATGAGTAAATGAATGAACAAATAAACAAACATATAACTATAATCGCCACTATCCTTACCCCATCCCAACCGTGAAACTACAACCGTTATCATTAATACCCCATCCCACCTCCAAGATTGGCAGATTACCCCATCGCAACTCCAACCCCACCATCAACAGAAGCACCAGCCCAAATACCAAGACTCGCCCCTGCATCACCCTCCACAGCACCCACCCCAACCCCACACGTCCTGTAGCACCCCTCACCATTCCCTTTTCCCGGGTCACCTCTGCTGGCTGTAATGCACTCTGTCACTCACTGTGTCTGAAGAGCCAGGCTGCCCATATCCTGCACCACATACATCCTTGGGCTCCATTTTTCTTTCTAAACTGCCCTTGGGGTGTATTTAAAGCCCTTCTCATTTGTGTGGTCAGGTTGGGGGGTGGTTGAAGAGATAGATAGATTGATGACAACCCTGGAAGGGCTCACTGGCCCCAGACAGTGGGGTACCTTGAGGGCTACAGGCATCAGTGTGGATTTGATCTTGAGATTACCTTTTTGAGTTAGGAGAGGTTTCCAAGAAGAAAGTTACATGAAAAATCCAAAGAATCACAGGATCAGGGGTCATTCAGACAGAGAACGCTTATTAGATACCTGTGAAGGAGTAACATGGCGAAGTGAGGGAGCAGGCTGGGGACAGGAGAGCAGGTGCGATGACCAGAGCAGACTTCTGAGGAGCTGGCATCTGGATAAGAAAGAGCCAGGCATTTGAAGATCAGGGAGAAGTGTTCTGGAGAGAGGAGTCGGCAGACACAAAGGCCCTGAAGTGGAAAGAGCTTGACTGATTTGAGGAAGAGAAAACTAGTGTGCTGGAGCCCCTGACCCCTGGGAGCCAGGTCTCCTTATTTACTACAAGATGAAATAATACACCCCACGCATGGTTATTATGAGGATTCAGTGAGATAATATGCACTAAGGTCAGGCCAGCATATGAAGCACGTATCTTGTACATACTAAGCACTAAATGAAGAGCTATTATTACACTTCATTGCCTTTAAAAGCCTCCTCCACCTACTCCCGACAGCCAGTGGAATGTATCTGGGCTGGACGTGGGGGGCATGGTGACTTTTTTTTTTTTTTTCATGAAGTCTCACTCTGTCACCAGTCTAGAGTGCAGTGGCGCAATCTCAGCTCACTGGAACCTCTGCCTCCCAGGTTCAAGCAATTCTCCTGCCTCAACCTCCTGAGTAGCTGGGACTACAGGTGCATGCCACCACTCCCAGCTAATTTTTGTAGTTTTAGTAGAGACGGGGTTTCACCGTGTTAGCGAGGATGGTCTCGATATCTTGATCTCATGATCCACCCGCCTCGGCCTTCCAAAGTGCTGGGATTACAGGCATGAGCCACCACGCCCAGCCGACATGGTGACTTTTATGAAGCGGTTGACTGGGAATGGAGAGGCACAGGATGGCAGATGAAAAGTAAGTTAGTAAATTGAATTTTTTATTAGAAACTGTGAGTATTCCTGATGAGGCAGGCAGGCCAACACTGCTAGATAAATAAGATACGTAAATTTTTATTCACATCCTACCAAGTCCTACTGATGAAAACATACATTTTGAACATTAACTCCTTCCTGGAAGATTATGTTTCTACTTCTTGGAGATTTTTTTTGTTTCCCTGTAAGCATGGGGAGTTTGATATTCCTGGCCACAGACCTTCAAGGGACACAAAGCAAGATCACTGCATTTCATAACACAGTCTCATGTGTTAATTTTCCATATGTAGATGCTATAGTTTGAATGTTTGTGTCTCCTCCAAAATTAATGCTGAAACTTAATCCCCAGTGCAGCAGTATTAAGAGTGAGGCAGGCCGGGCACAGTGGCTCCCGCCTGTAATCCCAGCACTTTGGGAGGCTAAGGCAGGCGGATCACGAGGTCAAGAGATGGAGACCATCCTGGCCAACATGGTGAAACCCCATCTCTACTAAAAATACAAAAACTAACTGGGTGTAGTGGCACGCGCCTGTAGTCCCACCTACTCAGGAGGCTGAGGCAGGAGAATTGCTTGAACTCGGGAGGCAGAGGTTGCAGTGTGCCAAGATCGTGCCACTGGACTCCAGCCTGGCAACAGAATGAGAATCTATCTCAAAAAAAAAAAAAAAGAAAAGAAAAGAAAAAAAAAGCAGTAAGCCCTCCAGAAAGTGATTAGGCCATGAGGCCCCTTCCTGGTGGATGGAATTAGTCACTGACCAAAGGATTGGGGGAGCTAGGTAGGTCTCCTTTCACCCTTCCACCTTTTCTGCCATGTGAGGACACAGTACTCCTCTCCTCTGGAGGTCACAGCCACGCAGTGCCATCAGGGAAGCGAAGCTGGGCCCTCAGCAGACGCCACACCTGCTGGGGTCTTGATGTTGCGCTTCCCAGCCTCCAGAAATGTGAGAAAGAAACGTCTCTTCTTTATAAATTACCCATTCTGTTGTTATAACAACAGAAACAAAACCAAGACAGTAGAATATAAATCCCAGAGTGCACCTTCTGTGTGTGAATAGCACAACTTGCCCTTTGGGTCCTAACCGCTGGCCTTGAGTTTGGATTACTGGTGCCCACAATGATGACTATTCTAGAGCAGCTCTTGCAGAACCACACACCCAGAAGGGCCACCCAGCGTTGCCCTGAGTGGACTGGGCACGATGTATGAGCTGACAGTCATTCGTTTCAGAATGACATCTTCAACTGTATTATTTTGGCACAGATTTTGTTTTTGTGTTAATCATGCAGGAGCACTCTTTTGTCCCACAAAGTAACACACTCTCTCCCAAACTTCTCAAAATGCATGGCCTTCCTGGTCCAGCTCTTTATCTCCCATAAAGGAACAGTGCAGAGACAGTGAGGAATGGCAGCCAACACATGGCTTCAGGTAGGCTAAGGGATGGGGTTTAAAGAAGACTAGAATCCACAGGAGAATGTGCCCAGCCTGAAGCAGGCACTGTCACGTGCTTCCAGCATATTGTTGCAGCAGAGGAAAATGCCTACTATTTCTGGCTTCTCTAATTTTTCAAGAGAATCCAGAAATTCAGATATTTATAGGATGTCTATCAATTTTTAAGTGTGGGCAAGTAATCCAATGTTTTTAAAAACCCTGTGCAGGGAGCACTGTGAGATCAAAAGCCTATATAGCTGTGGGTGGGATGTGGAGCTCTGTTTCAGAGGATCAGTGCAGGAGGCTGTCAATTTCCTTCCCCTAGTTTCTTCAACTGTTATTCCTGAGGAAAGAGCATGTGATGCTTGCATATGTGACCAAGTTACACTGGTCCTCTGTAGGATTTCATTTTAAAAATTGTATTTTCTCCACTGTGTCCATGGAGGGCAACATGCTTGCCCAGAGCTTTCAACCGAGTTGCCTGGCATCACCTTGCATCCCCTTGCATCCCACCAGCACAGGAGGACTGAGACATATGTTCTCTGGACTCAATTAAAAAATCCCACTGAAGGGCCCTGAGTCAGCCCAACTTGAGTCAAATGCCGTCTTTGGAAGGAATCAACTATAAATGGGGTGGGTGTGAAGTACTGTGATTGGCTGAGCTTGGATCAGGTACTTCCCCCTGGGCCAATCAACTGTGGCTGGAGGGTGTGTGTCTGTGAACCTGGAGGGTCCTATATAAATTGCAGAGCAGCAGCGGGAGGGGTGTGTCCTTGAAGAAGGGAAATGGTCTTGTGGTACTTTGGGAAGATGGACAAGAGGGATCAGAGGCTTCAGATATCTAGGGCTTCATGGGACCATAATTAACAATGAAGTGGTGTTTTGATCGATGAGTCTCAGAGGAAGTCTTGTCCACCTGCACTGCTAGAGCAAAGCTCAGGCGTTGATTCAATCCTGGTTGCTGGGGCCAGTGTGGATGGCAAGTGGGAGGAGATGATGTTTCTTGGGCAGCATCAGGACCCTCTTCTGAATCCCGGACCCTGGGTCTTGTGCTCTAGCCTGCTGGTGTCCCAAGGCTCTCACAGACAAGGCAAAGCTGACAGAGGTGGTTGAGTTCAGAAGCCATGCTTTCGGGGTGTCCAGGAAGGAATTGGGAGCAGGCTGAGGTCACCCTGGGGAGGGGGTTGCCATTTGACTTGAACCTGGAAGAATAAGTGAGGTAGAGGAAGCAGATGAGTGGTGAGGAGCCTAAGGCAGAGGCGTGAAGTGAGGAAAAGGCTGGAACAAAATGTGGGTCAGAAGCACAGAGACAGGGAGTCTAAAAGAGGGACCCAGGCACCAGGTCACCCTGGCTCTTGAATCCTGTTCAGTTTAATATGAAGCTGTTGTCTCTCAGCCCCAGCTCCACCCTTTTACATTTTGCAATGCCGAACTTGAGACTGCAAACCAGGTTTCTACCTTGCCAGCTTCTCTTTGTTAGGCTCCTCTAATTGCCCCCATGATCCTCTGTGAGGCAAGCCTGGGAATGGCTCCTCCCTGTTTCTTGTGGCCTTTCTGTCTCCTCCCTGTTCCTGGGAGAATCAGCCAGCCCTGGTTCTTCCTCATAGTAGTGACAGTTCCTTTCCATTGCAGCCTCTGAACTGTTCCCCTGAGACGCACCAGCAACACCCGAACAGTGCCCCTTCCTGAGGCCTGGGCCCCAGATCTTCTTGGGCCCAGAGACACCAGCACCAATAGCAGAAATGAGAAAGTTCAGAGAAGGATCAAGACCTTAGAAAACATATTTTCTTTATTTCCTCAAAAGTCAGAGTTTTCTCCTAGAAGTTCAATCTAGTTCTGTCACGAATTAGGTTGAATGGATGTGCTGCTCTAATTTTTGGCTCCCTACTCATTTCCATTTGTCTTTTCTCCCCTTCTGCACCAATACCTCATTGCCTAATTACTTGAGATGTGTAATAATTCCTAGTCTTTGACAGGGTGAGTCCTCCTGTCTAAGTCTGCATCTTCAGGACCATCTTGGCTATTCTTAATCTTTGTTCCTCTTTGTCAGTATCAGAAGCAGCAGATCAAGCTACACAATCACAACCACAATACGACAAAAACAAAAAATCCAACCACTTTTGTGTTCAAAACACAATAAGTGCTTTGTGTGCTTTGGAATGCATTGAAGACATAGACAACGGATATTCTTTAATGTTTTTAAATCAGGCTTATAATTTTGTCCATATAGGTCAGGTATATCCTTTGTTAAATCTACTCTTGTGAACTTTATAAGCTTGAGACAATTTTAAATGATACCTTTACAAATGACATTTTAAAATGTTAGTGTATAGAAATGCAATTTTAAAAAGTGACCTCTACTAGTACCCTACAGAGTAATGGTAAATTCTCTTATTAATTCAATAATTCACCTGTAGATTCTCTGGATTTTCTACATGGACAGTCATAGTATCTGCAAGTACTGACTGTTTTGGCTGTTCTTGCCTGATCTTCATAACAATATTTTCCTTGCCTGTCTTTGGGAGCTGGGACCCGCAGTATGATGTTTAATGGAAGCAGTGATAATGGGCCCTTTACCTCCTCCTAACCTTAGGGAAATGCTTTTAACATGCCACTCTTCTATGTGATGTTTGCATTATTGGGTTGAGAAACTTTCTATTTCTAGCTTGCTAGGAATTTTTATAATGAAAGTAAAGTTGTATCAAATGCTTTTTCTTCAACTAAGAGATACTGATCTTTCCCTTTGAACTGTGAATGTATGACTTTCATTCATTGATTTTAAAAAATGTTAAATCCACCTTACACTACCAGAATAAACCCAATGGTGATATATAAGCTTTCTTATACATTGCTGGATTCAGTTTGCTAATATATTTTAAGATTTTCTTACATCTGGGTTCATGAGAGACAGGTTGCCTGTAATTTTATTTTCTTACACTGTTGTGGTTGGATTTGGGAATCCATGGTATGCCAGCTTCATAAAATGATCCCATTGTCTATTTTCTGGAGGATTCTCAGTAAATTTGGAATTGTTCATCTCTTGGGTATTTGATACAGCTCTCTGTGGAACTCAGACCCGGTGCTCTCTCTGTGGAAAGGGATCTTTCTAGCTACTGCTCCATTAAGTGGCTATAGAACCATTCAAAATTTTTGTTTTTTAGTTTTCCTCAGTGTTGGTAAGTTATATTTTTAATGAATTTGCACATATTATCTAAGTTTTCAAGTTTATTGGTATAATGTTGCTGTCCTTGTATTGCCTTCTTAATCACGCAGAATTTGAAGTTATGTTTTCTCTTTTACTCCTAAATTATTTATTCATGCCTTCTCTCAAGTTTTTCTTGATTACTTTTGCCTGAAGTTTTAAAATTTACCATTTCAAAGAACCAATTTTTAGCATTTTTTGTCTATTGTATATGCTTATTTTTCATTAATTTTTGCTTTCATCTTTAGTGTACTCTCCCTTCCATTTTCTTTAGGTTTGTTCTATTGTTTTTCTTAAGATGTTTAGTTCATTAAATTGTAGCCTTTCTTGTTCCTACTATTAACATTTAAGGATATACGTTTCCATCCATACAAGGGAACTTCAAAAATTTCATGGAAAATTTAATTAAAAGATAAAAATTAAAAACATAAACTTTATTTCTCAACATAAGCACCATCAAGTTCAAGACACTTTTGCAAGCAATGAAGCCAGCCAGTCAGTCCATCCCTAAAGAACTGAGGGTCCTTGGAATTTAACCATGTCAATGCAGTCTTTTTTACATTATTAGCTGAAGAAGAATGGGTGCCCCTTACAAACTTTTTAAGATTAGAAAGCAAAAAGAAGTCAGAAGGAGCCAAATCAGGATGGAAGGCAGATGCCTCATGATATCCGATAAAAACTCTCATGAAATTGCCCTTGTTTGATGAGAGGAATGAGCAGGGTCATTGTAGTGGTGGAGAAGGATCCTCTGGGTAAGCTTCCCCAGGCATTTTTTTGCTAAAGCAGAAACTGCTACCTTTCTCAACATACTCTCATAATAAGTAGATGTTATGGTTCTTTGGTTCTCCAGAAAGTCAACAAGTAAAATGCCTTGAGCATCTGAAAAGCTGTTCCCATGACCTCTGCTCTTGACCCATCCGCTTTTGCTTTGAATAGACCACTTCCACCTCTTGGTAGCCATCGCTTTGATTGTGCTTTGTCTTCAGGTAAAGCCACATTTTATCTCCTGTTGCGGTTCTTTGAAGGAATGGTTCAGGATCTTGATTCCACTTGTTTAAAATTTCCATTGGGAGATCTGGTCCTGTCTGCAGCAGATCTGGGCACAATGGCTTGGGCACCCATCAAGTGGAAAGTTCGTTCAACTTTAATTTCTTAGTCAGAGTTTTGTAAGCTGAATGATTTGAGATGTCTATGGTGGTGTCTCTTGTTTCTGCTGCTAATCTTCAGCCCTCCTCGATTAGGGCATGAGCAACATTAATATTTTTTCTCACAAGTTGATGTGAATGGTTGGCCACTATGGGCTTCATCTTCAACATCTTCTTGTCCTTTCTTTAAAGAAGTTATCCATATGCAAACTGCTGATTTTGGGGGCATTGTTTCCACAAACTTTTCATAAGGTACCAATAATTTCATCCTTCTTCCACCTACCTAAGCTTCACCACAAATTTGCATTTGTTTTTGCTTCAATTTTAGCAGAATTCATGTTGCTTTGATAAGGGCCCTTTTCAAAACGATGTCTTATCCTTCTTAGTGCCTCAAACTAGATCCTGACAGACATGTTATAACAAGTTAGTATGAGTTTGTTTTGATGCAAAAAAATTTTCAAATCCATGCTTAGTTTTTTTATAAGCATTTTCTATGAATGTTTTGAAGACCCTTTGAATATCAAATTAGCATTTCATTTCATTTTCATATGCAGTCTTTTAAATATTTTCTAATTTCTATTATTATTTCTTCTTTGACTCGTGTTATTCTGAAATATGTTGTTGAATTTGCGTGTGTGTATATATATATTTTTAATATATATATAATTTGTGTGTGTATATATAATATATATATAAATTATCTTTATGTTATTGATTTTTAACTTAATTTCATCATGGCCAGAGATTAGGGTTTATAAGATACCAAGACACCAATCCTTTGACAGTAGTTGAGACTTTTTTTTTTTGGTCTTAGTATGTTAACAATTTTCGTAAATATTTGTTTTTTGTTTGTTTGTTTGTGATGGAGTCTCACTCTGTCGCCCAGGCCAGAGTGCAGTGGCACAATCTCGGTTCACTGCAACCTCCGCCTCCTGTGTTCAAGCGATTCTCCTGCCTCAGCTTCCTGAGTAGCTGGGACTACAGGTGCACACCACTATGCTTGGCTAATTTTCATATTTTTTTAGTAGAGGAGGGGTTCCACTACATTGCCCAGGCTGGCCTTGAACTCCTGGCCTCATGATCTGCCCACTTCGGCCTCCCAAAGTGCTGGGATTACAGGCATGAGCCACTGTGCCCAGCTCAATTTTTGTAAATATTCTATGTAGACTTGAAGAGAATGTGTATTTCTTTACTGTTGGATGCTGTGGATACTAATTATTATCTATCTATCCGTCCATTGTTATCTTCTATCTTCTATCATCTCTACCTACCTTCCTATCCACCTACCTACCTACCTTCCTTCTTGATCTCTATTATATCAAGACTGGTGTATTTTTCAAATCTTGTGTGTCTCCTTCTTTCTCTCTCTCCCTTCCTTCCTTTTTTCCTCTCTTTGCAAGACAGCTGTGTCAATATCTCCTGAAATAATGATGGATTTGTCTATTTCTCTGTGAACTTCCTGCCAACTTTTGCTTTATATATTTCAAAACCGTATTTCTAGATGCATACAAGTTTATAACTATTATATTAGCTTTGGGGAGTTGATATTTGCATTTTTTTTTACTTTTTCACTTTTATCCTTTCTGCATTGATATGTTTTAGACCTATTTCTTATAAATAGCGTGTTTTACTTTTCTATTATGACAATCTTCTCTTTTAAGTGGAAAATTTAATAGATTTGCATTAATTGTATTTCTAATATAATTGATTGGTTTCTAATAAGTCATTTTGTACTTTCTGTCCAATCTTTTCTATATTTGTTTCTCTTGCTTTCTTTTGAATTGATTAGATATTTTTTCTTATTCCATTTTTTGGGGGCTCTGGTTTAGAATTTATACATGTTTTTCTGTTATGTATTTAACAGGTCTGTTTAACTTATCAAAGTCAAAATTTAATAAATTATAATTTCCCCAAACAATATAGGAACCAAGAACATGTTAATTTTAACTCCTTTCTAAATACAGTATTGATGCCCAGTCTTTTAGTTTTAACCATATTTCTAATCTTATTGGACATAATAATAATTATTATTTGTATAAAATCAGTATTTGTTTAGATTTACTTATATTTTATCATCATGTTCTTGTCAAATATGAATTCTAGGTTGACAATTTTTTCTACTTTCTCCTTGAAAGTATTATTCCTGTTTTCATGGCTTCCTTTGTTGCTGTTGAGAAGACATTTGCCAAAATACTGTTGACACGTTAAAATTTAGCCTGTATTTTCTCTCACATTACTGCTAATACATTCTTATTCTCATCACTATTTAGCACTTTCACTATGATATGGCTAGGTGTGGATTCTTTGTATTTATCCTATTTGGGTCTTTGGGATTTCTGTATTCTGAAGATTGGTGCCTTTAATTAATCCTGGGAAGTTCTCAGTCACCTATTACCTCCCACCATTTCTTCCCCTTCTGAAAATCGGATTAGATGTAGTCTAGCTTTCATTACTCAGTCCTCCATATATTTTTGGCACACATCTGAAGTATGGACTTAATTTTGCTTAACATACTTGGTGCTTGCGGGGCCCATTTGCTATGAGTCTGGTTTTCTAACTCTGGGTCTCCCTTGCCAGGCAAATACTTTTACTTCCTCAGTCAGCAAGCTGGTGCCTTTCTGCATTTTTATTTCTTTTCTGAGTCCACAGAAACGTCCTCCTTGCATTTGAGGCTACTTTCCCTCTTCAGTGCTTTCTCTCTTATAACCATATATTCAGAACAGAAGGGATGCATCTAAAGAGGAAGTTTACATGTGCTATCTTGACAGAAAGTCAAAGTATATAAAAGAGACTGAGACCATCCTGGCCAACATGGTGAAACCCCATCTCTACTAAAAATACAAAAATTATATGGGCATGGTGGTGGGTTCCTGTAGTCCCAGCTACTTGGGAGGCTGAGGCAGGAGAATTGCTTGAACCCAGGAGGTGGAGGTTGCAGTGAGCCAAGACTGTGCCATTGCACTCCAGTCTAGTGACAGAGCGAGACTCCATCTCAAAAGAAAAAAAAAGTGATAATAATGATATTAAGCCTAAATTAAATGAGCTTTCCTTTGCTGCATGAGCGTTCAGCCTAGTTTTGCTTTGTCATGTAATCTGAGAAAGGGGTGCAGGTTCATGTGCTGTAAAAGTTTACATGCTTGTGGACTTTAATGTCTTAGTAGGTGAATGTTAAGGAATTGTAAGGTGAGATACCCAGGGAACGTATTTGCATGCTCTTCACTTCCTTTCTAGAGATAATGGGTTCTTCTAAATTAGGAACTTTGAAAAATGGCAGGAGTTTTATCATTTTGGCCTGTGGTGAAGGAAGATTCCCTCTCATGACACTAAAAGCGATGTTTCTGAATTCCAAATTTGGTGATGCCACTCCCTGCTGAGAATCCTCCTGGGGATCCCAGGAGGATTACAGAGCAAAGTAGAAACTTCACAGCTGGACCCGCAGGGCTGTCAGTGAGCATCTTCCTGTTTCCTTCTCTAGGCTTGCCTCCTGCCACCTTCCCCACTCCACCTATATGCTCCAGCGACTCACAGCACTTTGGACATGTCACAGCCATTTCTACCTAATCATTTACCTCTTCCTGAAATCCTCCATTTGCTAGCTCAGATAACTGATAACTCTGATAACTCAATCATACGTTCTTACCCATTCAGTACTAACAGAGTTCTTCCTCTGAGGTTTTCTTGACCAGCTCCTCTCTCTCCATCCCACCATCTTCTGGGTCATTGAAGATGACCATTGAAGCATCCTGCAGTTTTCTCTCTCCCTGTAGTTTTCTCTCTCCCTATAGTTAGCAAGCTTTATTGCCATTTGGGGGTTACTTTCTATTATTGTTGCTGCCTCTGGGACCTCCCTGAGGACAGGTATTCTTCTCTATAGACCTAGTGTACACACAGGACCAGGCACATAGAAGGTCCTGCATGCACGCTTGGTGACTTGGAATGAAGGTATGTTCTCCCACTATGGTGTATGGGTGGTGCTGGGCTGTCTCAGGGCCCTGCAAGTCCTGCTCTGCCTTGGCCTAGGAACAAAGCTTCCCACTTGAATCTAGGGCAACACCATCCCCCAGGGCTTTCCTCTATCCTGAGAATTAACTGTTTGTATCCAGATAAGACATTTCTGGAAGGATGTACCATTACCACCTCCATTATCCCATCCCAGGCAGACATCTCTGGTAAAGCAGGGAAATCCCAAAGGGACAGCTACCTTGTGGGGTATCTCTGAGAACATGTTTGCCCTGCTCCTGAGGGTTTGCTTGGGAAAGTACCTACTTCAATGGGAATAGATGCCAGCTCTGCAAATGGGGATGCTGGCTTGGCATCCCCACTCGCCTTGAGGCAAGCAGGAGGGTGTCTGGGCCCTCTTAGAGCAATTCTTCTGCAGGTCCCTTGGCTAAACCCCACATTCCCAGATCTCAGTGTGGATCTTCCGTCTCAGAGCTAGCATTTTCTAACACATTGTGTAGTTATTATGTGTACTGGCTAAAGCCTGGGTTCAGCTCTGGGCTTTGCCACTTCGTGCTATGCAATTTGGGTGAGCTTTCTAACGTTTATTTTCTCTATATCCTCATCTGTAACATGGGGAGAAAATAATAATACCTACCTCAAAGGATTGTTTTGAGCATTAAATGAGTTAATAGATTATACCTTGTACATAGTAAATGCTTAGTACACTTAGAAATGTTAGTCAGAACTCATGTCTAATGCACTGTGTAGCCTTAGAAAATCCCTTGCCCCATCTCTTAGCTGGCCTTCTAGCATCTGAGGGCCCTAGTTCTCTCCCATTTCACCAGTCAGTCCCACCCTAGTTCGCTTCCAAACACTCATGGCATGTTAGCAGTGCAGCTGGGCACAGGTCTGGAATCCCTCTCTGAACGAAGGGCCTTGACTGTAGTTTGGGTGATAATCTTGATGATTCACTTTTTCTCTTTTGATTCTAAAGACCACCCCCTTGGGCGTGGGCTGGGAAATACTCTGCAATTTACAACAGTGCCAATTCTTGGTGAGGCTCATCTAATTTTTAAAATTCTTTTTATTATATATTTTTGGTAGGGGATGTGGAAAAGTACTTGGTAGGAGAAAAGTATCTGGAAACAATGACCCATAAAGACATTCATAAAGGTGTCTGATCCTGGAAGGCAAAGAGAAGAGGCACAAGCTGATGCTCCCTCCTGTCTCAGCCTCTGAAGCGGGTGGGGTCTTGGAAAACTTCTTGATTCTGATGGAACTTCTTTTAATGGTCCTAGTACCCTAAGTAATTACCCTTAATATGCAGGTGAAATTTTCCAATCTTTTCTGTGCTTTTTTGGCATGCTTGAGTTTACAGTGGGTATATTGTGTATTTTACTGTTTTTCACTTAACATTATATCATAAGCATTTCCTCAACTTATTAAAAATTCTTTGTAACATCATTTTCTTGCTGTAGAATATTTAATTGCAAGTCTGCATCATAATTCTCTTAACATTCCCCTAATGATGCAAATTTAAATAGTTCTATTTTTTTTCTATGGCAAATAGAGCTGTTATAAGCCTTTTTTAAACGGAAATTTTGGCCCATATTTCAGCATATTGTTTTCAGGATAGACTTTTAGAGGTAGAATTTTTGGATCAAAGAATACGAACAGTTACAAGATTCTTGGCACACTGCCACATGTACTGTCAGAGAGGTCATGCCCACGTTTATATTCACTAGCCAGTGCGAGCCTAGTGACTTTGGGTAAGAGTCTTTCAAATGATCTCTGGCCTAATTTAATATGTTAAAATGCAATACACACAGGTACACCCATATTTACTACACATATATATGCACATACATGTATATATACAAGTGTATACATATACATCTACCTATCTATATCTAAATCGAATCTATCTATCTATATCTACATCCCTATAAAGTTGACCCTTGAACAATGTGAGGGTTAGGAATACCACCCCCATCCCTACACAGTCAGAAATACATGAATAAGTCTTTTGACTTTCCCAAAACTTAACTACTAATAGATTACTGTTGAGTAGACGCCTTACCTATAACCTTAATCAATTGTTGTATGTATCATATAGTATATTCTCATCATAAAGTAAGCTAGAGAAAAGAAAACATCACTAAGAAAATCATAAGGACTGCGTGAGGTGGCTTGCACTTGTAATCCCAGCTACTTGGGAGGCTCAGGTGGGAGGGTTGCTTGAGCCCAGGAGTCCAAGGCTGCAGTGAGGTATGATTCTACTGCTGCACTGCAACCTGGGCAACAGAGAGAGACCTATGTCTCAAGAAAATTATAAAGAAAGAAAATCATAAGGAAGAGAAAATATATTTGATATATTTACTATTCATTAAGTGCAAGTGGATCATCAGAAAGATTTTCATCTTCATGTTGAGTATGCTGAGGAGGAGGCGGGGTTGGTCTTGCTGTCTCAGGGGTGGCAGAGGTGGAAGAAAATCTGCATACGAGTGAACCTGCTCAGTTCAAATCTGTGTTGTTCAAGGGTCAGTGGTGTATATATACATACATATATACAAATATACATGCATATATGTATTTTTTATTAGTAAGGCAGCTGCACATTTTTTTCCTGTTAGAATCATTTTTCAATGGCAGGTGATTAATAGTGGGTGGAATAAACAAGCTACAGAACTTCCTTCTACCTCCCTGGGGGGTAGCTGCTGTTAGCTGCCAAGAATTCCAATTCAGCTTTGCTATTTAAAATCTCCAGCCTTGTTTTAAAAATCAAACATGTCTGTGAGGGGAAAATCTCTCTCCATGTAAACAAACAAAAAATATCTTTCTGATAATACATTTCAACAGGGTATTGAAAGGAATGAAAAATACTCATGGTAAAGAGCTTTCTTCACTTTTAGGCACCTCTGCATCTCACTACATTGGCTAATTCTAAGTTTAAGGAAGAAGAAAGGAGCAAGGTTTATCAACCCCCACCCCCCCCTTTTATTGGGGGTTTTTTTGTTTGTTTGTTTTTGAGACAGAGTCTCACTGTGTCACCCAGGCTGGAGTGCAATGGCCCAATCTTGGCTTACTGCAACCTCTGCCTCCTGGGTTCAAGCAGTTCTCCTGCCTCAGCCTCCTGAGTAGCTGGGATTACAGACACGCGCCACCACAACTGGCTAATTTTTGTATTTTTAGTAGAGACAGAGTTTTGCTATGCTGGCCAGGCTAGCCTCCAACTCCTGGTCTCAAGTGATCCACCCACCTCGGCCTCCCAAAGTGCTGGGATTACAGATGTGAGCCACTGCACCTGGCCTATCACCCCTTTTTTACTAATGAGGAACAAAACTCCAAGAGGAGAGCCACCTGACTCTGCTCCATGTCATCTCCCAGGAGCTGCCTTGTCTTATTCACCTAGTGAGTATCAACTGCAAGACACCAACAGATTCATTCAATTGTCAGCCCACATGTGGTGTCTAGTAATTGCACAGGTACCCAGTATTGAATGGATGACTAGTATTGCTCTGGTATCTAGTATTGCACAAATATCTAGTATTGCACAGGTGCCAGTATTGATCAGATGCTAGTACTGCACAGCTATACCCAGTATTACACAGGTACGTATTGCCCAGGTGCAAACATTGTTTGATGCCAATGTTGTACAGCTGTCCAGTATTGCATGGGAGCCAGTATTGCTCAGGTGCCCAGTATAGAATAGGTGCTCAGTATTGCATAGGGGCCAGTATTGCACAGGTATTCTGCATAGCACATGTGTTGATATTACTCAGATGCTAGTGGTACACAGCTGTTCAGTACTGCTTAGATGCTAGTATTGTACAGGTGCCAGTATTGCCCAGGTGGCTAGTATTCCACAGCTAGCCAGCATTGCACAGGTGCCCAGTATGGAACAGATGATAGCATTGCACAGGTATCCAGTACTTATAACATATGTGAAGCCTGCTCCCTCTGGCATCTCCATGACCTCATTTCTTAGGAAAATGAGAAAGTGGGACACGAGTCCCATACTGGATTTTATGACCTTGTCTGAAACACTTGCCTGACTTCTAGCACAGCCTTTTTTTGGTCTCATGTTCTCACATGGGCACAGGATGGCATTCCGACCTGAGAAGCGTGTCAGAGCTGAGCCGGGGAAGAGTAGTGAACTTGGAATCATCTACATTTTCTTCCCTCCTGTGTCCCTCCCACCACACACTCCACACACATGCCTCGGCATCCCTTTCGGCTCTCCTGTCTCCAGATGAAGAGGGAAGGTGGTGGGCCTTCTCACTATTCTCCCTGCTTCCTCCCTGCCTGGAGGGACGTACTTGGCAGAGAGCTTTCTAATACTCATCCCAAAGAAGAAAACTTGCAGGGTAAAATTTCTGACTCAGGTCAAAAGTCTGGGTGGAATGGCCTTCCCCCTGGCCTCCCAGAGGCATAGAGGCCAGGCCTCATGAGGTAGCCCTTCTGAATCCTTTGCTTTCATTTTCTCTTTGGGATCCTGGTTAGGTATCTTTTGTTGCAGAGGAGCTGCAGATGTGTCTATGTGATACTTAAAAACTTGGTTTATTCCATAGAGATTTTAGTACAAAGGCAGATGAACGGTCTTCATCCACAAACTCAACAGGTCTAGTTTGATCTTTTGCTCCAGGGGCTATTGTGTTCTGTACACATGGTGCTTCATAACCAATTCAGGGTCATATTGATTCACAATTGTGTTAAAAGAGGATTTTGGTGCTCACTTACGCAGCACATATACTAAAATTGGAATGATACAGAGATTAGCACGGCCCCTGTGCACGGATAACATGCACATTCATGAAGCGTTCCATATTTTTATTTAAAAAAAAAATTAACTGGATTTTGTCTCATCCTGAAAGATCTCTCATAAGGTGCTTTTCCCTGTTCAGGCCTCAGTAATTTCTAGGCTGTCTTCCTCCCCAGAGTACAACCTCTAATTCCTCTCAACATTGGATGCAACATAATTTGCAAATCTGACCATATCTGCACCCACTTTCCTCCTGTAAAGGGCTCTTACCACCTTCAATTACAGCATAGTGGCCAGCCCCCTCATTAGCTGGTTCTTTGCAGTCTCTGTGTCGGAGTCATCCTTGGTTACTTCCATACATGCCTGAAGCTGCAGGAAGAACTGCACACTTGCAGGTTCCAATATCACCTCGATTTCTCTGCATTTGTCATCCCCTCACCTAGATAGCTCCTTCAAAACCCATGTCAGAATTCTCCCTCCAACAATCCTTCCCTGACTTCCCCTCAGGCCATTTGGTCCTCTGTGATGGAACCCTTGCAGCTTGAACTATTTTAACACATCTCTTATTGCAGCCAGTGTCCTCCAGGGAGCCAGTAAGGCCTTGCTCAGCTCCAAATCTCTGGCATTGCACCACCTGTAGTGTAAATGCAGAGAACATTTGTGTTCCGAATGAAGGAATTAATGGTGTTATCTCTGCCTGGGAGCTGAGGTCTGGATGCCTACCATCCTTTCACCCTAACACCTCCATTTGTTACCTTAAGAAGACAATGTCCGTGCACTGCAGCTATGAACAAAATGGTCCTTCCTGGGCTGAGCGCGGTGGCTCACGCCTGTAATCCCAACACTTTGGGAGGCTGAGGTGGGCGAATTACCTGAGGTCAGGAGTTCAAGGCCAGCCTGGCCAACATGGTGAAACCCCTTCTCTACTAAAAATACAAAAAATTAGCTGGGCATGGTGGTGGACGCCTGTAATCCCAGCTACTTGGGAAGCTGAGACAGGAGAATTGCTTGAACCTGGGAGGCGGAGGTTGCAGTGAGCCGAGATTGCATCATTACACTCCAGCTTGGGCAACGAGAGCAAAACTCTGTCTCAAAAACAAAACAAAACAAAACAAAACAAAAAAGGTCCTTCCCTGGAGAAAGGAGTGGCCTCACTCTGACTTGGGGAATCTCAGTAAGCCCAGAGGAAGCTTTATCTTGAGAAAGCTGAATATAGAACTTGTTTCTAAGTACTTTTTGAGAGAAAAAAAATGATAATAATTTCAGCTACTTGAAAAATAAAAGGTGGCTTTTTTTTTGTATTTGGTTCTAAAAAAACTAGGAGATCTGCATATCTTAACATCAGCTTTGGAGGTCTATAATGTTGGCAAGAGACCTCTTGATTACAGGATGATCTTAGAATAGAGGCTGGCGAACTCCACCCAACCTTATTGCCAGGGCTCTGGATTTATGGATCCACCCATGAACCAAAACATTCTCACAGCTGTATGCCTCTATGTGTTCCTGTCATAGCAAACCAATAAAAAAGACCAAGCCTGCAGTGAGATCTCTCATACACTGGCCAGAGGATGGAGAAAAGTTTTCTGCTTTAAACTCTTGCATGTGGTTTGAGAAACAGAAGATGTTTTTGATTTTCTGGAGAGAAAGCTGGGACACTTTAAAGACCTATGAGCCCTGTTATTTAGTTCATTGCATTGTTCATTCAACATGTATTTATTGAGTACTCACAGGTACCAGGCACAATGTTAGGCAGTGCCTACCTTTTTGGGAGACAATTCTCCATGGGTCTCTTGCATTTTTCACATCTGTTGAGTGAGGCAGGAACTGCACTGTGTTCTTGACTACCTTTTCCAGGATGTTTGTGTATTAAACAGACTTGGAAGACCCAGTAGTAGCTCCCTCCAGTGCAAAAGGCAGGCATTTTACTGCCCATTATGAGATTCTGATTTTCTTGGTTCAAGATTTCTCTTCTGGAACTCCACCCACCATATGGATAAACATCCTCTGAGATCACCCACATCACCCACGTCTAACTTGGAGATGAAGAGATGCCATTCAAATATGCTGATGTCATGCTGCTTGCTGGGCTGTAAGTGCCTTTATCTCTGACCCAGGTATCTCATGTCTTCTGTCAGCATCTATGAAACTGGTATAGGCCGAATTGCTCACTTAAAAGCAGGGCAAAACCTCAGACCCTTCACAATTCTTGGCAAGTTTATATCTTCCTTTAACTTACTATTCAAAACATGAAAATGCAAATATTTTGTCACCATGTTACTGGTAAGAACCGTGGAGCACGGAGAAGTTAAGTAACTCTTCCTAGGTCACGCAGAGCTAGTTAGTGCCTGAGATGAGATTTTTGTCCAAGTCTGTCCAATTCCAGAGCCACTCTCTTTTCATAGCATCATGCTGACATGCTAAATTGCAAACATTAAAATGCCTGTAGTTCTACTTGTGGCAGTGGGCCAGCTAAAGTACTGTTGGCCCCTAAATCATTCCCGTTGCTATGATGATAAAAATCTTTAGGTAAGGAATGAAAAACAATTGAGCAGATTCTCTCCAGGGAGGACAAAAAGATAAAATCATGAAGGGGAGTTCCTTCCATTAAAAAAAGAAGAAAAAATTCTCTCTAATATTTACATAACAATTGGCTCAAAGCCTTGACCTCCTGCCGCTTCTTCTGGTGAATAGATGAGATCCATCTCTCTCCAGGCAGGATGGGCCAAGTCATGTGAAATTCAGACTAAACAATGGAGCAGCTGGAGGAGTGGGTGAGCCCCAGGGTGGGGAGGCCTCCAGCTCCACAGGCAGGGTCTGAGCCTTGCTAGATCTTTTGAAGCCCCTTTGTGAATTTCCATGGTGCATTTTCATCTTTTGTCTTGTTTAACTTGATCATTATCTTATCCATATGATAGAGACTGACTTGTTCCTTCAGTGACTCTTTATTACCTATGCAACAAAGTCCTAATTTCTTAGCTTGGGACTGAAGCCGCTCTGTGGTCAAGCCCTTATATACTGTGCAACTGGCCCAAGCCTCCCTTCTTCTCTAAAGCCTTTCCTAAGTCCATCTCACTCCCAAGATAGAACTGATCTCTCTCTCCTTAGTGTTTTAAATTGATCTGTATCACTACTCTCTCAGCATCCATAATACTTTAGGGCTTATATATATTTACATGTTTATCTTCTCCCCTAAGCTAGGGACCCCTGAAGGCAGAGGCTGCTATATTCAGCTATGTAATTTCAACACTTACATGGTACCTAATAAATGTTTGTGGATTACAGCTATATACTCAGACACACACACATATATATTATCTATCTGTCTCTGAATCTGAAATTTAATCACTAAATACTCTTAGTTTGGGAATGAGCACTTTGAAGAAGCACAAATCATCTAAGAAGTGTTGGTAGGGATGCTTTGGCATGATGTAATCTAGATGATCACTTTCCTTTTCATAAGACTGGCCTGGGTGCAAGCGTCCTGGGTGCTGGAAGTGTGGATGAGGTGTGACCGGGCTGGCAGCACTTGCTATCTCTATAAGCTAATCATCCCACCAAGAGCAGATAGGCTCCACTGCATTATCTCTCGCCACCAGGAGAGACCTCTCAACCAGGCCAGCTCTGACTAGGGATGGGGATGCTGGCAGAGGTGCCTGGGCCATCACTGTCCAGGGCCACTGGGTGGCAGAGACCTGGCTGGGGATTCTCTGATCCCAGCACTGGTCAGTCATGCCAGCATCCATGAGTCTTGATGCCACCTGCTCTGCTCCCTGGGCAGCTCCTGCTGACTCATCTCAACCTCCTGAAGGGAGGCCAGACAGGCCTGAGTTAAATGGCTCCTCTGCCATTAGAAACTGTGAGACCTCCAGTAAAGCTCATTGACCTTTCTGCACCTCAATTTCTACAGATCTAAAGGGAGGATAAGGATATCCACTTGCCAGGATTATTTCGAGGATTAAAGGAGGCTTATGTGCAAAGAAGCTGGGATTTTCTACAGACAGAGCTCTGTCCCTTTCCCTCTTCTTCCAGCCCTTCTCTGCCCCATCCCCTCTCTTCCTTTCCTCTCCTCTTTCTTCCTTCTTAACAGTCTTTTTGACTCTTTGGTGTGTGCAAATTTGTGCATTATTTACCCCAACTAACACTGGTTGCAGACGTGCTGCAGAATGACTTAGTGCATTGCTGGAGGAAGTATCAGATTTAAAAACCTGGTCCCTAATCTAAGAGAGGATTATTAATTGCCCACAAGTGTCCACCAGTGTGCACTCTGTGTGTGTGTGTGCATTATCTCTTTAAGTTGCCCTGCTCTCTGGTGTGGCCATCTGGCCTCTGCAGTTAGCCTGCAACAGTTCCCTCCTCGTGGCATCTGAGCTAGGCCACCTGGGACAAACCAGCTCTGCAGCTTCCATGTCATCACTACTGCTGCTGAGCCTGATTCTGGCTGGGTCTGGGGACCCAGTAGACTGGGAGCAGACTGTGTTTCAATTGTTTTCCAGGACACTAGGCAGGCAAAAGAGTGAGGATAAAGGGAGGTGAGGAAGGGGAGGTGAGTGGCCAGGGAGTCAAGCTTAGTATAGACAGCCCCTGGGCCCAATGAGGGAGAAAGGAATGAGTTACCATCATCCTTCCCCCACATAGGCACCTGCTCTCTAGGAGGCCTCGAGAGCCCTGGGCTCATCCTCTTCTGGAGCCTTTTCACCCCAATGAGTGTCTATGTGTAGGTTCTGGTGCCTCCTCTGTGCTCACTGGACAGTGATCTGTGCTCCCAAACCTGGAAGATGTGGGTGCTCAAAAACCTGAAATGGCATTGCCACAGGAGGGGATGTTAGAAACCATTTACCTGAGTGTTTCCAAAATGTGCTCCGAGGACCACTTGGTCCACGAGTTCCTAGCAGGTATCGTGTGAGCAAATGGGGTCTCTGGTTCAACATGCTTGGGAAAGGCTATGTGCACAGCTCCCCTCCCACCAGTGTCAGCATCCACACTGGGCCAGTGAAGACGCTGAGGAGCCTGCACTGCTTTCACTTTACATGATACATCATTTTCTAAACTGACTTGTGCATATTCATTGGGCCTATTTATCGCCATTTTTGCCACACTGGTGTTCTGAAGATCAGTGTGGGCCATGCAGATACAGCCAAGCCCTTTATTTCATAGATGAAGGCCTGCGAGCTCGGGTCACCAGGAAAAGGTCTCACTTTTGGACCAGGCTTCTGCCATCACTGCTTCTGTGAGCTCCCAGCTCATCTCCCCCACCACGGCCCCAGGATTGCCAGCTCCTCTGACAGGTGGACCCCCCACTGAGCTCACATTCCCCGTAATCCTCCCAGGGAGATCTTTGGGACCTTTCTGCCAACTCCCAAGTGGAGATGGTGCAGCCTCAAGAATCCTGAGCCCCAGGGAGTACCTAGGTGACCCCAGCACCTGGCGTGCAGTCTTTAACCTCATAGCTGCTGGTCCTTGGAGTGACAGCTGAGCTGTTGGGAATCTTGGAAAAACTCGCCTGGAAGGGGATGGTTAACCAGTTCATCTTCTCTTCCTGTTACTCTGTGATTTTGAGTGACAGCTACTCCTCAGGAAGTGTGCAGAAGTAGTGCAATGAAGAATGTTTGTTTACCGCTGCACACAGTTGCTGACACTGGAAGACAGGGAGGTCTGAGCACTTGACCCTCAACGCTGGGAGTCAGGCACAACAGAGGTGTCATTATCAGCATCATTTGTACGTGAGGGAGGAGAACACGGGGGCCAGAGGGGTCAAACAAGTTGTTCAAGGTCCTGGGACCAGGAAAGGGGAGCTGGGACCCAAAGCCATCGAGCGGAGCTCTGCAGCCTCTGCTTCCACCCCTGGGTGCCACGGTCACTGTGATTGGAAGGACAAGACTCACTCATATTTTTGGATCAGGTCCATTTGTTCTAATACTGCACCTTGGAAAATCAACACTTCAGCTAGTGCCCTGGCCACTGGGAACGGCTATTTCTAGAGGGACATTTCACCCTTCCTTTTGTTTCCTGCAGCTGGTGCCCCTGTAGGGAAAGGAAAGCTGGTCACTTGTCCTTCCTCCCTTGGCAGGCTTGGGAGCCGCCTGTACTGGCTGTGCTCTCTGGGAACTGGCCCCCACAAGAGCCAGAAATGAACTGTCCTGGCCCCGTCAGAGAATATAATATTGCACAGGTGAAAAGCAAGCCCTGGGTGGCGTTTATCTTTCCCCAGATAACTACAGTAATACTGTTGGACTCGGAATGCTCGGTTACATTTCAAATTTATTTCCAATCGTTCTGAGCTGGATCAATGGCAGACAAAGGTACCTTTTAGCTCTGGCACCTGCTGTTCCCCCCAAATGTCAAGGACTGACATTTGATGCCATTATCCCCAGTCAGCATACAGATGACTTATTTCCTTGCTTCCCCAGCCCCCGGGTACCCCAGCACCCCCTCACCCTCAACAAGGACTTTCCTGCCAGTGAGCTGATGTTGTCCTGCACTGCCCAGGGGGCCCCATGTGCCCAGATTTTCTCCCACCTCCGTGGAGCAAAAGGTGGCCTCTGGGGTGGCCATCGCCTCCCTGGGTCCCTGGGAGTGGCCTCTTGTAGCGCGAGTCCTCCTCCGTTCCTCCCTGGGCAGGCACCTAGTGTTTCCAGGTGGCTATCTCGGGAAGAATCAAGTGCTCTCTCTCTCTGTCTGGTGGTATCAGCAGGGGTGCTGGGCGATGGGGTGTATTTTTCCTGATGGAGATGGGGGAGGCATTCAGGGAAGTGAAGTCTGTTGTCCCTCAAATAAAGTACTCCTTTCTGCTGCTATCACCAGCATCTTGGAGGGCAGGGTCTCCCTGCAGGGCTGCATCTGCACTCTCAGCAAACTCCGTGCCCTTGGCCTCATTGGTGTGGTACGTGCCCTTGTGCCGGTACATGTAGCGCAGCATGACGAAGAGGAGGGAGACTAGGACGATGGCCACAGCAGCAATCACACCTGCAGGTGGGAAGAGGTGCAAGGGTCAGTCTGAGGCAGGGGCTCTGGGGCCTGGGATGGTGGTCAAGACCCACAGGGGTTGTGTGAGGACAGATACAATGCCACAACCAAAAGAGATGCTCCTTGATTTATGATGGGAGCCAGGTTCCTGTAAGCCCATAATAAGTTAAAAATACTGTAAATGAAAAATGCATTTAATACTCCAAACCTACTGAGCATCGAAGCTTGGCCTAGCCTACCTTAAGCAGGCTCAGAACACTTAACATTAACCTAAAGTCATGCAAAATCATCTGACCCAGAGACTATTTTATAATATAGTGTATCATACTATATATTGCCAGCCTGGGAAATGGTCAAAGTTCAAAATTCAAAGTACCGTTTCTACTGAATGCTTTTGCATTCACGCCATTCCAAACTCAAGAACTCATAAGTTGAACCGTGTACACTGGAGACAACTGTACCAACACCAAACAGGCCAGTTCATTCCTTCCCCATGCTTCACCAACCTGTTGTGTGGTGGCACTGTAACCTGTGCCTTCCTAAAATGATTCTCCTTTCCTCTTCCCTCCTCTCCTTCCTTCCCTCCCTTTTCTTTTTCTTCCTCACAGTTCTGCTACTAACCACTCTAAGCACTCTG
Source organism: Homo sapiens (assembly GCF_000001405.40). Taxonomy (NCBI): domain Eukaryota; kingdom Metazoa; phylum Chordata; class Mammalia; order Primates; family Hominidae; genus Homo; species Homo sapiens. The sequence goes on along the minus strand of NC_000002.12, from coordinate 126,695,308 downwards.
CAGACACGTTAGAATCATACCCCAGGACTGAACCTTGTTTGGAGATTTTCCGTTCTAAAACCAGGAAAGTCCCAGAAAACAGGGCAGAGCTGGTTGCTCTATGTACACTATACAGGGGGAAAAAAGATGAGGCTATTAACTGTGCTTGGGGAAGGTTGTGTGGTTTGTGTTTTTCAATGGCCTGATGGCTGCTCCTCACCCTACCCTGCTCCCATTCCCTCCTGGGGACTGAGGACGGGGCGAATCTGCTGGAGGAGCAGGACTTGGCCACACAAAGGACTGAAGTGGGAGAGGGTAATGCAGAGGATGCCAAGGTGGTGGCTGTGCGAGGGGCGGTCACCCCTCACTTCTGCTGGGACTCCAGAGGGGTGGGGAAGTACAGTGTGAAGCTGCTCAGGAGGGGTCAGATCACTCAGGACCTTGAAAGTGAGGGGGCAGCAGTCTCATGGGGTGGGGGTGTTTTGAGTTTGGGCATTTACTTTGAAGCTGCAGAGCAAGCCTGTCTTTTCTTAGAATGCAGGTTTATTTGGAGGCCTTGGGGAGGGACTGCTGAAGAATATGGAAAGTCTGAAACTGCTCCCAAGTCCCACCTTTATAGAACAATTTCCTAAACTTCCTACTGCCTTCAGGGGAACACTTGTATCTGCATAATGTTAATAATATCATCTAGGAAGAATAAAAGCTCAGTGGTGCAATGAGTTGGAGAATGCCAGGTTACACAGAGTCCAACAGGTGTCTTTGATTGCTTGCTTCTGCTGCTTTTTCTTTCTTTTCAAATTGTAGATGTTTCCTGAGTTATTAATAAGCTGCTGAGAAGTGTGGATCTCAAAGAAGGTCGCAGAGCACACAGCACCTCCCAAACTTGGTTGTTCTTCAAACACAGTTTGCAGTCACAGCCATGACCCATGGGGAGCCCCTTGCCCAGGGTTCAAAGCAAGGCAAAGGCAGGATCAAGTTTCCTTGAGGATGGAGGGTTGAGGGTCATGGACCCAGGGCAGAAAATAATGTGGGATGAGGGAGATGGTGGAGAAGTCTAAGTAGCCTGGTCAGTCTACCCTCATCTCACCTCCACCCTCAACCTCCTTCACCAAAACTGCTGCCTCTCCAGCTCCTGAGTTCCTGTGAGTCAAAAGCCCTGAGAAAGGCCAATAAATACATACATAGATACGTACGATGTATGCATGTATATATATATTTACCCAGGGCTAGACTCCTCCATTCCACATTCAAAACCACCTCTGAGGGAGAGAAAAAATGGCCACAGCCACCACTGCCCAAGTCCTTAGGTCAGTTCTCCCCTGGATGTTTTCACCAAGGCCCCCCACCCTGGCTGCTTGAAGGGCTCTGTGATGAGAGCTCACCTGCAATGACGACAATGTCCATTATGGTGGGGGTGGAGGTCTCCATTCTGCCATCCGGCCATCCAGACATCCCTGGATCAGGCTCTGTGAACAGAGGACAAGAATCTGAGGTCAGAGAGGAAGATTCTCCATGCCTAGCAGCACCTTGGCCCAAGCTGCATCCTTTGCTCAGGTGTGAGCAGCTCTGAGAATGGGTCCAAGTGGAAAGGAGCAGTGCGGCGCACCCACTGCTCCTAGCAGGGATGCACAGACCAGGAACCAGGTTCTGCTTGGTCACTGACTGGGATGGAACTGTTTGAACCTGAACCACCAGGTCACTCCAGGCCCATTTGAGTTATCTGCCTAATGCCTGCACTGAGAGTGGTGCTGCACGTGGTAGATGCTCAACAGATATCTGTGCTGTGTATGAAGGCAGGGACTCTTGTTGTGTTTAAGAAAGAATGTTTGTGGAGTGTCTGATGCTCACACCAGGTGTCTCAGTCCATTTTGTGTTGCTATAGCTGAATACTTGGGTAATTTATAAAGAAGAGAGGTTTATTTGGCTCACAGTTCTAGTGGCTGGGAAGTCCAAATTGGGCAGCTGCATCTGGTGAGGGCCTCATACTACTCCCACTCATGGCAAAAAGCAGAAGGGGATCTGACATTCGCAAAGAGACCACAAGGTGATATAGAAAGCAAGAGAGTTTAGAAAGCTGAATTTGCTTTTATAACAACCTGCTCTCCAGTGACTAATCCAGTCTCACGACAGCTAGAACTCCCTCCCTCCCTCAAGGGGGTATTAATGTATGCATGAGGGATCTGCCCCTGTGACTCAAATATCTCCCACTAGGTCCCACCTCCCATCACTGCCACCTTGGGAATCAGATTTCAACATGAGCTTTTGCAGGGTCAAACCACATCCAAACCATAGCACCAGGTGTTGCTTTAACTGCCTTCTATCTACTCTATCATGCAGTCTTCACATCCATCCTATGAGGTGCCTGGTGTTAATGGCCCATCTCACAGGAAGAACACCAAGGTTCAGAGACGTGATGTGCCCTTGATCACACAGCTCATCCGATATCAGGTCAGGACTTGGCCAGTGCTCTTGCCTCTGGAGTGCACTTTCTCTCTTGGAGAAGCCCTTCCCAGGGCTCCTGTCTGAGGAGTCATTCCTGAAGCCCTCCCATAGGTCTTTACATTGACTCTGCTGTGGGAAGGACCACTCTATGACACTATCCAAGTTACTGAGTGTGTTTTTTCACAGCTTAATGACCTGGCCAAAGAGGGTAGGATGTCTAGGACATTGGGGACCGGGATGTTTCCTAGAGCTGCTGCACAGAATGCCTTCTCTCCTCTGGGAGATGATTGTGAAGAAGGATTTATTGGATCACAGAAATATCAGTGTTAACATAGGAAATCCCACGTTCCCATTACAATGGCTCTACATAATAAAACAGAGAAGGATGCTTCATAATAGTCATTTCCACTCAGATAATCACTTTAATTATAGTGCTATGAGGTCATTCTCCCCAGTGCAGCTGCCAGATGCCTCTTTCTTATAAGTAACTGCCTGCTGGAGTCAGGAGTCATAATGGGTGAGGGGAAAACAGACTCCCAGCTAGGGGTCCACAGCAGGACACAGATGGGCCAAGCTAGGGGTGTCTGGGGCCACCAAGGAGCTTGGAGGTGGGGAAGAAGATAATACAAGGCACTGAGGCAGCCCAGGGACCCAGTGAACACTGGCTCAGGATCTGGGTCTCGGGAGCCAGGAACCAGGCAGGGTATAGGATCCAGCATTCACGGTGTTTCTCAGTAGCAAGACCTGAAGCAAGGGCCGTAGCAAGTTCAAGTGGGTGCTAGACTTTATTATATAGAGTGAACAAGTGCAGCCTCCAGTTTAGTATCTAGCACATAGTAGGTACTCAATAAATATTCACTGAATGCATGAGTAAATGCATGCATATATAAATGAATGGATTTAGTGGTGGGGTTCTAGACTTTTCCAATCAACAAGCACCTCAAAGTTCAGAAAGAAAGAATAACACCTTGCTTAAGTAGGCATGGATGGTTATAGAAGCTCAAATACCCAGAACTGCCCTCAGAAATTTTCCAGGTGAAGACAGCATTTATTAGGACAGTTTGTCCAACACAATCAGCGTTAGAAGAGACTGTTATTTCCTCTTCCTTTAAAACAACTAACAATCGCTTACTAGGTGCCAGGTGCAGGTCTCAACATTTAAAGCAATTTAACATGGTCCTTGCAACAGTTGCAAGAACACTGCTTGGAGATTATTCATTCTAAAACCAGGGAAGTCCCAGAAAACAGGGCAGAGCTGGTTGCTGTATGTACACTATACAGGGGGAAAAATGAGGCTATTAACTGTGCTTGGGGCAGGTTGTGTGGTTTGTGTTTTTCAATGGCCCGATGACTGCTCCTCAGCCTACCCTGCTCCCATTCCCTCCTGGCGATTGAGGACTGGGGTGAGTCTGCAGGAGGAGCAGGACTTGGCCACACAAAGGACTGAAGTGGGAGAGGGTAACGCAGAGAATGCCAAGGTGTTGGCTGTGCGAGGGGCAGTCACCCCTCACTTCTGCTGGGACTCCAGAGGGGTGGGGAAGTACAGTGTAAGGCTGCTCAGGAGGGGTCAGATCACTCAGGACCTTGAGAGTGAGGGGGCAGCAGTCTCATGGGGTGGGGGTGTTTTGAGTTTGGGCATTTACTTTGAAGCTGCAGAGCAAGCCTCTGTCTTTTCTTAGAATGCAGGTTTATTTGGAGGCCTTGGGGAGGGACTGCTGAAGAATATGGAAAGTCTGAAACTGCTCCCAAGTCCCACCTTTATAGAACAATTTCCTAAACTTCCTACTGCCTTCAGGGGAACACTTGTATCTGCATAATGTTAATAATATCACCTAGGAAGAATAAAAGCTCAGTGGTGCAATGAGTTGGAGAATGCCAGGTTACACAGAGTCCAACAGGTGTCTTTGATTGCTTGCTTCTGCTGCTTTTTCTTTCTTTTCAAATTGTAGATGTTTCCTGAGTTATTAATAAGCTGCTGAGAAGTGTGGATCTCAAAGAAGGTCGCAGAGCACACAGCACCTCCCAAACTTGGTTGTTCTTCAAACACAGTTTGCAGTCACAGCCATGACCCATGGGGAGCCCGTTGCTCAGGGTTCAAAGCAAGGCAAAGGCAGGCTCAAGTTTCCTTGAGGATGGAGGGTTGGGGGTCATGGACCCAGGGAAGAAAATAATGTGGGATGAGGGAGACGGTGGAGAAGTCTAAGTAGCCTGGTCAGTCTACCCTCATCTCACCTCCACCCTCAACCTCCCTCACCAAAACTGCTGCCTCTCCAGCTCCTGAGTTCCTGTGAGTCAACAGCCCTGAGAAAGGCCAATAAATATAAATACAGATACATATGACATACCTATGTATATTTATTTACCCAGGGGTAGACTCCTCCATTCCACATTCAAAACCACCTCTGAGGGAGAGAAAAAATGGCCACAGCCACCCCTGTCCAAGTCCTTAGGTCAGTTCTCCCCTGGATGTTTTCACCAAGTCCCCCAACCCTGGCTGCTTAAAGGGCTCTGTGATGAGAGCTCATCTGAAGTCACGGCAGTTTCCATTATGGTGAGGCTCTGTGATGAGAACTCACCTGCAATGGTGGTAGTATGCATTGTGGTGGAGGCAGAGGCCATCCCCGGATCAGGCTCTGTGAACAGAGGACAAGAATCTGAGGTCAGAGAGGAAGACTCTCCATGCCTAGCAGCACCTTGGCCCAAGCTGCATCCTTTGCTCAGGTGTGAGCAGCTCTGAGAATGGGTTCAAGTGGACAGAGACAGTGTGGTGCACCCACCGACTCCTAGCAGGGGTGCACAGACCAGGAACCAGGTTCTGCTTGGTCACTGACTGGGATGGAACTGTTTGAACCTGAACCACCAGGTCACTCCAGGCCCATTTAAGTTCTCTGCAGTATGCCTCCACTGAGAGTGGTGCCTGCATGTGGTAGATGCTCAACAGATATCTGTGCTGTGTATGAAGGCAGGGACTCTTGTTGTGTTTAAGAAAGAATGTTTGTGGAGTGTCTGATGCTCACACCAGGTGTCTCAGTCCAATTTGAGTTGCTATAGCTGAATACTTGGGTAATTTGTAAAGAAGAGAGGTTTGTTTGGCTCACAGTTCTAGTGGCTGGGAAGTCCAAATTGGGCAGCTGCATCTGGTGAGGGCCTCATACTGCTCCCACTCATGGCAAAAAGCAGAAGGGGATCTGACATTCGCAAAGAGACCACAAGGTGATATAGAAAGCAAGAGAGTTTAGAAAGCTGAATTTGCTTTTATAACAACCTGCTCTCCAGTGACTAATCCAGTCTCACGACAGCTAGAACTCCCTCCCTCCCTCAAGGGGGTATTAATGTATGCATGAGGGATCTGCCCCTGTGACTCAACTATCCCCCACTAGGTCCCACCTCCCATCACTGCCACCTTGGGAACCAAATTTCAACATGAGCTTTTGCAGGGTCAAACCACATCCAAACCATAGCACCAGGTGTTGCTTTAACTGCCTTCTATCTACTCTATCATGCAGTCTTCACATCCATCCTATGAGGTGCCTGGTGTTATTGGCCCATCTCACAGGAAGAACACCAAGGCTCAGAGACGTGATGTGCCCATGATCACACAGCTCATCCGGTATCAGGTCAGGACTTGGCCAGTGCTCTTGCCTCTGGAGTGCACTTTCTCTCTTGGAGAAGCCCTTCCCAGGGCTCCTGTCTGAGGAGTCATTCCTGAAGCCCTCCCATAGGTCTTTACATTGACTCTGCTGTGGGAAGGACCACTCTATGACATTATCCAAGTTACTGAGTGTGTTTTTTCACAGCTTAATGGCCTGGCCAAAGAGGGTAGGATGTCTAGGACATTGGGGACCTGATGTTTCCTAGAGCTGCTGCACAGAATGCCTTCTTTCCTCTGGGAGATGATTGTGAAGAAGGATTTATTGGATCACAGAAATATCAGCATTAACATAGGAAATCCCGTATTCCCATTACAATGGCTCTACATAATAAAACAGAGAAGGATGCTTCATAATAGTCATTTCCACTCAGATGATCACTTTAATTATAGTGCTATGAGGTCATTCTCCCCAGTGCAGCTGCCAGATGCCTCTTTCTTATAAGTAACTGCCTGCTGGAGTCAGGAGTCATAGTGGGTGAGGGGAAAACAGACTCCCAGCTAGGGGTCCACAGCAGGAAGCAGGTGGGCCAAGCTAGTGGTGTCTGGGGCCACCAAGGAGCTTGGAGGTGGGGAAGAAGATAATACAAGGCACTGAGGCCGCCAAGAGACCCAGTGAACTCTGGGTCTGGAGTCAGCACCTTGGGAACCAGGAACCAGGCAGGGTAGAGGATCCAGCATTCACAGTGCTTCTCAGTAGCAAGACCTGAAGCAGGAGCCATAGCAAGTTCAAGTGGGTGCTAGACTTTATTACAGTGAACAAGTGCAGCCTCCAATTTAGTATCTAGCTCATAGTAGGTACTCAATAAATATTCACTGAATGCATGAGTAAATGCATGCATGTATAAATGAATGGATTTAGTGGTGGAGTTCTAGACTTTTCTAACCACTATGCACCTCAAAGTTCGGAAAGAAAGAATAACATCTTGCTTAAGTAGGCATGGATGGTTATAGAAGCTCAAATACCCAGAACTGCCCTTAGAAATTTTCCAGGTAAAGACCAGCATTTCTTATGACAGTTTGTCCAACACAATCAGGGTTAGAAGGGACTGTTATTTTCCCTTCCTTTAAAACAGTTAATAATTTCATACTAAATGCCAGGTGCTGCTCTCAACATTTAATGTATTTTAACTCAGACCTTGCAACATTTCCATTCGATAGGAGTTATTATTAGCCCCATTTTCCAGATTTGGCAGCTGCGTCCCAGAAAAGTGTTATTTTCCCCGGCTTGTACCTTGAGAGTCAGAAGTCAATCATTTGAAGCCCTGGCAGCCTTGAGTCAGTGTGTTTAGCCTTACAGGGCACTGCAAAGTGTAGAGCCTTGGTAAGCTGGTTTCCAGGTGAGATATTTGGCTTGAACAACTTGGGGTGCATTTCTTGGCTTCTGGTTAGGGACCTTGTACTCAAATCTGTATACTGGGAGACTACACACACTTCCAGCAGGGCAGCCAGGCTGGGAGGGGAGGTAGGACCTGAGAGCTTCGGGGCCTCATTGGGAGACCATTGGGATTGCCAGCTGGGCCTCCCAATGTGGGCTCCCTCCAAGCTCATGCCCTCTGAGGAGCGTGGTGGGCAGGAAAGTTCCCTCAGCTGGAACTACTCTCTCCATGCCCCCCACCCCACCAAGTGTGTGGAGCTGAATTTACACATGTTTCACAATGTGACAGACTCCAGGGGAGTGACATTTCAGCCCAACCAGAGCTGCCCTATATTGATAGATCAGAATCAGCATAGAGAGGAAGCTCAAGGCTGTCTGGGAAGGTGTGGATGCTGTGAGACAGCAATTCTCAAAGCATAGTCTCTGGATACACAGCATCCTCTGGGAGCCTGTTAGAAATAGAAATTCTCAGGCCCCAGCCCAGACCTACTGAAGAAAAACACTAGGACTGGGACCCAGTAATTACTATAGTAGATTCTGATTCATGCTGTAGGCTGGGAAGTGCTGGTGTAAAGAGGGCTTCCAGAAGCGGTGACATCAGGATTAGTCCTTTAAGGGCAAATAGGAGTTTGCTGCACAAAGCCTATAAGCATTCCAGGCAGAGAGCTCAGCATCTAAGGCAGCTCTCCCCACTTCTCAGCTTTCTCCCCAGTGTCTGCTTGCCATCCACGGCTCCAAGGCTCCGGAAGCCTCTGGAGATGGAGGGGTGAGAGCCCCCCTTGGCGCACTCCCTTACACTGTACCCATTCAGCTAGCAGCAGTGATATCAGGTCTTTGGAGAAGACTGGCTGAGTGAGCTCAGATCCAGCCCAGAAAGTAGGTGGTTGGTCTGCATCCAGCTTAAGGGGCCTGGAATGAAAGCCTGCCCCTTGCTGGAGCTGAGGGATACTTCTGAGGTTGAGATTAGGATCATGCTGAGCTCAGCAACTAGGATGGGGGTGATCTGCGGGCAGCCTTGGGGGTGGGTTCATGGCAGAATAAGGTGTTGATTACGGCCAAGCTTGGGTCTGGTATCAGAAATAGACAATTACCCAGCACAACGATTGGACAGACATGAGAGGACCTATTTTTTGGAAAGACCCAAGCATCCTACTTTTTTTCTTCCCAGCCCTCCTCCAGGTTGCAAGGTCCCCCCGGCCCCCTGCAACACCCTACCAGACAGGAAGCTCCACACGTTCAGGCTTGTCTTGCTCACAACTCTATACTCAGCATTAGACTGGGTGCCTGGCACTGAATGACAACTGCTGAATGTTTGAAAGCCTTCTGGGGAACCACGAACCAACTAAACTGCAGCCTTCACTATGCTCATCTTTGTGGAGTTGGGAGTGGCTTTTCATCCATGGGATTTGCCATTGGCTACAGTCATTCCTACTAACTCTCTATGTCCTCAGGATGTCAGCTGTCCATTCTCTGGCAGAAGGCAGCCACCCCTGGAGGCAGCGGGGCACACAGGCACAACCCTGCAGTGCGGGCAGTGCTCTCTGCTTCAGTTGGCAGCTTGAGTGCAGCTGTTGGGGTGCAGAACCTCAGTTGCAATGGATTCTCAGGGCCAGTGGTATTTTTCAGATGTGGACGGAGAGCAGGGGTCAGGTGCTAGCCCTGAGGCTGGAAGTCACACTCCTCTGTTGCCACCAAGAGCCTCTCTTCTCTTGCATTTTCAGATGACACTGTGCTAAAAAGTTCTCTTTTTTTCCTGCGTGGGCTGGTCTTTACATTTCCCGGCCCATCTCCTATGGCTCCCCTCTGCCATAGGAGTTGTTGAAGGGGTTCCCCACTTCCTGTCTTCCTCCTGTCCATCTGTCCCAGCAAAGAAGGAAGAATTCAGGCACAGGGTGAGGGCTCGAAGGAGGGGAGTTGAGAGTGAGGATGGCTTCAGACTAGAACACCTAGGTGTTCTGGGAGGAGGAAGATGATTTCAGCCTCAAAATCATGACAGGAAATGCAGGTGTTTCATGGGGGTCCTTGGAGACTTCCTGCAATGACAAACCTTGTTGATGACAGTGATGCAGCAGCAACAGCAACGTTGACTGCTTGACAGTTGGCCAGGTGCTGTGGCAGTTACCTGGAGTGTTCAATTGCGAGGAACCTACAAGCCTGGTTAGAAAAGTCAATTTACCAGGCCGGGTGCAGTGGCTCATGCCTGTAATCCCAACTTTGGGAGGCTGAGGTGGGTGGAACACCTGAGGTCAGGAGTTCAAGACCAGCCTGACCAACATGGTGAAATTCCATCTCTACTAAAAATACAAAAATTAGTTGGGCATGCTGGCGGGTGCCTGTAATCCCAGCTACTCAGGAGGCTAAGGCAGGAGAATCACTTGAACCTGGGAGGTGGAGGTTGTAGTGAGCTGAGATTGCATCATTGCACTCCAACCTGGGCGACAGAGTGAGAATCCCTCTCAAAAAAAAAAAAGAAAGAAAGAAAAGTCAATTTAACAAGCACTCTGAAGCAGAAAGGCTTTGTGCAAATCTGATTTGGGGTTCAAGAGCCAGACAGCAATGGGGGAAGGAACAGTAACCTTTGGGGACATGGTAAGTGCTTCTCAGCTAGCACTGTGGTTTTTCTTCCTACTCTAGATTCCTGAGCATCCTTGCACAAGTGAAGCAGAAATCAGATGAGAGTTGAAGTACATTAACTAACTTTTCTTTTTGGTAGGAAAGGTCAAATGCGTTTACTTGCCCTTGATGGCTGGCTATCATTGCTTCCGGAAAAGACGCAGTGTACAGGCTGTAGGGTCTCAGAATAAAGTGCCCCCAAGAAATAAATGAATAGCTTATTACCCACGCATCCATTTCTCCTAGAAGCCAGCCAGTGTTGGCTAAGCAGTTAGCATTTATTCAGCCACAGAGTTACAGGGGAGAGGAGAATATGGTGCGCGTCCCCCTGAAGCATATGACTTGGCTGGGGAGGTGCAAAAGTCAGACTGCCCACAGTCTCTATGTGATGAAGCGTCAAAATGAGCATTGACGAGGTGCTAGGGAGACTTGTGGAGACACAACTGTGAGACTGAGCCCCAGGACTCTAGGATTCTATGGCAATGGGGATGCTCATAATTGTGCCGGTTCATTCTTTCCTTCAGCAAACCTTTTGTAGCACCTTCTACGCTCCAGCCATATGCTCCACCGTTAAGGCCAAGTCCCTGCCATCAGGAGCACGCTGTGTAACCGACAAGGACAAATGCATGTGGGTAAGTTGGGAAAAGGTTGCTCTCTGTTGGAACCCATAGATCTCCAGTATCCTCAGGAAAGGCTTCCTGAAGAGGTGGCCCCAAGTCTGTCCTTCTGAGATAGTGGGTGGGCAATGCCAGTGTGGTAGTGGGCATGGTGGTGGGAGGGATACATGAAGGGAAGGCCATGATGATAGAGTGGTCAGTAAGCCTCTGGGTTGGGTGGAGAGCTTCCCTGGATGCCTGATCACCATGGGCTCCAGGGACCTGCTGGATGTATGCTATGAGGGCTTCAATCTGCCGTCACTCTCAGGCATGGCCACTCTTCCTATCTGTGCATAAAGCACATGTGCATTCGTCTGGTCTTGCAGATGGAATACACAGGTGAGGTTGATGTGAACTTGACCAGCCTGTTCAGAACGTGTCTGAAAGTCTCAAGGTCAAAATGATTGCCCTGAAGGTCTGTATGGGTGACCTTACAACAGTCCCCCAACAATCCCCAAGGCTGCCAAGGTGCTGTGCAATTTAGCTGTACTGCTTTGACACTCTATAAGATGATCAGCAGTGCTTTCCTCCTCCTAACCCTTATCCGGTCTTATCTGCTGCTGCGGTATCAAAACACCACATCGATGACAGAATTGGACCCACGCAGGCTGCACTGCACCATCTGGATGGAAGTGTAGAGGCCTGCAAAGGTGAGGGGGGAGGAGATGTGGCCTCTCTGCCCTGGAGAAGACAGTCATTCCTATGTCAGTAAATTGGGATGAAGCAGAGGCTCAACACTCAGAAGGCAGAGTCAGGAAAGGACATCTCTTCCTTATGTACATCTTGGAGTCTTGCTGGATAACTTTTCATACCTAGTCACTTGCTTTTGGGATGTACTCCCAGGAGGGGAACTGGAAAGAAAGTGAGGCTGCCGTGACTTAGAACTTGAAATGTCTGGTTCCAGGGTTTCCTCTGTATAGATTTCCCTGTTACTCGCCCTGAGCCTTAGAAAAAAAATTTAAACAGAACCTTACTTCAACACCATAACCAATCTGCCTCAGTTGAGCTATGACATCTAAGTAAAAGGAAAGAGTGCTTTTTCTCCCTTGTGAGGCGAGAGTATGAAAAAGTGGAACCATCGTCTCCAAAGTCCAGGATCCTGACAACAGCAGAAATCAGCAAGGCACTCTGAAGGAGGAAGAATCTGGGGATAAAAGCTGGCTGAGCAAGGTGGAGTTGCCCTTGTCCACCACTGGGGAGAGGACTTTGTCAGCTGTGGATGGTGCAGCATTTGTAGTTTATCAGGAAAGCAGCAAATATCCTTTTTTTTTTGAGACAGAGTCTCGCTCTGTTGCCCAGGCTGGAGTGCAATGGCGTGACCTAGACTCACTGCAACCTCTGCCCCCCAGGTTCAAGTGATTCTCCCTGCCTCAGCCTCCCGAGTAGCTGGGATTACAGGCACTTGCCACCATGTCTGGCTAATTTTTGTATTTTCAGTAGAGATGGGTTTTTCGCCATGTTGCCCAGGCTGGTCTCGAACTCCTGACTTCACATGATCCGCCCGCCTTGGCCTCCCAAAGTGTTGGGATTACAGGCATGAGCCATCTCACCTGTTCACAAATATCCTTCTTTACTCATGGCATAGACTGAAGGAAAGCAGAACCACAATTCCCCCAGCCTGACCCCCAGCAGACACACCCTGCCGGAAGATTTCTAGGGAAATCAAATTTGAAAGAGGCAGGAAGAGTGGGGAGGAGGCGATTCTAGTGGCTCTTACGTCTGGGAAGCTCCTGGGGCTTGGTCAGCATCTGGCTGCTGGAGATGGGTAGGGACTGGAGGGGGTGTCTGGGGTCAGCAGGCAACTGAAGAAGCTCAGGCTTAAGACAACGCCCAGACTGTTGAAAGGAGCCAGGTCAATGTGTTCTTCCTGGAAGCAGAAAGCTGCCCTGAACAGTTGGCGTGGCTTCAGCACACTAGCAGGGCAGCCCCCACTGTGTAACCTCTGACTTGCCCCTGCATCTTCATCACGCTGAGGGATCTTCACAGCGGAAGTGGAAGGAGAACAGAGTCCTTAAGAGGGAACTGAAGCTGAGGGGAGAAGCGGGAGATACCATCTGAGAGTGAGCGGCAACCAGGCTCTCAAGAACCCCACCCTGACAGAGATGAGGACCGGGCACAGTGGAGGACTCGGAGAATCTATTCCTTCTGCGTGTCCCCTGTCTACCCCCATGCCTGGTGCTGGGTTCAGGGATTTGGGGCCCTTGTGCCGGGGTCTGGTCCATGCACACACCCTTCTGCTCCATAGCTCCTGAGACTGCAGTCTCCTTGGCCTTGTTGTTGGGAAATTAAGCATGTGTTCCCAGCTGATCCACCTACCAGACCACTGCTGATTGATTTAAGGATAGCTGAGCTCCAGTGAGGCAGCAGGGAAATGCTTCTCCAAAAATAGGTGTTTGGGGTACCAAAATGGCAAAGAAAATGGCTGTGTGCAGGTGTTCTGAGGAGCCAGGAAGGCCCGTGTATCCCAATCAGCATCTGCTTGACTTGCCAGCTCCAAGCTCCACCGGAGGTGGCTGGAGCGCAGAACACCCTGGACACACCTATTTCCAGTCCCAGCTCCACCCAGACACCTCCCTGAGGAGGGTGAGGGTGTGCAATCCTGCGCACCATGCTCCTGGGGTCACCCATCTGCCAGGCTCAGGGCCAGGCATCTGGCCGCCCTGCTGTGAAGTCAGCACACTTGCCAGGCATGGCGCAGACAGGTGAGGGAGTGGCCCCTCAGTGACGATACTCATGGCCAGACCATTTTGAGGAATGCTATGTAGCTTTTCTTTCTTTTCTTTTCTTTCTTTCTTTCTTTTTTTTTTTTTTTTGGATGAAGTTTTTGCTCTGTTGCCCAGGCTGGAGTGCAATGGCGCAATCTTGGCTCACTGCAAACCATGGTTTCTTCACATGTAAAACCCGGTGGCACAACAGTGTAGCCCCATTGTAAGCTAGTTTGTGGTACACAGTGCCTGACATAGGTCAGGCTATTTGAATATTAATTATTCTCATCGTCGATATGTCAAAGTGGGATTCCTAGAAACAAGTACCTTCAATACTCTGGTATACTATTTGGCATATGTATCACCCTGAGAATCAAGCAATCCACTTCTAGGAATTGATCCTAGAGAAACAATCTGGAACAGGAACAAAAGTCCGTGCTCGGGAAAGTAGATGGTAATGCAGTCTAAAATGAAAAATTGAAGAGAGAGAGCAATCTAAATGTTCCATATTTGGGCATTGGTTATGTCAATTATGATACCCCCATATGACCCAGTATTATGCAGTTAGGGAAGGGGTGCACGTGAACTTAGCAACAGGAAGAAATGCTTAGGGTATTGATGTTAAGTGAAGAAAACGGGACCCTCTAAATAGAAATGATGAAAAATATTCCACAAAAACCTTAAAACAAAGCGATGAAAAGAAATACGCTTCAAATGTTAAGTACCGGCTTTTAAGAAGTAGACGGGTTAGGAGTGGTTTTGTTTACTTCTAACATATGGCTGTCTGTATTTTCCAAGTCATCTACAAAAAACGTGTTATTTTTACAGTGAAGAAACGGGGATGAATCTTCAGAACTGGCTATTGTCTTGAAGAATCTTCAAAGTCGCCGACTAGAAGGTCTGTTAAGGTCCCTTCCCGCCGCCCTGACCTGCCCGCCTTGCTCCAGGTTCCCACTGGATGCCTGCACCTGCTTGGCGGTGTCTCCCGTGAGCAGGCGTCAGGCTGTTGTTGGATAGTAGGACCATGACCACCCTCTCTGAATGGCCCTCTGAGTCTCGTGTCCACACATCCTTTGCCTAACCTGGTTAGGAGATGCTCCAAGTAGTCATTTTCATTTTCAAGAAAGACATGCATGTTGTGGAAAAGAGACAGTACATTCAGTGACCACTGCTCCTTTCACCCTTTCCCTGGGCTGCAATTGCACACTGAGAAATGTGCGCTGTGGCTTCAGTCCATGGTTCACCCCCAGTCCCTTGCTTCTGCAGGTGGAAATGAAGGGAAGTTCTGACCTCTCAGGGAGCAGGTCAGAGGCTGGGCATTTGGAATCACAGGGCCGCTGGCCACAGACTTTGCTTCTCGAGCTCCCTGAGTTTGTTATTGGTGTGTTACTCAGCTGTCCTCTCAGGGGTCTCCAGTGTGAACGGTTTCCTAGAGACACTGGAAAGGTTCCTCTCACTTCCTATGCTCATTGAGAGTCCGCTGCCAGGATTATTTGAGGGGAGGCTCCGGGTTGTCCCTTGGATTTTGGGCTCATGGAGGGAAACCCTACACTGAAGTGTGTAGACTCAGTTTCCCCTCTTGGCCTCATCTTTCTCCATCTCCTCCTCTGACAATTCCTGTGACCATCTTCAACCTCTTCATCCTTATTCACATCATTGGCTTCCTTTTCCAAGATATAATGAATCTTTCTTTCATTAACAATTTGGCTCCACAGTTTTGTTTCAATATTTATAAAGAAATATGAGATTTGGCTCCTGGATGCAATGATCACTCTGGACCCCCCACTGGAGTTGTGCATGTACAGTGAGTGATTAATACTATGGCCTCGGAACCTGAGTTGCATGGGATGGAAGTGAGGAAACACCGTAAAGAGGTAAAAATCATTGTTAGCTTACCTGACTGTACAAAAACAGGCCACAGGTTGCATTTGGCCCACAAGTTGTAGTTTGCTGAACAACCTGTTCATATCACCATTAAGATGCTTTTTCTGTCTCTGAATTAATTTTTTTTTAGATGGATTTTTCACTCTTGTTGCCCAGGCTGGAGGGCAGTGGCACGATCTCGGCTCACTGCAACCTCCGCCTCCTGGATTGAAGCGATTCTCCTGCCTCAGCCTCCGGAGTAGTTGAGATTACAGGTATGCACCACCACACCTGGCAAATTTTGTGTTTTTAGAGACGGGGTTTCTCCTTGTTGGTCAGGCTGGTCTCAAACACCCGACCTCAGGTGATCCACCCGCCTCGGCCTCCCAAAGCGCTTGTATTACAGGTGTCAGCCACCAGGCCCAGCCAACTCTGCACTAATTTTTGAGCTCCTAGAAGACACTGACTGTGTTTTTTTGCTTTAGCATCTGAATGAATGAGTGATGTTGCTTAAAATATCCTCTGACATATCCTGGCTGATCCTTCTCTCAATTTTTTTTTCTTTCTCTACACACCTGCCTCTCAGATGCTGGATAAATAACCTTCCTAAGATTCTCTAAGTCGCTCAATAGTCACTCCATAGATGTATACTATGCTTCCAATGACATTAATGACTGTCATTTATCAAGTTCCTGGTGTGCACCAGACCTTTGTAGAGTCCTGGAGACACAGAGGTGAAGCTGGCATCCTCTGCATGTGAGCCTGTGTGGGCCCGTGTGTGCTCACACATGTGATCTGGGTTCAGACCATTTGGCCCCTGTGCAGCTTGGTGTCACATTTGGGTGCCCTTCGAGGTACCTGCTCCCCAGACAGATGCTGCGTGCTAATCTTTACCACTTCTCTGGAGGACTTAATTCATTTAAAAAATCATATAATTGCATTTTCAGCATAATTAGGTACTTAATTACATGACTAAATGTCCTCGATTGGGCTGCATGTGTAAATAATGATGATTTAGTTAGGTACGCTTTGTTATTGGGTTTCCAGAAGGCTCATCAGTTGGTTAACAGGATGTGGAAAGTGTTTTTCTCCTTCCTCCACCGGGTTTGACAGGCAGGAGCAGCAGAGCCCGTGTGGGGAGTGGGCAGGACCGCAGGGGCGGCAGGAGGCAGGAGGGAACATTCTGCTGCCTGGAAACTCAGTTCAAACATTCAGGAGGATTGGCTCCAAGGAGGAGGTTCGTGGCTACATCCCAAGGCAGATAGCCGTGCTTCCCCAGGAGATGTGCTGAGGAAGGGGAGGCCAAAGTGGCCCAGAGACAACAGGACCCACAGTTTATGGGCACAAAGGGTGGAGATGCAGTGGTGAAGGATGCTGGAAGGAAGGAAAAGTGCAGGAGCAGGATGCAGGGGGCCGCTTCTCCTCATTCCCTAGAAGGCTTCTCCTCCTCCCTAGCCAGAGAGGGCTCCGTGAGAACTCAAGGGTTCAGGAAAGGCCACTGCATTCTCCCTACTCAGGCCGGCCAGAGGCACACTGGCTCTGTATGAGCCAGAGGCACACAGGCTCAGTGGGATGGGGAGGGAGCCTGCAGCAGAGGGTGGTGACCAGGCTCGCAGGAAAGGATGCCTGTGAAGGTTGTGGGTAGTGTATACACTGTACATCTTAGCCATTGCTGTTGGTGATGCTGTGATCTGTCTTTTATGTCAGACTCGCATTTGAAAGCCTGTTGGAAAGAAGGGGGGCATTTATTTTTTTCTTTCTTTTCTTTTCTTTCTTTCCTCTTTCCTTTCCTTTCCTTTTTTGAGATGGAGTCTTGGTCTGTGGCCCAGGCTGGAGTGCAGTGGTGCCATCTCGGCTCACTGCAAGCTCCGCCTCCTGGGTTCAAGTGATTCTCCTGCCTCAGCCTCCTGAGTAGCTGGGATTACAGGTGCGTGCCACCAGGGCCGGCTAATTTTCTTGTATTTTTAGTAGAGAAGGGGTTTCACCGTGTTAGCCAGGATGGTCTTGATCTCCTGACCTCGTGATCCGCCCACCTTGGCCTCCCAAAGTGCTGGGATTACAGGCGTGAGCCGCTGCACCCGGCCGATGGGGGACATTTTCACCTGAATATTGGACAGCTATGTTTGGGGCAGTGGTGAAGACAAATGCACACCAACAAATGGCTCTTTCCAAAAAGCATCTTAAAAGTGCTTTAAGGGTGCATCCTGATAGGTGGCATAGGGAGCATGCGTTTTGGTGCCAGAGAGATTTGACAGTAAGTCCTGGTGCTCTGGGTCCCAACTCCAAGCACCCCTCCCGGACCCTCGTGTGCTCATCCCTAGCGAAGGATTACGGCAGGCAACACATACAAAGCAGCACTGAGTGTGGCTCTCGGGGTGTTGCCCGGCACATGGGAGCTATTCTTATTGTCCTCATATATTTAAGGATGAACATACACACTCACACACTCACACACATACACTCACATACACACACTCACATACACACAGACTCACACACACACAGACTCACACACACTCTCATACACACACTCAGACTCACACGTGCTCACACACACACTGTCACACTCTTATACACACACACTCCTACTCTCTCACATTCTCTCACACACTTACACACTCTAACACACTAATAAACACACTCACACTCCTACTCATTCTCTCACACTCACACACACATTCTTTCTTACACACTATCACACACATTCTCACACACACTCACACACTCTAACACACTCACACACTCTCACATGCACTCACACACTTATACACATATACTCTTACACACACTCTCCCACATATGCACACACAGGCACACATGCACACACACACTCTCATGCACATTCCTCTCACACTTTTCCACATATGCACAGACAGGTGCACACACAAACATGCACACACACTGACACACACACACAGCCTCAGGGGACAGAAGCCTAGACTTGGTCTATGGGAAGATAGGGTGTGGCAGCCTGGCTTCAGGGGCCAGTTCCTGTGACTGGGGCAGGCAGGGAGTACTTTATCTCCTGGAGCAGCTGGGTACCTTGAGCACTTCCAGCTGTGCTGTGAACCCTCCTTTGTCCTCCAATCCTGTCTTCTGGGTATCAGGGCAGGAAAGAAGCTTCAGGAAGTTACCAATTCAATTTCATTTTGCTTCTGAAACAGAGCCAGAAAGCCACCTGCCCTGGCTCAAGTGCCCATCCTGTCCTTTCTCTGTGCTTAGGGAGAAAAAGCCATCTCTCTTCACTGTCCCTGCCCCACCACCCCTCTGCCACATCTTCCCAGTGTTTTTCTAGCAATGAAAATCCTCTAAAATACGTCTCAATCCATCACCCTGGCAAGCTCCTGCTCCATCTTCCCAGCCCCCTATCCAGGTCTTGTGATTTATATTTGCCCAACATTAATCTTTTAAAGGCAAAGAAGCCATAAACACATACATAACTCTGCCTCCTGTCAGAAGAAATCCCATGACACAAATCAACTGCCATCTAAATTAGATGCTTCTTTCATAGAAAGTGATAAATGCACTAGAGACTAATCAAAGAAAAGTCAACTAACTTAGACTTTGTTTCACTTCAGGATTTTGTAGTTGATGTGGTTGAAGTTGGACAACCAGTTAATGTCTAATGATCAACAGGAATGGGTGAATTGGCCCAGTCCTGCTGTTTTGATGCTTCTAATGTAAACAGGAGGCTTTGTTCATCATTTATCATCAGGGTTCTTAGCACTTCAAAAGCAAGTTTGAAAGCTAACACTTAATTTTAGGAGAAGAAGGGTAAGCACAAACACAATCTACTCTTCTGTCAGACTGGTGTGCTAATTTCCTTGATAAAGGCAAGAAACCTTTGCTTAAGCAAACCAAGTAACAGAGTGAAAGCAGTTACCCAAAAAGACATGAGGCAGTTACAGGGGTGGATCTGTTTCTTCAATCAGGATTAGAGGCTCCTAGAGAAGCCAGGTTGTGTGGAGGGCTCACAGCACAGCTGGAAGAAGCCAGGTTGTACAGATTTCAAATAATTGTATCATTTTCAAGTATAGATGGTTTCATAATGAAACAAATGCATTAATTTTTCTTTACACATTTAACATAACTACTTCTGAGTTGTTTTGGGAAGTATAAACTCTGTGGTTTTAGGTGGGAAAAAATGAAAGAATATAAATGGCTAAACCCAGTACATATCATTAGCTTATTTTTCTCTTTTTCTTTTCCTTGTCTTATTACTTCTTCCACCATCACTACTACGGTGAATATCACTAATAAATTTTATTACTCACCTGCTTGGGTGAGGAAAGGGCAATGAAGGATCCTGAAGATCAGACTAAGAAGTCTGCGTTTTCTCGGGTAGTGACGAACAGCCACGACAGGTGAAGAGGTCATAGAGAAGGGGATTCTCTAGAGTTTTGAAGCAGGGTAGGGATGGAAAGGAGAGCCCATTGTTTAGAATAGCACTTTGAAGCTACTGAGAAAGAATCAGGATGACACAATGAGAGGCTCACAGGAGTGGATGATGGACAGAGACAAGGGTCTGGGTATGAGGTAGGAGCTGCAGGAGAGGCTGGCGGTCTGAGAATTTGGGGTTTAAGCAGGAGTGTGAGTAGAAGCGAATGAAGGGAACATCAGTGTGATGGGAGATGTAGGAGGGTTATGAATAATTATTTATTATTCTATGTTTCCACATGCCCCGTTATTGAATCACTTCCACAATTACAGTAAAGTATTAAAAATTAAGATGTGTCTCAGATTCTACATTTACATACAAAATAGATTTCTGTTCATTGTGGGAGGAATCCACGAGATGGATGCAAAGGATGGGAAGGGAATCTGGGAAAGCCCCTTGGAGGATGTTTCTGATGACGAAGGGTCCGTCCACCCTGGGCTTTGTGGCGGGGCCTGGTAGGGCTGCAGCAGGTGGGTGTGCTCAGCAGGAGCCACTCACCCTGGGCACTCAGCTATGGCTGCACCTTGGAATCATCTGGGACCCTTTCAGAAACACCCATGTTCAGGTCCTTTTCTACCACAGCTGCCAGACACAATACAGGAAGCCAGTGAAATCTGACTTTCAGATAAAAAATGAAAATTGTTTGAATACAAGTATGTCCCAAATATTGCATGCCAGCCTCCGTTTGAACTCACCAAATGTGTTGGGGGGTTAACAGTAACAGAAGCTGAGGAAAAAAGTTAACTTCTGAAGGTAAAATGTGCTGTCTCAAACAGGGTGTGTGTGTGTGGCAGGGGTGGGATTCGGAGGGGTGAACCCCTCCAGCCAGAGCTCCCAGGAAGGAGCAAGGTGCTTGGGCTTTCGGCACCAGCAGATCTGGCTTCCAACCCGACCACACCACATCATACCTTAAATGAACAAAACACTTAAAAAAAGGCTTCCATCTTCTCTGAGGCTCAGTGCCGTCACATGGGAGCAGTAGAGTCTGCCTCACAGGGAATTCTCAGCACACGCAAAATCCTGTCACACCTGTGGGAGGCACCAGCTCCCACCACCACATTCAGGGCTCGAGGGCCTCTCTAGTGCCCCTTTCTCCACCCGCGGCCTTGCCGAGCCTGTATTCCCCCCCCACTTGTTTCCCATCAGGTCCTTCCTGTTGCCCATAGCCCCCAGAAGCCTGCCTTGCTTTGGTATCTCAGAAAGTAAGGAAGTTTTCTGGGTCTCACTGCTCCCATTTCTAAGAGGTTGGGGCCTGGGGATGGGTCTGAGGGAGAAGCTGGTGAGCGGCTGGCCCAAGCCCATTTTATCAACACCAGGCCACCCAGCACAGGCCCACCAGGTACCCCTGCAGCTGACTGATAAGAGGCTCAGTTCTGCTTCTCCCGCTCGGAGGCTTATCAGAGGCAGGCCTGGGTGGAGGAGCCATTTCCATCTGCTTGAATAAGAGGATGGAAAGAAGGCCCTTGGAAGAAATATTATAATACAATGCCCAGGCACACTCAGACACAGCCACATACAGCCTGCCTGTGAGTCCGGGCTTTGTGTCCTGATGTTGCTGACAGGAGGCGGGTGTCTTACTTTCTATTCAGAGACAGGGTCTCTTAGGACAAGGCACCACAGTCCTGCTCTGGAAGGACTTGGGAGCCCTCAGGTCGCATAGGGTCCAAGCTCAGCAGAGACTCGAGCTTAAATCCAAGAGGCTGATCCTCCTGGATTTAAGAGGTGTCATTTAAGTCTCCCAACAGTGTGCCTGTGCCCATGTGCATGTGTGTGTGTGAGTGTGTGTGCATGTATGTGTGTACACATGTGCATCTCATGGAGAGGATCTGGCAGTGTTTAAGCATGAAACCATTTGTCCACTTAAAATTATGGTACCTAAAGCACCTGGTTGAACTGAGAAGAGGAGTTGGCACGGTCTGCCTGCCCAGGAATCTGTGGGGGACAGAGGTTGTGGAAAACACCTGAATTCTAGTCGTGGCTCCGCCATTTGCTATTGGTGTGGCTTTAGGATTGTTATTTCACACCTTTCCAATCCCATTTATTTAGGAACACTCAGGATACCAAGTTGTGTTAGGACCCCAGACCTTGTCTTTTAAACAAGGGCATAATGACACTCTCCTCCCGAGAGCACACTGGCAGCTCGACTGGCACACGGAGGGCTCAGTGAACGTGATCACCTTCTCCACCCCCACCCTGCCACTGTCCCAGGCTGTGGTGAGGACAGAGGGATAAGAAATGTGAATGTGTTTTGGTGTGCATGAGCGATTCCAAGTACAGACAGATGCCCGGGGGCCAACTTCCAAGATGTTAGGTGAAGATGAGAAGCGCAGGAATCAGGAGTCAGTCTCTTCCGGAGCAACTGGATTCTTGTCCTGGCATCATATTACTTAGGACAGGAGGCACACAGAAAGAGCACAGAAAGAGCCCTTGTGCTTGGGTTGGAGGGCTTCGCTCACTTGCCCTCCCTGGACCGTTCATCACATCAAGCAGATGAAAAGTACCTCCCAATACCCTTCTGGGTCTCCCAATACCCTTCTGGGTATTAGGATCCTGACCTCGAGTGTGACTTGCCTTCTGGGTGAGTTACATTAGTCTGTACCTCTGACATGGGTGAGGATAAGACTGAGGTGGTGGAATACTGGGTTCTAGCCTGAGCTGTGTGAGGCCGAGCTGTTCTCTCTGCCTCTCTGATTTCAGAGAGGAGAAGGAGGCTATGTATATGGGCTGTGCTTTCATTGTGCCAGGGAAGTGTGGGTGGGGCTGAGTGTGGTTCCTGGCCTTCCTCCCCCAGGTTAGGTGGCAGCTTGGACCTAGAAGCATCAGGTCGAGACCTCCCTTATCCACCTCCTTTCACAGTTCTGTTCTCTGTCCACTGCTGGGCCAGCCCCTCCACCCTGAGGGGAGAAGGTTGCTGCTCTGTGCTCTCTCTGAGGCTGATGCCTCCAGGGCTCGCACTGACCCAGAGCTGCGGTTGAGGGGTCCATGCACATTCTCCCTGCTCCCTAAGGGTCCTGTGTGCTCTGTGGACTGCAGGTGCTGAGGGGACAGGGGACCCACACTCACACTCATTCCCTGCAGGGCCAGGCACCCGAAAGATACATCTGACAATTTCAGACAGGCTCTGAAAGCTGGCCTCTGTGTGTTTGTGTGTGTATGCGTGTATGTGTGTGTTTGTGTGTGTGCAGGTGAATGTGCAAATTGGGCACTGTGTGAAGCCCCCCATTTCAGGGACTGCAGGAGGGCTCACTATTCTCTTCCTCCTTCCCAGCTCCCACCGCATGTCACAGGTTGCCCGGGCCTTCCTCTCAGTCTCTTGTTAGGGCTAAGGTGAGATGCAGAAGGGCACCTCCTCAGAGTCATGAGCCTTCTGGAGGGGCCTTGAAGGCTCCAAGACTTAGAGGGGATGGTGGAATTCTGGATGCTGTAACAGGTGCCGGGAGGTGGTCCCCTCATCTCTCTACCACCTCACCTGTCCACCTGCATCTCTCAGTTACCTTTTCCCTCCCTCATCCCCCAGCCACCTGGCCCTGGATGTGTCTTGGTCAGACCAGGCCTGCACCTGCCTCAGGACCCTTGCACTTGCTGTGCTCTCTGCCTGTCATGCTTCTCTCAGATGGCCCCATGTCTGGATCACTCACTTTTTTCAGGGCTTTCTCAAACATTGCCACCCTTAGTGAAGCCTTCTATGGCCACCCTATAAGATGGCACCCCCTCACTCCTCACCTTCCATCTCCCTTCCCGGCTTCACTGGCCACCCAGCCCTTAGTGCCATCTGATGTACTGGGCATCCTACCCATGTGTCCACCTCGCCAAAGTGTGAGGTCCTCTTGGGATTCCTGCTGGTTTGTTCACTGTCTTATTCCCAGGGCTTTGGCCTGGGCCTGACACACAGCTGGTGCTCAGTGACCATTTGTGGAATCTGAGCTCCCAGGCCACGTGTGTGCTAGGGCAGTCAGCAGAAGTGTGGACTCCAGGAGACCACGGTTGAGCTCTGGAGCTACCAGGTTATGACTGGAAGAATACGGACACACATTGACCCCCGAGGCTCCATCTCCAAATCTAATGATGGCCTCCCGGTAGGGAGAGGTTCCAATAAGGAAGCATGCAAGTGCACAGCTGACACCTGGCCCCGTGCGTGGAGAGGTTGCTCCCCTGTGCTCGTGCCTGTGATAAAGCACTGTTTTCTGAACTTGGGTGTTAGCTGGTTGTCCCTGGCTGTCGGGCTCAGGGAAGCCTGCCTCGCATGCTTGCACCTGCTCTGGCTCTCCCTCCGGCACCTGCCCAGTGAGGTGGGGATTTTCTGCAGGGCAGAGGCAAAGCCCCGAGTGCCTGTATTTCCAGAGGAGGTAGGAGGAGGGCAGGAGAGAGGGGAAGACTACAAGAGCCCCTCCTACCCGCTAGCAGCCTGGGCAGTGGAAGGTCAGGGAACGGGAACTGATGCTCTTCTCGTGGGCCCAGGTTAGTGGGCCTCCCTGGCTGCTGCCTGCTCCCTGACCTCAGGGTGGATTTTTCTTCCATGGCTTCCCATCCACTCACGGGGTTGAGGTGCAATGGGGTCAGGTGGGCCCAGGCCTAGAAGTTGTGCCATCAGAGAGTCTCCTGTTGGTTAAAGTCAGGAGTCTATAAAGGGCTGGACAGTAAATAGTTTAGGCTTGGGGGCCACCGGTCTCTATGGCAAAGATTCAATGCTGCTATTGTAGCAGGGAAGCAGCACATGACACTCCGTAAATGATAGGTGCTGTTGGGCCCCAAGAAAGCTTCAAGTGTGCAGATAGGGGGCAGCTGGATTTGGCAGTGGGTCTCAGTTTGCAGCCCTCCTGTTGAAGTCTCCCTGTCTCTGAGTCTTTCTGGTCCCTCCCTGGTTAACATTTACTGAGTGTGTGCCCCGTGCTAGGTCTGGGACTTCATCCACAGCCTCTCACGCAAGGTGCCTGTGGGGACTAAGCCACCAAGAGGCTGAGCTGTGCCTGTAGCCCAGCCTGGCCCCCTCGAAGCCTGTGACCCATGCGATATCCTGCTTCTTGTCAGAGCGCAGGCACATCCCTGCTGCCTCAGTCCCTTCTAGGGATTACAGAAGTGCCTGTGAGGACACAGGCATTGCTGGGGAAGCAGAGGCCAAAGGGGGTGAAACCAGTACCCCAAGGCCACCCTCACTGGCTCATGGCAGGGCCGAGACAGCAATGGGGAGGTGAGGTGGGTGGCCTGCTGGGCTCTTTGTGCCCCTCTGTGAGTGCACTGGTTGGAGAGGCGCTGCACAGTGAGACTTCTCCAGGCAATCCTGAGCCCCAGGGTGGAATCGGGGTGTCCCAGAAGGGCCCCAGCAAGTGAGTCCTGGCTAAACTTAAGGCTTGGTCCAGTGAGGCTAGAGCAGCTCTGGGCAGTGGCGTGCTGCAGCACAAGCCTCCCTGAGTGGGAGCTGCGGTCTCAGAAGGAGACATCATGAACTGGAGCAGAGAGAACTTGTTTTTCCTTGGGGAGGGCCTCACACGCAGGGAATTCAAAGGAGAACCGTCTTTGAGAACCACTGGGGCTCTCAGGGCAGGAGGCAGGGCAGTGAGAGGCCAGCCTTTCATCCTTTCATCCTCCAGACAGTTCAGCCTCTGTTCCCACAGCCCTGGGCCGAGGAAGACGAGATGTGGCCAGAAACTCAGATAATTGTGCCTCTGGGATGTTGCAACCTCAGAGAAGGCTTTTACCAAAAGCACCACCCTGGAAACAGAAGAGATTAGGACCATGAAGAGAGTTAGGCAGAGGACAAAAGCCTCCAGGAAATAATAATAATAAGGCTCAGAAGTGCCCATGAGCGGGAAACACTAGCTCATCGGAACTTCGAAGGAACACCGTGGATTTCATCCTCCTGTGACCGCCACGTCCTGAAAGAGGCATTTTGACTTCCTCTAGCATTGTTAGTTTTCTCAGTGAGTGACAAGCTTCATTTCGCTCAAATAAATTGTTTAAAAATATCCTGTCCCAAAAGGGTTTTTCAGAGGCTCCAGGATTCTGAAATAAGAAATGACCCAGGGCGAATTACCAAGGCCTGATATAAATCAATGTACTCGACAGCCTGCTTGAACCAACTTTCTCTCCCTCCTTTTGGGAGAGGATACTCTGTTCTTCCTTGAAACTCCCCAGTTTCCGCACATATGAGGGAGGGGTGGTGCCGTGCAGGGATTAAGAGATAGACTAGGGGTTGGAACCCCTGGGCTTGAATCACAGCCCTGACACTCACAGACATGTCCTGTACCCTGAGGAGGGGGCATGGCCTGGAGCATCCACTCGCAGCACAGGATGATGACCAGGGACAAATGTCGCCAGGCAACACTGCGCACGTAGTGAGCTCTGGACATCAGCACTGTTCTTCCTGCTTCGTATCCCTGCAACTTGTCTTTACCAATTCATTCTCCAGAGTTAGAGCATCCTCAGCAGTCAGCATTGATCACCAACAACCTGTCTCTTCAAGCACAGGATTTTAATTCAACAAGCTGCGACTATGTCTAACTAGGTCAAAATTTACTATAATTTCCTATTAGCTAGAAAAGCACCCATTTACGTTGGGGGAATTATACTCCTTGAAGTTATTCTCTAAGTAGCTACATAGCTATTGAGCCAGTTCAGCAACTAATCGCAGTAAGTCATAGGCAATTCGATCCGAAACCTGAATTCGTGTGATAAGAAATTTCTCACCAGGAAGACTGGATGCTTTTTATTCCTGTCATGATGTGAACCTTGCTGTCCCAAGAAGCCCAACAAGGCTTTGAGGGCAGCCATCTCATCTCACACCTTTGTCCCCTCTCAATTCTGAGGACTGACGGCAGGGGAGAACCACCATAACGCCAAGTGTTTCCAATGATGGTGGAACCAGGGATGTCTAAAGTGATTAGTAATTGCTTGCGGATGAATTGCTCTCGCAATCCAATTTTGTATCCAGTCTCTTTTTTAACATTTCAGATTTCTTCCTGGAGTTTGAGCGTAAACCTTCTGAAGTTTGATAGCATTTTTCTCATGGAACTAATTGGTAAAGTGATAAACAGCTGTGTGTGCATTGTAGTTGGCTGTAGGCAAATATTTAACCACAATGAGAGCATTTCACAACTGCATGGGGTAGAGACGTCTGCTATGGAGGGATCATCTGAGATCCAGGCCTCAAAGTGTCCTCCCTGAGAGCAAACAGTGACCGAGCATCAGTTAACTGCTCTGGCTCTGGAAGGCACCAGGCAGGAGATCTCAAACTTGTCTCGGGAGTGAGCCATCACAAGGGGCCCTGGGGGTGTGGCCACCAGGCCTTATTCCTTACTCAAATGGGTCAGATGGACTTTTATCTCTTATGTATTTCTAGACTTCATCTAAGAATTAATTTTATAAAATTGCCACTGCTGCAAAAAAAGTCAAAAACAAAAATACTGCAACAGAGATTTGTAGTTGTGACGCTCTTTTGTGTGTGTGTGACTTTTAGGGTGGGGATCCCAGGTGAAGAACCCCTTCTTTTGAAAGTTCAGGAAGATGTGGCCTTAATCTCAAAGCAGCCTGGCACTGTTACCTGTGTCTGAGCCAGGTGCAGCAAGCAGTCTGCTGGGCCACGTGTCTCTAATCAGCTTTTTGACTTATTCTGTTTTCTGATGCTCCTGGATCTCCCCTTCCTTACTAGGCTGAAGCCCCTTTGAAGATATGGTCTTTGTCCCTTTATGTCTCCTGTGCAGCACCTTGCATGCAGTAGGGACTCCCTGGATTAAAATCAAATGCATCAGATTGGACTGGGATGATCTGAATGGTGGGGCTCTTGACTGTATTCACTATAAGTGGATGAAAAGTTCAAGGCTCAGGGCTCAGGTCACCTGCTACACAAGAGGTCCCTGCAGACTTGGAACTTAGAAAAGGACTCCACAGGCCAGGCGTGGTGGCTCATGCCTGTAATCCCAGCACTTTGGGAGGCCAAGGCGGGCGGATCACCTGAGGTCGGGAGTTTGAGACCAGCCTGACCAACATGGAGAAACCCCGTCTCTACTAAAAATATAAAATTAGCCAGGCGTGGTGGTGCATGCCTGTAATCCCAGCTACTCGGGAGGCTAAGGCAGGAGAATTGCTTGAACCTGGGAGGAAGAGGTTGTGGTGAGCCGATATCATGCCACTGCACCCCAGCCTGTGCAACAAGAGCGAGACTCCATCTCCAAAAAAAAAAAAAAGAAAAAAAAAAGATATCCAGATCATGTGATAGGCAATGCATGTAGGAGTCATGTCTGGAAACTGACCCAAATATTTAACTGCTGGGGTATGATTGGGGAAGGTTGTTTCTGTTTTCTTTACTGATACACTCCAGAGGGATTCATTGCAGAAGGGTATGGGAGACTTAGTGCTGAACCCAAACCAAAAATAAGCAAAACAGCCTTGCTGAATTCTCTAAATCCACGTATCTCTAAATCCTCTGTCTCTAAATCCTCTGTCTGCTAGGTGGGGTCTGATGGCTACAATGACCTTGAGTGACAAGCAGACAGAAGAGGCTATGAGGAGATATTCTACATGGCAGATGCTCTACACTGAGCAAAGAAGTGGGAACAGAGTCCTAAAAATAGTGGAGTAGAAAAAGTTTCAAAAGCATGTGGCACCTAACACCCAAGGCCAAAAGATGTTGTAGGCAGCAGTTCTTACATTTGTTTCTAGTTATCTCTGGGAGGTCAGTAGGATCCATGCACCAAATGCCTGTCTGCCCTGTCCCGAACCAGATCCCCAAGTGTCTGCCTCAGGTCTGGGGCTGATACCTGTCTGCTGCTAAGAAACGCAAGGAGATGGTGTGTAGGAAGAAATGTGTGTGTGCTTGTGTGTGTGCGTGCATATGTGTGTGTGTGTGTGTGTGTGTGTGTGTGTGTGTGTGTGTGTGTGTGTAGGGAGGGAGGGGAGGGGGGCAGGAGAATGGAAGGCCAGCATCACAGTTTCTTACTTGCAATGACTCTTCAGCCTCAGCCCCTCCCACTTAAGAATGATGAATGAGTTTCAGTGGCCTGAACAGTACACTCACAAAGGAGACAGGGACCGAGGACTGGTCCAGTCTGGCTCCTCTATTGCAACCTGGTTGTGTAAATTCTGCCAAGTCACTGAACTTTCCTGAGGTCTGCTTTATTTACCTGCAAAAGAGGGAGACTAGTATGTCTCGAATGAAGAGTGGAAACAGATTTGAAAGTGCCTAGCAAAGTGTAACAGAAATTGCAGTCATGCAGTGACAATGATCCTCCGGCTGGCTTGTTGTACTTTAACACAGAATAAAGTTGCCAGCCCAGGGGTGGTTCCACGGTGGAGGCATTCCAGGAATTGGCCAGGAGTTGGTGGGGGCATTATTCTCTCCCAGTGCCCCTGTAGTGACCTTGGGAGGCAGCTGCCCACTCCTTCCCCGGGGGAAGAGTGGGTTGGCCTGGGCTGGCAGGACTGTCACAACCCAGCCCTTGTGTACCACTCTGAGCACTGCATTCGCAGCTGCTGGGACACAGGTGGGTGCCTGCGGAGGACGGCAGAGGGAACACAAGTGGTTCCGGGTGTGGGGGGAACAAAGAAAGGCCTTTTCTTCAGAGGCCAGGAGAGCGACCTCAGGGCTGTAACGATCTGAGCAGAAGGGCAAGGGGTCATGGGCAGCCCCCTCCCAGCAGGGCAGGCTGCAGAGTCCCAGAGCTGGAGGAAGACACACCTGGCTTCCAGGAGAGAGCGTGTCAGTGATGCACAGGGAAGCACTGGGGAAATCACCTCTTTGAGCCTCACTTTTTGTCTTCCTAAACTGGAATTAATAATATCTGCATCTGTGTGATGCCTTCAGCATTAAAGGAGGCACTGTGTGTGTTACACGTCCTCACTAGGTGCGGAGCAGGGCAGAGTGGGCGCTTGCCAGGGCGTGCACAGCCCCAGGCACCTGTGCCGAGTCTGCTGTAGTGCTTTGCCCTGCGTCGGCATCCCTTGGGCCCCCATCTGAGGTGATCAATGCACCCAGAGGGTCTCCAGGGCTCCCTTCTGGGCCCCTCACAGGGTGGCCTCTTTACACTGATGTCCTCCAGCCTTATCTGTGCCCTAATCTCCCTTCGAGCTGCCACTGGGTGATCATCTATCTGTCCCATGAATCGGTGGTTCCCCCTTACCTATGGGGGATGCTTTCCAAGACCCCCAGCGGATGCCTGAAACCAGAGATACGACTGAACCTTACATACATGATAGTTTTCCTATATGCGAATAACTATGATAAAGTTTATTTTATAAATTAGACACAGTAAGATATTAACAACAATGAATAATGAAGTAAAACAATTGTAACAACGTACTCTATAAAAGTTATATGAACTAGTCTCTCTCTCTCTCTCAGTATCTTACTGTACTGTACCTTAGGTAACTGAAAGCTCAGATCAGGGCAAGAGATTGTATCTCAAAGTCACCCTCTTCCCCATAGAGATTCTTCCTACATCCTTCCTCTTGATCTTGTTCCTACAATTCTACAATGAACATGAATTGCTTCTGCAATAATGAAATAGGGCAAAGACAACTTATTTTTAAACTTGTAAGTGAAGAGTAGCCTATTCTTCTGACTTAAAAGGCCAAAAGAGTAAGAGAAAGATAGAGACAGAAAATGAGAGAGACACAGAGAGAGAGAGAGAGAGAGAGAGAGAAAGACAGCAAGTAGTGCATGACCTGAGCCTCCCTAGCATCTACTCCAGCTGTGTTAGTGAAGTCCCACAGGGAGAGGTAGAGGCTGCCCCTGCAGATGCCCAGCCCAGGGAGTCCTCCCGTGACAGACAGAACTGCTAAGGAACCAGGACTGCCAACGTAGAGGAGGATCAGAGCCCTGGGAGCAAGGGGCAGATTCAGGCAGGGAGAGCAGAGGCAGTGGGCTTCAGCCCCTCAACCTCCAATGGGCTGAGCTCAGGTCACAGGGTGACTTCCATGGGCCAAGGTGCTTTACCTTATGGGTCCCTTCTCCTCCCAAATATTAGAAATCATATTGTATAGCTGCACTGGTATAAAGGCAAATGTACTATTTGATCTTAGAGGTTCATTTCCTTCCTTCTGATTTTAAAAGAAGCTCTAATACTGTTGTGGGCCTCTAGAAGCACTGTGGTCTCTGAGCACTGCGTCTGGGGTCAGGCCCTGGCTGAGCTTTCAATGTAGAGGGGGAAGAGAAGGAGGTGTGAGGGGCTGGTAGGTTCTCTGGAAGTCACATCCACTTGCTAGTTTCGGTATCATCACATGCAAAATGGAGATAAAAATACCTCCCTGGGGCTGCCAGAGGGCTAAATGAGATGGCGTCTGTGGAGTGGAGCCTCATCTCTACTCTCTGAGACAGGGCTACTGTCACCAGATGAGGAGGATGGCTCAGGATAGTGTAAAGAATCAGTGACAAAGAAAAAAAAAAGACTATGAAAATTTTTTAAAAAGGGAATACTCAGGATTTTCAACCATAACTGAAATTAATTTCGCTAAAATGAGAAGTTTTGCCGAAGTTGAAGGAAAGGGATTAATATGACAAATCCATCCAGGGCATGATCAAGCAAGGCCTGGCTCCCCTCCCAGGAGTTTGGGACCTGGAAAAGCTGGAAAAGGCTGAGAAGGAGCTTTCTCCAGAGAGAGAGAGAGAGAGAGAGAGAGAGAGAGAGAGAGAGAGAGAGAGAGACCAGAACCTTAGAGAGACCCAGCTCCAAGCCCATTCAAAGGGGAGCATGAAGGAAAAAGGAGAAATGACTGCCTAAAGAAGACATTGAAAGGTAGAGCGCATGAGGGCCAGGTGAGCCGAGGGAAGGAGGCCCCCGGCTTCACACTCAGGGGAGGGGCACTGGCAGACAGGGGAGAGGTCAGGGGCTGAGCTGAGAGGAGCTTAGAGTGCACCAGGGTCAGGGCCTTGCCCAGGGCAGGGAGAGGGTGCAGTGAATGCTGGGGCCCAGGGCACTCTTTGCAGACCTTGTTTGCCTACATGGATGGACCTTCACATCCCTCCATCCGTTTGCTGACTCATTCACTCATTCCTTCACTCATACGGTGCTTTCAAAGAGCCTACTCTTCTCCATGGAGAACCAGATGGCCCAGGTATGAGTGGTTGAGGGGCTGGTGCCCCGATGAGGTGGGGGCAAAGATGACCTCTCTCCAGGGTGATGTGAGGAAATGGAGCTCCGGAAGGTAAGAGGCTTGCTCCCCATCACACAGCTGGCGTGCGTGGCCAAGAGCAGGGCCTGCGTGTGTTTTCTGGGCTGTCTCCACCGCAGTGCTGACTCTTGGATAAAAACATGAAGGAGGCTGGGCGTGGTGGCTCATGCCTATAATCCCAGCACTTTGGGAGGCCAAGGTGGGCAGATCAGGAGGTCAGGAGATTGAGACAATCCTGGCCAACAAGGTGAAACCACATCTCTACTAAAAATACAAAAATTAGCTGGGCGTGGTGGCACATGTCTGTAATCCCAGCAACTCGGGAGGCTGAGGCAGGAGAATTGCTTGAACCAGGGAGTCGGAGGTTGCAGTGAGCCAAGATCATGTCACTGCACTCCAGCCTGGGGACAGAACAAGATTCCATCTCAAAAGAAAAACAAAAACAATAAAAACCATGAAGGAGCAGCATCGGGAGCGAGAGGGCCTTTCCCTGGTCTCTGTGGGACCACACAGATGCAGATGGCCCCCTGTCATTGGGTATGACTTTCAGTGGCAAAGGGGCAAACATCTGAGGAGTCTGGAGAGCAAGGAGGGAGCAGGGCAGTGGGGAGGAAGCTGGCGTTTAAGCACACACGCACACACTCAGTGAGCGGAAGCAATTAAGCACAATTATGAGCACATACCAGGCACTACACTAGGATGTTTATCTGTGAGAATGCACTGAATCCTCCGAACAAAGCCCTGAGGTAGAGACTGTTATTAGCTCCATTGACAGGTTCAGGACTAGCCGTAGAATTTGCAGAGCCCAGTGCAAAATAAAAACATGAGGCCTCTTATTCAAAAGAGAAGAATTTGAAGATAGCAGTGACAGAGCATTAAACCTAGGAAGTGCGGGACCCTGCTGGGCAGGTCCCATCCCTGTGAAGCCATCCCTGTGCCAGACGATGGACCAGCAACTTGTCCCAGGTCACAGCCAGCTCATAGTGGATCCAGACCCAAAACCTCATCCTCAGATTTCAAAGCTAACCCTTTATCACTAGCAAATTGACACAAAGTCTATTTGAGCTAAAGGTTTAAGAAAAAATACAGAAGGGGAACCTGAACTTGAAGCTTCAAGCATTGCTAAGGCCTGTGTGTAGGTTTCAGCAAGAGCACTGGATGAGTTTCTCAAGCGAAAGTGGATTTCATATCCAATGGGCCCCTGTTGCCCGGTGAATACAGGAGAAGGGCTTGGCTGGGCCCCACACCAGAGGCATCATTGTTTTATCAGGTTTTGATCTGGCAACCCATAATTTCCCCCCTTTTAAGACTGTGCTGAGAATACATGTGCTCATCGGCTGCTGACAAAATGTGAAGATTCTCCATGCCAGAGTTCAAGGAGGAAGAGTGGCAGTGCTGGGCTGGGTCAGCTGGAGACCCTGTGCCTGAGCCCCTCGTAAAAATGCCCACTGCGTGTGGGAGCAGCGGGTGTGAGGCGCCCTGGCAGTGGCTCTCTGCGAGGATGTGTCAGTCAAGACCATCATGTGCAAAGTGCAGATAAACAGAGCCATCAGGGTGTGCCAGGGGTGCAGGGAGATAACCAAGGCCACCCTGCCCAGGGCTGGCTCTACATGCCCCGAAGCGGAGCTTCCTCCCCTGAGCCCTGGAAAGAGGTCACTGTTGTGCCTGCTGGGCCCCAAGCAGTGTGTGACCACAGTGTTTTGGCAATAAGAGAAGGGGCATCTGGTAGGCTGGGCACAGTGGCTCATGCCTGTAATCAATCCCAGCACTTTGGGAGGCCAAGGAGGGTGGATCACCTGAGGTCAGGAGTTCGAGACCAGCCTGACCAACATGGAGAAACCCTGTCTATACTAAAAATACAAAATTAGCCAGGCATGGTGGTGCACGCCTGTAATCCCAGCTACTCGGCAGGCTGAGGCAGGAGAATTGCATGAACCCAGGAGACGCAGGTTGCAGTGAGCCAAGATTGCGCCATTGCACTCCAGCCTGGGCAACAAGAGCAAAACTCCGTATCAAAAAAAAAAAAAAGAGAGAGAGAGAAGGGGCATCTGGCTTTCACATGCATAAGCAGAAGCAGGAGAGACTAGAATGCAATTCCATAGAGAGTTCTGAAGGAGGGGTGGTGACGCCAGCAGAACGGGAGAGGGAGCAGGGACCACAGAGCCAGGCAGGTTGGCAGCAAGTCTTGCTCTGCCCCCATCTACAGCTGGGGGATGCCAGGCGAGGCAGGCACCCCTCACCAAGCCCAGGGCTCACTTGTGAAGGGGTCAGAACTGCAGAGGCTCTCCAGGGGCTGGAGAAGTCATGCCAGGGTCCACCCAACCCTCGCCTTGCCTAAGAAGGAACCCAGTGTCGCCGGCCTGGCTCTGCCTGCACATGGGAAATGGGCTCTTGCCAGTTTCTGCCATGGGTTAAGATTTTGTATAGGAACATTGTTCTGGAAGAATGTAGAAAAATGAAAATGTATAGTCTAAGGAGAGGAGCCAGCATTCTGTCAGAAGTTCCGATTATGTAAGGATCTGAAGAAAACCCCAGGCCAAGATGAGAGGGAGGTGGGGTAGGGGAAGGGAGTGGATATGAAAATGAACCCCAGCTGGGTGAGAAGGTGGGAAGGACTAGGTGGGATTCCTGG
This sequence comes from Homo sapiens, assembly GCF_000001405.40. NCBI lineage: Eukaryota > Metazoa > Chordata > Mammalia > Primates > Hominidae > Homo > Homo sapiens. The sequence goes on along the minus strand of NC_000002.12, from coordinate 126,660,851 downwards.
GGCCCAACAACTGTGCCTTTAGAATTTGTTTGGGGTTGACTCCTGTCCATTTCAACTTAGTATTTACTGGCCTCCAAGTCCATGCCAAGTTCTGGACCAGGAGCTCCTGAGTGAAGGCTTTTTAAAGGCTCTTTTGGTATTGGAATGGTGGCAGTCCTGGGAGCGTGGGCCTTGGGTCATCCCTGCAATCATCCACCTGCCTCAAAGTGGCTCAGCAAACCCCTGTCTGTGACAGGCCCTGAGTGGGGGACAGGCGGGGTCACAGAGCCCCTGGAGAGGTCAGAATTCTGGGAAAAGGCAGACTCAGGAATCTGTCAGGGCTGCAAACTGTGCCCAAGGCTGTGGTGGGTCGTTTTCTAGGCTTGGGAAACTGGGTCCTAGCAGACCAGCAGGTGAGTGTGTGCCAGGCCCGCGGCGTGTTGAGGGGCCTGTCGTGAACAGTTGTGAGAGGTGCAGCTGGAAAGGCAGCAAGCCTGGGACGGTGCGTGAGGGAGGGCTCGAGGGCCACCCCGAGCCAGCTGCTAAGGCGGGCAAGGGCAGCAGCAGCCCAGAGCATGCCAGGCCTGACCACAGAAAGCACAGCATGGACACAACGGTGGACTGGGGTGGGACACAGGCCCGGCTGAGGAGCTGGGGGAGGCAGGCGGGTCCTGAGTGTCTGTGCATGCAGTTCCTCAGTGTGCAGAGCCACAGCAGCAGGCCCTGCCTGGCACATACAAGCTGTGGGCCCACATACCCTGCAACTCTCTCCTTGGGTTGGCCTCAGTTGCCTGTGGGGTCTGGCAGTTTGTAACTACAGCCTGGCTGCGCCCTCAGTGTCTGGGTGCCCTATGGCGGCTTATCTCCCCCGAGCCTCTGGTGTTTCATCCGAAAGTCTCTACAAAAAATACAAAAATTAGCTGGGTGTGGTGGCGTATGCCGGTAGTCCTAGCTACTTGGGAGGTTGAGGCAGAGAATCTCTTCAACGCAGGAGGTGGAGGAGGTGGAGGGTGCAATGACCTGAGATCACACCACTGCACTCCAGCCAGAGTGACAGAGCACGAGACTCTGTCTCAAAAAAAAAAAAAAAAAGAAAAGAAAGAAAAAGAAAAGAAAATGCCTATCATAGCAGGTGTGCAGGGGAGACCCAGGAAAGCCCCTTACCAGGGCTCGGCATCTAAGTTTGTTGTTATTTTATCAAAAGCGAAAAACAACAGCTGTCTGGAGGGTGACTCCTGAAATTACCAGCATCCTCAGGCCAGGTTTGCTCCAATAAATTTCGCTAACAAAAGCCACCTCCCAAGCCTCTGCCACTGGGAGCAGGTCCAGGCCCTTCTGCTGTTGCTCTTCGGGTGACTCTGGGGAAGTGGCTGTTATCATTCCCACTCACAGATGGGAAAACTGAGGTGCTGAGGTATTTCCTCTCTCTCCCAAAGCTGGTGAACATTGGAGGGCAGTCAAACCCAGGGCTGACTCCACAGCACGGATGTTGCTCTGGCCTCTGCTCTGCCCCTCACTCGTCATGTGATGAGGACATGTCCTTTCACTTCTGGGGCACGTTTCCTCACGGGGGTGGGGTGCTGACAGGAAATGGACAAAAGCATCAACCGACACTTCCCCGAAAAGTAATACAACCTCTTATGGAAGTAAGAAAACATGCTCAGTCTCACTTAATTACAGAGGCTCATTCCAAAGTGACAGCGTTTGTTTTGTTGTTTTACCTCTCAGTTTGGCCAAGATAAAAAATGCAGTGTGAGTGAGGACGCAGGGAAATAGTGACTTTCATAGGCTATTTGTGAGCATGAGAAACCGGTGTGACCTTTAGGAGGGTAGTTTCTTAAGATCTACTAACATTTTAAATGAATACACACTTTGTCCCAGAAATCAAATGCTGAGGTGGGAGAATTTATCCTAACAGTTTACAGACACATGCATGTAAAATCCTCCTTACTCATTGTCACAGGACTGCTGTGTGTGGTTTAAAAAAATTAAATGAAGTCTGCATACAGCCTAAATGCCCATCAGCAGAGGAACTGATTAAAGAAAATAACAAGGTATAACCTTTAAGAGATATTCTGATGGAAAAAAAACAAGATGAAGTAAAATATATAAAATGCATTTTTATTATGTAAAATAAGAAATATTTGTATCAGCAAATTTACTTCTAGAAGGATTATCCTCAATAAATAAAGTAATTGCCATTGAGGTAGGGAGAAGGTGTCTTTCTCCTATTTTTAACTCTTCATTCACTGTTAACTTTACTGTTTGTTTGGTTTTGTATTTAGAGCGTGCTTGTTGGCCCACTGGGTATGCTCAGTTACTGGAAGATGTTTTGGCTGTGGCCTCAGACAGGCACTTGAGGCATAGATGTACATACAGGTCTGCCACCTGAAGAGGCAAACTGACTTGACTTGGCCCAACCTCTCACCTCTGTTGAGGGGACCTCTTCCTACTCACTGCAGATGGGTTCACTTGTTCCCACCACAAGCGCAGAATGCCTTGTACTTCACAACCCTTTGCTCCCCAGGGAGCTCTGCAAGTCCCCAGAAATACTTGCCCAACCACGGGCACCCTTGGAAGGGTCCAGCTGCTGACCACCAGCATCATGTGACTCCCAGTGCCAGTGACATCTGGAGGAATTGAGCAATGGCTGAGGTGGAATTTCATTTGGCACTTAATGCAATCCTCTGCTTCTGCCAGAGGCGGTGAATTCTATATAAAGCTGCCAAACCTGGCCGTCTTCTCACTGAGCCTTGACCCCTTCCATCCAAGGGCAAGGCAATGGATTGCTGTGCATGACTCACGCGCAGTAACTGTGGCATTGGGGCCTAGCCCAGCTGAGCTGAGCAGAGCAGGCCGGCCTGGCGGAAGTGGGTCCTCTCCGCTCTAACCTCTGGCTCTGATGAGCAGCTACATAAACTGAGACAGGATATAGACACATCCTGCCTGAGTTAGCAGCAAGAAATAGCCGCCCCCCACCCCCCCTGCAGTTCTCGCACAGCAGGGATCCTGCCATAAATCAATCCGAAGTCTAATGTGGAATGGCTTGCAAGCAAGGGCTGCACCGCTGTTTGTCTCCCAAGGCAAGTGTTGAAGGTCTGAAACCTGAGTCCTGGAGAACTGCTTGGGCTGCTGGGCTGGGCTGGGCACGGGGGCGGGGGTCAGGCAAGCCCATCCTCTTCAGACATGAGAATGCCTCTCAGCCTCACCTCCTCAGTGACTGAATTGGAATAATGACAGTGGCTCCTGTCCCTTTAACCCAGGACCTGCCGTATACACACACATAAACATATGCTCAAGTTACGTGCTCCGGGAACCACAGTCTCATGTGCAATTATATAAACATGCCCAGCACGGATCCAGCACTTAGGATGTGTCAGACTCCGTGCCGGGACATTTATACGCACTTCGTGCTGCTGGATGAGTTATCTCCTGTTATTATTCCTACTTTCCTACTTTGCAGATGAGGAAACTGGAGCTAAGAGAGGCTGCCTTGTTTATAGGCAGTGCAGATGATCCCAGTGCAGACTGAGGGGCCTCGCTCCCAAGCACCACTGATGCCTGCGCACTCCCAGGCTGACGCAAGCACAACCACAGGCACATGGAGTGCCGTGTACACACGTAGACCGAAGCAGCACTCCTCCACGCCAAGCTCCAAGCTCAGGCGGGGTGAGGGGTGAGGCCTCACAACCCCCTGGATTTCAAAGACTTATAAAAGAGTTGGTGTCTCCAATACCCATATCATTATCATATCAATAAGGTATCATTGTCACATGATAGGCTCAGGGTATCTCCTCTCTGACAGACTCTAAGAATCAGACCGCGGCAGGGTGGGGGTAAGAGGGATGTACATTACGTTTTTTGGTAAAATCAAATGGTAGTTTTTATTGCAAAAGTCCAACGGCAGAGGAAGAGGGCAGAGAGAGGCCCAGCAATGTTTCCAAGCATCTACAAAGACTTTCATCACAGATGATTTCCTCTCAGCAAGAAAACGTGATGGTTTAAAAGAGAAAACCAGCAGCGAGGAATTACAAATCCCCAAAGGATCCAGGCCGCAGGATTCCCTCGCATCTGTGTGCCTTTGCGGCGCCCAGCGGAGCGAGCAAGTCCCTGGGCAAGGCTGGAGTTGCCTGGAGTTCACCGGAGCCTGGCCGGTCGGACCCTGGCTGGGGAGCAGCACAGAAGCAACTTGTGATGTGAACTCTCACCTAACTGTTCTTTAGGGAGACAATTCTGGCCCCACACATTTCACATGCCCCGCACAAAGAAACAGAAAGCGGGCGACACGCCCTGGGAGGGCGGGCTGGCGGCTTCTCCAGCTCGGAGCGCGTGGAGGCTGCGCGTAGGGGTCCGGGACGCGGGACAGGGACTCCGCGCAGCCCAGGCGCCGGGGAACCGGGGCTGGAGTCGGGGATCTGAGCCCAGCGGACGCCTCCTCCGCCTGGAGGCCCGGCACGGACCGGGACACCAGGGCGTCCGTGGCCGTGGCTCGGCCCCTGGCTGCTGCGGGCCGCGGCCTCCAGTGGGTCCCCAGGACCCTTCCCCACGGCGGGTACTCACCGAGGCTGAGAGGCCACGCCGTGCTGTTGGGGCTTCTCGTCGACCACATTCCTGGGCGTCAGCCCGGGCAGAGACCGCGGGGACTGGCCAGGCCGGGCCAGGCCGGGCCGGGGGAGGGTCGCGCTCCCGGGCTCCTGACCCTCGGCGGCGAGAGGAAGCGGCACCTGGGTCACACTCCTCCCGCGCGGGCCGAGGGGAGGGGCTCTGGCCCGGAGATAGGCAGACTTCATTTATTTTTTTTCTGCAGACTTGGCTGGTGGGGTTTCCACCCCCTTTTTTTTTTTTAAACACACACCCGCCCACTTCTGAACTCTTCTTTGCTCCAACTTTCCTGCGCAAGAACCACGCTTTTCTAACCGTTTCTCTTTCCATCTGCCACTACCGGATACAGAGGTTGTGGTTGAGAATTCCCCCTGGAGTGCAGGGAAAACTCCCCAATGTGACATGATGGCCTGGCCCAGCACTGTCGGGGATGGTGACCAAATAGGGCAGACCTGTGTTGAAATCTTGGCTGGCTGCGCGGCCGCTGGATAGCTGGGCGGCCTCTCTCAGCTGCGGGGCATTTGTCCCTGGAGAGAGTCCCTGTCTTGTTGGCCTTTGGGGGCCCTGTACTCATGGATGGGCTGTTGAGCAAAGATCATTCCAAAACAGGAAGAATTGCTGGACAAGAGTCGTGATTTGTTCCCATTGCTTTTGTCTGAAGCTGCCAGACACAGTGCAGTTTGTGAATTCGCTCTACTTTTGCCATGAAAATCTCCACGTGGATTTCGATACATACCTTTGTTGGTTAAATGCAGTCAAATGGCACCACCTACAAAAAATGTATCATAGCATTATCTGCCCCTTCTGCCCAGAGACAAGGGCAGGGAACTTGAGGCCCTTGTTTTAAATCCCCACCCAGGGGAACACCCTGTGCTTCTCCTGTGTGATGTCTGAACCTTCCTGTGCTGCTTTTCATTGTTTACTTTATAGTTCCCCAAGCACTTTTGTGACGCCCACCTCTCCCCTACCTTCTGCCATTAAGGCCTATCCTGCACAATCCGGAGAGCCAGGCCAGCTGTCTGTACAATGTATGGGCGGTGCCTTTGGGACTGTCATCTGCATTGAATACAATGAGAGGCTGCGCCCTGGAGATTTGCAACACAGAGGCTTTGCTCACCTCTAGCCGGGCTGCACAAACTCCAGGCCTTCTTGACGCAGTGGGAAAGCACTCATGATTCACTTTAGTTAGATCATGAAGAACCCCCGATGCTGATAGATCTTTACTCCAACTGCCATGTGCAGCACAGCCATGTTGAATTGAAATAAACTACTCACAGAATGCCTTTGGCCTGGTGGGGAAGCCCTGAGTCTTGATTTCCTCATCTATAAAATGGAGGCAAGAACACCTGCATTCCGGGGTTTTACAGAGGCAGTGATTGTAGAATCACAGTGGGAACAGAAAAGGCATTTAATAAACAGCAATGAGTAATGATTAATTTATTTTTATTTATTTATTTATTTATTTTTCTGAGACGGAGTTTTTGCTCTTGTTGCCCAGGCTGGAGTCCAACGGCGTGATCTCGGCTCACCACAACCTCCGCCTCCTGGGTTCAAGCAATTCTCCTGCCTCAACCTCTCGAGTAGCTGGGATTACCAGCATGTGCCTCCACGCCTGGCTAATTTTGTATTTTTAGTAGAGACGGGGTTTCTCCATGTTGGTCAGGCTGGTCTCGAACTCCCGACCTCAGGTGATCCACCCACCTTGGCCTTCCAAAGTGCTGGGATTACAGGCGTGAGCCACTGCACCCGTGATTACTTTAACAGTTTAACTTTTTTTTTTGGTAATACATACACATACGTCTACGTGGAACAGTAGTCCCGCTCCTCTGTCCTGAGAGAAAATAACTTTAATTATCTGAAATGCAGCTGGAAAGTTGGAAAGAAGCAGAAAGTTCTGCCAGGTAACAACGGACAAGTCATTAGGTCATTGCAGCACACTTAGAGAAGTCACTTTTACAGACTCATTTAGAACCTACTGGCCTTAGACGTAATCATAAGAGATTTCCTTAATTTCTTAGGGTAAGACAGGTTGAAGGCATCAAAATGTTGCAGAGAATTCCTTACAGAAAATAAGCCAAAAATTAATAAACTAACGAACTAAACAGTGAAAATTGAAAGCCCCACAAACTGCAGAGGTCAGATACAAGAACGAAGTAGCATTTGTTACAGAACTAAAGCAATCTCAGCTCCAGCCATCACTGGAGGATGTGACAGTTCCTTGCGCTATTAAAGACCACAGGGCTTTGGAACTCAATCTGGGTTAGTTACTCTACTGCCTACTAGCTGCGTAACCTTCAGCATTTCACTTTCTTTCTCTGAGCCTCATTTTTCTCAGCCTGGAAATTGGAGCAATCTGCAAAGTTAGGCTGTTGTGAGTAATATATTCGATAATAATTAAAGAGGTAATTACAATGAGAGTACACTGGAGTTACTTAAAGATATTGGCCCCCTTCCTCCTCTAACACATACTTTGTTCATAGTAAGGACCCCAAGTCATTTGAAAAAGAAAGTAAATAGTGTGTCTTAGTGTGTAGCAAATTAGCTAACAGGGAAACATTTGACATATTTTAGAAAATTTAACTATGAAAGTGTCTAATGTTAAATAAATGACTCTTAAGAAGGGAAAATAATTATGTGAAAAATTTAATTATATGGTAACAGTCTGACATAAGTCAAGAAATGTATTATTAGTGTGTCTTCATGTGTTGGATATTTATTAATGAAGTTAAAAAAAAAACTCAGCTATATCTTGCAATAATAAACCAGTTCTTATCTTGTCTAGTTCCCATAAATACTCTTAAACGGAGTATTGCCAAGAGTCCATTGTAAAGATGAGAACCCAGAAGTTCAGCACAGTGACAAGAACTTGCTCTGCAGTGCAGCCGGGATGGACGGTTCTAGCTGTGTCTTCATTGACTGTCTGTGGCTGATACAAGCTGCAGAGCCCTCCAAGATGTGAGATGGTATGATCCAGTCCTGGAGATGAATTTTCTCTTCCTCTTCAGGGAAGAAACTGCTCATGGGAAACTGCCTTCCAAATCCTCAGTGCTAGTTCCTTATTGGGAGTGGAGTTGGCGGTCCCCTGCTGCTGTTGCTGTCTCCTGGGTGAGCCCTTACAGATGGTGGTAGGTAGATGTTGCTTGGGCCTTTAATGAAAGGTTTTGCCCCTCATCACAGTAACACATGCTCTTTGTGCAAAAAGAAAAAATAAAAAAGAAAAAGCCAAAAAGATACCTAAACCCTAAGAATTGCTTGCAATCTCCAGCACATTAAGGTTATTTACCTTTAGTCTTTTTTATGCATTTACGAATATTTGCTTTATACTCTTGAGATTTTACTGAATACGTGATTTCAAGTGCTGAGCTTTTACTACTAAACATTATGTCATGAGCATTTTCTCATGTAAAAGTAGAAAAGCTCTTTAACTCATTTTAATTACTAGGTTGTTTCATTTTCTTTGCTGGTTGAATAGTGCTGTGATAACCATATGAACATAAATATCTGGATTTCATAATTTTTTCCTTAGGGTATATTCTGACAAGCAGAATTACTCAATCAAAGGTTACAAATGCATTTAAAGCTTTTGATACATTCATAAGTTCTGGCTGTGACCTTTACTTTCTTCCCAATCAAGAGTACCAGTGTTTATCTCAGAGTCTCTTGCCAGAATTAAACAGCAAACTTAAAATCATAGTTAATTCCATAGAAAAGAAACATACATAGTTATTTGTGTCAGCATTTTCTTTGATTACCAGAGAGGCCGAATATGCTGTCAGTTGCTTATTTACAAATCACAGCTTCTTTTAGGTGAATATTTTGTTCACACTGTTTCCTCATTTGGAGGTGTGATGGTTAATACTGAGTGTCAACTTGATTGGATTGAAGGATACAAAGTATTAATCCTGGGTATGTCTATGAGAGTGTTGCCAAAAGAGATTAACATTTGGGTCAGTGGGCTGGGGAAGGCAGATCCACCCTTAATCTAGTGGGCACCATCTAACCAGCTTCCAGGGAATATAGAGCAGGCAGAAAAACATGAAAAGGAGGGATGGGTCTGGCCTCCCAGCCTACATCTTTCACCCGTGCTGGATGCTTTCTGCCCTGGAACATCAGACTCCAAGTTCTTCAGTTTTGGGATTTGGACTGGCTCTCCTTGCTCCTCAGCTTGCAGACAGCCTATTGTGGGACCTTGTGATCATGTAAGCTAATGCTTAATAAGCTCCACACTATATATATATATACAGATCCTATTAGTTCTGTCCCTCTAAGAGAACCTTGACTAACACAGATATTCGTACCAGGAGTGGTTCTAGAGGAACAGAATATGAAGGATGGAGTTCCTTCATTTGTTTTGGGGTTTCTGGAGTTGGCTGCTTAAGATGATTAGACCCCAAAATGCTAAGGAATCTACTTCTAATAGTATGGAGAACACTGATAGTCCTTGGCATGAACTGTTTAGAGAGTTATGCAAAATAAATGCATTTGACACTCCTGATTCTTCACTCGTGAGAGGCCAGTAGTTTAGTAACCCTATACATAATGCCTTTGACCATATGTGGAGAAACAAGGAACATATTGAAGCTGGTTGGTTGCCCCTAAGTTCGGGGACAAAGTGATGAAAAAAATGATGAACTCAGGGATTCTGTCTCCCGGCTTCAGAAGCAGATACTGAGCCTCAAATCTGCTAAGACTGCCCTGAGCGAAAGTCTGAACTTCTATAGAGAAAGAGCTGAAATTGTGGAAAAACAGACACAAGTTCTTATACTAGTGGCTGACCTGCAATGAAAGATGCATGCACAGCCTCACCAGGTGTCTACTGTTAGAATGAGGGCATTGATTGGAAAAGAATGGGACCCTGCAACTTGGAATGGGGACATGTGGGAGGACCCTGATGAAGCTGGGGACACTGAGTTAATAAACTCTGATGAACATTTTTGGCCAGAAGTAACAGCTTCCCCATCCCCAGTAGTGGCAACGTCCTCTCCCCCACCCATGCTGCTATCAGCCTTTCCACCTTTGTCTGAAGAGATAAACCCTGCGCTGCCTGAGGCAGTTGCCAGGCAAAATAATGTTGATTCTCCTCAGAAGCCACCCCCAACACCTCTGTTTGCTTCTAGGCCTATAACTAGACTAAAGGCTTGGTGGGCCCCTAGAGGTGAGGTGCAGAGTGTGACCCATGAGGAGGTGCACTACATTCGAAAAGAACTGTTTGAGTTCTCTAATTTATGTAAACTGCAATCTGGAGCACAGGCATGGGAATGGATATTAAGGGTGTGGGATAATGGTGGAAGGAACATGAGTTGGATCAGGCTGAATTTATTGATTTGGGCCCACTAAGTAGGGACTCTGCATTTAATGTTGCAGCTTGGGGAGTTAAAAAAAAGTTCTAATAGTTTATTTGCTTGGTTAGCTGAAATATCGATTAAAAGATGGCCCACTGTGAGTGAGCTGGAAACGCTTGATCTCCCTTGGTTTAATGTAGAGGAAGGGATCCAGAGGCTTAGAGAGATTGGGATGGTGGAGTGCATTAGTCACTTTAGACCTACTCATCCCAACTGGGAGGGTCCAGAAGATATACTCTTGACCAATTCCTTGAGAAATAGATTTTTGAGGGCAGCAACTGCATCTTTGAAGAGCCCTGTATTGCTTTTCTCTGTATGTCAGATCTAACTGTGGGAACTGCAGTCACTCAGCTACAAAATTTAAATACGATTGGAATAATTGGATCCTGAGGTGGCAGGGGCCACGTGGCAGCACTAAACAGTCAAAGGCAAGGTGGCCATAGCTACCGTAATGGACAGCAGAGTCAAAGCGGCAATAAGAATAGTCTGACTTGTGTAGAGCTCTGGCATCAGCTAAATAATCACGGTGTTCCTAGAAGTGAAATTGATAGGAAGCCTACCACATTCCTACTTACATTATACAAATGGAAAACTTCTAGGTCAAATGGACAAAATACTAATCTGAATTATGAAAACAGAGAATCATGGCCCCTCAATCAATTTGCATACTTGAGCCAGTTTACAGACCCAGTTTACAGGCCGGGTCCCCTTGATGAAGGACCCCAATACATTACTGACAGTTTGTGCAATGAATCTTTCTCTCATCCTTTCTCAAGGAGACCTCCAGCCTTTTACCAGGGTAACTGTGCACTGGGGAAAGGGAAATGATCAGACATTTCAGGGACTACTGGACACTGGCTCTGAGCTGACGTTGACTCCAGGGGACCCAAACTGTCATTGTGGTTCTCCAGTTTAAGTAGGAGCTTATGGAGGTCAGGTAATTAATGGAGTTTTAGCTCAGATTTGACTTACGGTGGGCCCAGTGGGTCCCCGGACTCATCCTGTGGTCATTTTCTCAGTGTCAGAATGCATAATTGGTATAGACATATTTAGCAGCTGGCAGAACCCCTGCATTGGCTCCCTGACTGGTAGGGTGAGGGCTACTGTTGTGGGAAAGGCCAAATGGAAGCCATTGGAGCTGCCATCACCTAGAAAAATTGCAAATCAAAAAGAATACCACATCCCTGGAGGGATTGTGGAGATTACTGCCACCATCAAGGACTTAAAAGATGCAGGGGTGGCGATTCCCACCACATCCTCATTCAGCTCTCCCATTTGGCCTGTGCAGAAGACAGATGGAGCTTGGAGAATGACAGTGGATTATTGTAAGCTTAACCAAGTGGTGACTCCAATTACAGCTGCTGTACCAGATGTGGTTTCATTGCTTGAGTAAGTTAACACATCTCCTGGTAACTTGTATGCAGCCATTGACTTGGCAAATGCCTTTTTCTCCATTCCTGTCCATAAGGCCCACCTGAAGCAATTTGCCTTCAGCTGGTAAGGCCAGCAATATACCTTTACTGTCCTACATCAGGGGACATACTGATATACTATCCGGCTTTGTGTCATAATATTATTCAGAGATAGCTTGATCACTTTTTACTTCTGCAAGATATCACACTGGTCCATTATATTGATGACATCATGCTGATTGGATCCAGTGAGCAAGAAGCAGCAAACACACTGGACTTATTGGTAAGACATTTATGTGCCAAAGGATGGGAAGTAAATTTGACTAAAATTCAGGGAACTTCTACCTCAGTAAAATTTCTTGGAGTCCAGTGGTGTGAGGCCTGTCAAGATATTCCTTCTAAGATAAAGGATAAGTTGCAGCATTTGGCCCCTCCTACAACCAAAAAAGAGGCACAACATCTTGTGGGCCTATTTGGATTTTGGAGGCAACACATTCCTCATTTGGGTGTGTTATTCTGGCCCATTTATTAAGTGACCTGAAAGCCTGACAGTTTTGAGTGGGGTCCAGAACAGCAGAAGGCTCTGCAACAGGTCCAGGCTGCTGTGCAAGCTGCTCTGCCACTTGGGCCATATGACCCATCAGATCCAGTGGTGCTTGAGGTGTTAGCCTTTGGGAAGCTCCATAGGCGAATCACAGTGGAAGCCTCTAGGATTTTGGATCAAGGCCCTGTCATCTCCTGCAGATAGCTACTCTCCTTTTGAGAGACAGCACTTGGCCTGTTACTGGGCTTTGGTGGAAACTGAATGTTTGACTATGGGTCATTGAGTCACCATGTGACCTTAACTGCCTACCATGGCCTGAGTGATTTCTGACCCATCTAGCCATAAAGTGGGTCATGCACAGCAACATTCCATCATCAATTGGAACTGACATATACGTGATCAGGCTCGAGCAGGTCCTGAAGGCACAAGTGAGTTACATGAGGAAGTGGCTCAAATGTCCACGGTCTTTACTCCTGCCACCCTGCCTTCTCTCCCCGAGCCTGCACCGATGGCCTCATAAGGAGTTCCCTAGGATCAGTTGACAGAGGAAGAGAAGACTAAGGCCTGGTTCACAGATGGTTCTGCATGATATGCAGGCACCACCCAAAAGTGGACAGCTGTAGCACTACAGCCCCTTTCTAGGACATCCCTGAAGGACAGCAGTGAAGGGAAATCTTCCCAGTGGGCAGAACTTCAAGCAGTACACCTGGTTGTGCACTTTGCATGAAAGGAGAAATGGTCAGATGTGTGATTACATACTGATTCATGGGCCATAGCCAAAGGTTTGGCTGGATGGTCAGGAATTTGGAAGAAACATGATTGGAAAATTGGTGACAAAGAAATTTGGGGAAGAGGTATGTGGATGGACCTCTCTGAGTGTTCAAAAACTGTGAAGATATTTGTATCCAATGTGAGTGCTCACCAATGGGTGACCTCAGCAGAGGAGAAGTTTAATAATCAAGTGGATAGGATGACTCATTCTGTGGACTCCACTCAGACTCTTTCCCCAGCCATCCCTGTCATTGCCCAATGGGCCCATGAACAAACTGGCCATGGTGGCAGGGATGGAAGTTACGCATGGGTTCAGCAACATGGACTTCCATTCACCAAGGCTGACATGGCTATAGCCACTGCTGAGTGCCCAATTTGCCAGCAGCAGAGATGAACACTGAGCCCTCTACATGGCACCATTCTTTGGGGTGATTAGCCAGCTACCTGGTAGCAGGTTGATTATATTGCACCTCTTCCCATCATGGAAAGGGCAGAAATTTGTCCTCACTGAAACAGACACTCCAGATATGGGTTAGCCTGTCCTGAATGCAATGCTTCTGCCAAGACTACCATCCGTGGACTCACAGAATGCCTTATCCACAGTCATGGTATTCCACATAGCATTGGCTCTGACCAAGGCACTCATGTTACAGCTAAAGAAGTGTAGCAGTGGGCTCATGCTCATGGAATTCACTGGTCTTACTATGTTCCCCATCATCTTGAAGCAGCTGGATTGATAGAATGGTAGAATGGCCTTTTGAAGTCACAATTACAACGCCAACTAGGAGACAATACTTTGCAGGGCTGGGGCAAAGTTCTCCAGAAGGCCATGTATGCTCTGCATCAGCATCCAATATATGGTACTGTTTCTCCCATAGCCAAGATTCACAGGTCCAGGAATCACGGGGTGAAAATGGAAATGGCATCACTTACCATCACCCCTCAAAATTTTTGCTTCCTGTTCCCATGACATTACATTCTGCTGCTAGAGGTCTTAGTTCCAGAGGGAGGAACAGTGCCACCAGGAGACACAAGAACAATTCCATTAAACTGGAAGTTAAGATCGCCACCTGGACACTTTGGGATCCTCCTACCTTTAAGTCAACAGGCTAAGAAGGGAGTTACTGTGTTGGCTAGGGTGATTGACCCGGACTACTAAGATGAAATCAGTCTACTACTCCACAATGGAGGTATGGGAAAGTGTGCATGGAATACAAGAGATCCATTAGCGTGTCTTAGTATTACCGTGCCCTGTGATCAAGGTCAATGGGAAACTACAACAGCTCAATTCAGGCAGGACTACAGATGGCCCAGACCCCTCAGGAATGAAGGTTTGGGTTACTCCACCAGGAAAAATAACAAAACCTGCTGAGGTGTTTGTTAAAGGCAAAGGGAATACAGAATAGGTAGTAGAAGAAGGTAGTCATCTATACCAGCTATGACCACATGACCAGCTGCAGAAACCAGGACTGTAATTGTCATGAATATTTCCTCATTCTTTTGCTAAAAACATGTTTGTGTTTGTATACACTTGTACTAAGAAAATATATTCATTTTAATTCTTTTTCTTTTATCATGTGACATAAGATTTATTGACTTCATATCAACATTTAAGTATTGTTAACTTTATGTAATAGTATTTGGGTTGGGGATTGGTGCGTTTCCAGTTGTGCAAAGGATAGTTGTATTATGTTAGATGTAAATATGACCTTATGATTGTCTTTATTTGGAGATTATGTATGATCTCAGGAGATGTGTATGGGTTCAAGTTGACTAGGGGTGAACTTGTGATGGTTAATACTGAGTGTCAACTTGATTGGATTGAGGCATAAAAAGTATTAATTCTGGGTGTGTCTGTGTGGGTGTTGCCGAAAGAGAGTAACATTTGAGTCAGTGGGCTGGGGAAAGCAGATCACCCTTAATCTGGTGGACACAATCTAATCAGCTTCCAACGAATGTAAAGCAGGCATAAAAACATAAAAAGGAGAGGCAGGCATAAAAACATAAAAAGGAGAGACAGGCCTAGCCTCCCAGCCTGCATCTTTCACCCCTGCTGGATGCCTCCTGCCCTTGAACATCAGACTCCAAGTTCTTCAGTTTTGGGACTGGCTCTCCTTGCTCCTCAGCTTGCAGAGAGCCTATTGAGCCTATTGTGGGACCTTGTGATCGTGTAAGTTAATACTTAATAAACTTCTCTCTCTCTCTCTCTCTCTCTCTCTCTCTCTCTCTCTATATATATATATATATATATATATATATATTCTATTAATTCTGTCCCTCTAAGAGAACCCTGACTAATAGAGAAGGAGTGGAAGGAGTGGCAAATGTTTTTCTTTTTGATTTATGTGAACCTTTTATACAAAAAAGGAAACATCACCTTTTCATGTGTATTGCAAATATCTTCTCTTTTGGCCTTTTTCTGGTTCTTTCAATTAATGCAGAAACATAGGTTGATTTACATGATTGGCAAGTTGGTAGCTTTTAAGAAAACCCAAGTCCAGCTATGCATATTTTATGATGGATGTGGACAAGAAGGAGAAGTTTATTTTGTTCATGCTGCCACAGGCTCCTTCTAAAGGAGTGGACAGTAAGAGGAGGGGACCAGAGAGGGTGGGGACAGAGAGACAGCCTTGTACCTGATCTAGACACCAAGAGATTAGTGGCTACAAGCTCCCAGCCTTGACTGGGAACCTATCCTCCTCTTTCTCAGCAGAATGTTCTTTCTGAGAATTCACTAATGGGGTGGTTTGGAGGCTCAGATGAGTGCCTCCAGGCAAGGGAGGAGACCTTATCATGCCTGCTCAGACTGAGCTGATAGATCCTCTTTCTTTTAGAAGTTGCTAAAGGCTGGCTGTCACCATGCAAGGCAGATAGATGGGAAACCACCATAGGGGCCAAGAGAAAACTCCCTTGCCCTCTGAAAGTTCACTGAAAAATTAACTCGTAAAGGGCAGATTAGCTGGAGAAAAGGTCTACAAGTTTATTTTAACATGCATAGCATAGGAGCATTGTAGAATAATTACCCAATTAACCAATGGGGTACTTCTATATCCTTCTTCTTAGGAGAAGGAGAAATGGGGAAGTGTATTAGTCCATTCTCACATTGCTATAAAGAACTACCTGAGACTGGAGCATTTATAAAGAAAAGAGGCTTCATTGACTCTCAGTTCTGCAGCCTGTACAGGAAGCATGGCTGGGGCTTACAATCATGGCAGAAAGGGAAGCAGGCCTGTCTTACATGACTGAAGAAGGAGGAAGAGAGAGAAAGGGGAGGTGCTACACACTTTTAAACAACGAGAACTCCTGAGAACTCTATCACAAGAACAGCAAGGGGGAGGTCCACCTCTGTGATTCAGTCACCTCCCACCAGGGCACTCATCCAACACTGGGATTACAATTCGACATGTGATTTGGGTGGGGACACAAATCCAAACCATATTAGGAAGTTTGGGTAATTTTAGGAGAGTAATAAGTGACTTTTAGGGAAATTCAATGGGCTTGAAGAACATACAATGGCTTGTGACAAACTGTTGTGCCTAAAGAACAGACCATGGTTTGTGACAAAAGTCTGCCCAGGTGCGTTGACAGACTTCAGACTTTCTTCCTGACATGTGAGTTCAGTTAATGAAAGCCCAGGGAAGGGACCAGGGATCATGTTTTCTTCTTAGGAAGGTCCAGACTTTAGACAGATTAGGGAACTTCAGAGAACAACTTCATCCTGGGCTTTGGGAGAGACAGAGGATTAACACCCAGGAGGTGTTGGTGGGGAGCTGAGAAAGGGGAAAGCCAGACAGACTTTGAGGATTCTTCAGTTCAGCATGTCAAAGGGCCATATTTTGAGGTATTGATTTCTGAGCCCCAACAGCACCCAAGCATTGTGTGAGGCTGTGGGAGCTGTAGTCTACTCCCCTGACTTACAGCAGCACCTCATTCAAGGGTAGATCTTTCAGCATCCAGAATGGCCCCCTTCTGGAAGCTTCCTAATGGGCATCTCTAAGAGAACAGGAAGAGCATAAAAACTCAATGGGAACACTGGGTGGTCTGGGGTGGGCTGAGGCGATGCATAGGCCAGCCTCAACTGCTGGTGTGCACTCTAAAAGCCGATGTCTATGGACTGGGGTTGAGAAAAGTTGGGAAGCTTCAGACTGAGGGGAGAAAAAAGAAAGAGCCCAGAGAAACGTGAGGAGGAGCTTGAATTTCTAGCAAGTCAGTGAAAAAAGGAGGCAACACATAGGCAACCTGGGTGGTTCAGATGCTCCAGGAAGTGTGTATTTTTCCCTAAAAATGCATGGCAGCAGGCACAGGATTATAGGACCCATTTCCTGAGCATATGAGTATTATTAACTGTCACAGCTAATTGTCACAACAGGTGGTGCTTTGTTTTTGTTTATTTTCCTGTTCACTCTTCATTTGACAGAAGCTGAGGACCAGAGGAGTGACTCTCGCACAGCGGCTCGGTGCCTGAGCTGGAATTCCAACCAGGGCTGTCGCCCTCTAAAGCCCTGCCATGGCAGTGCTGCCAGCTCACTCTCCTTGGGCTCCCTTCCCACCTCCCACATCCCCATGTCCCCATGGACTCCTGGTGCCACGGCACAGCTGCATGGGGGTGATTCATGCTGGACACCTGAGACACAAGGAGAGGAGGCAGGGAGCTGCCGAAAGAGGTTCAGTTAAAAACTTCCAACAATGAGGGAGTGAGTTACCAACTTTCAGGAAGCCTTGTTTGGGTCCCAGCCCTTTTCCCTTTGGGTATAATTTGTTGGTATGACACTGAACTAACACATTGCATCTCGAGCTGCTCCCTGCTGAGCTCTGGAGCCCACTAAGGGATGAAAGCAGCTCCTCCTTAGGCCTTTTGTTGTGGCTTTTTCTCTTTTTGGCCAACAGGAGACAGGAATTTGGGAATTATGCAGATGGGGTCTCTCAGAATCTAGCCCTGTGAAGAATAGGTGAAAAGTCTGTCTGGGCATGGTGTCCTGGATAGTCGTCTGGACATGGTATCCTGGGTGTGGAGACTTAGTTTCTTTCTCTGCAGTAAGAATTCACCTTCTTTTGTTAATGTAGATACCAGGGAGGGGATTCATGACAATTGAATTTCTTTTGGAGAAACTTCCCAAGGAAAACTTCAGAGAAAGCCCCTCCACGTGCTTTGGGAGAGAAATAGGATCCAGAGACAGGGGGCAGGGGGAGAGTCAGAGAGACCTTGGTTCTGAGACTGCTCCTTAGTTCAAAGCACTCAGTGCGTCCAAGCACCACACCTTGGGGTATTATTTTCTGAGCCCCAACAGCTACCAAGAAGTGGGAACAGAATGGTAATGATGTTTGCCACAATTTTGCTATAAGCTTTGCTAGGTAACCTCATTAAATTTCCAGAATGGTCTCACAAGCAAGGACAGAGCAGGATTTAGAATGTGGCAGATGTGGCCTCTCGTTCCTGGTTCGCCACCTACCGCTTTGCTTAGTGACTTTGCCCCCACGTAGGTTAATGACATCTGTGTCTGACGTGCTCTGGAGGGTTGAGGCAGGCTCTCCTGGGAGGTTTGCAGCTTCATTAATGATGATAAAGACAAAGGCTTCATAACGCTATAGAAAAAACTAGAAAATACCATGTGAAATAAACACACATGCGTGGATTAGCTGTGCCATGACCACATCCAGATATAACTACTTCCACCCACAGGTAGGAATGGTCATACCAAGGCCATGGGATATGGGTGACTGTTTATTTCTTAACTGTTTTTTTCTCATTTATAAGTTCCTTTGAGTATTTGGCTCAAGTTCATAGATTTAGCATGTTTTGTACTCTCTCCCTCTGGGGAGCCCATTCCAATTGTATAAAGGAATACTGGAAGAAATAAGCTTGCGAGCTGCACAGGGGTTCCTCCAGCCACCTGTGAGATTTTGGGAATTCCTGGCTGCTGGATGGGGTGTGGGAGTGTGCTGAGGGGGAGGCAACAGAGAGCTGGGGACTGCAGCCCAAAGGAAGCCCAGAGGAAGGGTGTGTGTGCGTGCGGGGTGCGGGGGTCTTAGACTGCCAGAGCCACAGGGGTCTGGGCTCAGAGATGGCTGGTTGGAGGGTGGGGGTCTGAACTAGGGATGAAGACAAGGGTTGAAGGTCTCTGCTTGCAGTAGGAGCATGTATATCCTCCCCACTTCCCCACTTCTGGGTACAAAATGTCAGGCAGGCCACAAAAGTTTATCCACAGGGACAAAAAAGTGTGGATGTCTCTAAGAAACTGTAAGAAAGCCACTAGTGTGGGAAGTGAATGCCTCCTGATGTAGTTTGGATGTATGCCTTGCCCACATCTCATATTGAAACATAATCCCCAATGTTAGACGTGGGGCCTGGGGACAGGTGATAGGATTATTGGGTGGGTTTCTCATGGGTTTAGTACCATTGCTCTTGGTACTGTTCTCAAGATAGTGAGTGAGTTATCCTAAGATCTCATTCTTTAGAAGTGTGTGGCACCTTCCCATTCTCTCTCTTGCTCCAGCTTTATTTTATTTATTTATTTTTGAGACAGAGTCTCGCTTTATCACCCAGGCTGGAGTGCAGTGGCACGAACTCAGCTCACTGCAACCTCTGCCTGCCAGGTTCAAGCAATTCTCCTGCCTTAACCTCCTGAGTAGCTGGGATTACAGATGTGTGCCACCATGCCTGGCTAATTTTTTGTGTTTTCGGTAGAGATGGGATTTCCTCATTTTGGCCAGGCCGGTCTTGAGCTCCTGACTTCAAGTATTCTGCTCACCTCGGCCTCAGAAAGTACTGGAATTACAGGCTTGAGCCATCACGCCCGGCTTCGCTCCTGCTTTTGCCATGTGACGTGCCTGCTCCCACTTTGCATTCTGCCATGATGTCTCAAAAATAAAAATAAAAGTTTAAAAAAATTGGAAGTTAAAGCTAAAGAAAATCTTCTAGACTAAGAGAAAAACAAGATAAAACACTATAGAAAAAATGATAGATAATATAAGGACCTCCAAGTAATATGAACTTCCCAAAGAGAGAACAGAAAAAATGAAGGGAGAGAGTTATATATATATAACTGCAGATATATAACTATATATACATATCATTCTATATACCTAAGTATATATATCTATAGGTATAACTATATATGTGATGTGTATATATATGAAGAAGACAAACAAGAATGAAGAGAAGAAACAGAAGAAAATATCTCAGAGCTAATGAAAGATAGTCTTCAGACTGAAATGGCTGAATTTAAAGACTACATCTATCTATATCTGTATCTATCTATCTATATATACACACACACAACACACATATACATAATATAATTACAGAACAAATATTTTAAAGAGAAAGGTTTTAAAAGCTTCACAAATGACGTGGGTAGAGAGAGAGAGAGGCTTCTACAGCAAATAAAGTCACACACTGGCCTTAGAACTCACATCAATAATGCAGAAGCTAGCAGACAACAGATCAGTGCTTTCAAAGTTCAGGTGGAGATGTCTTTGAACCTTAAATCTTATACTTGGCTAAAAGATCAATTGACTGTGAGAGAAAATAAAGACATCTTTGGAGATTTAAAGACTGAAAAAGTTTTTTACACAGAAGAAAGCTGTTGGAAAAGAAAATCTATTAGAGCAGGGAGAATGGCAAGGAGAAGAGCCCCGGGATCGGGCCACAGTGGTGTGCCTGGAGGGCGGTGGAGGGACCCACAGGGTTTCATTTTAGTTCTGGAGAATGGCAAACTTCTGGAGGGACAACGCTGCAGAAAAAAATGAAAAGGAGGCTCCACAGGAGAAACAGGGTGATTGAATGGCTGGAGACACCTGAAAACGTGGTGAGAATGCATACTTTGTTTTTCCACAAGGAAAAATGTTGGCCGAAACCCCAGAAAACAAAAAGCTGTACAAATAAGCCATGGGCCAAATCTGAAGCTATAACTAAAGTACAGCATCACTTTGGGCCACTGATGGAGTGTGAGGAACGTTAATCCATTGCAGCCCCAGGCTGGGGGCACTTTCCCTGGGGAAGTACAGGGGCCAAGAAGTGGAACCCCAAAAACAGGAGACAAGCCTCTCACCCCACTTGGCTCTGCAGTGGCAAAATCGGATACGATTACTTGTTGTCACTTCGTTGGTATTCCGGTTTAGAATGAGCCTATAGAAAAACACACACACACACTGAAGATAATCAGGGTCACTGAATTGAATGTGATTTTTGGTGAGATTGAAATTGTGCAAGTCCAGGCCTATCAGTGGCAAGTAGGAGGAGGAGGTGAGAAGTGGAGGGAAGGGAGAGGATGCTGACGGTCTACTTTGCACAGGGAGGTTGAGAGGCAGATGACATTGGATCACAGAGGAACACGTGCTTTACCATATTGTTTAAAGTTGCAGAGAAAATCAACTCAGGGGAGAACCAAATGTAATTATAAAAGTGTCCAGTATTTGGAGAAAGCAATGAAAAATGATGTGGAGAGTGATGTCAAAGTGTTGAACTGCCATCCTTCGTATGCGAGGTGAGTCAGCAGCATCCTGAAGTGACAAAGATGATGGGCACACTCAAAGAGGTTAACGAGGCACAGAGTATTTTGAGGGGAACTCATTTCAGAGCTGTGGGCTGGGTTAAGGGCCTCTCATCCCAGCACAAGCACCACCCTTAGGTCTTAAGGGACAGGAGACGAATGTTGTTACTGGAGCTGGGCCAGGTGGGGGCCTTGGGTGAGGGGCCTCCCCTCCCCTGTTGCTTTATCGGAGCATAGCACTGCAGAAGCACAGAGGGAGGTTGGGGCAGGTGGGGCCCACTCTGGCCTAACCTACCTGCATGTTCTGCTGATGAAGCCCTTGCAGTCTGCCCCCATCTCCTGGGCACAGAGTAGGGGAGAATGAATCTAGGTTGGGTAAATGAAGAATTACCTGCATGAAAGCCAATAGACATTGTTTGAAGCTGGTGAGTCCAAAACTAGGATAATAAGCATATTATCTAGAAAAATGAAGTAACCCGTTGGAAACCTATAATCAAAGATGGTGAAAGGGCTTTTGGAGAGCAGGGCTGTGGGTAGGGTGTATGTGGGAGAGGATTGCTTTTCAAACAAAAGCTCTCTGTACTATTTGAATTATTTTTTTAATTCTTGAAGAAAACTTGTAAACCACAGGGAAAGCATACGATATCAAAAACATCTCAACTGGCTGAGAAAATGGACTTGATTTAGTAAGACGAAATTTAGCAGCAATTCATTTAAATGAATGACCTTTTTTCCAAAAAAAGGCACGTGGACAGTACAAAGAAATGACTCAGATAGGCCTCCCAGCTTCAACTCTGCCTACGGCATGGTTAAGTGATGCATTGGGGATGCCCACAGCTTTGTGATCTCCTTAAAGAACCGACCCTGCTTCCCCATTGCACGTGAAAAGCAATTCCAGAGGCTATAAGTAGAAATGATAACCTACCTTCTCCCAGTACACCATCAAGCCAATACCATTGTCAATATCCCTGCTTACTGGAGTCACCACCCAAAGTTCCAAGTTTCCCAGTCTCTTCTTAAGGCCCTTCATGGAAATCCATCTCCCATTACTCCTACTCCTCCAAACCCTTCCACCAGGTGCCCTGGAATTCACAGTCTTGTCAAAAACTTTCTCTGTGTTCTCTGACTTCTCATTAAATGTGACCTAATGTTCATGCTCTTTCAGGAGCCCTGCTTTCCCTGAGGACATTGCTCTCTCTTCAGTCCACTCAAGTGGGGACTGTTTGTTGTTGTTTGTTGTTTTTTCTCATCCTAAGTACCACTGGGATCTACCAAGGGGCAATATGCCTGGGTGAGGAGGGCTGTTCTGTCTCCGTTTCCTCTTCTTGCAAACACCCAGTTGTTTGAAATGCCCTTTATCAGATTCCATTCCTGCTTCCCGCCCCCCAGTCATTCTCCCTTGTTTCCTGGGGATACCTTGCAGCTTCGTGCTTTTCTCTCCAGCACAACGTTTGCCTTTCAGGATCCACATAAACCTTAGTCTGATTTCACAGTTCCTTGGCATGTTCGCCAGCACCGACCATTTCCTCCGTCTCATAGGCCCCCTGCGGTGGCAGCAGGCCGACCTTACTGCTGCACTGCCTCCAGTGTAGCACCATCCAGCTCCCTGACCATTTGCACCCCCACATTCTCAACACTCTCTCTGGAGCTGATTCTGACACTTCTCTAGGCTTGTTGGAATCCTCGATACTTTGACCCTATCCTGTCTCTCATGTCCACAGTTCTTTCCTCACCCCGGTTAGACTCTGAAGTCCACATGGGACCCACCCTGCAACCTCAACCTCCGCTCCTCCTTGCCCGTTAGCGACCTTGCCCTTCTCTCCTTGTGACTCGCTGTCTGAAGAAAGCCCAGCCCCGATGGAACACCATTCACCTCCTACCCTGCACTTTCACCCTCGCAGCTCAGTGTGTGCTGCCAACGTTGTGTTAAATTTATAAGCACTGGACTTATATAAACTCTGCCCAGTGGCCTGTTACATTTTCTGGTCACTTGGATCCTCTCTCTGGGAATGCTGTTGCACATCTCTTCTCTTTTTTCTCCAGACCCCTGAAGCTCTTCTCTCATCTTATTACTTTCAAAATAGAATCCACTGAGATATGGCCACTTCCTCCTTCCACCACAGAATCTATGATTCCACAGGCCTAGAAGCACAGTCCTGCTTCCGTCTCTGGCCACCTTTCCGCAGGGGCATTCAATGTCATCTCTTCTTTCTTAAGGGTCTCACTCCTCTGCCTCCTGGATCACTTGCATCAGTGCACATCTTGCACTTTAACCCCTTCCATTTTCCTCCCCAACTACCAATTCTTTTGTTCTCTATTGCAGCAAAACTTCTTTAAAAAGTCACCTAAAGTTACTGCCTCCAATTCGTCTCCCATTCTTTCTTTCTCCTTTGACTATATTTTTAAAATTGTGAAGCTTTACATACATACAAAACATGCAGAAAACAATAGTGTACATACAGCTCAATGAATTATCACAACATCAGCCCCCATGGAAGCACCGTCCAAGTCAGGACACAGGACATGTCCAGCCTCCCAGAAGCCTCTCATGCCATCTCCAAATCTTACCTTCCTTTTCCCCACACAATGGTAACAGCTATGCTAACTTTATTGTATTTGGTTTCCTTTCCTTTTCTTTTTTTTTTTTTATTTGACAGAGTCTCGCTCTGTTGCCAGGCTGGAGTGCAGTGGCGTGATCTTGGCTCACTGCAACCTCTAGGGTTCAAGTGATTCTTCTGCCTCAGCCTCCCGAGTAGCTGAGACTACAGGCTCATGCCACCACACCCAGCTAATTTTTGTATTTTTAGTATAGACAGGGTTTCACCATGTTGGCCAGGATAGTCTCAATTTCCTGACCTCGTGATCCGCCCGCCTCGGCATCCCAAATTGCTGAGATTACAGGCGTGAGCCACCTTGCCTGGCCTTCGTTTTTCTTTTTCAAGTTTCGCCTAAGGAAGAATATGGTTTTCTTTGCTTTTTGAACATTACATAAGTGGAATCATATAGTGTCTACTTATTGGAGTCTGGCTTTTCTCACTCAACTTATGTCCATAAAATTAATTCACTTTGTTGTTATCCGTAGCTGTAGTTCATTCATTTTCATTGTATCCTAATATACAAATATATTAGAATTAATTTGATCTATTCTGCCACCAATGGACATTGGATTATATCCAGTTTGGGGCAATTATAAGTAATGTTGCTATGAAAATTCTTGTGCATGTACATGTACCCTGGTGTTCAGGTACACACATTTCTGTTGGATATGTATTTACACAGATATATACACACATGCACACACTATACATTATATATACATACTATATATAATATATGTGCATACTATACATATTATGTATACACATTATATACATAATATATACAGATACTACACATACTCTATGTATAGACACATACACAATGTACATAATATACACAGACACTTATACATTATGTACACACACACACACACACACTTCACACTATGCACAAAAAAGTGGACTTGCTGCTTCATAGAGTATGCATTCGACTTTGTTAGATAATGTAAACTTTTTCCCAAAGTGCCAATTTCCATGGGCACCAGCAGTATATAAATTTCTCAATATTCTACTTCTTCCAAACACTTGGTATTTTGAGTGTTATAAATTAAGTTATTCTGTCTGGTATATAGGAGTATTTCATTGTGGTCTCTATTGGCATAGATAAAGAAATCAGATAGGATGACCTATGAGGCTGAGTATCAAAAGAAACAGGAAGGAGCTCATGGTTGATTACATGGGCCGGTAGAACTAGACTTGACATCTGTCTTAGGCATTGACTCACTTACTGACACTGGACTACTTAGTTTCTCTCCTTGATCTGTAGCTTTCTTTTATGTAATGCATGCATCACTTTCACCTTGCAGATTTATGGAGAGGATTAAAAATAATAAAGCTAGACACTGTGCCTCACCCCTGTAAATCCCCATATATATATATATATATATATTGACTGGGGAATAGTAGGTGCCCAATAAGTGGTGACTGTTTTTACCTCGTATCTTCACTTATTAGTGGTAAAGTCACCAATGGAAACAAAGCAGGCAGAGTTCCAGCAGACTGTGAGGAAGCAGCAGGAGTCTTGAGGGTTCACTGCTGAATGGTCCCCTGGGATAGCTTGTACTGTTGTGCAACAAATATTTACTCTTCCCTTCCCCAGCATGAGCCCAGTGCACTGCCTTACCCTAGTCCTCTGGGATTTGCTTTGGCTGGGGGAATGTGAGTGAACATGACCTGAGTGTATCCCAGCACAGTTTGGAATGTGCTAGATGGCTAGGTTCAGCCTCTTGCCCTCCAGCTCTCCCTCATAGGAAGAGCATGTGCAGGAAGCCACTGTTTCTCCAGCTTGGGCCATGCTCCTGGAAGCTTGGATGGCTCTTACTATGCCAGCTTGATGCCTTGACTCAGCTGTGTCTGACTTTGTCAAGAATTGTTGGAAATGATGACCATCTGAAACATCAGAATTTTATTGTGCATGGCAACAATAAAAAAAAACATGAAATAGATTTTCTTTTGGTATAAGAATAAATATGACAGTGGACAGATATTTTGATATTCAGTCCTGAAGCTGTTAGTGTTTGTTTTCTCAGAAACATGAAACAATAGGTATGAAAGGCTTTTCTGCTTGGAAAGGAGAAAATGCAGTTAAAGAAAAACAGTACCATTTTAAATCATAGTTCTCTCTATATTGATGCAGCTTGAAGGGTGAAAATAAATTTCGCAAACTGGAATCTTGAAGGATGGTAATAAGCTAGATCAGAATATAGAAATATTTGCAGAATAGTAGATATTTAGACATCATTGAGTGCAACCCTCTCATCTACATATAATAAGAAAAGGGTTAATACTAAATATGAACTATTGTTTATCTCCCTATACACCTACCCACTCATCTATTCATCCATCTGTGGTTCCAATCATTTATGTATTCAACAGCCATTCACCTACAGTCCACGTGTGCCCGACACTGTGCTAAGTGTGGAGGACACAGAGGTCAATCAGATGCAGAATTGCCTTCAGGAAGAATAGCGTCAAGCAGTGGAGATAATAACTTTACAGTAAATCCCACACAGTGCTATAGATGTTTCCTGGATGCCTCGGCAGGGCTCCATTGGGAGACTGGAACGGAGTCCACGGTGTTCCTATAAAGATGTCTAGATCTTAGGTAAAGAGACTCCGTTTTGTACTTTTTCTTCAGACCCCACAGCAGTCGGCGCTGTGGAGCACAGGGAAGTGGCAGGTGATTAAAAATACTTGGTATGGAAGCAATTAAATCTTCTCCCATGGTTATTTCATTTTAGGGACACGACCAGCTCAGCCCTGTGGCCGTCTCCACCTGGTTCCATGTCACAGCCCCTTGATACATCTGGGCAACACTTTCTGATCTGTTTCTACCCGCCAAAACCAAGCCTGGTACATTCAGCCATTCTCTCTCAATCTCTCTCTCTCCTGTTCTTTTAATTTTACCTCTACTAATGAGTGTTTGAGACAACAGTAAACTCTTCTATAGTTTATAGCAATTCAGTCTATTTCAATTCTAGCCTTAGTTTCCTCCCTCAACTACCATTCAGACTGGCATACATCTATCATCTCTATGTCATCGTGAGAATTGTATGAGTTTGTTCATGTAAAGCACTAAGAACAATGTCTGACAAATAGTGGGCTCTCAACAGTTTTTTTTTATTAGCTAGTGTATCTTTGAGTACTTTTATGAAAATTTCTGAATAACAAATTCTGAAAAATCAAATTGCTGAGTGAAAGGGTAATAAATTTGAAATACAGAAAGATATTTGCTAATTGGCAATTTTCACTCCCACTTCCATAGAATATGAAAGTCCTTATTTCACCATCGCATGTCAATAGAGTATTGTATTAATCTGTAAAATATTAAAAATCCAATGTATGAAAAATAGCATCTTATAGCTAGCTTAATTTGTATTTTATTTTTTTATTTTTTATTTTTATTTTTATTTTATTTTATTATTATTATACTTTAAGTTTTAGGGTACATGTGCACAACGTGCAGGTTTTGTTACATATGTATACATATGCCCTGTTGGTGTGCTGCACCCATTAACTCGTCATTTAGCATTAGGTATATCTCCTAATGCTATCCCTCCCCGCTCCCCCCACCCCACAACAGTCCCCGGTGTGTGATGCTCCCCTTCCTGTGAAAAGCAAGCCTGCATACCTACTAGATCTATTCATATATAGCCTATTTGTGCTTTGTTTGTGAATGACCTGTTTAGGTTCTTTGCACACTTCTCTTTTTTGTTGATTCTCTATATTCTGATTGATTTACTGTAGTTATTTGTATATTGTGTATAACAATTTAACTGTTACATATGCAAATATTTTCTTCCTGTCATGGTCTTTTGACTATTCGCTACTGATCTCACTCTTTATACTACTTCCATTTATTTTTAGGATTGGACAGGGCATCAACCATGCAGCCAAGAACATTTATAAACACTTGACCACAATATTAAGAAAATTAGTTTGAGGTTATAGAAGAACTAATGTGGCAGGAAGACTTGAAGGGCTAAAAGTCTATAGAAAGGAGAAGCACAGAAAAGTAGTTCTGACATTTGGTATCACTTTGTCTCCAGAGGCATTTTCTCATAAACAAATGGTGGCTGAGAAAGCTGAGAAGAGATGATGACAATCTTTTGAGGCTGGGGAGAAAAATGAAGTTCACAACTCAGCAAAGAGGATGGGCTCTGGTAAGTGCCTCAGCATTTAGATGAGGTCTCTGACTTACCAACATTCATGTGATACATTTGTTATGATAAACCAATATAGATGCATTATTATGAACTATAAGTCCATAGCAATATGAAGGGTCACCCCTTGTATTATATAGTCTATGGGTTTTGACAAGTGCATAATATCATGTACCTGCCATTACAATGTCACGAAAAATAGTCCCACTGCCCTGAAAATCCCCTATGTTTCACCTATTCATCCTCCTCCTTCCCTGAGTCCTTGAAAACCATAGATCTCTTTTTGTTGTTTCTATAGTTTTGCTTTTTTCTAGAATGTCATACAGTTGGAATCATACAGAATGTAGTCTTTTCAGATTGGCTTCTTATGCATAGAAATATACATTTAAGGTTCTTTCATGTCCTCTTGTGGCTTAGAGGAAAAGCTCATTTTTAAAAATTACTAAATAATATTTCATTGTATGGACATATATTAAGTTTGTTTATTCAATATCATCTATTGATATACATTTTATTTGTTTTCAATTTTTTGCAATTATGATTAAAGCTGCTATAAACATTCATGTGTAGGTTTTTTGTGGATATAACCTTCCAATTAAATTGGTAAATGCTCTGAGTACAATTGCTAGATTGTATGAGAAGACTGTTTAGCTTTGTAGGAAACTGCCAAACTGTTTTCTAATGTGGCTGTACTATTTCGTATTCCTGCTAGGATGCCTTATACCCTTGCAGCACTTGGAATTGTCAATTTTTTTTTTTAAAGAAATTCTAATAGGTGTATAGTGGTACCACATAGTTACTGTAGTTTGCAATACCTTAACACATATAATGTTGAACAACTCTTGATATACTTATTTGACATCTAGGTACCTGTACAGATTATCTACTTATT
The DNA here is from genome assembly GCF_000001405.40 of Homo sapiens. NCBI lineage: Eukaryota > Metazoa > Chordata > Mammalia > Primates > Hominidae > Homo > Homo sapiens. Next base: position 126,632,057 of record NC_000002.12, on the reverse strand, counting down.
TTTAATTGGGTTGTTTGTATTCTTATCATTGAGTTTAAGAGCTCTTTGTATATTTTGGATACAAGTCCTTCATTTGATATGTGTTTCGCTAAGATTTTTTCCCTACTGTTGTCTTTTCAGTCTCTTAACGATGTCTTTTCCAGAGCAGAATTTTTTAATTTTAGTGAAGTGCAACTTACGAGTAATTTTTATTCACGGATGGTGATGTTGATGTTGTGTCTAAAAACTCATTCCTAAACCCAAGGTCATTGAGAATTTATTCTATGTTATCTTCTAGATATTTTATAGCTTTGCATTTTACATTAAGTGTATGATCTACTTTGAGTAAATTTTTGTGAAAGACATACGGTTTGTATCTAGGTTCATTCTTTTTTTAATATGACAGTCCAGCTGTTTTAGTGAAATTTTTTGAAAAGGTGATATTTTTCTCCATTGTATTGCCTTTCTTCCTTTGTCTAGATCAGTTGACTATATTTGTGTCTATTTCTGGGCTCTTTATTCTGTTCTATTGATCTGTTTTCTATTCTGTTCTATTTGTCCATTTTTTTTTTTGCCAGTATGACACTGTCCTGGTTACTGTAGCTATTGAAGTAATGTTGAAGGTAATTATTGAAGTTAAGGTAGTGTCAGTTGTCCAACTTTGTTATATTTAGTATTGTGTTTGCTATTCTGTTTCTTTTGTGAGTTTTGATATAAACTTTAAAAAGAGTTTGTTGACATCCACAAAATAGCATCTTGGGATTTTTGGGGGGATTACATTGCATCTATAGTTCAAGTTGGGAAGAATGGACATCTTAGCAATATTGAGTCTTCCTTTCCATAAACATGGAATAGCTCTTCATTTATTTAGTTCTTATTTGATTTCTTTAATCAGTTTTGTGGGTTTCTTCATATTGATCTAGTGCATATTTTATTATATTTATATCTAAGTATTCATCTTTTGTTGTTATTATAAATGGTATTGTGTTTCTAACTTCAAATTCCAATAGTTTCTTGCTGATATATAGGAAAGCACTTGATTATTGTATATTAACAATGAATCTTGCAAACATGCAATATTCACTTCCCAGTTCCAGAAAGTTTTTTCTCCATTCTTTGAGATTTTCTACATAATCATGTAATCTGCAAAGACAATTTTATTTGTTTACTTTTCAATCTGTATACCTTTCTTTCCCTTTTCTTGTTTTATTGCATTAAAAGAACTTCAAGTATGATGTTGAGTAGGAGTAGAAAGAGGAGACATCTTTGCCTTGTTACTAATCTTAAGGGTAAATCATCTATTTTCCTACCATTGAATATGATGTTAGCTGTAGGGGGTTTTTAAAAAATAGATATTTATCATCTGGTTCAGGAAGTTTCTCTCTGCTGTTAGTTTACTGAAAGTTTTTAACATGAATTGGTGCCAGATTTTGTCAAATGCTTTTTCTGCATGTTTTGATATGATCATATGGTTTTTCTTCCTAGCCTGTTGATGTGTTGAATTGTATTAATTGAGTTTTCAAATGGTTGAATCAGCCTTGCATATCCATAATAAATTCCAATTGGTTATGGTGTATAGTTTTGTTTACATATTGTAAATTTGATTTAGCAATACTTTGTTGAGGATTTTTGCATCTATGTTCATAAAATATGTTGGCCTGTATTTTTCCTTTCTTGTAATGTCTTCATCTGATTTTGATAGTAAAGTAATACTCACCTTATAGAATAAGGTAAGAAGTGCTTCCTTTGCTACTATTCTTTGGGATGAGACTGTAGAGAATTGATATTACATCTTCTTCAAATGTTTGGAGGAACTCAACAGTAAAACCATCTAGGTTCAGTGCTTTGTGTTTTGGAAAGTCATTAATTATTGATTTAATTTCTTTGATATAGGCCAATTCAGATTTGTTATTTTTTTCTTGAAAGACAGCATCTCCATATTTTATTGTTCCATTTAATCTAAGTTATCAGATTTGACATCTTAGCAATATTGAGTCTTCCTACCCATGAACATGGAATATGTCTCTATTTATTTAGTCCTTATTAGATTTCTTTCCTTAGAGTTTTGTGGTTTTCCATTTCTTCTAAGTTATCACTTAGAAGTGTTTATAATATTCTCTTCTTTTCCTTTTAATATTCATAAAATTAGTAGTGATAATCCTTTTATTTCTGATATTATTAATTTGTAACTTCTCTCTTTCTCTTTTGGTTAGCCTGAGTAAAGGCTTATCAAATTGACCAATTTATTAATCAATTTTATTGATATTTTTAAAGAATCATGTTTTGATTTCATTGATTTTCACTACTGTTATTCTTTTATCAGTTTCACTGATTTCTGCCTTATCTTAAATGTTTTTCTTCTTGGTTTTAGGTTTATAGTTTTTTTTTTCTTCCAGTTTTCTATGATGTGAGCTTATATTATTAATTTTGTATCAATCTTATTTTCTAATGTATGCATTTTAATGCTATAAATTTCCTTCTAAGCACTACTTTTGCTACATTCCATAAATTTTGATAATTAGTATTTTCACTTTGATTTTGTTCAAAGTATATTAAATTTATCTTGAAACCTCTTCTTTGACCTATGTGTTATTCAGGCATATGCTTCATCTTCAATTATTTTGGGATTTCCCATATATATTTCTGTTATTGATTTCTAGTTTAATTCCACTGAGATCCGAGAGCAGAGATTGTGTGATTTCTATTTTCTAAAGTTGGTAAGAGGGTATTTATGGCCCCAAAAGTGATCTTCAATATTAAGTGCTCAATTTGAACTTCAAAAGAATATATTTCCTTTTGTAGTTGAATGAAATACTTTATATATGGCAAGTATTAAGTTTGTGCAAAAGTAATTGCGGCTTTGTCATTGCTTTTAAATGGAAAAAAAAACTTGTAATTTTTGCACCAACCTAATAGAACCAGGAGATCTATAGCATGGTTCAGTTAAACTATATCCTTACCAATTTTCTGCCTGCTGGATCTGTCAATGATGAAGGAATGTTGAAGTCTCCAAATATAGCAGTGGACTTATTCATTTCTCTTTGCAATTCTATCAAGCTTTGCCATATATATATATATATATTTTTTTTTTTTTTTTTTTTTTTTGACAGAGTCTCACACTATCACCTGGGCTGGAGTGCAATGGCACAATCTCAGCTCACTGCAGCCTCCACTTCCCAGGTTCAAGAAATTCTCCTGCCTCAGCCTCCTGAGTAGCTGGGATTACAGGCACACACTAACATGTCTGGCTAATTTTTGTATTTTTAGTAGAGATGAGTTTTCACTATGTTGGCCAGGCTGGTCTTGAACTCCTGACCTCATGATCCACCCACCTTGGCCTCCCAAAGTGCTGGGATTACAGGCGTGAGCCACCACACCTGGCCTGCCTCACATATTTTAATGCTTTGTCGTTAGACACATATGTGTTAAAAATTGTTATATATTTTTAAAGAAGTGACCCCTTAAACACTATGTAACGCCCTTCTTTATTCCTGATAATTTCCCTGAAGTTTGCCTTGTCTAAAATTAATGTGGCTATTCCAGCTTTCCTTTGATTAGTGTTATCTTGGTATATCTTTTTCTATTTCATTGCTTTTAATGTATATGTGTCTTTATATTTAAAATAGGTTTCTTGTAGACAACATGTAATTGGGTCTTTTAAAAATTCTCTGTGACAGTTTCTTGTTTTGTGTATTTGAGATATTCATATTTAAAGTGATAATTGATATAGTTAGATTAATATCTACCATGTTTGTAAGTGTTTTCATTGCCCTTGTTCTTTTTGTTTGTTTTTCACTCTTTTTCTGTCTTCTCTGGTTTTAATTGAGGATTTCATATAATTCTATTCATCTCTTCTCTTAGCATATAAATTATACGTCTTTAATATTGTTTCAAGTTGTTGAGCTAATGTTTGCAATTTACAACCAATTTAAGCTTACTTTCAAATAACCATGTACTTCTTCATGAGTAGTGCAGTTACCTTATAATGGAAGCGTTCTCAATTTCTCCCTTTTTTTCATATAACATTTTTGTTGTTCATTTCACTCATTCTTAAGCTATAATTACCCAATACCCTGTTGCTATTACTACTTTTGAAACTGCGCCCCAAAGAGTTAAAGAAATCAGTGACTAACAGAAATTCTTGAGTTTACAGGATGGCAGATAAGAAAAGAAACAACTTGCTAAAACATGGAAACTCCCTCAGCCTGTCAGATATCAAAAGTGGCTGAAATTGTTTGGCACAAATGTGGCTAACTGGAGTCTGCCAGAAGGAGCATGCTAATGTCACAGCCCAAATTTCCACAGAATGTTTTATACTAACTCCCCTTGAATGTGCACATGTGATTCATAAGGTAGCACAGAGAGATAACTGCACATGCTCAAGGACTTTTCAGACCTCTTTCCTTCCACCAATTCCCTACTAATCCCGGAATCCATGCACTAAACATTTTCTAGTAATATGATTGCCTTAAAGCACAGGGAGACAGATTTGAGCTGGACTCCTATCTCTTTGTTGGTTGACTTTATAAAAAGCTTTGTATTCTCAAAAACACCATGTCATAGTATTGGTTTCTAGTGCATAGGGCAGCAAGTCCTTTGGCTCAGTAACAATTTGAACTATTAGATTAATCAAAAATGAGAAGAAAAAGACTTTGTTCTACCTTTGTAATATTGTGATATAATTAAAAGATATATTTGATATTCATTCCCATTTTCTGGCACACAGCTCTTAAGCTCTTGGAAACCCTGAAGTAATAAGTGTCTTTTGTATGCTAATTAAATTACTGGTAGCTAGAGGGGGGTGGGGGTGTCTCAGATAGCTTTGGGATGGTTGCCAACTATGTATTACAGTGTCGCAACTTTAGTTCCACCTTCCAGGAAGAGGAGAGGGGCTGAAGGTTGAGTTGATTGCCAATGGTCGATGATCGAGACCAGGGGTCTCCAACCCATGAGCCATGGACCAATACTAGTCTGTGGCCTGTTAGGAACTGGGCTGCACAGCAGGAGGTGAGTAGTAGGTGAGCAAGCTTCATCTGTATTTATAGCTGCTCTCCATTGCTTGCATTACCGCCTAAGCTCTGCCTCCTGTCAGGTCAATGTCAGCATTAGGTTCTCATAGGAGCATGAACCCTATTGTGAATTGTGCATGTGAGGGATCTAGGTTGCACACTTCTTATGAGAATCTAATGCCTGATTATCTGTCACTGTCTCCCATCACTCCCAGATGGGATCATCTAGTTGCTGAGCTCCCACTGATTCTACATTATGATGGGTTATATAATTATTTCATTATATATTACAATGTAATAATAATAGAAATAAAGTGGACAAGAAATGTAATATGCTTGAGTCATCCCAAAACCATCCCCGCCTCATCCCCCACCCAGTCTGTGGAAAAATTATCTTCATGAAACTAGTCCCTTGTGCCAAAAAGGTTGGGGACTGCTATTCTAGTCAATCATGCCTACATAAAAACTCAAAAGAATGGGGTTTGAAGGTCTCTGGTTTGCTGAATGTGTGGAGGTACTGGGAGGGTGGCATACCTGCAGAACTCATAGAAGTTCCATGCCCCTTCCACCGTATCTTGCCCTATGCATTTCTTCCATTTGGCTGTTAAACGTTAGTGAAGTGTTTCCCAGAGTTCTGTGAGCCATTCTAGCCAATGGTTGAACCTAAGAAAAGGGTCCTGAGAACCTCTGATTTGTAGCCAAGTTGGACAGAAGTCGTGAGTGACCAAAGGACCTACTACTTGTGGGACACCATGGTGGTGGTGACCAGAGGACCTACTACTTGTGGGACACCCCGGTAGTGTCTGCAGAGAATTGGAGAATTGCCTGGTGTGTGATAAACCCCCACACACTTGGTCACAGAAATGTCCAATGCATAGTGAGTTAATACACAGATTCACTCAGTCTACATGGTTTGTTGCAGTTATAGATGTCAGAGGGTTTCAGTTTTCTTGTTAATTCTTTCTCTTCTCTTGTCTTTGTGTTTCCCTAAGAACTCTTTAAAGAGTTTGTGTCTTGTAGGTTTTTTGGTTGTAATTCATTGCAATTACACTGGAGCCTTGTTGGTGAGGTCGTAAGATATGGGGAGGGAAAGCATTATATATCATTAAATCTCAGTATCTTTATCATTAAATCTCAGTAATTTTTAGTGGGCCTGAGTCCTTGGGCTGTGACCTTCAGAAATGTGTCTTACCTTTTTGTATTCTATTTATGTGAGAAAGGGTGGTTGGTGGAGGCTTGGAGTTGTCTAATTGCCCTTCCCATGTGTCAGATAAGACTCTGGTAAAGTGGTTTCCTCTGTGCGAGGGCCTTTGTTAGGGGAGAAGAGAATGCTCCAGGCATATTTCAAAATGATGGGATTTCAAAATTTGAATGGGAATTAAACTATATATTTTGAATCCTTCAACCCACGAACATAGCATTTCTCTCCATTTACTTAATCTTTAATATCTCTCAGGACTGTTTTGTAGTTTTTCAGTGAAGAGGACTTAAACATCTTTCGTTAACTTTATTCCTAGGTATCTAAATACTCTTTAATGCTATTGTTAGTATAGTTGTTTTAAATGTTCTTTTCTAATTGTTGCTAACTACAGAAAATCAAATTATTTTTGTGTGAGACCATTTATCTTGTAGCCTTGCTAAATTAGTTTATTCAATATGTAAATTCATTATAGTTTTTATTTTGTGGTTTCACCAGGATTTTCTACATAAACAATCTTGTTTGCAAATATTGTCTGCAAACCTATTTACATTAAACATGTTTCAAATCATTTTATTATAAAACAAGTGATGATGTTAGCCCACCAATTGCAAGCCCTCAAGAGCCCTCTGTGGCCAAAGCCCAAACTCTCTGGCCTCGTAATAGTGGTCTCCATATCAGAAGGAGAAGAATCCACAAAGCAAAACAGCCTGTGATATTGTGTTATCCCAGAGAGGGTGCAGAGACCTCCCAAGGCAGCAGTGACCTCACTAAAGATCATGGTGTAGGTATAAAGTTTGTAATGAACTGGGAGTCTTGGTGGGTTCTGCCTTCCTCAGTCCATCAAGTTGGTCCTCAGGCTGGTTCCACTTGATACCAAGGTCAATGCAGCAGTTCTAGGACAAGCAGGTGGATACCTGCCACCCAACAATGTCTCTTGCCATTTGTTATGGTGCCTGAAATGCACATGGTCCCCTCCTGACATGCAAATTGAACTTTAGATTGGACTAATAAATCATCACATCAATTAATTAGCTAAAAAGATTTCAGATAAGGATGACTACATTAGGTCATTCTCAATAAATATAACTGCAGTATGAATTATTTAAATGAGAAAACAGGTTTAGAGACGTTCAGTGATTTTACTAATGCTACATGGCAATTTAATAACTGTGAAATGCTTCTTAACTTTCCTGTGAAAAGAAAAGAGCTGTGAAATCAGTGATTCTTAACTTTAAATATTGTATGCGTATGTGGATATTGTTTATCTCTGCTTTCATTTGTGTGTGTGATTGACTACATAGCTTCAGATTGTGCTAAAAACAGGCCACACAACCATCTTTATGTTGGATACAGGGAAAATGATGACTTTTAAAAGTTGACTATGGAGCTGTGAGGTCAGCTAGACTTCAACTTGAACCCTGCTTCCTTCACTTACTGACCTTTCGGAAGTGATTTCATCTCTCTGAGTCTCGGTTTCCTCATCTGGAAAATAAGGATGGTGATAACTATGTAAACCACAAATAAAATTCTCAATGCCCTGCCATCAGAATGGGCTTTCTCCTTGGCCAGGGCCCTGTTAAAATGTAACCCGGGATACTGGCTCAGGCCATGATGGGAAGTGGGGGTCAGACATGCTTCATTTTACTCCTCTGGCACTAACATCAACACAGACCAAAAGTCTGTTAAGAAACATTTACAATCTATCCTCTTTCTATCTGGATAATAAGAACTTTGGTCCCCACAATTCCTTATCTTAACCTAGACATTTCCTTTCTATGGATTCCAGGTCTTTAGATAACCAATTGTCAACCAAAATTTTTAAATATCTACCTATAAACTGGAAGCCCCCCACCTCCTTACCTCTCCTGCTGCCACTTTGAATTTTTCCCACTTTTCTGGACTGAACCAATGTATTTCTGAAATGTACTTGATTGAAGTTTCATGTCTCCCTAAAATGTATAAAACCAGGCTGCACCCTGACCACCTTGGGCATGTTTTCAGATCTCCTGAGGGCTGTGTCATGGGCCATAGTCACTCATATTTGGCTCAGAATAAATCTCTTCAGGTATTTTACAGAGTTTGACTCTTTTCATCAACAACTATACTGAAAGCCAGGGTTGCTCAATCTTGACACCATTGACATTTTGGACTGGATAATTCTTTCTTGTGAGGGGCTAGGATATGTAGCAGCATTCCTGTTCTCTACCCACAAGATGCCAGTGGCACCTCTCCTTCCCTTATTGTGACAACTAAAAATGTCTGCAGGCGTTGCCCTTGCCCCAGGAGGCATAATCACGGAGGTTGAGAGCTATTGCTGTGAGCATCACCTAATGTGTATTCAAGGTCTTCATGCAGTGTCTGGCGCAGCGTGTCCCTTGGAGAGTGTTAGTGCTGCTGCTTCTTCCCTGACCCCCATACCCTTTATGCCCAGGGATCAATTCCTTCTACTGTCATTTCTCCATGTTGAGAAAAACCTCTGCCATCATGACTGTGGGGAGAGGAATTTGCTGGGTTTGGAAAAAGCAACGGACCACCTCCTCAATTATGCTGCTTAGTCACCCAAATGGGTTTAAATTGGAGAGCAACCCTGGCAGTATCATTTTCCAAGCTGCTTCAAATACTGCATTTTTCTTCATATTTTCAATGGGCTTATTTACAAATTGCAGGCTCAGCTAAAAAATAACATGTATTATACGTGATAGCTGTGATTTTGTTTGTAGAGGAAGGTGCTGAATTTTTTTTTAAGGCCAGGAAGAAAATGCATGTTTAAAATGTGGGTTTTGAGTACAACCAGCAGATTTGGGATTCATTGCGGAGAAAACAGCCCATACAGGGGCACTGATTGGTGACTGTAGGACATAGGGCCCAGTGTGGAAGGATTGCATAGCTCCTGATTAAAATGCAGTCCCCAAGAAGTGAGGAGAGTAAGTGATAATGTCCACTTACAGACATTGGCCCCAGCTTTCAATAGTGTTGGTGGAAAAAAGACTCATACTCAGGAAACCATTGGGAGTGACTGAATTACAGCGCCCTGAGAAGTGAGTGGCATGTGGTGGTACAGTTGCTGTGGTTCAGAGAAAGGCTCTCAGGCTGTGAAAAAGCCAGGCCAGCCTGCCTGGAAATGAGTTCTGGGCCTTGGCTGGGTACCTGGCTCTGGCTGTCAAGGCAGAGGTATGGCTTGGGGATCATTTGTTACCTTGCCCCCAGTCACGAACAGATCCAGGGAGAGATTTAGAAATCATGGCTGCTAGGAGTTATTTGGGAGGAAAAACTCCATGCGGTGGGGCCCAGTTCTAATACCGATCTCTGTGTTTTAATGAGCACTCTGGGTGACTCTCTAGTAATCTCCACATGCATCTCAGCAGCATCATTTACTTGGGAGGTCTGTCTGTTGAGCAGCTACTTAGCTCTGGATTCGTTCAGCAACCTTTGATGTCAACCATATTACAATGCTTCAAATACACAATTCCAGCCTTAAAATGCCTAGGAGGTAGATGTTTTGTACTCATATTACAGATAAAAAGAAACATCTTCAAGGGGCTAACGGTGATGGTCTGTCAATAGTGGATTCACACTCAATTCCGTGTGACTCCAAAACCTATGCTTTTTTACCATCCACTGATGTAAAGGCTGTGATAGCATCTGGTTAGGTGAGGAAGCTCAGGCATGACTATATTTCACATAAGGTGCAGCCTGTTCCACAGGGGTAACCACACACCTAGTGCCTCTCACTGCCCAGAGTCTACCTAGGGAGTCCTTGTGATAGCGACAGGAGGCAGCCAAATGCCTAGGCTGTAGGAGTGGGTCCCTGGTGAAATCCCATTTTCAAGCCAAAAACAGTTTGAAGGCTGAAAGTCCGAACTGCTGATTCCAGATGAAACCTGCAACCCAGAGTTCACTCTTTTCTTTCCTAACTGACTCTTTCCTTTCCTAATTGTGCACCCTTTCCTAATTGACTCTTTCTGAATAATGCCTTTTAACCAATCGAATGCTGCCTTTTCCAATACTACCTATGGCCTGCACCTCCCCCATTCTGAGCCCATAAAAAGCCCTGGGCTCAGCCATATTAGGGCGACTTTGCCCCTTTGGGTAGGGGACCACCCCCGTGACCCCTCTCCACTGAAAGCTGTTTCATCACTCAGTGTAACTCCTCACCTTGGTCACTCTGTGATTGTCAGTGTATCCTCATTCCTCTTGGGAGTGGGACAAGAACTCATGAACCCATGCATAAGCCAGACGTGGCTCAGGTGGGCTGAGTGGGTGGGCAGTCTCCTGCAGCAGGTAATGTGGTCAGGCAAGGACCAGGCAGGGTGTCACTGGCTGGAGGTCCCTGGCTTGCAAAATGACTGAGAAGAAAATCCTGTGTCACTCAGAGGCTTCCAGGAGCCTCTGCTCACACTTTAAGCATCCTCCACACTGAAGTCCTATAATTCCCAGACCTCAGCACTAGTTGGCTGCACACAAATTATGTGGGGCACCTGTTAAGATGGTGATCCTAGGACCTTACCCTGGAGCTTCTGACCCAGTGGGTATGTTTACAGGACCCTCTAGACAACTGTGTATATGAGAATCTCTCAGCTGGTTCCGACATGCTGCCAGCTACCACTCCCATCCTTGACCCTCTGCTTGGGACACCCTCCCCCTGTCCTTCCCCAGCTGACTCCTGATCCTCAGACCTATTTACTCCCCATGACCCATGAGATTGAGCTCAGTGCCCCTCCCTGTGGCCCCATCCCGAATTCTAGTTTCCATCTCAGCAAGCAATTAATTTGTATGTGGAAATCGCCATTGCCTGGCCCGTGTCTGCTGCCCTGATACAGTAGTTCTCCACTGGGCTGATTTGACCCTCTCCAGGGGACCCTTGACAATATCTGGAGATGCTTTTGGTTGTCACAGCTGGGAGAGGGGTGTTACTGATGTCCAGTGGGTGGGGGCCAGGGATGCTGCCAAATATCCTACAATGCACAGGACAGCCCCATAATGAGGGACAATCTGGCCCCAAATGTCAGTAGTGCCACAGTGGAGAAGCCCTGCTTCAAGGTCAAGTCCCTCCGCTCTGCTTGCTAGCTGGGTGCTCCCCAGCAGGTTTCTCACCTCTAAGGCTCCATCCTCATCTATAACTGGGTTCCCACCTCCTCCCAGCTGTCGTGGGGCTTACAGGAGTGAATGTGTGCAATGTGCTCAGAACAGTGTCCAGCATGCAAGGGGCTGGTGACTGCTTGCTGGACCCACAGCTCCATTCCTGGTGGAGTTTTGGGCCTTTAGGGAGCCAGGGTCCCTCCAGCCATACCCCATGTAGTAACCAGTCTGCACTGGACTCTAGTCACACCAGTCTGGCCAGGGCTCGGCTACACTTGTGAGGAAGGAGGAAGGCAGTTCCTCTTTCCTCTGTCCTCCATTTCACAGCCCTCTGGTGAGATGGAGTTAGCCTTCTGTGTGTTTGACCTTGACTCAGTGGTAACTCAGCTCCAGGCTGGCACGTCATCTCATCAGGGCTAGTTAGGAGGAGATAAGAGAAAAGGGGCCTTTTCCCTCTAGGCTTCTTCTTTGAACTCTCAGGCCTGTTTGGAAGCAGTTTTTCTGTGATTTCCCAGATTTCATGGGTGCCTCCATGCCCCCTTCAAGTTTGCCCTGGGTCGTCCCTGGTCAGGCAGTTTGCTAAACTGGAGAAACAAGGCAAAATAAGACACACTCAATGATTGCCCAAGAAGGTCACAGACAAGCAGAACACACTGGATAAGGAAGTGTCAGGGTTTATATCAGGAGGCCCTCTCAGCTTAACACTCTTCTAGAATCTGGCTCTGAAACTCTGGGGCTAAAGGGCTACCAAGAACAGAGGATAAAGTCTCATCTCCATGGCCATTGTGACGGGGTCACTGCTGACTTCCTCATGAATACCACACTCACAATCATGAACATAGTTATTTCTGTACCCACTTCACCCCTGGGGACACTAAGGCACAGGCAGGTGAAGTGACTTGCCCAAGGGAGTTGAATACAGCAGTGCCAGTGTCTTTTACACATGACAATAACAAGTGACTCTGCCCACAGCTCCCGGCTGTCCTGCTCTTGTACTTGGCCATTGCAGGACCCTTCCAGGGAGAAATTGGTTCATGGCTCCTTCTTTCTACTCATGAGCAGATTACACTGGTTCATCTCTTTGCCTTGATGATAACCTACCAGCCATTCATATGCCTTTGGTAGGCACATTATCAGGCCCTTCCCCACCAGCCAGCATCCTCCACTGTCCTGCTTGTTTTGCTTGCAAGGAGATCTGACTTTCATCTTCAGAGGTAAATCAATGCCTCCACCCACATTGTTGATCAGCCTGGTTTATACACTGTTCCCAACCTTGCAAATCACTGCCGGGCAGCATCCTCAGTGCTGTTGAACCTGCTTATCTGACTAGGAAGGCTGGAGGAGCCAGGTCATAAAATTAAATGAAATTACTGCAGGAATTAGGGTGGTAGTGACAATGAGGTGGAATTATAACTTGGAGAATGGCAAGGGAGGTTTTTGATGCCCCAATGCCTATCTGCAAAGTCATTATTCAAATAGCTCCTGTTTTCCCTGATGTCTGGGGTTAGTATCACCCTTTGCTGGCTTGTGGAGTGCTAATGGCTTCTCCATATCTGTCCTCTCTGATTAACAGAATGTGGGCTTTGGAAAGGGCGTTGGGGTTTAGCTAATTCAACCCTCTCATTTTACAGATGAGCAAGCTGAGGCTCAGAGAGGTGCTGGGGCCTCCTCACTGTCAGAAGGTGTTAGTGACGGAACTGAAATGCAAACTCAGAACTCTTGGCCCAGTCTAGTGCCCCCTTTTCTACTCTATCACTTTAGAACTCTTTGTAAGGTTAACAAAAAATGGATTCACACACCATGGTGAATTATCATTTAAACAGGCAAAGCTGGGTGACAGGAGAGACTAGCAGAGAATATGACTTCCTCTGGATGGTATTTTGACCATTGTCACTGTTCTCTGCTGCAGAAATTGCTCTGCATGAAATGCCCAGCCTATGTCAGACCCAGAAGACCTGCTCTTATATTCACATTCTGTAACAATAAACACTTTTTTTTTCCTGGCACCAACTTTTTGCTAAGAAAGCCTAAGTCACAATGCCTGCCACAGTGAGCCCAGAGTCTACTAGGGAAATAGGCAAGTAAGCAAATTGCCTCCAAAACAGATGATGTATGTAGAGAGAAATGTGCCTAGAATCCAGAGGGTGGGCAGAGATGCTCAGAAGAGAGAGTGGTTGATATTATCTGGGGCTCTGGGAGGGCTTTCTGGAGGAGGCATTGCCTTGCCAAGAGAGCCTCTAGTCTGTGTGACAAGGACAACTCATCACCTCTCATTGCTGCTTTTCTTTCATGTTGTATTACTTTTGTCCTTGGTCTGATTGTCAGCTCTATGAGGAGTAGAATAAGACCTTTCTCTCTACATTTGGGGCCTTCATCGGTACACGACTCAGGTTTACACACCCAGTAGATGAACACAATGGAATGAATTGACTGTGCATGGCCCTGTGGAACATGGGCTTGGAGCTTCGATCTCATTATAGGTTCAATGGAGGTGATTATGTTTACCATGAAGGGTCATGTGGGTATTAAAATTATAGGAAACCCCTAGAAGAGTTGCTGGCATATGGAAGCTATTTTTTTTTTTCTTTTTGAGATGGAGTCTCAGTCTGTCACCCAGGCTCGAGTGCAATGGCGCAATCTCTGCTCACTGCAACCTCCGCCTCTGGAGTTCAAGCAACTCTCCCGTCTCAGCCTCTTGTGTAACTGGGACTACAGGCACCCACCACCACCCGGTTAATTTTTGTATTTTTAGCAGAGATGAGTTTTCACCATATTGTTCAGGCTGGTCTTAAACTCCTGACCTCAGGTGATCCACCCACCTTGGCCTCCCAAAGTGCTGGGATTACAGGCGTGAGCCACCATGCCCAGCCAAAGCTATTTTGAGTGCTGATTTGTATCAGGCACTGTTGCCTGGTGCATTCAGTGGTTGTAGGCATTTTGTTAGTTGTTGCAGAAACAATGTTTTTACTTTTCTTTCAAGAAGTAGCCTGTGTCCCCACTATCCTTACAAAGCTGTCCTGGACTAGTGGTAGCAGCATGGTAAGGAGCTGTCCATCCAGGACATCCCTGCTGGCTCTCAATGCAGAAGAGGTGGAAGAGCAGCCTCTGTGCTCACATGGGGTAATGGAGTCCCGTCTGTGGGACTTGCTGCGATGAGTCCTCATCTGCCTTTCTGTCCTTGGGGGATCTGAATGTAGACTTCAGTGAATTCTCAAACTTAGCTGGAATTTGCAGAAAATACCACGAATGAGATTTATTTCATGCTGGCCCCAAACAGCTCTGACCACATCGACGTCTATGGATGGAGAATTTGCCAGAAAAGCATGCGTTTTGGAATTATTTGGGGCTGGGCTCAAATCCCAATCCTGCCATTTTGGAATAGGGAGATCTTGGGTAGTTTCCTATCTTCTGAGTCTCAGGCCCTTTATCTACAAGAGCTGGGATATAAACACTGACTCTGTAAAATCACGGAGAGGATTATGAGATTATGTATGTACTAAGCTGGTAAATAGCAATGGCTCCACTTTCTGAGTCCTCACATGAAATCCTCTGGCGGAAAGCTAGTGCTGACATAGCTCACCTTTGACAAGGCTTGTCATTGTCTTGCAGCGGTGATGATCACCCAACAATCAGACCTTCGACAGGGTGGCTGATTGAGGGTGAGGGCACTGGGTGGGAGGCCTGGCCGCCTGGCTCTGGAGGGCCCTGTCAGCCTCCTGGTTGATGTGAGGGGCTGATTCTACACTGCCTCCTAGTTGCCCAGGCACATACAAGCACAAACCAGCCCCTCCATGCCTTTCTAATCTCTTTTTATAGAAAAGGAAGTGGTCAACAAGGGGGAAATTTTTAGGGCAATATCACAGTTCATTTTGAAAATGCTTCAGCCTCTCAAGAAATAAAAAAACACAAACCCCAAATAGACCCCCGCACCACCAACTGAATCACCTTGCCAGTCCTGAGGGCGTTTTTGCCTTTGGGACTCAGGATGGATGGCTCTCACGGCCTTGCCCACCTCCCCTCCACATTTGAGAAAACCTGTAATAATGATCCTCCCCCTAACCCTCTCCAGGGACTGTTCTAATCACTCTCTGAGCCTGCCTTCAAAGGAGACAGACAAGCATGACGCTGGCGATGGCAGATGAAGGCCGGGTCAGTGCAACCTCTGAATTCCCTCCTATGATCATGCTTGAAAAGAGACAGGCTCAGCTCCATTGAGACAACTAGAGGGTGATTAAATTATTCATCTAAGAGCCTTGGAGAGGCCTTTATGTGACATTTCAACCCAGTTTTTCAGGAAAAAATAGTACCACAGACAGGTGGTGACCATGTGAAGATTGATCAACCATACGCCCCAAATATAGCAGCTCCTCCTCAAAACCCCACAAAATGCAGGTGCCCTAGCCTCACAGACCTTGTCTTTACAAGTGGCATTTTTAGATTTCAGAAAGCTGCTAAAATCATCAGGTTTTCATTGCTGCAGTTATGACTTTGAATAACTTAAAGAAATCTTTTAGGAGAGAGAAAGAGCAAAACATAGCTAACAGAAGATTTCTTAAGGGTCGCTGTATGTTGAAGCAGGAATAATTCTCACTTGAGAATGACGTTATATGGATTGCAGCTCCCGTTCTTCATCCTACTAGCTGGTAAAAACTAGACCTCTCTAAAATTTTCTGGGCTTCAGACTCTGTCTACATGAATATTTTTCATTGAATCATATATCATAGACATTTTCTTATATCAATACATCATCGACCTTATTCATTTTAATGGTTACATGATATATTCCCAAGTATTGATGTATCATAATTTATTTAACAATTCTCATATTGAAGGTATCTTCTAATTTTTTTCCCTACACAAAACAATGTAGCAATGAACTAGCTTTCCTGTAGATCTATGCAAAGTTTGGAGAAAATTTTTATGGAATAGATGAGATAGATGAGAAGTAACTGAATTGCTGATTAAATGGGAAGAACATTTTATATTTTAATAGTTTCCACAAATTGTCCACCAAAAATGTTGCATCTGATTTACCCTTCCTCTGCCTATGTAGTTCAATTCCCTGCAACATGATGAGTTGTATATTACCATCTCCATTGCAAAGATGAAGAACCAGAGACAGGTTAAGTTTTCTTTATGTCACACAGGTATTATATAATCTAATGAAGATCTGCCCGAGGTGAGTTTCACTCTCTGTGCCATGATGGCTTCTCTCAGTGTCCACTGGTTTTCATGGTCCATGGAAATAAGGGTTCATTCATGGTGGGATGATAGAAAGCTAGGATCCTGCAGGAAGACATTGGGACTGAAATGGTAATACCATGAGTCACATTGTACAGGCAAGGCCACAACTAGACAAGTCATTATTTTAATTGGTTTTATTGAATGTTGGTTAGATACAAAATAATATATAATATGTGTATTAAATATAAAATAATACACATTACAATAAACGGCAGAATATCCCCATATAGTTTAAGAAACAGACATTACCAAAATCTTTGAAGCCCAGAGAGTACCTGTACCTTCCCTAGAGGTAACCACTATACCACATTTTTTTTTTTGTCAATAATTGTATTGGATTTCTCTATAGTTTTAACAACTGTGGCTGAATCCATATCAGGGTTACTATGGAATTCCTCAGAGAATGTGCACTGTCAAATTCCAAGGGTTATCTGCTGATGTGGTTAGTACAGGGCCAGCACAGCTCTGCCTTGCAGCACCCCCAAAAGGAATACAGTGTGTAGTTTTGCAAATTTCAAAATTTATTTAAATGGAATCATAACATATGCATTCATCTGCAACTTGCTTTGCACTACTCAACATACCCCTCTGAGAGTAAGTCACCATATGCTCACTGCCATAGTTCATTTATTTTCACTGCTATACAGTATTGCTTGGGATGAATGTACCCAAATCTTTAGGTATTCTCGTGTCATTGGGCATTTGGCTTTTTTCTGAGGTTTTGCTGTTATAAACAGTGCTGTTATGAACATTTCATGGACAGTCCCTGGAGCACATCATGTGTGGAAGCATTCCATAAATTCCTAGGAAAGGAATTCTTGCATTTTTGAAATGCACATCTTCAATTTCACTGGATAAATGCCAGATTGTTACTCCACAGCAGTAGATAGTTTTTTCCTAACATCCTTGCCAAAACTTGATATTGTGAGACTTTGAAATTTTTGCCAATTTGGTGGATGTAAAAACAGCATTTAATTGTGGTTTTAACTTTCATTTTCCTGACTAATGATGAGTTGAGCAGCTTTTCATGTATTTTTTAACCTTTGGCATTTCTTTGTGAAGTATTCCTTCAAGTCTTTTGCATGTTTGTCTTTTGTGAATTACCTTTTTCCTATCAGTTTGCAGTAGTTCTTTAAATACTCTGTGTTCTATTTCTTTGTCAGTGATATATGTTGCAATTTTTTTTTTCAGTTGGTGGCTTATGTTCAAAACATAACATGGTTCCTTATAATAGTCAGAAGTTCTTAGTTTTAATATGTTTACTTTTTTATGATTTGCCCTTCTTGAATCTTAAGAAACCCATTTCTATCCTGAAGTCAAAGATATTCTTTCATATAGCATTCTAAGATGTTTATAGTTTTGTGTTACAGATTTAAATATTTAAAGCATCTGGAATTAATGTTTATGTATGACGTGAGGTAATACATATTATCTATAAAATTTCCTTTCTTCCTTCCTGTTTTCTTTCCCTCTCTCTCTTGTTCTTAAACTTTTCATTTATTTGTCTATTCCTATTGCATGGTAAATCACTAGTAAATGTTGACTAGAAATGGTGATAACAAGTACCCTGGAATTTTCCTGTTCATAAAGAAAATGCTTTCATTTTTCCATTTATTTAGTGTGTGATTCATGTTTTAAATTGCTGGTAGATAACAGATGGATTCACAGCTGAATTCTATCAGAGGTACAAAGAGGAGCTGGTACCATTCCTTCTGAAACTATTCCAAACAATAGAAAAAGAGGGAATCCTCCCTAACTCGTTTTATGAGGCCAGCATCATCCTGATACCAAAACCTGGCAGAGACACAACAAAAAAAGAAAATTTCAGGCCAATATTCCTGATGAACATTAATGCAAAAATCCTCATTAAAATATTGGCAAAACGAATCCAGCAGCACATAAAAAAGCTTATCCACCATGATCAAGTCGGCTTCATCCCTGGGATGCAAGGCTGGTTCAACATATGCAAATCAATAAATGTAATCCATCACATAAACAGAACCAATGACAAAAACCACATGATTATCTCAATAGATGCAGAAAAGGCCTTCGACAAAATTCAACACCCCTTTATGCTAAAAACTCTCAACAAACTAGATATTGATGGAACATATCTCAAAACAGTAAGAGCTATTTATGACAAACCCACAGCCAATATCATACTAAATGGGCAAAAACTGGAAGCATTCCATCTGATAACTGGCACAAGACAAGGATGTCCTCTCTCACCACTCCTATTCAACATAGTATTGGAAGTTCTGGCCAGGGAAATCAGGCAAGAGAAAGAAATAAAGGGTATTCAAACAAATAGGAAGAGAGGAAGTCAAATTGTCTCTATTTGCAGATGACATGATTGCATATTTACAAAACCCCATCATCCCAGCCCCAAAACTCATTAAGCTGTTAAGCAACTTCAGCAAAGTCTCAGCATAAAAAATTAGTGTGAAAAATCACAAGCATTCCGATACACCAACAACAGACAGAGAGCCAAATCATGAGTGAACTCTCATTCACAATTGCTACAAAGAGAATAAAATACCTAGGAATACAACTTACAAGGTATGTGAAGGATCTCTTCAAGGAAAACTACAAACCACCTCTCAAGGAAATAAGAGAAGAAGCAAACAAATGGAGAATCATTCCATGCTCATGGATAAGAAGAATCAATATTGTGAAAATGGCCATAGTGCCCAAAGTAATTTATAGATTCAATTCTATCCACATCAAGCTACCACTGACTTTCTTCACAGAATTAGAAAAAAACTACTTTTAATTTCATATGGAACCAAAAAGAGCCTGAGTAGCCAAGGTAATCCTAAGCAAAAAGCACAAAACTGGAGGCATCATGCTACCTGATTTCAAACTATACTACAAGGCTACAGTAACCATAACAGCATGGTACTGGTACCAAAATAGATATATAGACCAATGGAACAGAACAGAGGCCTCAGAAATAACACCACACATCTACAACCATCTGATCTTTGACAAACCTGACAAAAACAAGCAATTGGGAAAGGATTTAATAAATGGTATTGGGAAAACTGGTTAGCCATATGCAGAAAGCTGAAACTGGACCCCTTCCTTACACCTTATACAAAAAGTAACTCTAGATGGATTAAAGACTTAAATGTAAGACCTAAAACCATAAAAACCCTAGAAGGAAACCTAGGCAATACCATTCAGGACATAGGCATGGGCAAAGCCTTCATGGCTAATACACCAAAAGCAATGGCAACAAAAGCCAAAATTGACCAATGGAATCTAATTAAACTAAAGAGCTTCTGCACAGCAAAAGAAACTATCATCAGAGTGAACAGGCAACCTACAGAATGGGAGAAAATTTTTCCGATTTATCCATCTGACAAAGGGCTAATATCCAGAATCTACAAAGAACTTAAAAAAATTTACAAGAAAAAAAACAAACAACCCAATCAAAAAGTGGGCAAAGGATATGAACAGACACTTCTCAAAAGAAGACATTTATGCAGCCAACAAACATGAAAAAAAGCTCATCATCACTGGTCATTAGAGAAATGCAAATCAAAACCACAATGAGATACCATCTTATGCCAGTTAGAGTGGTGATCATTAAAAAGTCAGGAAATAACAGATGCTGGAGAGGGTGTGGAAAAATAGGAATGCTTTTACACTGTTTGTAAGAGTGTAAATTAGTTCAAGCATTGTAGAAGACAGTGTGGCGATTCCTCAAGGATCTAGAACTAGAAATACCATTTGACCCAGCAATCCCATTACTAGGCAAATACCCAAAGGATTATAAATCATTCTACTCTAAAGACACATGCACACATATGTTTATTGTGGCACTGTTCACAATAGCAAAGACTTGGAAGCAACCCAAATACCCATCAATGATAGACTGGGTAAAGAAAATGTGGCACATATACACCATGGAATACTATGTAGCCATAAAAAGGATGAATTCATGTCCTTTGCAGGGACATGGATAAAGCTGGAATCCATCATTCTCAGCAAACTAACACAAGAACGGAAAACCAAACACCACATGTTCTCACTCATAAGTGGGAGTTGAACAATGAGAACACATGGACACAGGAAGGGGAACATCACACCCTGGGGCCTGTCGGGGGTTGGGGGCCTAGGACAGGGAGAGCATTAGGAGAAATACCTAATGTGGATGAAGGGTTGATGGGTGCAGCAAACCATCATGGCATGTGTATACCTATGTAACAAACCTGCACGTTCTGCACATGTATTCCAGAACTTAAAGTGTAATAAAAAAATTATAAACCTCATCTCTACTTTTAGTTTGATAAGACTTTATTTTTAAAATATGAAATAAATTTTGTTTTTATCGAATACAAAATTCTACAATTATTCTCTTTTAAACTTAATATAGAACTTATATAAAATTATTTCTAGTGTTAGATTAGTCCTACATCTCTAACGGTGTAGTGCATTACCTTTTCCATACATTTTTATTTGGTTTGTTCACATTTATTCAAATATATTTTGCATTTAAGTTCATGAGTGAGATGGGCCTATTAATTTTTTTCCCTTGTAAAATGAATTGCAGAGTATTTCCACTGTCTTATCATCTGGAATATTTGTCAAATTAGAATTATTTTCCTCTTGAGAGTCAGACCTAACAGAGAAAACCATCTGAGACCATTTCTGAATTGAAAGATTTTTAATTGCTGATATAATTTATGGAATAGTTACAGGATTATTTACACTTTTTGTTCTTTTTGGTGTTGATTCTTGTATTTTTAAGTAATTTGTGGATTTTGCATGTTTTCAAATTATTGATATAAGGTTATTTATCAAATCCCTTAATGTTTTTATTTGTGCAGCATCTGTAGTTACGTACACTTATTACTTCTAATATTGATGACTTCCCTCTCCATTAGTCGTGCAGAGGATCTGTCGGTTTTCATGGAATTGCTCTCTGCTCTGTGTTTCCTTCCTTTCACTCATGCTGTGGCCACTCAAATTGGATTCTTTGCTCATTATATTTCATCCTTGTAGTCCAATCTAAATTATTATGTTATAAATTTTCCTCTGAATACTGCTTTAGCTGTATCCTGCAATTTTGTTACACAGGTTGAGCATTCCTAATCTGAATATCTGAAATCCAAAATGCTCCAATATCTGAAATATTTTGAGCTCTGACATGACGCCATAGGTATGTGTGACACCTTTGCTTCTCATGGTTCAATGTATAGATGTTTTGTTTCTTATACAAAGTTATTAAAAATATTGTATCAAATTACTTCAGGCTATGTGTATAAGGTATAGGTAACACATAAATGACTTTTGTGTTTAGACTTGGGTCCTATCCCCAATACATTTCATTGTGTATATTTAAATACTTCAAAATCTCAAATCCAAAATGCTTTTGGTGCACACATTTCAGATAAATACTCAAACCATACTGTACTTTAATTATTGCTCAACTCAAAATATTTTAACATAGTAATAACTTACTTGATCCACAAATAATTTAAAAACTATATTTAAAAAATGATATTTATCTTTTTGTTATTGCTTTCTAATTTATAAAAATATAAGGCTATATGAGAAATTCTAAGTATTAAAATTTAAAATTTATATTCTTGTTATTGATCTTTAATTTAATTTCATTAATTCTTTATTGTTTGAATTACAGTCCAGTTGGTCAATTTTATAAATGTTAAATATATGCTGAAGAAAAATTTGTATTTTCTACCGGCATGGTTAATGTATTACCTTTGTGTGTTTAAGTTTGTTAGTTGCATTGTTTTAATTTTACATATGCATACTATGTAACTTCCTGATATATTTATTATCTACTATGAAAATTGTACCAAATCTCCTTCTATGATATTGTTTTTGTTGATGATAATGGTTTATCCTTCTAGTTCTTTTAATTTCTGGTTACTATATATTAAACTATGTTGTATATACATGCAACTTTATAATTGTTATATCTTCCTTAATAATAAACCTTTAACTGTTTAATAATGTTTCTATTAAACACTAATAGATTAATAGTGTTAATGCTTTATGCCTTCATCTATTTTTGCCTGCTATTAATAGAGAGCTATATAATTATTTTGGTTAGCACTTCCCTGGTATAATTTTCTTTATTCTTTTAGCCTTATTTTTTCTAATATTTATAATTCAGAAGTGTTTCTTACGAATAGCATAAAGCTAGCTTTTGTTTTTTCACCTAGTGTGACAATCTTTGTCTTAATTCTTGAATGCAGTTCTTTTACATTCAAATTACCATTATAATTACATTTATTCATGTCATTTATTTTGAATTTTTTTTGTGTTATGCATTTCCTGTGCTTTTAACCTTTCCTTTTTCCCTTTTTGATTGTTTCTGTAAGTTTTCTCATTGCACCTTTTTCTCTCTAATATTTTGGAACTGATTAATTCCATCTTCGGTTGTGTTAATGGTCACTTCAGGAAATTTAAGATGCCTGTTATCTTTACACCAGTCCTAAACAATACAAGGACTGATAATAAATTAGCAGCAGTCGTGTGGCCTCCTTATCATATATTATTGCCAACGATAGTTTTTCCCCAACTGTTGATAAACAATATTATTATTGTCTTATATAGCCAGTGTTTGGATAGATTTACCTACATCTTGCCT
Organism: Homo sapiens; assembly: GCF_000001405.40. Classification (NCBI taxonomy): domain Eukaryota; kingdom Metazoa; phylum Chordata; class Mammalia; order Primates; family Hominidae; genus Homo; species Homo sapiens. The sequence goes on along the minus strand of NC_000002.12, from coordinate 126,608,920 downwards.
TTTTAAAAATTTATTCTCACATCTGACATCTTCCATCTGATTGTTTTCATTTTGCCTATAGGATAACTTTACAATATATTTAGTAAAAGCATTTTGTTTAGTTTTTGTTAGGCTGATTTTTTTTCCTTCATCTACTTTTAGAAAGATATTTTCACTGGAGCTATTTCCTCTCAGCACATTTAAGATGTTATTCCAGTATCTTCTGACTTCCATTTTCTATTTGTCATTCTTTTATTGTTTATTTGTCTTTTCTATTTGAAGGTTTTTAAGATTGTCTCTTTTCCGCCTTAGTATTATGCAGCTTCACAGTTACGTTTTTAAGGTGGATTTAATTTTGTTCTTATTCTGGTTGCTTTTGTAATGTAAGTACCAATGTCATTTGTCAGTCTAAAGTTTCTTAGTCATTATTTCTTAAAATACCATCTTTCCCCATCTCACTTCACTCTTTCTGGTCCTTTAATTAGCCAAATATGAGACTTCTTCTTTCTGTCCTCCATGTCTTCTAAATCTCTTTTTTTATTTATTGAATCTTTGTGCTTCTATACTGCATTATAGATAACGTATTTAAATTTAGCTTCCATTTTGTTAAATATCTCTTTAGCCTTGGAAACTTTACAGTTAAAACCATCCATTGGGTTATTTATTTATATTGTTTATTTATTTTATTTAATTTTACTTCACATACATGCATAAAAATTAAATAATAAACATTTACACTTATTTAATTAGCAGGCTAGTTTCTTGTAAATGCACAAAATAATAATCTATGATGTCACATTTTAACTTTTATTTATTTGATTTTATTTTTTAACTTTTATTTTACTTTTGGGGTACCTGTGCAGGTTTGTTATATAGGTAACAGTTAAGGGGGTTTGTTGTACAGATTATTTCATCACCCAGGCACTAAGCCTAGTACACAATGGTTATTTTTTTCTGATCCTTTCCCTTCTCCCACCCTCCACTCTCCACCCCATTGTCTGTTGTTCCCTTCATTGCATCCATTAGTTCTCATCCTTCAGCTCTCACTTATAAGTGAGAATACGTGGTATTTGGTTTTCTGTCCCTGTGTTAGTTTGCTAAAGATAATGGCCTCCAGTTCCATCCATGTTTTCACAAAAGATATAATCTCATTCTTCATAGCTGCATAGTATTCCATGATGTATATGTACCCCATTTTCTCACTCCAATGTCATTGACAGGCATTTAGGTTGATTCCATATCTCTGCTATTGTGAATAGTGCTGCAATGAACATTTGCATGCATATGTCTTAATGGTAGAATAATTTATATTCCTCTGGGTATATACCCAGTAATAAGATTGCTGGATCAAATGGTAGTTCTGGTTTTAGCTCTCTGAGGAATCACCACACTGCTTTGCACAAAGGTTGAACTAATTTACAATCCTACAGACAGTGTACAAGCATTTCTTTTTCTCCACAGCCTTATCAGCATGTTATTTTTTGACTTTTTAATAATGGTGGTTCTGACTGGTGTGAGATGGTATCTCGTTGTGATTTTGATTCATATTTCTCTAATGATCAGTGATACTGAGCTTTTGTTCATATGCTTGTTAACTGCATCTGTGTCTTCTTTAGAAGAGTGTCTGTTAATATCCTTTGCCTGCTTTTTAATGGGGTTGGTTTTTTTTTTTTTTGTAAATTTGTTTAAGTTCCTTATAGATGCTGAATATTAGACTTTTGTCAGATGCGTAGTTTGCAAATATTTTCTCCCATTCTGTAGGTTGTCTGTTTACTCTGTTGATAGTTTCTTTTGTTATGCAGAATCTCTTAAGTTTAATTGGATCTCATTTGTCAACCTTTGCTTTTGTTGCAATTGCTTTTGGCATTTTCGTCATGAAATCTTTGCCCATTTCTATGTCCAGAATGGTATCACCTAGATTGTTTTCCAGGGTTTTTATAGTTTTGGGTTTTTAAATTAAGTCTTTAATCTATTTTGAGTTGATTTTTGTAAATGGTGTAAGGAAGGGGTCCAGTTTCTGTCTTCTGGATATGGCTAGCCAGTTATCCCACCACCATTTATTGAATATGGAGTCTTTTCCCCATTGCCTATTCTTTTTCAGCTTTGTCAAAGAACAGATGGTTGTAGGTGGCCTTATTTCTGGGCTCTCTCTTCTGTTCCATTGGTCAATGTGTCTGTTTTTGTACCAGTACCATACTGTTTTGATTACTGTAGCCATGTAGTATAGTTTGCAGTTGGGTGGCATATTGCCTCCAGCTTTGTTCTTTCTGCTTAGCATTGCCTTAGCTGTTAGAGCTCCTTTTTGGTTCCATATAAATTTCAAAATAGTTTTTTTTTTTTTTAGTTCTGTGAAGAATGTCATTGGTAATTTGATAGGAATAGTATTGAATCTGTAAATTGCTTTTGGCAGTATGGCCATTTTAATGATATTTATTTTTCCTAACCATGAGCATGAAATGTTTTTCCATTTGTTTGTGTCTTCTCTGATTTCTTTGAGCAGTGTTTTGTAATTCTTATTGTAGAAATCTTTCATCTCCTTGGTTAGCTGTATTCCTATGTATTTTATTTTTTTGTGGCTATTGTCAGTGGGATTGCATTCCTGATTTGGCTCTTGGCTTGGCTGTCATTGGTGTATAGGAATGCTAGTGATTTGTGTACATTGATTTAGTATCCTGAAACTTTGCTGAAGTTGTTTATCAGTTGACGGAGCCTTTGGGCTGAGACTATGGGATTTTCTAGATACAAAATCATGTCATCTGAAAACAGAGATAGTTTAACATACTCTCTTTCTATTCAGATGCCCTTTATTTCTTTCCATTGCCTGATTGCTCTGGCTAGGACTTCCAATATTATGTCAAATGGAAGTGGTAAGAGAGGGCATCCTTGTCTTGTGCCAGTTTTCAAGGGAACGCTTAGCATTTCCCCATTCAGTGTGATGTTGGCTGTGGGTTTGTCATAGATAGCTCTAATTATTTTGAGATATGTTCCTTCAATACCTTGTTTATTGAGAGGTTTTTACATGAAGAGATGTTGAATTTTATCAAAAGCCTTTTCTACATATATTGAGGTAAACATGTGGTTTTTGTCTTTAGTTCTGTTTAAGTGATGAGTCACATGTATTGGTTTGTGTATGTCAAACCAACCTTGCATCCTGGGTGTGAAGTTTACTTGATCGTGGTGAATTAGCTTTCTGATGTGCTGTTGGATTCAGTTTGCAAGTATATTGTTGAGGATTTTTGCATCAATGTTCAAAGATATTGGCTTGAAGTTTCTTATTTCATTGCATCTTTGCCAGGTTTTGGAATCAGGAAGATGCTGGCCTCATAGAGCCTCATAGAATGAGTTGGTGAGGAGTCCCTTCTCCTCAATTTTTTGGACTAGTTTCAGTAGGACTGGTACCAGCTCTTCTTTGTACATCTGATAGAATTCAGTTGTGAATCAATCTGGTCCTGGGCTGCTTTTTTTATTGGTAGGCTATTTATTACTGATTCAATTTTGGAGCTTGCTATTGATCTGTTCAGGGAATCAATTTCTTCCTGGTTCAGTGGTGTATCTGTTAAGGAATTTATCCATCTCTTCTAGGTTTTCCAGTTTGTGGTGTATCTGTTAAGCAATTTATCCATCTTTTCTAGGTTTTCTAGTTTGTATGCACAGAGGTGTTCATAGTAGTTTATGATGGTTATTTTCATTTCTGTGGGGTCAGTGGTAATATTTTCTTCATCATTTATAATTGTGTTTATTTGGATCTTCTCTCTTTTCTTATTAATTTAGCTTGTGGCCTATCTGTCTTATTAATTTATTCAAAAAAACCAACTCCTGAAATCATTGATCTTTTGAATTTTTTTGTGTGTCTCAATTTCCCTTAGTTCAGCTCTAATTTGCATTATTTCTTGTCTTCTGCTAGCTTTGGGGTTGGTTTGCTCTTGCTTCTCTAGTTCTTCCAGTGGTGATGTTAAATTGTTAAATTGAGATCTTTCTAACTTTTTGACATGGATATTCAGTGCTATAAATTTCCCTCTTAACACTGCCTTAGCTGTGTCCCAGAGATTCTGGTATGATGTACCTTTGTTCTCATTAGTTTCAAAGAACTTCTCGATGTCTGCTTTAATTTTATTTTTTACCCAAGAGTCATTCAGAAGCATGTTTAATTTCCATGTAATTGCGTAGTTTTGAGCAATTTTTTTTTAGTCTTAACTTCTATTTTTATTGTGCTATTGTCAAAGAGTATGTTTGGTATGATTTCCATTCTTTTGTATTTGCTGAGGATTGTTTTATGTCTGATTGTGTGGTTAACTTTAGAGTATGTGCCATGTGGTGATGAGAAGAATGTATATTCTATTGCTTTTGAGTAAAGAGTTCTGCAGAGGTCTACTAGATCCATTTGGTTCAATGTTGATTTCAGGCCCTTAATATCTTTGTTAATTTTCTGCCTCGATGATCTGTATAATACTGTTAGTGGAGTGAAATCTTCCATTATTATTGTGTGTGAGTCTAAGTCTCTTTGCAGGTTTCTAAAGACTTGCTTTATAAATCTGGGCGCTCCTGTGTTGGGTCCATATATATTTAGGATAGTTAGGTCTACTTGTTGAATTGAATCCTTTACCATATGTAATGCCCTTCTTTGTCTTTTTTGTTTTTTGTTGGTTTAAATTCTGTTTTGTCTGAAATTAAGGTTGCAACCTCTGCTTTTTTCTGTTTCCCATTTGCTTGGTAGATTTTCCCTCATCCTTTTATCTTGAGCCTATGGGTGTCATTGAATGGGGGATGGGTCTCTTGAAGACAGCATACCATTGGGTATTGCTTTTTTATCCAGGTTGCCATTCTGTGTCTTTTAAATGGGGCATGTAGCTCATTTACATTTAAGGTTAGAACTGATATGTGCGGATTTGATCCTGTCATTGTGTTGTTAGCTGGCTACTATGCCAGCTTGTTTGTATTGTTGCTCTATGTTTATTTATTTTAAGAGATGGGGTCTTGTTCTATCACTCAGGCTGGTGTACACTGGCAATTATAGCTCACTCTAGCCTTAAACTCCTGGACTCAAGTGATACTCACATATCAGTCTCCCAAATAGCTGAGATTGTAGACATGAGCCACCACTCTTGGCTCCAGATTCTTCATTTTAATTGTTATACATTAAACATATTTTTGGATTTTTGGAAGCTTTTCTTTTTCTTTTTTTTTTTTTGATCAAATGGTTTTGGTATTTTACTAGTCTTACTTTTTTTTTGCTCATTTTATCAGTATTATATTTATTTCTTTAAACCCATTACATAAAAATATTTTATATTCTTGCCAGTAATTGTTAACACGAACTTTTGAGAATGTGTTACCTCCTGTTATTATTGCTGATTCTCACTCAACCTGCCTACATTCCTTGTGTATTTTTTGACTGTGACATCTGAATCCTTGGAAGTTCATCTGTGGGGATTCTTTAAAGCCTGTGTTGAACATTTACTTTTACTGGTTAGCTGAGATTGACATTTTAAAGTGAGTTTTCACTTTGAGTCTTTTTAGACCTTCTGGGTATTGTGAATTCATGCTGCAATTTGAGTGAGGACAATATTTTTTTTCTAGCAATTCTCAGGATACATTTATTTTCCTCTTCACTCAGTGCCACAATTCTCACAGGTACATTTCATTGTCCACCCCTACTCAGTGGATGTGGATGTGTGTAAGGGGAATAAGTGCAGAATGTAGGTTTATTTCCAGTAACACTTTCTGTTCCGGCTTTAAAGAATTAGGCTTCTCACCTTCAAAGGACCTTAGCTTTGCATCTTGATCCGTGAGTCCTGCAACATCACAAATGGATGCTCAATGTCCCCAAAAAGAAACTTTCCTTCTGTGTTTGGCTTAATGCTCTAGGTTCCAGATTTCACTTGGTTTTGGCATTTGAAATATTCCTACTTTTTTGTCAGATAATCAACATACTAAAAAATAAACTTTCAATATTTTGCTGGGCATTTTTAGTGTTTTTTCCGTCTCATTTGGAGGAGTAGTCAGTGTCTAAAATACAAGTCTTAAAGTAGGTCTTACTTTATTTTCCCAGTACCTATGTGCAAAGTACTGAGAAAATCATAATAAGCAAATCTAAGAAATATCTGATCTTAGAAAGTTTAGTCTAGCTGATAAGCAATAGGAAACACACTGGAAATAGAATGGTAAAAGAGGCTGAAATTAATTTCTGAGATTTGTACAAGTGAAGACCTTGGGAGTTTGCAGAAGAGGCAGGAGTCTTCTCCAGAGACTACCCTGGAGGAAGTGTGAAGCATGGGGAGGATCTGCACAGGCAGAATTGCAAGATGAGAGAGAATATTGCTTGCTTGGGCAATGACAACATGAAAGGCATTCAGAGGGAAAATTGATGACAGCCTGGCTGTAGTAATTCTTATGCAGTAGTAATTGCTGAAGATAGAAGCTGGAGGTCAGACTGAGTAGGAGGCCAGAGTCGGGATGTGAATATAGCAAACCAGACTGAGTCTTGGGTCTGTCTTGCAGCCTGTTGGGTGGAGTTTTGGAGTGGAAAAGCCACGTGAAGGCTGGACAGAGCTGAGAGCACACTCTGGTCAAATCAAGTCAGCAGTTGTCCTGCAGGTTTTGGGCCATAGGCTGCTTAAAACACTGGATTACTTGTACATTTAACAACCAGTGGGTTTCATGTTACAAATCCAGAGGCCATCTTCTCTTAAGTAGCTGTACCCAGGGTTTGCATTTTTGTGGGCAGCACCTGGGTGGAGAGCAACATCTGTCTCTTCGAATGAGTAGAATGCTCCCCCAGCCACCCAAGTCCCAACCTTCCTTATTGTCGGGCGAGTGTTAGTTTCCACACGTTTCCACAGCTCTTTTTCTTACGATAAATTTGGAATGATAAAATATTTCTTACCTGCATGTCTATATTAGAAGTGTGAAGATGAAAAAGAAGACTGAGAGGGCCAAGTGTTTAAAAAAAATGGGAGAGAACATATTATTTTCACACCAAAGTAAAGACTATTGTTGTTCATTTAACACACCAAAAAAAAAATCTAGGTATAAAGATTATATTTTAAAATATAGTTTTAAATAAATCTGCATAACTGGTTTACCTGCACCCCTTTGCTTTGGCCATTTCTGAATCAGAAGGTGAGAAACTGGAAAGAGTGAGACACAAAGGGTAGAGTCCAATCACTCAGGGGTGGCCTGGCAGACCCAGGTAAGAGCTGTGTCTGTCCTTGAAGGTGAGACAGAGGGCAAGTGGTTGGGAAATACAAATGACAATTCCCTAGTGGGTGGGGTACTATAGACTGAATGTTTGCATTGTCCCAAAATTCACATGTTGAATCTGAACCCCCAGTGTGGTGGTATTTGGAGGGGGGCTTGTGGGAGGCTGGAGTCCTCATGAGTGGGATTAGTGCCCTTATAAAAGAGGCCCCAGAGAGCGAACTGCCCACTTCTGCCATGTGAAGACAGAGAGTTCAGGCCTTTCTGGGGCCAGGCCTCCCCACAGGTGACTCCTTCTGCTTCATGTCACTGTATATCTCAGGACTGCTGACTAGAGGATAGGGCTGGAAACCCAGGGGACTTCTGGGAACTGTTGTGCACATGATTCACCTAAAATGTAAAAGAGTATACAATTGCAAGTGACTTGTCTCTAAGAGTTATAACACTAAATATGGAACTCATATTGGGAAAGTGGGGTGGGGTGAAGTTTTTCCTCCACTTTGCAAACCTGTAAGGTCATTTTGAAATTAAACATTCATGGAGAGGCTTCCCTTAGTCCCAATGGGGAATGACAGAAGGGATTGTGTCTGCCACCTACCATGCAGGCCCATCCCCTCTGCAAGATGCAGGAGGGGCTGTTTTTTCTACTGGGAAGAAGAGGGCAAGAGCGTGTGACCTATGGGCACCACATGTTCCATTTAATCTGTGCCACACCCTGCAGGTGCTATGATGCTGTCACCATTGGGTACAGAGGGAGCTGAGAACCAGGCAAGGATAGGCAGCTCTGAGTGCAAGGTGACTCAGATGAGATCTTTCTGGCGCTAAGCCTTTCCCCTCACACTTCGCCACCCTGCCTCCCTCCCAAGGGATCTGCAGACCAAACTTGGCATTGGAAAAATTGTGAGACACTTTGGCTTGCTTGTGAAGAGGCATGACTGAGTCAATTTTTTTTCCAGTGGGTAAAAAGTGTTGAAAACTACTAAAGAATTGGCCTTTTCTCTGTTTTACCTAATGGAGTTTTTCTTGGAGCCATGTGGGCACACATTGAAATATGGATGTTTAGCTTTTAGAACCTTGTCCTTGGAGGAGAGGAGAGAGGGAGAATGAAAGGCATGACTGCAAATAACTATATTATATAGAGAACTAATCACTTTAATTGGCCCTTTTTATTCAGAGGCTGTCCTGATTTATGAATGTGTTTTTCAGGAGCCCAGGAAATGCCTCCTGACTGGGCTCATGCAAGCTTATGGGACGGCTTTCATCAAGAACAAATGTCTTTAATTGCAGTGTGAACGTTAAGGGGTTTGTAATTAGCTGCTTGCAATAGCTATGCACTTTCTCACTATTTGCTGACAGTCTCAGACAATCCCAGAAAGAGAAACTTCCACCTCCATATTTGCTTATTTGTTTATTTTGTGAAATGAGAAGATGAATTCCAAAGGAAAATTTCTTTTTCCAGAGCCTCTGAAGACTAGTGAAACTAAAATATCTCCTGTTTGTTTTTGGTTTCTAATATCCTACTCTTCCTCTATTCCATATTTTCAGATAGAACTGGAAGCCAACAGTACCTGCCTCTGGTCACTAGGAAAAGCTAATGATTTTCACCAGGGCCATAGGGGCCCTCTCAGCCTTAGCTGGTAAAGAACCCAAGGAAGAAGGGAGTTTTCCTTCACTGGACATCTATTGATTACAAATTACTGCACAGAGTTCTGCATGAAGTTGATTTCTTAATTTTTACAGTAGACCTATCAGAGAAATGAGTAAGGGAGCCCAATTGTATCTCTCCTTGTATCACTTCTGGTAACATCCCATCTGCCCAAGCAAGTCACACACTGAACCTAGAGTCAGGGAAGCATGGAGTGGGGCAGAGAATACAGATACAGGAACAGGTAAGGATATGTCTGAATGAAAGTCCTTGGTTTAATATATACATTGCTAATTTGTGAGTTGACAATTTCACTTTTAATGCTGGCTTTTGGCAAACAAGATTTTTTAATTGAATGAAGCTATGTATTAATGTGTTTAGCATTTATAATTTGCCTTTATATTTAGTGCTTTTTTGTTTCTGTTTGAGAAATCTTAGCCTAATCTGGGTTAATAAAATTGTTCTTTTATGTTTTCTTCTAGCAGTGTTATTGCTTTATCTTTCATATGACTTTTATGTTTATGTCTATGTTACATCCTAGATTAATGTTCGTGTATAGTGCAAGGTAGATGTCAATGTTAATTTTTTTTCATTTGGGGGCCCGATTGGTCCAGCACTATTTATTAAGATCATCCTTTCCCTTGCTTAGTTGCAGTGAATTCTTTGTTATGAATAAGGTGACTGTCTCATATATAGGTCTATTTTTGGATATTTTATTTTGTTTCCTAGTTCAGTTTTATACACTTGCACACTGTCTTGAGTGTTGTAGCTTTAGAATAAGTCTTGAAGCCTGATATTATAAATTCTCTAATTTTGTTCTTCTGCGTCAAGATTGACTTAATCCTTCCAGTGAATTTTTGAATTCAGTCATTATGTTTTCCAGCTCCAGAATTTCTGCTTGGTTCCTTTTCATAATTCCTGTCTCTTTGTTGGTATTCTTATTTTGTTCGTATATTGTTTTCCTGATTTTCTTTAGTCCTTGGTTCATTTTTTCCTTTTGCTTTTGAACATACTATGGAAGATATTTTAAAGTCTCTGTCTAGTAATTCCAATTCTTCCTCTTTAAGGATGGTATCTCTGCCAATTAATTGTATTTATTTGAGTGGGTTATGTTTTCCTGTTTCTTCACCTTGTTATTTTTGTTAAAAATTGGACATTTGAGAAAACAGCCACCTCTTCCAGTCTCTGCCAATTGGCTCTGTGCGGCTGCAATCCTCACCCTGAGCCTGGGGATCAGTCCAAGATGAAAACAGTCTTCTCAGGCCCTTTCTGAGCATGCATCTTACCTGGGCCTTCATGTGACTTTCTCAATTCCCATTTATCCATGGCTACTTTTGAATGTATTAATTTCCCAAATGGTCTCACTCCAGCTTCTCCCTAGGGCCTGAAGTGGTCATTTTATGTCTCCACTATAAATCTCTTTTTCCAAGTGTCTTGCCCCAGATTCCCAGGTTGGAGTCTGTGCACTGCTCTCATGAGCTGTTCTTGCTGCTTTTTCCCTGCCTGAGATCTGAGTTAGACAAGGCAGAGAAACATCCGGTAGGTAGTGCCTAGATGGGTTGGAATACTGTCAGTAGGGTCTGCTCTGTTCCCTTCAGTTGAGAGAGAAGGCTGGGAGCTGGGATGCTTCCTCCTATAGACCAAGAATATCTTGTAACTTAGGGAGTAAGGCAAGGGTAAATAGAAACCCCATGACATTTACTACCATTTTGAAAGTGGCTTTTTCTTAACTGGGTGTTCACTTGGTTTCTTTAGACCCTTGATTGTTTTCCAGAGCTCCTATAAAAGTTGTCCAGTTAGTTTCTGGTTGTTTTTAATGTTTCTATGAAGAAACAGGGCTTGGAGCTTCCTAGTACACGCACCATTCTTCTCAGACATCTAAACATTTTTTAAACTGTCACTTTAAAAAGAATCTTTATTAATATTTGAAAAAAAGGCAATTTGCATCAAAAGACAAATCAATAATTTCAACTTTACATTTTTAGGCTATATCATGCTACTAGAAAAACAACATTATTTCTGACTCAAATACAGACTTGAAAAAAATAGTCCTTGGAAAGAAAATAGAACTTGGATGAAGTGAAAAATGTTAGACACAGGCCTCTTAAAGTCAGAAGATCCACCACAAATGGTTCTTTTGCATTTACTCATGATATATTCAATACAGAATTATACAAAGTGGAAAAAGTCCATCCAAAAGGTTACACACTTTATGATTCTATTTATAGTATTTTTCAAATGCTAATAATATTTTTCAAATGACAAACTTTTGAAAATGGAGAACGCATTAGTGGTTGCCAGGAAGGGAGGGAGGAGGGGGGTATAGCTATAAATATGTTGTTGCATGTGTTGATGGTTTGTTTCTCTGCTGATAAAAAGTATTCCATTGTATAAATGCACCTTAAATTGCTTCTTGACAGACATTTCTATTGTTTCTGGTTGAGCGCTATAATAAATAAAATAGCTATCACTATTTTTATATAATAAACTTCTGTTTGCATAAACATATTTTCAATTTGCCTCAATCAAATATCTAGGAATGATAATTGCGTATTAACCTTTCTAAGACACTGCCAAACTGTTTTCAGTGCAATTGTACAATTTAAAAGATCACACCGGAAATATTCAAGCGTATTAGTTTATTCACAGCATCATCAGCATTTGGTGTTGCCAAACTTTAACTTTCCTAGGTTCTTGGTATCTCCTTGTGCTCTAAATCTGCATTTCTTTCATGACAAATGATATGTGCATACTGACTGTTAATATGTCTTATTTTCTGGAGTATCTATTCAAATTTTTTGCTCATTATTATAGGGTTGTTTCTCTTCTTATTATTGAATATTAAGAGTCTTTATATACTATTCTCCATAAAAGCCCTTTGTCAATTATGTGTTTTACAAATACTTTTTCCCAAACTGTGAATTGCCTTTCAGTTTTTTTAACTGTGTCTTTGGGTGCACAAAATTTTTAGTTTTGGTAAATTTCAGTATATAACCATGCACTGCACAGCAATGTTTCAGTCAACGACAGACTGCATGTATGATGGTGGTCCCATAAGATAACCTGAGGCTGCGTGTGGTGGTTCATACCTATAATCTCAGCATTTTGGGAGACTAAGGCAGGAGGATCACTTGAGGCCAGGAGTTCAAGACCAACCTGGGCAACAGAGCAAGACCTCGTCTCTATTTTTTTTAAAAAAGAAACCTGATATATGGCACTTGATATTGGCATTGCATATCAAGGAAGAGAAATCATTGGTATTTACTAATGGTGCTGGAACATTTGGTTTCCCATATGAAAAAGTATATGCAGATAAAAAATGTATATATCATCTAGGTTTATGTGAGTACACTCTATGATGTTCACACAATGACAAAATTGCCTAATGATGCATTTCTCAAAATGTATCCCATCACTAAGCAATGCATAACTGCTCCTTTTATATAGTTTGTGTTTTTGTGTTCTCTCTAAAAAATTCTTGTTTAGTTCAAGGTCATGGAAAACATTCTCCTATTTTTTTCTTTCAGAAGTTTCAGACTTTTTATATTTGCATTTAGGTCTATGATATTTCTTTCTTCTTTTTTTTCTTTTTGAGACAGAGTTTCACTTCCGTTGCCCAGCTGGAGTGCAATGGTGTGATCTCGGCTCACTGCAACCTCTGCCTCCCAGATTTCAGTTATTCTCCTGCCTCAGCCTCCCAAGTAGCTGAGATTATAGGTGCCCACCACGCCCAGCTAATTTTTTGTATTTTTAGTACAGACAGGGTTTCACCGTGTTGGGTGGGCTGGTCTTGAACTCCTGACTTCAGGTGATCTGCCTGCCTCGGCCTCCCAAAGTGCTGGGATTACAGGCATGAGCCACCTTGCCCAGCATATGATATTTCTTATATAAATTTTTGTGTAAAGTGTAAGGTAGGGGTCAGCTTAATATTTTTTTGATGTGGATATATAGTTGTTCCAATACCTTGGCACCTTTGTGAAATATTGGTTAATCATATATATTTTTTTTCCTAAACTCTCCTATTTCATTGATGATATTGATGATCCTTGTATCAATACCATACTGTCATATTGTTGAAACTTTACAGGAAGTTTTAAATTCAGTAAGTGGGAATCGTACAGCCTTGTCTATTTTTTCCAAGATTGTTTTGTTTCTTCTAGGTCTTTTACTTTTCTAAATAAATTTTAGAGTCAGCTGTTAACTTCAATAAAACAACTTATAAAGATTTTGATTGGAATTGCATGAAATCTCTATCAATCTGTGGGGAATTGACATCTTAGCTATATTCAGTCTAGTCTTCTAATCCATGACCTCTCCATTTATCTAGGACTTCTTTAATATCCTTTACCAATGTTGTGTATTTTTTGGTATAGAGTTCTTGTCTTCTTTCATTAAATTTATTTTTAAGTGTTTCGTGGTTTTGATGAAATTATAAATGACGTATTTTTAAATTTCATATTTCATCATGTAACAGCCAGGGTCTAATCAAAGAAGCAGAACTACCATATAGAAAGTAATGTAGAATGAGAGATTAATGATAGTTATTAGGCTCTATGCAATTATGAGAGGTCATTAAGCAGCCTCTGGGATTGTTGCCTCAGTTTCTGGTACAGAGAGCATGTGGTAGTGGTTGGGAAAGGAAGATGGGCACGGAGTGGGAGAAACTAAGAACAAACCAGAACCTGTAATGACACAATAGAACTGTGTCTGTCTCTCATTACTTCTGCTATGAACTGAATTGTGCCTCCCTGAATCCACCAGAAACTGATATGCTGAAGCCCTAACCCCCAATAATTGTATTTAGACATAGGGTTTTTAGGTGATAATTAAGTTTAAATGAGATCATAAGAGAGGGATCCTAGGATTGGTGGTCATTTAATAAGAGGAAGAGTGAGAGTGAGATTTTTCTCCACCATGTGAAGAAACACCAATAAGGCAGCTGTCTGAAGGCTGGGAAGAGAATCCTCACTAGAAACTGACCATGCTGGCACCCTTATCTTGAACTTCTAGCCTACAGAATTGTGAGAAATAAATTTCTATTGTTTAAGCCACCCAGTATGATATTTTGTTATGACAGACTGGGTTGATTAAGATCACCTGCAACCTTTGTGATGCAAGTGACTTGTAGGATAGGCTGACATCCTTCACTATGTAGCTACTCACTGACCTGGCCCGGGATTCACATAAGCTGAATGAAGGCACTGGGCAGAAGCTGGAGGAGCTTTTGGCCCAGCTGCTGCTCTCTCCTATGAGGTAGGCTGGCAGTTCAATAGCAATGTATAATAAGTTACAATAGCTTCAGCTGTTTCTGGGTCTAAAAGTGGTACCCTTTTATTTCCCTCTTTAACATATCATACAAAATTGTTTGGTGTCCATCACTTAATCAGCTTCACTTATTTGACACAGTTCAAAGCCACCACACATTTTTTGCTTATGGCAGGTAGAAATGCGTTTTAGGTTTTCATATTGATATCCTGTGACTTTTCAAAGTAGACTTATTTTAGTTGTTGTTGACTCTGGGATGTTTACATGCACAGCCATCTTGTCTGTTAATAAATAGTTTCACTTCTTTTCAATGGGTATGCCCTTCATTTATTTTTCTGCCATATTGCACAAGGTAGGACTTCTAGTGCAATGTTGAATCTGATGAGAACAGACGTGCTTCTTTGTTCCTGACCTTACAGGGAAATCATCTGGTTTTTCATCATTAAGTTTAATTTTAGCTGTGAGTTTTGTTTAGATGCCCTTTATCAGGTTATAAAAGTCACTTTCCCTCCTACTTTGCTGATAGTTTTAATCATAAAAAAGTATTGAATTTTATCAAATGATTTTTTCCATTTTTAAAAATAATTATATTTTTGCCATTTATTCTGCTATGTAAAAAATAACATTGATTAATTTTAGAATGTTAAACCAACCTGACATTTCTTACATTCCTGAGGTAACTCCAAATGAATCATATTGTGTTATTCTTTTTACATAATGTTGGATTTAATTTGCTATTATTTGTTAAGAACTTTTGCATCTGTGTATATGAATGACATTGGTCATCTTTTTTTGTTGTAGCTGTTAGGGTAATAACTGTGTCAGGTTTTGTAAATTTATGCTGGCTTAAAGGATTTAGGAAGTGTTCTTCCTTTTTTGTTTACTGAAAGTGTGTGTGTAAAATTTCTGTGATTTCCTTCTTAAACATTTGATCTAATTTACCAATGAAATAATATGGGCCTGGAAATTTTTATTATGAATTTAGTTTATCAATAAACGTGTCTATTTATGTCAATGTATATGTCATACATCTGTGTATATGCCATATGTATGCTATATATGTCTATATGTATATGTTATATGCTTTATAAATGCACTTATTTAATTATATTATTTCTTCTTTTGTGAGGCAAGTTGGGTTTTTCAAAAGGTGTCAAATTTTAAAAAATAGAATTGACTTAATATTCCTTTATTTATTTATTCATTTATTTGTTTATTTATTTATTTATTTTAGAGACAGAGTCTCACTCTGTTGCCCAGGCTGGAGTGCAGTGGTGCAATATCGGCTCACCGCAACCTCCACTCCAGGTTCAAGCAATTCTTCTGCCTCAGCCTCTCGAGTAGCTGGAACTACAGGTGCATGCCACCACACCTAGCTAATTTTTTTTTTTTTTTTTAATTTTAGTAGAGACGAGGTTTCCCCATGTTGCTCAGGCTGGTCTCAAACTCCTGAACTCAGGCAATCCGCTCACCTCGGCCTCCCAAAGTGCTAGGATTACAGGCGTGAGCAACCGCGCTGGGCCTATATTCTTAAGGTGTTTAGAATATACAATGACATCTCTTCTTTTATTCCTGAAATTTATAATTTGTGCTTTTTTCTTTTTTTTTTTTATCATTCTTGTAACGGGTTTATCAATTTTGTTAATTGTTTTAAAAAATCTTCTTTTAATTATGTTTCTTATTTCATTGATTTCTGATTTTATTTTCATTATTTCCTTTCTTATATTTAATTTTGGTTTCATTTGCTGTTTTATCACTAGCTTATAATAAGAAAATTTAGGTTACTCACTTTAAATCTTTCTTGTTTATAATGAAATCATTTAAAGATAACTTTTTTTCTATGTACTGCTTAACCTGGAATCCACATGGTTTGATTATGTTGTGTTTTAGCCATCACTTTTGAAATATTTTCTATTTTTTCTTTGACATGTGAATTATTTACAATTTTTATTGCTTATTTTCTAAACAGTGATTTTTGATATAAAGTTTTTTATTATAATAGTTTTTCTTGTTAGAGAAATCTGTTAAGATTTTGATCTTTCGAAATTTACTGGGGCCATTATATATGTCATAATATGGTTTAACTTGGTAAACATTTCATGTACACTTGAAAATATTGTCATTCTGCAGTTGTCAGGTGTAGCATTCTAATGATCAAGTTGGTTGACATGTTGTTTTAATCTTCTGTTCTTTATTGATTTTCTATCTACTTGTTCTGTCATTTTTTGAGAGAGGAGTGCTCAACTCTCCAATTTACAATTGTGGATATTTCTATTTCTCCTTTCATTCTGTCGATTTGAAGACCTGTAATTAGATGTAAGCAGATTAAGTATATTTACGTTTCTTTGTGAATTAACTCTTTTATTATCATAGGTTAGAAAGCTACTCAAGTGCCTTCTCTCACTTCTTTTTTTTAGGAATTCTTTGATTCATGCGTCATTGGAGGAACAAATGTAAACTCTTTGAAGAAGAATCTAAAACACATTTTTTTCTCCAGTAATAATTAGTGTCTTAACATACACATTTTGTGATAATATAGCCAAACAAGCTTTTTAATGTTTATTATTTGCACGAAGACATTTTTTTCCGTTCTTTTACTTTCAGTCCATCTACTTTATATTTAACATTTATTTCTTGTTGATAGTATATAGTTATGTCTTGTTTTTAGAAGTAGGCTGTCAGATTAGTGCATGTATGTTTTATGTAATTATTTAAATTGTTGAGTTTAAGTAAACTGTCTTGCTGTCTCTTTTTATATGTTACATAGGAGTTTTTGTTCCCTGCCTTTGAGTTAATTATATATTTTCTTCAAATATTTTTTAAAAATTTTACATATTTGAAATTTTCAAATACTAATTTTAAATAATGTTTACATTTCACCTTTCATTTATAATGGTGTTTCATCTGTCACTTTTTGTACTATTGTTGAGTGGTTATTCTTGGAGTTATAGTATATATTTGAGTCTTATTATGCTCTTCTTAGATTTAATACTATACATTTTTAAGCCTTAAGACCCTTATAACACTTTCTTTTTAACAAATTATTTTAATTGCCAAATAATATTAGTATATATATTCATGGGGTACTATGTGATGTTTTGATTTATTTATACATTGTGGAAGGAGTACATCAAGTTAATGAACATATCCAACCCCTCACATACCAGTGTTTATGTAGTGGGAACATTTAAAATCTACTCTTTCAGCAATTTTGAAATATAGAATACATTATTATTAACTATGGCCACCAAGCTGGATGATAGATCTTGGAAACTGATTCCTCCTGTCTAAAACTTCAAGCCCTTTGATCAACATCTTCCCATCCACCTCCATAACATAACACTTTTTAATTCCATTTACATTCCTATACCTTGCATTTTATTATGTATACTTTCAACTCAGCAATAGACTATTTTTTCTTTAAACTGACAGTCTTCTTTTTAAGAATTAATTATTAGAGGCCAGGCACGGTGGCTCACGCCTGTAATCCCAGCACTTTGGGAGGCCGGGGTGGGCGGATCACGAGGTCAGGAGATCGAGACCATCCTGGCTAACACGGTGAAACCCCGTCTCTACTAAAAATACAACAAATTAGCCGGGCGTGGTCGTGGGCGCCTGTAGTCCCAGCTACTCGGGAGGCTGAGGCAGGAGAATGGCGAGAACCCGGGAGGCAGAGCTTGCAGTGAGCAGAGATCGCGCCACTGCACTCCAGTCTGGGCGACAAAGTGAGACTCCGTCTCAAAAAAAAAAAAAAAAAAAAAGAATTAATTATTAGAACACAAATTCTATCAGCTGTTATTTGAGGATATCTCTTTTTGCTAGATATAGAATTAAAGAATATTTTGGCTAGACATGGAATTCTGGGTTAATAGTTTTCTTTCAGCTCTTGAAGTTGCCATTCCATTTTATTGTGGTCTCCATTTTTCTCTGAGAAGCAGTGAGTCATAATTTCTTTTGTTGTTCTCTTGTGTATAATATTACCTTTTTTTCTTTGACTGTTTTTAAGATTTTCTGCTTATCTTTATTTTATTTTTATTATTTTTTGTTTTGAGACAGTCTTGCTCTGTCGCCCAGGCTGGAGTGCAGTGGCATAATCTCGTCTCACTGCAACCTCCACCTCCCAGGTTCAAGCCATTCTCCTGCTTCAGCCTCCGGAGTAGCTGGAATTACAGGTGCCCGCCACCATGCCCGGCTAATTTTTGTATTTTTTAGTAGAGACAGAGTTTCACCATGTTGGCCAGGCTGGTCTCGAACTCCTGACCTCAAATGATTTGCCCTTCTTGGCCTCCTGAAGTGCTGGGATTACAGGCGTGAGCAACTGCGCCCAGCCTGTTTATCTCTAATTTTCAGTATTTTGACTCTGTTCTGCCTACATATAGAGTTATTTGCAGTCATTATGCTGGTTATTTTCCTGCATTTATTAGATCTATAAGTTGATAGATTTCACCAAATTTGGGACTTTAAAGATCTTTTCATCATTTAATTTTCTTTTCTCTCTTTTTAGAATTCCAATGATCTGTGTTGTCCCACAGTCCCTGAGGCTTTGTTTATTTTTGTTCAATCTTCTCTTTTTAAAATGGTAATTTCCCTCAAATCATCAGCAAATTTGTATTTTCTTTCTTTTTTTTTAAATTTTTTGCTTCCAGTGTATTGTTGAGCCCAACCAATCATTTTTCACTTTAGATAGTGCTCATTTTAGTTCTAAAATTTTCATTCGGTTTTGTTTCGTAGCTTCCATGTCTCCAGTGATATTCCATGTCCATTTGATTGCTGTGTAGTATTTCATTATATGGACATATCACACTGTATTTATTAGTTTCTTAGAGAAAAATTGGAGTTTACTAGTTTGAGGGATTACAAAATGAAGCCACTGTAAACACGAATGCATAGGTTTTTGTACAAATATAAGTTTCCATTTCACTAAGGTAAATACCAAGGAGAATTTCTGAGCCACATGGTAAATCTATGTTTTACTTTATACGACACTGGCACTTTGTTTTACAAATATCTACCATTTTGCATTCCCACCAACAAAGTGTTATGTATTATAGCTATTCTACACCATTAGCAGAACGTGGCATTTTCAGTTAAAAAAAAAAAAAAAAACATTCCTCCTAGGAGGTGTATAGTGATACTCATTGTGATTTTAATTTGCTTTTCCCTGATAACTAATAATAATGATCATCTTTTCTATGATTATTTTGTCATTCTCATATTTTCTTTGGTGAAGTGTCTATTAATGTCTTTTCTCATTTAAAAAATTGGGCTATTAGTTTTCATATTTTTGAGTTTTGAAAGTCTTTTTGTGTAATTTGTATGCAAGTTTTTTATTAGATATGGGATTCGTAATTATTTTCTCCCAATCTGCAAATTGTCTTTTTAACTTTTAAAGTCAGATAAAGTCCAATTGATCAATTTATATGTGCTTTGGGGAAAGGATTGATATTTTTTATTGCATGTAAATAACTGATTGTTCTAGAACCACTTATGAAAAAGACTATGTTTTTTCCAAGGAAGTACTTTTGCACCTTTGTAAAAACAATCACGTATATGTCGGTTTAACTCTAGCCTCTTTATTCTGTTCAATTGACATTTGTGTCTGTCCTTTTGATAGTATTCCATGTCTTCATTAATGTAGTTTTATAACTGAGTATTGAATCAGTTATTAAAATTCCTCAAAGTTGGTTCTATTTTGTAAAATCTGTTTTGGCTATTCTAGTTCCTTTGCCTTTCCACACAAATCTTAGAATCACTTTTCCTATTTCTAAAAATTCTGCCAGAATTTTCGTTGAAATTGGGTTGTATATATGTTTTAATTTAGACAGAAATGAATTCTTAACAATATTAAGTCTTCTAATCCATGAACAAGGCATATCTTAACATTTAATTAGGATATCTTTCATTTCTCTTACCAGTATCCTATAATTTTTACCATAAAGGTCTTTCACATTTTTGCTATAGTTATACCTAAGTATCATATTTTTTGGCATTATTATACATTTATAAATTATATTAACATTTTCTATTTCCAATTTTTTCATTGCTATTGCATAGAAATGCAATTGATTTTTATATATTGACCTTGTGTCGAGCAACATAGCTAAATTCACTTATTACTTCTAGTGGTTGTTTTGGTTAATTCTTTATCGTTTTCTATGCAATCAACAATTGCAAATAGAGGGAGCTTTTTTTCCTCCTTACAACCTTATGCCATCTATTTTTCTTGCTGTATTGTATTGGGTAAAGCATTAATTATAATGTTGAATAGGAGTTATAACAGTAGATATTGTTTATTTATGATATAGTGGGAAAACATTCACTCCATTATTTTATTCCAAATTATAGACAGACTTTAGCGAGATGAATGTTGCAATATTGTATAACATAATCACATACATTCTATCATTTTTCTCATATTCTATTGAATGGAAAGAAGTTACAGGTCCAACCCACACTCAAGAGGAAGGGATCCCGCAAAAGCATGAACACTCAGAGGAGTGGATTGAGGGGCCACCTGAAGAATCTGTGTATCATAGCAATGTTTGCTTTGGGATTTATAGTTAGCATCTTGTACCTATCACTGTTTACCCATAAGTAATATCACACCCTTTCCCACATGATATAAGAAATTTGTAATGTTATACTTCTGTGTTTCCCTCCTGGCTGTTGTGCTGTTGTTGCCATACATTTTACTTCTATGTATTTTATACATTTCACAATACATTGCTATTATTTTTATTTTAAGCAATCAATTATGTTCTAAAGATATTTTTAAAATGAGAAGAATATATATATATATATATTTAACTGACATATTTATTATTTCTGGAGTTCTTTGTTCTTTTACATAGAGTTTTTCATCTGATGTCATTTTCTTTCTAACAGACTTTCCATAATATTTTTTGTAGTGCAGGGTAGCTAATGATAAATCCTTTCAGCTTTTGTTTGCCTATGAAAATCTTTGTTTTCTTTTTTTTCTTGAGACAGGGTCTTGCTCTGTCTCTGAGGCTGGAGTGCAGTGGTGCAATCATAGCTCACTGCAGCCTCGACCTCTTTGGGCTCAAATGATCCTCCTGCCTCAGCTTCCCCAGCAGCTGGGACTACAGGAACGCATCACCACACCCGGCTAATTTTATTTTATTTTTTTTGTAGAGATGGGGTTTCACAATGTTGCCCACACTAATCTTGAACTCCTGGCCTCAAGCAATCCTCCCACCTTGGCCTCCCAAAGTGTGGGGATTATAGGCATGAGCCACTGCACCCAGGCAGTTTTGTTTTCGAAAGATATTTTTGCCGAGTTTTTTTTTTTTAATAGTAAGTTGACTTCTTTTCTTTCAGTACCTTAAAGATGTCCCACTATTATTAACTTGTGTTCATTTTTACCAATGGGAAGACTTCTGTCATTCTTACCATTTTGTATGTAATGAGACTTTTTTTACTGGCTGGTTTTAAGATTTCTCTCTATCACTGGTTTTAATATTTTCAACTATGATGCATTATGGTGTGGTTTTCTTCATATTTCTTGTATTTGTAGTTCCTTGAGTTTTAGGATCTGTGGGTTTCTAGTTTTTATCAACTTTGAATATTTTTGGCAATGATTTCATCAAGTATGTGTTTTTCTATTTCTACTCTCTTTTTATCTTCTTCACATATTCTAGTTATACATAGATTAGGTTTCTTGAAGTTTTTCCATAACTCACTGATTCGCTTTTCATTTTTTATCCCTTTTTTCTCTCTGTTTTTCATCTTGTCGTTTCTATTTTTATATTTTCAAGTTTACCCCTTTTTCATCTGTAATGTATAATGTACTTTTAATCCCATTCATTATATTTTAAATCTCCAACATTATGTTTTTTTGCACCTAGGAATGTTATTGGAGTCCTTTACTTATGCTCCATATCTCTGCTTACCATGCTCACGCGTCCCTTTTTTTCTTATGCATGTGGAATGTAGTTATAAGAACTGATTTAACATCTTTGTCTACTAATTATATTGTCTATGTCACTTCTGGGTCTATTTTTATGGACGGAATTTTCTCCTCTCATTAAAATGTGAACACAATATGGCTTTATTTCTTTCTAATAGGTGTTCCCCCTTGCATTGTTATGGGATGATTAGATTGCAGTGTTATCAATGCTCTCATAAAGCAGCGGGAGCACCAGGAAAGCAAAGCTGATCCATCCTGAGGATCGAAGAAGATTTCCCAGAGGAGCACGGCATGTGAGCTGAGTGACCCAGAGTAAGCGTAGACAAAGGGGAAAAAACAAGCAAAGGAAATTCCCAGTGGACAGAAGCACATACACAAAGCACGGAAATGAGAGAAGGGTACACTCCAGGGACACCAGGGAACTCACTGTAGCTGAACTGTGGGTAGGAAATGGAAAGTGACCACGCCAGACTAGCACATGTGCCCAGCCCATGAGAACAGTTGCGCATTTGGCCGGAGAGATTGAGCTTTGCTTTATTGGCCATGGGAAGACTTTAGAAGGTGTTTTTAATTGTGGTAAACATACTTAACAGAAAATTTACCATTTTAACCATTTTAAATGTACAATTTAGTGAAATTAAGTATAATTACATTCTTTTGAAACTATCATCACCATTCATCTCCAGAGTTTTTTCACCTACCCAAATTGAAATTCTACATCCTCACTGTCTTAGTCTATTTCATGCTGCTGTAACAGAATACCTGAGACTGGGTAATTTATAAAGAAAAGAAATTTATTTCTTACAGTTCTGGAGGCTGGAAAGTCCACAATCAAGGCATCGGCAGGTTTGGTGTCTGGTGAGGGCTGCTCTCTGCTTCCAGGTTGGCTCCATGAATGCTGGGTCTCACATGCTAAAAAATAGGAAGGCAAACTAGTTGAACACTGTGTGAAGCCTCTTTTATAAAGGTCTTAATCCCATTAACCAGGGAGAAGCCCTTATGGCCTAATCACCTCTAAAAAGCCCCGCTTCTTAATCTGACTACATTGGCAACATCTGCATTTTGGAGGGGACACATTCAAACCAAAGCCTTCCAATCCTGGCCCCGAAATACCTGCCAAAATTCATGACATGCATAATACATTTGTTTTATCCCATCACCCCCCAAAGTCTTCACGCATTTCAGCATGAACTCAAAAGTTCAAAGTCCAGAGTCTCATCTAAATTGGATATGGGTTAGGCTCAAGGCACGGTTCATCCTGAGGCAAATTTCCCTTTAGCTGTGAGTCTGAAATCAAGCAAGTTATGGGATTCCAAAATACAATCATGGGACAGGCACAGGACAGACATAGGAGAATAGGCAAGAAGAAAGGAGTAACAGGTACCAAGTTAGTCTAAACCCAACAAAGAGAACACTAAATCTCAAGACTTGAGAATTATCTTCTTTGACTCCATGTCCTGCCTTCAGGACACAATGGGGTAAGGGCTGGGTCTCCAAGGCTTCTGGGGACCCTCTCTCTATTCATGCTGTAGCAGATCTCACAGGCTGGAGTTAAGTGCCTGCTTCTCTCCCAGGCTGCCATTGCACATTGGGGCCCCTATACCTCTGAAGTCTTGGGAGCATGCATGGAACCCTGTGCTGCCAAATACTGAAACCCACACTTTCCTTCACATTCTGCCATCAGTAACTGGGAGTCTCATTCCTGTTTATGAAGGAAACATTATCTCCCATGAATGTCGTGTTTACTGGAAGGAGTAACTTATTAACAATAGCTAACATGCAATGAGTGTCTTCTGGGAATGAGTGTCTTACAGGAGTGAACTGACTTGGTCCTTATAAAGAGCACTATCAAATAGATGCTATTATTCCAATATTAGAGTGAGGAAATAAGAGCTAGGGAAGCAAGGGCTTGCCTAAGGTCTCACAACAAGTGGAGGTGGAGCTGGGATTTGTCCAGGCAGATGACCCCTGACTTCACCACACAGATTTATGGAATTTGGCCATATGGTATCCATTAGCTGTTGAGACTCATCTCCTATCTCGACACTAGAGTGTACCTTAGGATTGGAGCACAAGGTGGGCCAGTCTTATAGGTTTGGCAAGTGTAGACATAGACACACTGTTCTGTGAGGAAGGCCTGGGCTGAAATTCCTCAATAATAATCTTTGACAGCCAGAGGACCCACCCCTGGACAGCATGTGCACTGCAGGTACAAGGTAGGGGAATTATGTTATGGGAGCAGTTGGCTGATGTGACACACACTTCTGCCTCATGAGTAGAGGGCTGCTTGGCCCTGCAGTTGTCACAAGAGGCAAGAAACTTCTGTTACTTGGAGAAACAGGGCCCTTTGGCAGTCTATTGCCTCCATTCTCCACCTGCCACCAAGCAGGTCTGCAGGATCCGGCCTCCTTTGGCAACCTCACTCCCTGCAATGCCCCCAGCCTATGTATCCTCAATGCTTCATCACACCAGAACCTTCCTGGAGCCTGTCTTTTTCCTAATTTCATCTTCTGTCACTGCCGTGGTGTCCAGGTTTTGCTCACCCTAAACTGGAAGGCTCTTTCCACCCTTTCTCTATTGCCATTGTCCTATTCTTTCCTACTATGTGGCTTTCCAGATTCTGCCAGGCGTAGGAAAGGAACACATGTCTTGGCGTCTGACACATTTGGGTTGGGAACTTGACTTTGTCACTTACCAGCTGAGTGACCCTGCATGTGACACTGAAATTCTCCAGTCTCAGTTTCCACATCTGTAAAATAGGGTAGTCCCATCTAACTTGCAGTATGGTAAGGTTGTGTATAAAAGGCAGCACCATGTCTGGTACATGCGGTTGATAATCACGAAGGAATGGTGATGATCCACTATAGATTGACCAACTGAAATGTGGCAAATGCACATTTATTTATTCATGCAAATGGAAACACAGATATTATATGCATTTGATGAGGTTGAATATTCACACATGCCACTGCCCAGATGGACAAAGCAAATGTTGCCTCTTTATCTACAACCTATTCTGTCCCATGAGCTCTCACCTGGCCTGGTAGTGGGAAAACTTACACTGGTTTAATTAGTGTTCTTTTGGTTGAAAATGTATTCCTTCAGGTTAATGATAAGACTCTCATACTCCATGCTCCTCCTTACCCACCCCGAGATGTGGCCTGTGTGCACAGCAGAGCTCACTGTGTCCTCATGTTAGTTGGGAGGTAGACATGCACTTCCTTGGGGCTCTTGTTTTGTTCTCTTGGTGTTCACTGCCCCATGCCTGCTTGGTCACAGGTCCCATTGTAAGCATTGGCTATTGCTTGGCTGGTGAGTTTACGGAATTAGCATTGGCATTGCTTGACTGGCCAGGTCGTGGACCTTTTTCTCAAGGGATGCTCAAGGCAGGTGGGCACCTCTGCTTGGCCCAACCTCAGCAGTTCACAGTGTTTTGTGCACTCCCAGGGTCTATGACTCCCCTTAGTAATTCTTTGCCCCAATAAGCCCACCAGTGGCATCATGACCTACTGTCTACATACCTACACAAAATGTTAAGAAATGTCAGCTCTTTACTACCCCAGCAGCTTACCCAGGGGAAGAGGAGTAGAAATTAGGGAGTTTTCTTGAGAATACTTGTTTCAAGATGAGCATGGGTTAAAAGAGTTTTCGGACCTGATGTATTTTTTTAAAAGTTTATTGAGGGAAGCCAGCAAAACTCTCTTCAACTAAAGGATTTCTAAAAATAATAATGGCCTTTCTATCCAATGGGGTCATGGAAGTTTTTTATTCCTTTTGTAATCAAGCAGGGATGTGCATTCCTAGCTCCGTTTAATCTATCATTCACATATCATATGCCAGGGGCTGGTGCCGAAAAGTGAATTACATAATGAGTGAGTGGAAGACTTTTTTTTGTGACATAGGTATGCCTTAAATTACATATTGTTCATCTGGTTTTTAAAATATGGAGTTCTATTTTTTTGTGATTGTCAAATATGTCTCAGAAAGCCTATAATTTCTCAGTGAGGAACAGAGGAACTTTTCTGCCTAATAAAGTGGAAGCTACTCTTCTGGTTCTCAAAGTATTGCTGTTTGGAGATCAGTGAGATTTATTTGTGTTTCATTAATCACTATTGCTTGAGGGTGAATAATAATAATAATGATAGTGATAGTAATATCTCGTGTCAGTCTGATTTCTTTGCTTGAAGGTATCAAGAGGGGCATGGGCATTGCATACTGAAATCTGGCATCTGGATACGTTGCATGCCTACATGGAGGAGATGGAATCCAAAAGCTGTGATTTCAGAGGCTCACGAAGACAACTTGTGCTCACACAACAATGATAATTTTGGTCTGGACTTTCTTTTCATGAGAACATACTGAGAAGGATATAAGAGAAAGCAAACTATCTTGCATAGGGTAACACAGACGATCATTTGTGGCTTCCACACTAAGAACAAGGCGCTGGGATTGCATGTTTTGGTCTCCATGGTGTTTTATCCTCACAACCATGTGAGGCTGTGGGGCAGGTGAGGACATTTGACAGTGGAGGAAGGTGAGACTCAAGGCAGCTGAACTCACAGACCCAGTGTCAGGCAGGCAGTGAGCCATTGAGCTGCCCTTGAAGCCCTGGTCTGAGTTCAAAAGCTGGGCCCAAAACTTTCACAGCAACCCTCAAGAAAGTGTTTCTGTTCCATTTTTACAGTGAGGTTTCCAAAAGTTAATGAAGTTGTACCATTTCTCTAAATTTATTTTAAAATCTTTTTTATTCCCTGGATTATTCTGGAAAGTTGAAGGCATCTCCCAGCTAATAAGTGTAATAGCAAGGCATCTCCCAGCTAGTAAGCTTAATAGTGCCATTCCATGAAACCTCTGGTTCCTCAGTGCTTCTTTCCTGCATAGTATCTCAAACATGAAAACAATCAATTGTTTGGTTCAATGTTCCATGTGGATTAACCACTGATTTTTTTATTTAGGAAAAGACTATTTTTGACTGTTTCTTTTATGTATGTTATTTATTTATTTATTTATTGTCTTATTTTAAATTCTGGGATACATGTGCAGAACATGCATAGGTAAATGTGTGCCATGGTGGTTTGCCGCACCTATCAACCCATCACCTAGATAATTAAGCCCCGCATGTATTAGCTATTTATCCTAATGCTCTCCCTCCCCTGACCCCGCCAACAGGCCCCAGTGTGTGTTGTTGCCCTCCCTGTGTCCATGTGTTCCCATATTTCAGCTCCCACTTATAAGTGAGGATATGCAGTGTTTGGTTTTCTGTTCCTGTGTTAGTTTGCTGAGAATAATGGCTTCCAGCTCCATCTATGTCCCTGCAAAGAACATGATCTCGTTCCTTTTTATGACTACATAGTATTCCATCATGTGTATGTACCACGTTTTCTTTACCCAATGTATCATTGATGGGCATTTGGGTTGATTCTGTTTCTTTGCTATTGTGAATAGTGCTGCAGTGAACATACGTGTGCATGTATCTTTATAATAGAATGATTTATATTCCTTTGGCTATATACTCAGTAATGGGATTGCTGGGTCAAATGGTATTCTTGCTTCTAGGTCTTTGAGAAGTTGCCACACTGTCTTCCACAGTGGTTGAACTAGTTTACATTTCCACCAACAGTGTAAAAGTGTTCCTATTTCTCCATACCCTTGCCAACATCTCTTATTTCTTGACTTTTTAATAATTGCCATTATCACTGGCGTGAGATGTTATCTCATTGTGGTTTTGATTTGCATTTCTCTAATGATCAGTGGTGTTGAGCATTTTTGCCACATACATGTCTTCTTTTGAGAAATGTCTTTTCCCACTTTTTAATGGGGTTGTTTTTTCTTGTAAATTTGTTTAAGTTCCTTGTAGATTCTGTATATTAGACCTTTGTCAGATGGATAGGCTGCAAAAACTTTTTTCCCATCCTGTAGGTTGTCTGTTCACTTTGAGGATAGTTTCACAAACTGTGCAGAAGCTCTTAAGTTTAATTAGATCCGATTTCTCAATTTTTGCTTTTGTTGTAATTGCTTTTGGCATTCTCATCATGAAATCTTTGCTCATGACTATATCCTGAATGGTATTGCCTAGGTTTTCTTCTAGAGTCTTTATAGTTTTGGGTTTTACATTTAAGTCTTTAATCCATCTTGAGTTAATTTTTGTATAAAGTGTAAGGAAGGAGTCCAGTTTCTGTTTTCTGTATATGGCTAGCCAGTTCTCCCAGCACCATTCATTAAATAGGGAATCCTTTCCCCATTGTTTGTTTTTGTCAGGTTTGTTGAAGATCAGATGGTTATAAATGTGTGGTCTTATTCTGAGATTTCTATTCTGTTCCATTGGTCTATGTGTCTGTTTTTGTACCAGTACCATATTGTTTTGGTTGCTGTAGCCTTGTAGTATAGTTTGAAGTCAGGTAGCATGATACCTCTAGCTTTGTTCCTTTTGTTTAGCATTGTCTTGGCTATACTGGCTCTTTATTGGTTCCGTATGAATTTTGAAGTAGTTTTTTCTAATTCTGTGAAGACTATCAATGGTAGTTACATGGGAATAGCATTTGATTCTATAAATTACTTTGGGCAGTGTGGCCATTTCCATGATATTGATTCTTCCTATCCATGAGCATAGAATATTTTTCCATTTGTTTGTGCCCTCTCTTATTTCCTTGAACAGAAACGCTGGTTTTTGAGGTCATGCCTCACTTTCTTTGCTAACATATTTCTTTGCTCACTTTCTTTGCTGACATAAGGACCGACTCAGTCCTATTTTCCAAATGCAATTTGTGGCAGTGTGTTTGCACTCCGCAGAATGCAGCGTTTTCATTTTTTCACTTGTGATTGCCCACGTGACTGCCACCACGTGGAGTGCACCCAGCATTTAGCCCCCAGATTGCACGTGTGCTGAGGGGTGTCCTCACCCGCACAGATTCTGTAAGTAGATGTGCAGCTCTGACTTCAAACGGATATCACTACCAGATGAATCCCTTTCTGGTCAGTAGCAAACTTCCAAGAAGTTCAAATACAGGCTTGGAGATGGTAAGAGAGGAACTTTAATCTGAGGTAAACTTACGTGCCCACGTGAGAATGTTGTAGAGTCCCTTGTGCAAAATTTTATTACATAACATATTAGAATTGATACATTTTATTGAGGTTTAACTTCACTAGTCCCTCAGGATGGACAGGGAGAGTGGTTCCAGGACTCCCTTGGATACCCATGCTCAAGTGTCTGATAGAAAATGGCATAGCATTTCCAAATAACCTATGCATATCCTCCCTTATACTTAAAATCGTCACTAGATTGCTCATGATACCTAATACAATATAAATGCTATGTAAATAGTTGTTATGCTGTATTTTAAAAATTTGTATTATTTTTAAATTGTTGTATTATTTTTGATTGATTGATTTCTAAATATTTTTGATCTGTGGTTGGTTGAATCAGTGGATGGAGAATCTGTGGATACAGAGGACTGACTGCATATACAAAAATGTGTTAAGTGGAATTGAAATCAGATGCTGTAAAAGACAACAATATATTGGGTTTTGAAGAATGAATAGGAGTTCTTGGAGGGAGAGGAAATGGGGAGCTCACATGCCCTGAATGTCCTAGATCTTATGGCTCCCTGGGCAATTGGCTCTCTTGAGTAGATGCAGGATTGTGAAATATGCCTTTTACAGACTAAATGACTCCAGGGAAGTTATTTTGAGGCCTGCTTTTATATCTTTTGCTAATCCACTGCTGATCAGAATGTTAATTTAAGAACTTGATGATCTTTTAACTGCTTTCTAACTTTAAGAGTCAGAGGAGTAATTAAGTGCCCCTTATGCGTTTAGTCCAAAGTGCTGTGGGAGAAGAGAAGGCAAACCCTGGTGAATCTAGAGATCTCCATGCTTTTCTAAGAAGGTGATGTACACTGCTGAGGGAGGGAGGAAGGTGCACCAGCTCTCTATCCATGTGCAAATGGGTGGGCCAAGAGGTTCCCCCAAGAGAGAAACCCATCAGTGCAGACTCCTCAGTGCCATCCTTAGGACAGGCTGACAGTAGAGGCACCAGAGGGGTTTTTGAAAAGCAACGATCTCACATTCCACCCAGAGCAACATAGTCAGAATGTCTGGACTCTTAATACATTAAAATGAAGTTGATTAATTTCAAAACTTTTATCTGGATAATATGTGTATCTGGGAAGGAAACCAGGGCTGCTAAGGTCTTATGATAGAAAAGAATAGTACCCGTTTCAAACTTGCCTCATTCTTTCCCACCCTCAGTCCCATTTTCCAAATGCAATTGCCTTTTTTCTTTTGCTTCAGATTTTTTTAAAAAAATAACTAAATGTTATAGTTTCACGTGAAGTTTGCTTTTACCTCCACAACCTCCATTCTCCTCCCTGCATCCTTAGAGGAGTCCACTCTCCTTGAATTGCTCTGCCATCCTATTTCATTTGTTTGCTTTGATTTTTTCCTAAGTGCATATGATTATGTTCATCAAGGAGAAACCAACGTACCCTCCCTTTATCATATCGCTAAGAGTTTCTGGCTTCTTGTGCATGTTATTGAGAGGGCTGTATTCTATTTTTCTTGATGATTTTCTGCTGAGAGCCCGCCATACCATCTTCTTTCATGGACTGTTGCATCACTAGACAGCTGGAATCCTACATTTTCTTTTTATTGGACTTTTGGTTAGGCCTATTGTTATTGCACTCTTTGTTTTTCTTTATCTTGAATTTCATTCCTCCTTTTGTTAGATTTTAGGTAATTTCTTCAGGAAGGATGTATGCGTGGCAAAATTTCTGAGTCTCTCCGTGTCTGAAAATATCTTTATTTTGCCTTCCTGTTGGATTAATAATTTGGCTTTTGGCTTGGTATCAACTCTAGGATTGAAATAATTTCCCTTAGAACTTGGTGCTGTTGCACCATTCTGTCTTACATAAGTGTTGCTAAAGAGAAATATGGTATCAGTCTGATTCTCAGGAGTTTCTAAGGAGTTTCTTTTTTCTTTCTCTTGAAGCTTTTTAATCCTTTATTATTCTTGGTCTTCTGGAGTTTCAGAAACATGTGTTGACATGGGAGTTATTTTTCATTTATTCTGCTCAATTTGTAATACGGTCTTTCAGTGCAATGACTTATGCTTCTCTCTAGCTCTGGGAAGTCACTCTTCCATTATTTCTTTACAATTCTTCTATTATTTCTTCACCCCTATTTTATGTCCTTTTTTCCTTGGAGCACCTTCACTGAAACTTAATGCCTCTTTTCTGTCATCTCCTTAACTCCGTCACTTGGAAAATACAATTTCCTGACATTATTTTCTAGGCATCCTAATTAAATATTTTTGGCAATCTTTTTCTTCTTTTCCCAACAACTTGTTCTTATTATCTCTTCTTCTTTTTTTTTAAATAGTATCCAATTCTTTTAAAAATTAAATCTAACATTTATTTTAACATTTTAGGATAAACATTGAAATTTTTGAGTTCTCTTTTGTCCCCTGATGGTAGATAAGTCTTTTTCCTGGCAAGGAAGGTTGTTTGTGTATCATTGCCCCTGTTTCTGGCAGGGTTTGATTCAAGGTGAATGGGAGACAACCATTGACTCATCACCTTCTCTCATCCACTGCAGCCCCTTCCCCATTGCCAAGGTTGTCTGTGCTATAATCCATGGCTCCAGCAATCACCCTAGAAGCCTCAGCTCCTTTCTGCTGTTCATATGTGTGTTTTTACCTGGGTTCAATGTCAGGCCAAATATTAGCTGCCTCCTATTTGTTCCCCACCCCTGCTGACTGTGACCCTGTTCCTCTCCAGAATTCTGAGCTATAGCTCCTGTCACTCTAAGTGGTAATAAGGTGCCATTTTTCTTTCTTTATCTTCCAGAAATTTTTTGGGTATCTTTTGACCACTGATGACCGCCTTCTCATGGTCCATGTTTCAAGGTAGATTTCTTCCCATTTATGCTTCTGCTGTCATTTCAGGGTCTTAGGAGAGAACACAAGACCAATGTGTGTGCCCAGCCCACCATCTAGGATGCAAAGTCTCATCATGACATGAACTGCTGTCTGTATTGTAAAAGTACAAGGAAGATGACAGTCAATGATAGAGGTAGAAGGAAAGAGGTGGAAAGTGGCATGTGGGCTGGGTCTTGAAGTGCGATTGGCACTATGAAGGGCAGGGGCAGGTTAGATGAGGGTAGACTGGGGACTCCAGTGGCACTATGAATAACAGTGGGACACCAGCACAGGCTTGCTGGAACAGAGGAGGCACAAGCAGCAACAATCTTGTTCCCTCAACATTGTTCTCTCATCTGAGTACTCTGCAGTTCTGACTGAGCTTCTCCCTGAGAGTAGGCACAGCCCTAAGTCTTAGAGCGGAATCCCTGATGGCTGAGCACCAATGCATCTGAAGCCTGAAGCCTTCCTTGAGCCTCCTCCAGCCTGCAAGTACCCTGGCAGCAGAGTAGGAATGATAAAACATGCTCTAAACAAGGTGAGGAAATCCAACAATAATTTGTGATAGCACATCTGGTGTCATAGGTAGCTCTGTACTTGCAGTGTAAACATGGTGGGAGGCTATTTGCAAATATGTACAAGTCTTGTCAAAGGAGTGTTTGTACAGAATAAATGGAGATAAGTGCCTCTAGAAATAGTGCTTTTTCAATAACAACTATTATTGATCATCTAAAAGTTTTAGACACTTTGTGGCACATAATTATCACAATGCTATGATAGGTGATGCTATTACCATTTTACATACCAAATCCCCAGGTCCAAAACAATTTATCTAAAGCACAAGATCATGCACCAGTAATGGACAGAGGCAGGACCTGAGCTCATGCCTGCCTCCTTTTCACTCATCTCTCTCAGTGCTTTGCACCACCACCCACACCCACCTCTTCTATGAGTCTTGCTTGCCTATACTTTCTCTGTTTCTCTGTAGTAGTCGAGGTTCTGATATTGGAAGTAGTAGAGGAAAGTGGGACCTGGCTGATTTGTGTAGTGCTGTGGCAACCAGGGGCAGCCAAGTCTAGAAAGCCTGGCAGCTGCAAACAGGCTCTGCTTCAGTGCTGTGAGAGGACTTGGATGGAGTGCCTCTTGGAAGCTTGTTCTTGGAGTGAACTCCAGTGAACCCCTGCATAGTCTTGACCTCATCCCATATCCTCTCTCATCCCTAATCCTCTGGCTCAGAGAAGGGAGGCACTGAACAGGCTGCCATGTGAAATGCAAAGAGAAAGGGAAAGATGCACTAAGAAAAACAAATACTGAGAAAGATTCACAGCAGCACCTTCCCCATCCCCAATTAAGTTAAGCCTTACTTCTTTAAGGACAAAAATACACACACACACACACACACACACACACACACACACACAGAGTATATGCAGCTCTACTACACTGCACTTTCCACATTGCATTGCAGTTAATTCACTAGTTTAACTAATGTTTATTGAGCATCTGTTGTATGCCAGATGCTGTTCTAGGCTCTAAAGATGTACAGTGGGCAAAACAAATACAAATTCTTGTCCTTGTGGAAACAATAGCCAGTTGAACAATGAGATGGGAATATCAAATGTGATTTTATATGATGACAAAAAGTCTATGTTAAGTAATACCATAAACAAAGGAAAATACTAAAAGAGTACACACAAATTGCACTCCATATGCCACATAAAGATCTATGTGTGAAATAACACTTGCCAACTTACTTCATGCCACAACACATATAAAAGTAGAGAATATGAGCTCTGCATCGTGTGGATGAATGGGGTAAATGGATGGGACTGCATGCATCCTTAGCGACAAGGCCTGAGGGATGGTGCCTCAGGCCGTCCAGGCTGCCGGAGGAGTATTCACTACACTTCAGCGTCCTTATGACCCATGTGTGACACATACCCATTGAGTACTATTAGATGAGACGGCATAATATACTAAAAGCTCCTACAAATGGAAAAAAATGATAAACCATTTAATACAACTTATGGGAACATATGCTGAATACGTGATTTGCAGGACTTACAGAGAAAACACCAAAGCCTGACAACAGTATGAAAATATGCTCAACCTCACTAATAGAGAAATGCAAACAAAACCATTTCTTCTGCTTGTTCTTTTGCCAAATATCATCACCTAGTGCTGGAGATACTGGGGAAATGGGCACTCTTAGATCTTCCTGGGGAAATGTAAGTTCAGTATTTCTGGAAAACAGTCTGGTCTGATGTATTAGAACTAAAAATATGCCTACTGTATACAGGGACAGTCATTACAGCCATGTTTGTAATGGGAAAGAACTGGGAAGAACCTAAATACTCACTGATTAAAGACTTGTAAAATAATGATACGCCCAAGTATTGAGATCCTGTGCAGTTGTGAAAACATCATGACGCATTCCCTTTATACTGAAGCGGAAAGGGTATCAAGATGTAATGTCAAAGGACAAAAGCCAAACATGGACCTCTGTGTGTGTCCAGTGCCAAGCGGCCCACTCATGTCTGAAGATGTTACAAGCTTTTGGAATTCCAGAGGATCCCACAAGAGTGGAAGGAGATTGTGCCTGTGTCCCCCTCAGCCAAGAGCTCCGTAAGGGAAGGACTGGCCCTTGATCAATGTCTGAGGTGTGGATGGATTCACCCCAAAGGAGGATGCAGGTCCAGGATGCTAAATTCAAACCAGAGCAAATCTGCTTCGGGAAACTGGTTCTGAATGAGAAGCTCAACATGGCCATGTGCACACCTGCTATGTGCACAGATAGCAAATAATAAGCCTGTTTTCCAAACCAGCCAGGGAAGCAGTGAGGAGAGGCTGCCTCATGTCAGCCACATGGAGCTACACTCCTTCACTCCCTCTCAGCAACCCTGAAAGCCAGGACCTTCTTCTGATGGGGGGGGCAACTTATCGGACAATACATGAGGCCTGTGCTGGGTATGAGGGGAGATATTTTATAGTTTTCTTTTTCCCTATGCATTTTAACACACTTTTGAATGCAATAAATAGATAATTTGGGATCTTGTCTTTTAACATAACATAATGTACATATTTTTGTGTTACTGTGTTTTATAAATAAAATGGGCTACTATCCTTAGGTGCGTACATTGCTTACATTATTTTTGTTTACAACAAATAAAACTGTAATGAACACCTTTGAACAAAAGAAGCTTTTTGTTTGATAGAATTTCACTAGGGTAGACCATAGGCAGCGAATTAGCGCAGTCCAAGGTGGGTTTGTTTCAAGTCTCTTGACGTATATGCATTGGACTCATGTATTCGAGTGGAGACGCCCCCATGTTCAAAAGCAGCACCATGACTGTATTGAAAGCATAACCACAATTTGGGTCATTTCTACAAGTCCAATCCAGACACTGCACTGGGGCAAAGGCATAGAAAGAGGGTGGCCAGGCAGGCCACTGAGGCATGGAAAAGGTGTGGTTTCTAAACCACTCACTTCCCCGCACCCGCATCCTTGGGGAGGGCCCTTTGAAATGGTTCAAGGTGAGGAGGAAGGGCAGGAGGGTTAGGTAGAGAGGGAAGGCCACTCAAGACAGCTGAGACTGGAAGGCATAAGGAAAGATTAGATATGAGGCCCCAGTGTGCAAAAAGGAAAAACAATAAAAGAGAAGAAGAAAAAGAATAGTGACTAGAAAGAGAAACTGAGGACCTAGAGACAGGTAGATCCTCATGCACTTGCAGAGTTCTGGTACCACACCAGGTTCATGTCTGACACAGTTTAGATGCCTTTATGGCCTGTGGCTTCTCAGGGGCCTAGGGGGAGGGAGGTTCTCTTGTTTCCACACACTACATGGAGGGCTGTGTGTGATTTGTGAATTGGCAGTCATAGGCATACAGAAAAATCATTAAACTCTCAGCCTTAAAAATGACTCAGGCCATGACCCCAACTCAAGCATGCTCTCCCTCCTGGCACATGCCAGAGTGACCCTTCTTTGTGCTGGAATTTTTATGGGGCGGTCATGTACTAGCTTTTCCCAAGTGCCTCTCAAGGATCCAGCCCTGAGAGGATTAAGACGTGGCCTCTGGCTTTGAGGAGCTTGCAGCCTCGAAAGGGACGTGCACCTCAGAAAGATGGTGGGCCTGCCTTGTGCTCTATTCTGCTGGCAAGAATCAATTCCCAAAGCCAAGGGTCTAGGTGTCATTGTTCCAAGTATGAGTCCTTTACATTCAGTCCTTCATTGTATTTGCTTACCCATCAAATATCTATGGAGCCTTTGTTCTATGGCAGGCTCTGTCAAAGAGTAAAAAGTATGTGGAGTGAAAGATAGTCGTGTCAAACATGATCCCTGTTCTCAAGAAGCCACATTCAAGACGGGGAGAGAAAGAAAAAAAACAGACTGCGTAAGACTTGTAGTCTTAAGAAAAGTTCAGAGTGCTGGTTCTTATTTTACTTGGGTGGCTGGGATGGAGTGAGGGGACAATGAGGGATGGAAGCCAGGGATGATTGACCCCAAGAAAGAAGTGTGCAACTAAGAAGTGGGAGTATAATTAGGTACTGGCATTGGGCATCGTCCTTGACTCACGAAGAAGCAGCCAGTGAAGTTTTGGCAGAAAGTACAGCCAGCGGAGAGGGTGCTGAGCATTCAAAGAGTGTGTTTGTCAGGGTTCAGTTTGGACTAATGTTAAATATTGAGCTTGTGTGATTAGTTACATTTTCCTTTACAAAGAGGCAGGATGGAAATGTTGACCTGCTTTCTTTTGCAGGTCTGGCTTAGACTGATCAGACCCATTAGAGTCCGGCAATTTTTTTTAAAGCAAATATCTGACTCTTAGCTTAAATGCTCACAGCCAAGGAAATCTGTTAGCGGGAGACTTTTCCTAATAGTATATTATGATTTCAAGGAATTCATGCAGGAGTACATACATTTTCCCACAGATAGCAAATTTGACCTTAGAAATAACATGTTTATCCTTGCAAATTTGACAGCCATAAAGCACTTTGCATATGAATTATATTATTTGATACTGACCTCTGAACATTTGTTTTTCTCCTGAGAGCAATATACAAAAGTAGAAAAAGTGTCCAAAATGTGCCCATTGATAATTGAACAGTCAATTTAGTGGCCACCTAAGATACTTCCTTAATCTTTTTCAGTCAACCAACAGCAAACAACAAGAATTTCTTATCCAGAAACCATCAATATTCTGAAGTAACAGATGTGGTAACCTGCAGTATATTTTGGGAACTAATTGACTTATAAAACCACATGCATGGATTGCAAAGGAAATCAATTCCTATAATTTCCTGAAAGAGGGGTATGTCCTGAGAATGGCCTGTGGATGACCAGGATTCTTCTCTGGAGGGAGAGGATTGCAAGTCAGATCCAGATTTTAGACCCGCCTCTGCCACCATGTGGTCCAGTAACTCCTCCCTAGCCCTCCGTGCTTCATCTGTAAAATGAGGACTTTGGCACCACTTCCCATAGCTGAGTATACATTTGTAAAGCAGTTAAAAAGTGTTTAAGTGGCTTTCACACACTTTGGTTTTATCTTTCACAGTGGTCCTGTGAAGTTGCTAGACCATGGTTTAGCGTTTGTACTAATAATTAAAAAAGGAATGGGAAACCCAGAAAAGTTCAGAGGCTTGTTCAGTGTCTCATAGCCAGAGCAGGGGCTCCTGGCTTTTGGGATTCCACATCCACCACTCACATCTGGAGCCCCTCATGGCCTTCCAGAGGCACTGCTCGCATTGTAGCTGGCATCCGCTCAGCATCCGCTGGCATCCCCGCAGCTCTGCTAGCTGCATATTGCAGACCCTCTTTGGGCAGTGGCAAAGGATATTAAGGGCTGGCCTGGAAGGGAAAGGCCACAAGTGAGAATTTTAACAAAATCGTATGAAATTTTAACTTAAAATATTATTTATTTTCTCTGTGTTTCTAATGGTCACAAACACCAAAATTTGTAATCCTCAGATGTAAATATTTGCTCCTGATGAGGGTGGGACATTTGCAGTCAAAATGAAAGTCAAATAAAGTTTTAAAACATAAGACTCATTTAATTTTGTCCACAACTTTAAATTTTTCTGTTGTTGTTTTCAATATAATAGCGTTATTGAGATATAATTCACATACCATAAAATTGAATCATGGTTTTTAGTGTATTCACAGAATCGCACAACCATCACCATAGTCAAATTTAGAATATTTTCATTATTCCCCAAATATACCTGTAACAGTTGTTCAATTACTTCTCATTTCCCCTCAAACTACTCTCTACCCCATGTAAGCAATTGCTAATATCAGTTTCTATAGATTTGCATGTTCTAGACTCTTCATATAACTGGAATTGTATATTCTGTGGTTTTTGTGTCTGATTTCTTTCATTTAGCATCATATTTTCAAGGTTTATTCATGTAGAAGCATGTGTCAGTACAATAGGTCCTCAAATAACATTGTTTCGTTCAACGTAAATTCATTAGGATGCTGATGATTAGAAAACAAAACATTCCTGGCTGGAGCCACTGTCTGAGTGGAATTTGCACATTCTCCCCATGTATGCATGAGTTTTCTTTGGGTACTCAAAGTTTTCTCCCACTTCTCAAAGCAGTGCACATGTTAGGTTAATGGGCGCCTAAATTGTCCCTGTCTGAGTAAGTGTGACCTGAGTGTGTGTGCCCTGCGATAGAATAGCTTCCTGTCTGGGGCTGGTTCTGGCCTTGTGTCTGGAGCTGTTGGGACCTAGTACAGACACTATCAACCCTAAGTTGGAGTAATTTGGTAAATAATTATCGTATTTGGTTTTTATTAATCTTTCTTACATGTACATATAGCTCACTGTTACTTCAGTGTTTAATATTAGAATAGTCCCTTCCTTCCTTCCCTCCTTCCTTCTTTCCCTCCCTCCCTCCTTTCTTCCTTCCTTCCTTCTTCCTTCCTTCCTTCCTTCCTTCTTTCCTTCCTTCCTTCTTTCTCTCTCTCTCTCCTTCCTTCCCTCCCTCCCTCTTTCTTTTCTTTCCTTCCTTCCTTCCTTCTCTCTCTCTCCTTCCTTCTTTCCTTCTTTCTTTTCTTTTCTTTCTTCCTCTCTCTCTCTCTCTCTTTCTCTCTCTCTCTTTCTCTCTTTCTTTCTTTCTTTCTTTCTTTCTTTCTTTCTTTCTTTCTTTCTTTCTTTCTTTCTTTCTTTCTTTCTTTCTTTCTTTCTTTCTTTCTTTCTTTCTTTCTTTCTTTCTTTCTTTCTTTCTTTCTTCTCTCTCACCCTGTCAACCAGGCTGGAGTGCACTGGCACGATCTTGGCTCACTGCAACCTCCGCCTCCTGGGTTCAAGCGACCCTCTTGCCTCAGCCTCCGGAGCAGCTGGGATTACAGGCGCCTGCCGCCATGCCCGGGTAATTTTTTGTATTTTTAGTAGAGATGGGGTTTCACTATGTTGACCAGGCTGGTCTCGAACTCCTGGCCTCAAGTGATCCACCCGCCTCGGCCTCCCAAAGTGTTGAGATTACAGGCATAAGCCACTGCACTTGGCCTGTTTTGGGTCTTTATTTAGAAGTTTGGTGATATTTTTGTGACCAGAAATATGCCTTGGAAACTAAACTCTGTCTTATATCAGAGATGGTGGTAAAACTGGTTTAGTATGCATCGTTTCACTTAAAAACTGGTTTAGTATGCATTGTTTCACTTAAAATTGTAGTTTCCAAGAGCCTATCAAGGATGTTAAGTGAGAACTTACTGTGGTTTCTGTTGCTGAGCCAATATTCTATTATTGGATGTACCACCATTCACCATTATCCATTCATCAGTTGTTCCTACTTTTTGGCTATTATGAGCAATGCTGCTATGAAAATTTATTCTAAAGTCTTTGTGTGGAGACATGTTGTTATTATTCTTGGGAATATACATAGGTGTGGAATTAAGGAGTCAAATAGTAACTGTATCTTTAACTTTCCAAGGAACTGCCAGGTGTTTTCCAAACCTGCTGCATGATTTCACATTCCACCAACAGTGTCTGAAGTTTCCAGTTTCTCCCCTTTTTGCAAACACATCATCAGGTGAGTGTGTGTGTAGCCATCCTAGTGGGTGCAAAGTGGATCTCACTGTGGCTTTTTAAATTTGCATTTCCTGGATGGCTAATGATGTTGAACACCTTTTCACATACTTATTGAATATTTGTGTATAATCTTTAGAGAATATCCCTTCAGATAATTTGCCCATTTAAAAGTTGGATTATTTGTTATCTTTTCTATCATTGAGTTGTAAGAGTTCTTTATATGTTCTAGAAACAAGTTCCCTAGTACATATAGTATTTGCAAATATTTTCTCCATTCTATGCGTCATTGTTTAGGTTTCTTAATGATATACTATAAACCACAAGGTTTGTAACTTTTATGAGGTCGTATTTGTCTATTTTATCTTTGTCATGAGCTTATAGTATCATAATCTGAAGAGGCCTTCCCTAAGCCAAGGTTGTGAAGATCCTGTTTTATAGTGTTAGCTCTTCAGTTAGGTTCATGCCATTTACACAGATATAGTTTTGCTTCCTCCTTTCCAACATAAGAGCCTTTAAATATATATATATATATTCTTGCCTAATTGCCCTGACTAGAATTTCCACCAAAATATTGAAAAAAAAGTGGGAAAAGCAAACATCCTTGTCTTGTTTCTGTTCTATGGGTGAAAACATCCAGTCTTCACCATTAAGTGTGGATTTTTCGTATGTGTCCTATATCAGTTCGATGAAGTTCCCTTCTATTTCTAGTTTGTTGAGTGTGTTTATCATAAAAGCGTGTTGGCATTTGTTAACCGCTTTTTTTCTGCATCTATGGAGATGATTACATGGTGTATATCCTTTATTGATATGGAGTACTACATTAACTGATTAAAACAATCTTACATTGCTGGGATGAATCCCAATTAGTCGTGCTATATAATCTTTTTAATTTGTTGCTGGATTTTGTTGTCTGGTATTTTGTTGAGGACTTTAATGTTTACATTCATAAGAGATGTCTTTCTGGTTTCATATCAGGGTAATACTAGCCTCCAAGAATGAGTTGAAAAGTGTTTCTTTCTCATCTATTTTTTGGAAGTATTTATTAGAATTAATGTTTAAATGTTTGTTAGAATTCAATAGTTAAATATTCTGGGCTTAGAATTTTTTTTCTGGAATTACAAAATTGCTATATGTATGTAAAACATATATACATATAAACACACACACACATATTTGTGTGTGTGTGCTTTTTGAGATAAGGTCTCACTCTGCCGCCTAGGCTGGAGTGCAGTGGTGGAATTGTGGCTCACTGCAGGCTCTATCCTGGGCTCAAGTGATTCTCCTGCCTCAGCCTCCTGAGTAGCTGGGACTACAGACATGCTCCATCATACCTGGTTAATTTTTTTT
Organism: Homo sapiens; assembly: GCF_000001405.40. Taxonomy (NCBI): domain Eukaryota; kingdom Metazoa; phylum Chordata; class Mammalia; order Primates; family Hominidae; genus Homo; species Homo sapiens. Next base: position 126,567,616 of record NC_000002.12, on the reverse strand, counting down.
TTTTTTTGTAGAGACAGGGTCTCAATGTGTTGTTTAGGCTGGTCTGGAAATCTTGGGGTCAAGTGATTTTCCTGCCTTGGACTCCCAAAATGCTGGGATTACAGGTGTGAGCCACTGTGCCTGGCCAAATTGCTAATTGAATCTGTTGTCTAACTAAATCTATTCGATTTTCTATTTCTTCTTGTCAATTTCAACAGGTTGTGCCTTCTGGAAACTTTTCCATTTTATGTAAGTCATCTAACTTACTGATGTTGCTTTGTTTTATAATTTTTCAGATAACAGGAACTTGATTTGATGAAATGTTTCACTTTTAGGTTTAGTACTTTTGACATGGTTCAGGAAAAGCATACCGTTTCTGAAGTGAGACAGACCTAGGTGAAAGATCTCCCTCTGCTTCTAACTTGTTCTCAGGGGTGAATTTTAAATTCTATCAACCTCTGTTTGGTTGTTGAGCCTTATTAGGCATCAAGGGCCATGGTAAGAGCTTCCCCCATATTATTTAATAATGAGGAAAATGTTCTTTTTTAAAAATAGGAAATGGAAGCTCAAAGAGCTGACTTGAGAGGGTAGCACATCCTTTATGTGATGGAGCCAGGGTGCAATCCCAGGTCTGTGAGATTCCAGGACTGTACTACTCTATTTTATTGCCTTCAGATCTCCATTTGTGGGTTTACTTTAGGATCTGAACATGCATTGACTATGATACTTGATTCTGAATCATTTTGTTTGCTGTTGTTGTGGTGGTGGTGGCTTTTTTTTTTTTTTCATGCATTGGAAAATTCTTAAGGCCCTGCTTATATGGTTTCTTTTAAGGCACTTTTGCCTTTTGCCGTATTCATGGAATACGGCAAAAATAAACATGACTGCCATTCAGTGGGCTTAACATAAAAAATACCTATGAGTGGCCGGGCGCAGTGGCTGACACCTGTAATCCCAACACATTGGGAGGCCAAGGCGGGAGGATCACTTCAGGTCAGGAGTTCAAGACCAGCCTCACCAACATGGTGAAACCCCGTCTCTACTAAAAATATGAAAATTAGCCAGGCGTGGTGGTGGGAGCCTGTAATCCCAGCTACTTGGGAAGCTGGGACAGGAGAATCGCTTGAACTCAGGAGGCGGAGGTCGCAATGAGCAGAGATTGCGCCATTGCACTCCAGCTTGGGCAACAAGATTGAAACTCCGTCTCAAAAAACAAACAAAAAACAAACAAACAAAAAACAACTATGAGTTGGACTTTATTGTTTCTATTTTGCTGAAAAGGAAACTGAGGTTTGAAATAGTTAAGTGTCTTTCCCAAGGTCCACAGCTTCCTCAGTTCTGTGATGTCTCTCACAGCTCTCTGGCTGGCTCCTTCTCATTTTGCCACTTCTCTCTTGGATTGCTCATGAGTCTTCTCCTGGCCTGCCTTTCCCTAGCAGCCTCCTGCCCTCTCTCCTTGCAGTGCTGCCCAGGCCTGTTGAAAAGCAAATTTTATCACTTGGCGCTTCTGGTGAGCATCCTTCAGTGGTTCCCGGGCTTTCAGGATATCATTCAGAAGTATTTCTTCAGGCCTTAAGGCCTTCAGTGACCCAACCTGGCTGATCTTCTGGCTTCTTCTCCATCTCTAGGAGTGCACTTTGCTCCTGCCCTATGGAACTACAGTAGTCATCAGAAATATCACGCTGTTTAATTATGACTTTACACGTGCTGTTACCTCTGCCTGAAGATTTCCTTCCCATTCTTTTGTTTTATTCAACCCTGCTTATTATTTGAAATCTTGTTCTTTCTTCAAAGCTTATTTGATACCCAACCTTCTCAGTCTCATTCTAGTGCTCCTATTGGGTGCTCTTAAGGTCTCTGGTTTATGGCCCTGTCTTATCTTTTGTCATGCTGCTAGAGCTGTTGACTTCTTTGCCTTCCCCTCTGGATTAAGAGCTCTTAGAAGGTAGAGAGCTGTGCATCTCAGGACCTAACATGGTGTGCATTTCAGTGTGGAGGCTTAACACTTTTTTTTTTAAACCAACTATGGTATGAACACCAAACAGTACAACTGGAAAAAAGAGCACTTTTCACCCTTGCCTGGGAATCCTATCAGGCAAATCCCTACACATTGCATTTAGCTTTATTGTCTTATTCAGATACTTGGCTGCAATCCGTCAGACACTTCTCATCCATTAAATATAATTATAGGCTTTGTTGGACTAACCAGATGTTAAGCATAGTGAAAAGCAGATGTCATTTCATCCAACAAAAAGGTTATAAACCTGTTTATGTTGGCAGTCAACTACAAGTGTTTGAATGATGGGTGAAGCAGACAGGTCTTTCGGTTGGTAAACCCAAGAATAAGGGCTCCTCTCAGGGGAAGGGCGTCGGGTAATTGGGGTTGAGGTGGAGTTGCAGACTTGGTAGTAGTAGTAATGACCTGGCTAATTGTACCAGCTGCTTGAGATGATACATGTATCTCTTCTTGATACATGAAAGTTGTTATCCCAGGAGAGCACACCCAAGGTTCCAGACCTTCAGGGATTCTGAAGGAGTGTGTTTGGAATGAGATTTCCTCCCTATCTCAGATGATGGTGCCAGGATCCACCCAGGCTCCCAGGCTAGAACCTGGACATCAGCACTGAGGAGTTACTCCTTCTACTTCCTGCATCAAACAACAATCTAGTCTTGCCCATTTTATCTCCCAAGAATTTCTTAAATATTCTCCTTATTTCTAGTTCTATTAACATTGCCCTAGTCCATGTATCCCATTACCTCTTGACCAGACTCCTTCCACAAGGGCCCGTAACTATTGTTCTCTACTTGCAGCTATGGCCTGCCCCACTCATCCTCCATTCAATGGCTAACATAATCCTTCACACATAGCCCAAATTTGGACATGCCCCTCTCTCGTGTAGAGCCATCTAATGGTTTTCTATCTTCTGCTGGATTAAATCCAAGTCTCTTGGCATGCCACACAGGCCTTCCATTATTCCCCCTACCTCTCCAGTCTCTTGACTCTCCAATTCTGGCCTGAAAATGTCAGGTTTTAAACTGAATTCTTTGTAGATTCTTGCTCGCATCCTCCTGTTTTAAAACTGCGTAACATTATTTGTGTTGGTTCCACTGCCTGGAATTCCCTTTCCACCTTTTTCCCTCTAAACTAGTCTCATTTACTTAAAAGTGTATTTTTTAATTGAGGCACAATTTACATAAAAAATTAATCATTTTAAAGTAAGTAATTTAGTACATTTACAATGTTGTAAATCACGATCTCTATCTAGTTCCAAAACATTTCATCACTCCAAAATAAAATCCCTTTAACACTAAGCAGTTACTTCCCGTTTCATCCTTCCCCAGGACCTGAAAACCATCAGTCTGCTTTCTGTTTCTCTGGATTTACCTATTCTGGATATTTTATATAGATGGAATCATATGATACGTGATGTTTTGCTTTTGGCTTCCTTTTCTTAGCATAATGTTCTTAAGGTTTCTCTATGGTGTAGCATGTATCAACCCTTCTTTGTTTTTTATCGCTCCATAATATTCCATCGTATGTATATACAACAATGTGTTTGTTTATCTATTGATATTTGGGTTGTTTTCACATTTTGGCTAGTGTAGTGCTACTATAAACATTCATGAACAAGTATTTGTTTGAATACCTATTTTCAGTTGTTTTTTGTACATACCTAGGAGTAGAGCTTTTGAATCACATGGTAACTCTATGTTTAAACTTTAGTAACCAGCACCATTCTATCTTTGCATCAGCAACATTGGAAGGTTCCAATTTCTCCAGATCTTGATCAACAATTATTATTTTCCATCTTTTTGATTATAGGCATCCTAGGGAGTGTTAAGTGGTATTGATTTGCATTTCCCTAGTGATTAGTGATGTTGGATACCTTTTCATTTGCTTGTTAGCCATTTGTATCTTTTTTGGGGGTAAAGTCTGTTCAAGTACCTTGCCCATTTAAAAAGTTGAATTGTCTTTTTGTTGTTGACTTGTAAGAGCTCTTTACATGTTTTGGATACCAGACATTTATTAGCTATATCATTGTCAAATATTTTTTCCCATTCCCTAGGTGATGTTTTCAATTATTTATTAATGTGTTGATGCAAATGTTTTTAATTTTGATGAAATCCATTTTATGTATTTTTTTATTTTGTTGCTTATTCTTTTGGTATTATATCTAATAATTCACTAAAAAATTAAAGATAATGAAGATTTACTCCTATGTTTTCTTCTAATAGTTTTATAGTTTTAGCTCTTATATTTAGGAATTTCACCCATTTTGAGTTAATTTTTGTGTATGGTATAAGGTATGAGTTCAGATTTATTGTTTTGCCTCTGGATATCTAGTTATTCCAGTACCACTTGTGAAGAGACTATTCTTTCCTCATTAAATGATCTTAGCACACTTGTCAACAATTAATTGACTATAGATGTATAGGTTTATTTATGGATTCTCAATTCTATTTAATTAGGCTAAATGTCTATCCTTTGCCAGTGCCACACTGTTTTGATTGCTGTAGCTTGTAGTAAGTTTTGAAATTGGTAATTGTGAGCCTTACAACTTTGTTCCTTGTCAAGACTGTTCTGGCTATTCAGGCACTCTTGCATTTCATATGAATTGGAGGATACACTTTTTCATTTCCACACAAAAGGCTGTTGGGACTTTGACAGCAATTGCCTTGAATGTGATTATTGCTTTGGATAGTATTTCCATCTAAACAATATTAAGTGTTCCAAACCATGAACATGGGATGTACTACCATTTATTTAAGGCTTTATTTTACAAATGTTTTCTAGTTTTAAGTGTTTATGTCTTTCACTTCCTTGGTAAAATTTATTGCTGGATAACTCATGCTTTTACAAAAATACTATTATTAAGGTAACTGTTTTCTTAATTACTTTTTCAAGGTATAGCACACAATGGATTTTTGTGTGTCACCTTGTACTTTACAATTTTGCTGAATTCATTTATTTACTGAAGTTGATTTTGTTTCTTTGAGATTGTCTATGCATGGGAGAGATGGTTTAACTTCTTCACTTCCAATTTTGATACTTTTTGTTTCTTGTTCTTGTATAATTGCTCTGGTTAGAATTTCCAATACAATGTTGAATAGCAGTGATAAAAGCAGACCTCCTTGTCTTGATCTTAGGGAAGAAGCTTTCACTTAATTCACTACCATTGAGTATGGCATTAGCTAAGGGTTTTTCATAAATGCTTTTGACATATTGAGAAAATTCCTTTCTGTTCTTAGTTTCCTGAGTGTGTGCGTGTTTAAAATCATGAATGGTTGTTGGATTTCACCAAATACCTTTTCTTTTGCATGAATTAATCATCATGTTCCTTTTGCTTTTTTCTATTAATGTACTTTATTTCATGGCAAACCACCTTGTTTAAAGAGAGATACATGCTGTTTGGTCACTGCATATAATACTTTTAATATGTGTTCATTATTGAGTTTGATGGTATTTTGCAGAGAGTTTTGGCACCTATAGTCATAAGAAATAGTAGTCTGTAGTTTTCTTCTCTTGTGGTATCTTTCTTTGTCTGGCTTTGGTATCAGGGTAATGCTGACTTTGTAGCATGAGTTAGGAAGTATTCCCACCTCTTCTTTATTTGGAAGAATGTGAGATGCATTGGTATTAATTCTACTTTGGATTTTCAGTAGAATTCATCAGCGAAGCCATCTGGTCCTAGATATTTTTTGTTGTTGTTGGGATGTATTTGATTACAGATTCAATCTCTTGTTACAGGTGTGTTCAGATTTTCTATTTCTTCTTGAGTCACTTCTGGTATTTGTGTGTTTCTAAGAATCTGTTTATTTCATCTGGGTTATATAATTTATTTATGCGATACTGTTTATGATATTATCTTAAAATATTTTTTGTATTCTGTAAGCTCAGTAGTAATGTCCCCACTTTCATTTCTGATTTTAGTTATTCATCTCTTTTCTATCTTTATCAGTTTAGCTAAATGTTTGTCAGTTTTATTTGTGTTTTAAACAGCCAAATTTTGGTTTTCTTGATTAGGTTGTTTTTCTATTTTCTACTTCATTTATTTCTGCTCCAATTTTTATTATTTCCTTCCCTATGCTAGATTTGGGATTAGTTTACTCCTTTTTTTTCTAGTTTCTTAATATTATGGTTAGGTTATTGATTTAAGATTCTTCTTTCTTTTTAATGTAGGCTTCACAGCTATAAATTTCCCTCTGAACATGACCTTCACTGCATCCTATAAGTTTTTGAAGGCTGTGTTTTTGTTTTCATTCATCTCAAAGTATTTTCCAATTTATCATTTGATTTCTTCCTTGGCCCATTGATTGTCTAAAAGCGAGTTGTTTGATTTTTACATATGTGTTAATTTTCTAGTTTTTCTTCTGTTATTGACTTATTGCTTTATTTCACTGTGATTGGAGAGACATTTTATATGATTTCAATTTTTAAAAATTTATTACATCTTGGCCAGGCATGGTGACTCATGCCTGTAATCCTAGCACTTTGAGAGGCCGGGGTGGGTGGATCACTTGAGGTCAGGAGTTTGAGACGAGCCTGGCCAATGTGGCGAAACCCCATCTCTACTAAAAACACAAAAATTAGCTGGGCATGGCAGTGTGTGCCTATAATCCCAGCTTCTTGGGAGGCTGAGGCACGATAATCACTTGAACCTGGGAGGTGGAAGTTACAGCGAGCCAATATTATACAACTGCACTCCAGCCTGGGCAAGAGAGTGAGATTCTGTCTCAATAAATAAATAAATAAATAAATAAATAAATTTATTACATCTTGTCTTATGTCTAGCCTATGGTCTATGCTGAAGAATGCTTTATGTGTGCATATGAAGAATGTGTAATCTGTTGTTGGGTGAAGTATTATTTATCTATCATCTGTCTATCGTCTATTAGGTCTAGTTAGCTTATAGTGTTGGTCATATTCTCAATATCTCTATTTATCTTCTGTTTAGATATCATATCCATTATTGAAATGGTGTATTCAAGTCTCTCATTATTATTGTATAGCTGTCCATTTCTCCTGTCAATTCAGGCTATGTTTGGTTTATATATTTGGGGGCTTTGATGTTTGATGAATATATGCTTATAATTGTTATATCTTCTTAATGAATTGACCATTTTAACAAGATATAATGATGTTATTTATTTCTTGTAACAATTTTTGAGTTAAAATCTATTAAGTCTGATATTAAACAGCCACTACAGATATTGTTTGGTTACTATTTGCAAACTATTTGTGTCTCTGAACCTAAAGTGAGTCTCTTATAGACAGCATATAATTAGATCATTTTAAAATCCATTCTGTCAGTCTCTGATTTTTAATTGTCAAGTTTAAGCCATTTACATTTAAAGTGGTTACCAATGAAGTACATGCTTCTTCCATTTTTTGTTTTTTGTATATTTTATATTATTTACAATAATTATTCTCATAATGTGTCTTTCATGTTTGGTTGATTTTTTTCTAGTGTAGCATTTGATTTCCTTTTGTTTATATTTCTAAATTATTTTCTTAGTGATTACCATAGACTAACAATTTAAAAAATTTAAATTTATAACATTCCAGTTTGAACTGATAACAACTTAATTTAGTAGCATACAAAATTTAGTAGCATTAACAAAAATCTTCTCCCCTCTATATTGCTATTGTCACAACATGTATCTTTATACATTGTGTGTTAATTTACATAGATTTATAATTATTGTTTTATTCATTTGTCTTTTAAATAATATAGGAACAACAAAGAGGAGTCACAAATGACAAAAACAATTATACTGTCTTTTATTTACTTATTTATTTACATTTATTGTAGTTCCTTATTTCTTCATACAACTTCAAGTCCTGGGCTAATGTTCTTTTATTTCAGCCTGAAGACTCCCTTTAGCATTTCTTGTATGACAGATATAGTAGTGACAAAGTTCCTCAACATTTTTTTAGTTGAGAATGCCTTAATTTCTCCTTCAATTTTTAATAATAGTTTTACAAGAAATAGAATTTTTGATTGACTTAAAAAAATTTAGAACTTTAAATATGTTATTACACTGCCTTTTAGTCTCCATTGTTTCAGGTGAGAAATTGGCTCTTAACGTTATTGAGAATGAATTGTGTATGACAAATCACTATTTCTCTTACTCCTTTTAAAATATGCTCTCTGTTTCTGTCTTTCCACAATTTAATTATCATATGTCTTGATGTGGACCTTTGAGTTTATCCTACTTAGAGCCCATTGAGCTTTGTGCATGTGTAGGTTTACATTTTATATCAAATTTGGGGAGTTTTGATCATTATTTCTTCAAATGATCTTTCTACCACTTATTCTATTTTCCTGGGATTCTGATTATATATATATATATATACATACATATATATGTGTATATATATACACATATATATGTATATATATAAATATATTATATATAAATATATATAATATATTTATATATATATTTGATGGCTTCATGTTCTTTATGATTTGTTAATTTTTCTTAATTCTTTTCTGCTATTCACTGAGTAATCCAATTACCCTATCTTTTTGTTTTCTGATTCTTCTGCCAGTTCAACTCTTCTGTTGGACCCCTCTAGTGAGTTTTTATTCAGTATTTGTACTTTTCAACTCTATATTTCTATATGGTTGCCTTTTATTGATGTTCTTCATCTATTTATACATTTCTTCCTGATATTCTTTAGTTACTTGTCCTTGTCCATGTTTTTCTTTAGCTCTCTGTTCACATTTAAGACTGTTGATTTAAAGCGTTGTCTAGTAAGTCCATATCTATGCTTACTCAAAAGTGGTTTCTATAAATTTTCTTTATTCCTGTGAATAAACTATGCTTTCTTTTTTTTGTTTGCATTGAAATTTTTTGTTGAAGACTGAGCATTTTAAATATTATAATGTGGTAACTGTGGAAATCAGATTCACATCTGTCTTCAAAGTTTGCTGTTGTTGATTGTTGGGGCCACCATAGTTATTAATTTGTTTAGTGACTTCTTCAAACTATTTTTTGAAATAAAAGACTGTATTTCTTGTCATCTGTGGTCACTGAAATCTCTACTTCGTTATCTTAGCAGTCAAGCAATGATCTGGCAAAAATTTCCTTAAACACCTTGAGCAAAAAGACCTCCCCCCACAAATCTTTGGAGATCTCTGAGCCAAAATGCACCTTCAGTGCTAAGCCTGTTCACCTACACCTCTGCCTTCACCTTCAATTTCTGCTTATGCAGAGTCCAGAGTTAGCTAAAGGCATAAGCCTAGCCTCCTCTCACAGTTCTCCTGAGCATGTGTTTGGCCCTGGGGATGTGCATCGCACTCTGGATTCCCTAGCATCTGCGGCACCCCTTCAAAGGCCTTAATTCCCTTAAGAATATTCCTCTAGAGTCTCAGCCTCGCCGCTGCTGCCGCCGCCGCCCAGAGACTGCTGAGCCCCTGTTCGTCCACAGCCACCACCCACTCCGGACACAGAACATCCAGTCACGGATAAAAATGAGCTGGTTCAGAAGGCCAAACTGGCCGAGCAGGCTGAGCAATATGATGACATGGCAGCCTGCATGAAGTCTGTAACTAAGCAAGGAGCTGAATTATCCAATGAGGAGAGGAATCTTCTCTCAGTTGCTTATAAAAATGTTGTAGGAGCCCGTAAGTCATCTTGGAGGGTCGTCTCAAGTATTGAACAAAAAACGGAAGGTGCTGAGAAAAAACAGCAGATGGCTCGAGAACACAGAGAGAAAATTGAGACGGAGCTAAGAGATATCTGTAATGATGTATTGTCTCTTTTGGAAAAGTTCTTGATCCCCAATGCTTCACAAGCAGAGAGCAAAGTCTTCTATTTGAAAATGAAAGGAGATTACTACCGTTACTTGACTGAGGTTACTGCTGGTGATGACAAGATAGGGATTGTGGATCAGTCACAACAAGCATACCAAGAAGCTTTTGAAATCAGCAAAAAAGAAATGCAACCAACACATCCTGTCAGATTGGGTCTGGCCCTTAACTTCTGTGTTCTATTATGAGATTCTGAACTCCCCAGAGAAAGCCTGCTGTCTTGCAAAGACCGCTTTTGATGAAGCCATTGCTGAACTTGATACATTAAGTGAAGAGTCATACAAAGACAGCATGCTAATAATGCAATTACTGAGAGACAACTTGACATTGTGGACATCGGATACCCAAGGAGACGAAGCTGAAGCAGGAGAAGGAGGGGAAAATTAACCGGCCTTCCAACTTTTGTCTGCCTCATTCTAAAATTTACACAGTAGACCATTTGTCATCCATGCTGTCCCACAAATAGTTTTTTGTTTATGATTTATGACAGGTTTATGTTACTTCTATTTGGATTTCTATATTTCCCATGTGGTTTTTATGTTTAATATTAAGGGAGTAGAGCCAGTCAACATTTAGGGAGGTATCTGTTTTCATCTTGAGGTGGCCAATATTGGGATGTGGAATTTTTATACAAGTTATAAATGTTTGGCATAGTACTTTTGGTACATTGTGGCTTCACAAGGGCCAGTGTAAAACTGCTTCCATGTCTAAGCAAAGAAAACTGCCTACATATTGGTTTGTCCTGGTGGAGAATAAAAGGGATCATTGATTCCAGTCAGAGGTGTAGTAATTGTGGGTACTTTTAAGGTTTGGAGCACTTTACAAGGCTGTGGTAGAAACATACCCCATGGATACCACATGTTAAACCATGTATATCTGTGGAATACTCAGTCTCATTGTGCACACCTTTGACTACAGCTGCAGAAGTTTTCCTTTAGATAAAGTTGTGACCCATTTTACTCTGGATAAGGGCAGAAACAGTTCACATTCCATTATTTGTAAAGTTACCTGCTGTTAGCTTTCATTATTTTTGCTACACTCATTTTATTTGTATTTAAATGTTTTAGGCAACCTAAGAACAAATGTAAAAGTAAAGATGCAGTAAAAATGAATTGCTTGGTATTCATTGCTTCATGTATATCAAGCACAGCAGTAAAACAAAAACCCATGTATTTAACTTTTTTTTAGGTTTTTTGCTTTTGTGATTTTTTTTTGATACTTGCCTAACATGCATGTGCTGTAAAAATAGTTAACAAGGAAATAACTTGAGATGATGGCTAGCTTTGTTTAATGTCTTATGAAATGTTCGTGGATAATCCAAGCATAATTGTTAAGAACACGTGTATTAAATTCATGTAAGTGGAATAAAAGTTTTATGAATGGACTTTTCAACTACTTTCTCTACAGCTTTTCGTGTAAATTAGTCTTTTGGTTCTGAAATTTCTCTAAAGGAAATTGTACATTTTTGAAATTTATTCCTTATTCCCTCTTGGCAGCTAATGGGCTTTTAGTAAGTTTAAACAAAAAATTTATCATAACAACAAAAAATACTACTAATATAACTACTGTTTCCATGTCCCATGATCCCGTCTCTTCCTCCCCACCCTGAAAAAAATGAGTTCCTATTTTTTCTGGGAGAGGGGAGATTAATTGGAAAAAAATGTTAATATGTTCCATTTAAAATTTTGGTATATGGCATTTTCTAACTTAAGAAGCCACAATGTTCTTGGCCCATCATGACAATGGGTAGCATTAACTATAAGTTTTGTGCTTCCAAATCACTTTTCGGTTTTTAAGAATTTCTTGATACTCCTACAGCCTGCCTTCGATTTTGATCCTTTATTCTGTTTGTCAGGTGCACAAGATTACCTTCCTTTTTTAGCCATCTGTCTTGTCACCAACCATTCCTACTTGGTGGCCATGTACTTGGAAAAAGGCCGCATGATCTTTCTGGCTCCACTCAATGTCTAAGGCACCCTGCTTCCTTTGCTTGCATCCCACAGACTATTTCCCTCATCCTATTTACTGCAGCAATTGTCTCCTTAGTTGACGAGATTGTGTTTATCTCCCTTTAAAACCCTACCTATCCTGAATGATCTGTCATTGTCTGCCTTTAAAATCCTTCCTCTTTCTTCCTTCTCTATTCTCTAAATAATGATGGGGCTAAATTATACCCAAAGCTCACTTTACAAAATATTTCCTCAGTACTTTGCAGAAAACACCAAACAAAAATGCCATTTTAAAAGAGGTGTATTTTTTCTTTTAGAATGTTAGAATGTAAGCTCCTCAAAAGCAGGGACAATGTTTTCCGTATGTTCTACTGTGCCTAGTATACTGTAAATGCTCAATAAATACTGATGATGGGAGGCAGTGAGTCTTGATGATAAGGGTGAGAAACCGAAATCCCAAACACTGTTTAGTTGCTTGTTTTATTATGACCTCAGATTAAATTGGGAAATATTGGCCCTTTTGAATAATTGTCCCAAATATTACATTCAAATAAAAGTGCAATGGAGGAAAAAAAAAAAGGATATTCCTCTCCAGCTTTCTCCTTTCCAGCTGTTGGGTCTGTCCACCATCCCTTGCATTAGCTGGCCATCCATCTTTAAGTGCTTTCTACAGAGGCTGCCTGGAAAATCACTCTATTCCAAGGGAGCACAACAAAGGGAAAGCCTATCTATCAATCCCTCAGACAACCACTAGACAGGTCAAAATGCATAACCACAAGTTTTGAGAAAAAATTGTCTACATTGCCTCTCTGACACTAGCAAGCCATTCCAGGAATGTGAGTTGTCACCCCCACAGTTACTGCTGATCTAGGGAGTGGAAGATAGCAGGCGGGTAAGCAAAAACTGCCACGATGCTTTATCATCTGTTTTTCGCAGCCTTTTTCTTCATTAAGCACTCCTTTGATTGCAATATGTTTTTGACTGGATCCCAGAATCCCAAAAAAGTTGATATTTCAGGCCGGGTGCAGTGGCTCAGCCTGTAATCCCAGCACTTTGAGAGACCAAGGTGGGCGGATCACTTGAGGTCAGGAGTTCGAGACCAGCCTGGCCTACATGGTGAAACCCCATCACTACTAAAAATACAAAAAATTAGCTGGGCATGGTGGTGTGGTGGTGAGTGCCTGTAATCCCAGCTACTCGGGAGGCTGAGGCAAGAGAATCACTTGAACCCGGGAGGCAGAGGTCGCAGTGAGCCTAGTGAGCCTAGATCACGCCACTGCACTCTAGCCTGGGCAACAGAGTGAGACTGTCTCAAAAAAAAAAAAAATAAAGTTGATTATCTCAGATTTTGCTAGCTTAGTGGGTGCCTCATTTGGATGACCAATTTCTGAAGCACCCTAGTCCACCATTTCTGTGACATCACTTCACACTCACTATTTAAACCTATCAAGCAGATGTTTTTGTTTTTTTCCCTCCAGAAATCCTCCTTTAATTCTCCTGATAGTCATTTCTCTTCTTTTCTAAACTCCTTCTGCCTGTTAGTAGACTTTTATTATTGCACTGATCAAGTTGTATTTATTGTATTGCAATTTATTTATTATTGTTACATTTAACTTCTCTCTTACAGTGGAAGATTCTTGAGGGCAGTAGTGACTTTTAACAAGGGAATCTGGCACTTAGAACAGAACCCGGTTCCTGGAACAGTGCTGGGCACATCATAGCTGCTAAAAAAATGCCTGTGTAATTGAATTGACACCAATTTCCTAGTTCACAGACAGGCATATAAACAGGGGTTTTAAAATAAAGTGATTGAACTCAAAAGAACAAAGTGCTCAAGCATCCACTGAGAACATCACAATGAAGACTACTTTGCTCATTTGCTGAGAGAAAATAACTTCTTTCTTCTTTGCTGTTTCAGTCTCTCTTGTGTTATAAACTATCCTGAGAAGAGATTCATTTTATTTCCACGTAAAAAGACTGGGCGGAGGGAAGGCACTATAAACTAGATTAGCACTTCAGGAAACTGTCTTATAACACACCCCATTCTGGCCTTTGTGGATGATAGTATAGCAATGGGAACCCATGAGACATTTTCTTCTTCCTTTTACTTTTCCTCCCTCTGGTCATCCTCCTTCTCCCCCTTCCTTCAAAATTTAGTCATTATAATTTTCTGGCTCTGCTAGCTGGTTTTCATATATATATATTTTTTTTACCACACATAATTCTCACAGGAGCATGATAGGCACACGTAATATCTCTGCTGGCTGTGTTCCCAGCCTCATCTTGTGTCTAGTGTAGGGGCCAATCAGACATGGTACTAAATGAATGGGTATGCTGAGGTAGAGGAGGGTGGTACATAGCATTTCAGCTCTTCTCCAGGTAGAATTCACGACTACTTTGTGTTCAAATCTACACTGAATGTGCCTCTAACCACTGGACATACTTAGTCTACATGGCTTGCTTTTCCATACAACTAAGAGCTTCCCAGGATTAATGACCATGTCTCATTGATCTTTGTGTCTCTGGGGACAGAACAATTTATCCAAGGAACATTTATGAATGAATAAATGAATATATTGGCAAGACAAATTCTAGAGGGATTTAAGTCAGACCGAGGAATCTAGGCTGAATATAGCAAATGTCATTCTACCTTGTGTGATGGTGTAAGTGGGCCAAACACTCAACAATATGTCTTGAGGGGAACTGTGGAGTTTTGCCAGAGAAATCTGTGAGTACTAGTGATAGTAGGAATTCCTTTTCCTAGTTTTCTTAATTTCGTTTTTCTGCCAGAAAATATTATGAGTATACTCTTGTGAGAGGTCTTTCGTCCCTCTCCTGAGCGGTATATTGTTGTGGCTTGCAAGCCACCCACAAATCTGATATTGGTTGCATTAAGATAGGCATTAATTACCAATAAAACATTGCTTTAGTTATACTTGCCAAATGTGAGACTTAGATCTGCTCCTTGCTAGACTCGTTTGCAAATAGTTTGAACATACTGTGTTCGAATACATATCAGTCATCATGAGCTAATTACCAAAATATGTATTCTCAACTCTTGAGAGGATCATTGTATAGGCTGGCATACCATCTCTTAAGATTTATTTCACGCTGCTATTTTGGAATGAGGAAATCATTGATAAAATCTGGTTGCTATAAGTTTCAAACTGTACATTAGATTGCTATTGATATGGTCTGACCCCCACTGGCTGCTATGCCCCAATGCTTAGGCTGTACCCCTCTTCTGTGATCTCACACCTGGAGGAAGGTCCTCTCAGATGCTGTGGATTCTGTAACCTCAGGAACTTCTGTTTTGATAGATTCTTCAGGCATAGTCTGAGGATCTACTTTGTGTCCATGTCTACCTGATGCTGTAGAAGAAGGAAACCAACATTTGCCGAATCATTTCTACGAGACCCACAATGTGCTAAATGCTTTATACTGCAAAGCTCATTTATTCTTTTTTAAAAAGCCTGTGAGATAGGTGCTCTGATCCACTTTCTACACATGAAAGAATCGAGGTTCAGATAATTTAGGACACTAACTCCAAATGACTAACAAATGTGTTTGTTATTTTTTATACTCCCCTGTGATGGATAATACTGAATGTCAACTTGATTGGACTGAAGGATGCAAAGGATTGATCCTGGGTATGTCTGTGAGGATGTCGCCAAAGGAGATGAACATTTGAGTCAGTGGGCTGGGGAAGGCAGACCCACCCTTAATTTGGTGGGCACCATCTAATCAGCCGCCAGAGAATGTAAAGCAGGCAGAAAAATGTGAAAAGGAGAGACTAGCCGAGCCTCCCAGCCTACCTCTTTCTCCTGTGCTGGATGCTTCCTGATCTTGAACATCGGACTCCAAGTTCTTCAGTTTTGAGACTTGGACTGGCTCTGCCTGCTCCTCAAGCTTGCAGACAGCCTACTGTGGGACCTTGTGATTGTGTAAGTTAACACTTAAAAAACTTCCCTTTATATATATATACATACACACACACATATATATATATTAGTTCTGTCCCTCTAGAGAACCCCCTTACCACCACTATATCTATTTCTGCCCTTCTCCGTCTTGCTCTGTACCCCAGGAGGCTAGTTGCTATGAGCTGAGACACCTGGACTTCCACACCAGCTAGTTTCCACTTGGCTTGGTCAGTGGGAGTTACTGGCAGGACGTCAGAGGGTGGAAGGAGTATTTGGTATTATTCAACCTCCTTTCCTACTTTTGGCCAAGGTTCCACCAGTTGCTGCCTCTCCCCATGACTTCAGCAACTGTCACTCTTGGTGACTCCAGGTCTTGATAGGCCCTGATAACAGCAATTCTTTCCCTGGTCCTTTAGGCCTAGGGTTGATAATGACTTCCACATTTTCATAGTCTCTGGATGCCTCAACATTCCCGGTTTTCCATATCTTAGCCCATATTCTGTAGGTTACATTTTATTAAAGTGTCTGAGACATTTGAGGTAGAATCTGTTTTCTGCTGAAGCCCTAACTGATACTCCAAATATCATAGTTGATAAATACTATGCTGGAATTGGAATTCTATCTCCTTTTTATTTCTATTTCCTAAGTCTTTCTATCTCTTAAGATTGTGTTCTCTCTGCTGGCTTACATTGTCTCATTATTTCATTTTATGTGAAGTGATTTTAGGAGCCTCTCTCTGAAGGAAGATGCTGAGGCCACTGAGCTCAGCCTGACATAGTCTTGCAAACAGTGGTGCCAGACACGAATATGAGTCAACCTAAGAAGTAAACCCAATATTTAACCAGGCGTAGCTGAAAAATCAAATTGAGGATGCAAGGATACCATTAATTAAACAAGAAAGAAACATGAATGATTAAACAACATTGAAGTGGTATTTGAATGACTTTTGTTTTAGATGCCGTGTTGCAAACATACGTTCAGAAAATAGTTTACTTCCCTGTCCCAGGAGTATCTTTCCTCTCATCTTTGGCATTCTCACGGCCGATTTGTCTCATAAGAAATTGCTTTAAGTCACAGGCATTTCCATGACTCTATTCTTTTCTACCTCATCTCAATGGTATCCAGTATTTTTCTCCAGTCTAGGGGCTGGGTCACAGATGAGATGTGGCTTATCGGTGGTGTTATTTCTACTGTAGCTCTACTGTCCTTCATTATTTTGGCTTCCAGTTTCTTTTCATTTCATTTCTTTCACATATCATGTCTAAAATTATTGCTTTACTGAAAGACCTTTTGGGGTAAAATATTTTCTTTTCTTTTATGTAAATATTCTTCCTGCTCAAGGCCAGAGGGACAATATATGTTTAATTTCAGTGGCCTTCCTGCTTCTTGTCTCTGTTTCACATACTTGGGTAATATGCTTTATGATATTCTTTCTTCCAGTTTTGCTAAAGTATAATTGACTTATACTGAAGTGCACATATTTTAAGTGGACAAAATGATGAATTTTGACATATATGTGTTTTTGTGTAAGTAAACGAGACACCAATATCACAGTGTCTTGACTACTGCAGCTTTATAAGAAGGTTTGAAGTCAGGTAGTATTAGTTATCTAGCTTTGTGATTCTGTATTGTGTTGGCTTCTATCTTTCCAGATATAAAGATATTTTCTATATTGTATTGTGTTTTATCTTTCCATATAAACTTTAAGATTAGTTTTTTGATATCCACAAAATAACTTGCTGTGGTTTTGATTGTGACTGCTTTGAGTCTATACATCAGGTTGGGAAGAACTGACATCTTAAGCAAATTGAGTCTCTCTGTATGTGAATATCAACTATCTCTTAATTTATTTACATCTTTAATTTCTTTCATCAGAATTTTGTAGACTTCCTTAAACAGATCATTGTATATATTTTGTTAGGTTTATACCTAAGTATTTTTTGATGCTAATGTAAAAGGTATTGTATTTTAAATTTCAAGTGCAGTTCTTCATTGCTGGCATAAGAGAAATAGATGTTTTAATATTAACTTTGTATCTTGCAACCTTGCGATAATTGCTTATTACTTCCAGATGGGTTTTATTTTTGTTATTTCTTTGAGATTTACTACATAAACAATCATGTCATCCATAAACAAAGATAGTTTTATTTCTTCTTTCTTAATCTGTACACCTTTTATTTTCTTCTATTATCTTATTGCATTAGACAAGACTTCCAGGACAATGTTGATCGAAGTGGTGAGAGGCAACATCCTTGTTTTGTTCCCTTCTTAGGCAGAAAACATCCAGTTTCTCACCATTAAGTATAGTCTTAGCTGTGGCTTTTCTGCAGATGTTCTTTATCAAGGGAACAAAGGTTCCCATATTCTACCTTGCTGAGAGTTCATGTTATGAATGCATGTTGAATCTTGTCAAATGCTTTCTTTTACTGATCATATAATTGTTCTTCTTTAGCCTTTGAATGTAATTGGTTATATTAATAGATTTTTGAATGTTAAACCAGCCTTGAACACCTGGGACAAATCCCACTTGATTGTGGTGAATAATTCTTTCTATGCATTGTTGGATCCAGTGTGCTAATATTTTGTTTTTATGTTCAGTAGCAATTTTGTATGTATGTTCATGAGAATTTCATATAAATGGAAACAGGCAATTTGGAGGGAGATCTGGCTTCTTATACTTAGCACGATTTTGAGTCTCAAACATGTTGCTTGTATCAGTAGTATATTTCTTTTTTTTGTTATGTTTGCTTTAAATAGCTAATTCTCACTCAATAAAATTTATTAACAATATATAAGAAAAATAGCTTTTTGTATTTATGTATGCATTGAACATTTCTATTGCTCTTTGTTATTTCTGGGAGATCTGTTTCTATTTTCCCTTCAATCTCAAGGTCTTCATTTAACATTTCTTGGGTGCAGTTCTAAGAGTGATATATTTTCTCAGGTTTTCCACTGTAAAACCTCTTTATTTAAAAAAATTTTTTTACTAGGTATTGTATTCTAGGTTGACTTTTTAATCTATTACTTTGAAGATGGTGCTCCACTGTCTTCTGCCATGCCTTATTTCCAATGAGAAACCATCTATCATTCTCACACTTGTTCTGTTCATAATGTGTCTATTTTCTCTGGCTGCTTGTATTATAGTACATTCTTGCATTGCTATAATGAACTACATAAGACTGGTTAATTTATAAAGAAAAGAGGTTTAGTTAACTCACAGTTCCACAGGCTATACAAGAAGCATGGCTGGGGAGGCCTCAGGAAACTTACAATCATGGCAGATATTTTTAGAAACTCAGCATTTACCTAGATATGTTCTCTAAGATGCAGTGCCACAAGATGCCTCTTAGTGAATACGTGTTTGTGGTCAGCGAGTGTGGGTAATTCTGTACACTGCATGCAGTGTCTTTCTTTATCTTGCTTTTCTGGAGATGCACAAATGTGTTAATGTAGTAAAGACGGAATTTTGTTTAGCCCCAAAGTTTTAAAACAACTTTGAATATGGAACACATTTTTCCCCATGATTCATCTAGTAACATTCGAAGAAAATATTATTCCATAGATCACATTTTGGGAAATGCCTCATTAGGTTGTCAGTGTTTTCAACGTGCTTAATGGCAGCATGAGAGTAAGAAAGCCAAGTGTTGTGCTATCGGGCCGTGGCTACCAGTGGCTACCGCAAGTCAATACGTTCAGCTCCATGGGAGGAGCTGCCACTTTTGATTTATACTGCTTTGATAACTTGCTTTTTTAAAATAACTAATACATGAATGATTTCACATTACCCTGCGTTGACAAAGATTTGTTCTGACCTTCTACTGGGAGCTAGTCAGAAATCCAATTTGAAGTTAAGCCAACAAACTCCTGGTTCTCCTTCTTTTCCTTATTTATCAATAGTATTAATAAAATCCAAAGGACTCTCTTGTCCTTTTAAATCTTGCCAATATAAAGCAATATATCTTATGTATAAGATCCCACTCTATTCTAGGTGAAATCTTAAACATAAATCTCACCTATAGCAGACTGGGCTGTTACACATAAGTAATATATAATACATAATTCTATGATAGTGTCCAATTTTAACAGACAAAGAAACAAAGGATAAAATAATTTTAAAAACTTACTTATGGTCAAATAGAAGTGGAGCCAGAATTCTAAGGTAGGTATTTCTAACTCAAACACAGTGGAGTGTTCCACCCTAAATCTTACTTCCCAGAAAGTGTTGTTTCCCTGCCTTTAAGGTTTAACAAAAAATATGCTGTTCAATAAAATACACCCAAACAAAATTGTTTAAAACAGATACTTTTTCTCATGGGTCTGTGGATTGACTACTCTGGGTTAAACTCTGCTCTGTGCATCTATTATCCCCTTCTGGAAGCCGGTAGGTTAGTTGGAGCAAGCTCTTCTCATGGTGACGGCAGAGGCGCAACAGGGCAAGGGAATCAAGAAGCTGCTTCTCAAGCCTTTGATCACTTTAGACCCATTATCTTTTCCTTGGTATCTTATTATTTTCACCCTTTTAAGAGTGTCTTTTTCTGAAGTGGAAGCATCACTTGAGCCCAGGGGGTTGAGGCTGCAGTGAGCTATTGCACCACTGTACTCCAGCCTGGGTGACAGAGCAAGAGCCTGTTTTTAAAAAGTATCTTTTGAACATCATAAGTTTTTAATTTTGATGAAATTCAATTTATATATTGTTTACTCGATTACATTTTTGGCATAGTATCTAACAACACTTTTCAGAATTCAAGGTTATGTCGATTGTCTATGTCTTCTTCTAGAAGTTTCATAGACTTTACATTTAGGTCATGACAATTTTAATATAATTTTTCAGTGAGATGTAAACACATGGCTCAGAGTTTCTTTCTTTTTAATTACTTTGGCATAGATATTCAATTATTCCAGCATAATTTGTTGAAAGCACAATTCTTTCTTCAGTAAATTGTCTTTCTACCTTTGTTAAAGATAAAATCACAATAGATGTGTGGTATAACTCTGGGTACTCTGTTCTGTTCGATCTTTTCTTCAATAACACCATTTTTATCACCACAACTTTATAATACCAGGTAGCAGGAGTACACTAACTCTTCTTTTCCTGAATAGCTTTTGACAATTCTAGTTTCTTTTCCATATAAATTCTAGATTCAACTTGTCAACCATGTGTGAAATCATATATAGAATATTGGCACATTGATATGTATTGTTTCCTGGGACCTTGGTAAAGCCACTTGTTAGTTCTACATACAGAAACAGTTTTAGTTCTTCTTTTGTGAACCTATATGTCTTTTATTTCTTTTTCTTGCTTTATTTTGCTGACCAAGATCTTCTGTTAAAACCAAAAAAAAAGGGTCGTGCATGGTAGCTCACATCTATAATCTGAGCACTTTGGGAGGCTGTGGGTGGGAGCATCATTTGAGCCCAGGAGATTGAGACCATGTTGGGCAACAAAGTGAGACCCTGTCTCTACAAAAAATAAAAATATTAGCTGGATGTAGTGCCACAAACTTTTGGTCCCAGCTACATGGGAGGCTGAGGTGGGAGGATCCCTTGAGCCTGGGAGGTGGAGGCTGCAGTGAGCCATAATCACACTACTGCACTCCAGCCTGGGCAACAGAGTGAGACCCTGTCTAGAAAAAAAAAAAAACTGAATTAAAATGGTGAGAACAGATACCCTTAGATGTTATTATTTTCAGAGAAAAGCATTTAATACTTCATCATTGTGTATGACTTTAAGTGTAGGTTATTTTGTAGATGTTCTTTAGGAAGTTGAGGAAGATCCCTTTTATTCCCAGTATGCTTAGAGTTTTTATCACAAATGGATGTGTATGTTGTCAAAGACTTTTTCTATATCTATAGATCTATTGGTTTATTTTTCTGTTAACAGGGTGAATTACATTGATCTAATTTTGCATGTTGATCCAGACTTACATTCATAAGTCACACTTGGTGATGATGTATTATCCCTTTTATGAATTGTTGAAATTGGTTTGCTAGTATGTTGTCGAGAATTTTTGCACTAATGTTCATGTGGGATACTATTCTTTAGTTTTCTTTTTCTTGTACTGTCATTGTCTCATTTGGTATCTTGGTAACGTAATACCAAATGAGCTAATAAAATAGTTGTGAAACGGCCCTTACTTTATATATTCTGAAATATTTTCATAGGATTTGTACTTTTTACTTCTTAAATGTGTGGAAGAATTCAACAGTAAAACTAACAGTCTGTGAAATTTTCTTTGCTGAATGTCTTTCCTATAAATGTAATTTTTTTCTTTTCTTTCCTTTTTTTTTTTTTTAAAGACAGAGTCTTGCTGTCACTCAGGCTGGAGTACAGTGATGCAAACATGGCTCACTGTAGCCTCAACCTCCCAGGCCCAAGCATCCCCCACCTCAGCCTCTGGAGTGACTGGGACCACAGGCACATGCCACCACACTCAGCTAATATTTTTATTATTTGTAACAATGGGGTCTTGCTATGTGGACCAGGATGATCTCAAACCCCTGGGCTCAAGTGATCCTCCCACCTTGGCCTCCCAAATTGCTGGGGTTTCATGTGCAAACCACCACTCCCAGCCTATTTAATTTCTTTAATAAATATTTTACTATCCAAGATGTTTGTGTCTTCTTGAATGAGTTTAGTATTTCAAAGCACTTTTCCAGTTCATTTAACATGTCAAATTCATGAGCATAGAGTTTGTAGTAGTTCGTTATCCTTTTTAGTTGGTCTGTAGAATTTGCCATGATGTGCTTCTTTCATTTCTGATACTTTAAATTCATGTTTTCTTTATTTTTGGTTAGTCTAGGTAGAGGTTTATCAATGTAATTATTTTTTTTCAAAGGTCCTGCTCTTGGTTTTATTGATTATCTCTATTTTAGGGAAGAAAGAAAGTTCTCAATTTCATCAATTTGTGGTAATATTGTTATTATTTACTTTCTTCTGCTTATTTTCAATTTAATTTGATTTTTCAAAGTTTCTTAAGGTACCCTAATCATTGATTTGGGATCTTTTCTTTTATAATATGAAGACTTAATGCTATAAAATTTTCTCCAACGACTGTTTCAGCAGCATTCCATGCAGCATGCATTTTGTTATATTTTATTTTCATTTTCATTCATTTTAAACCATTTTCTAATTTTTCTTGTAATTTGTTCTTTGAGCCATTGGCTAGAAATGTACTATTTAATTTTCAAATATTTGAAGATACCTTGATTTCTTCTTAATTCTATAATATATGAACATATTTTGTACAATTTAAATTTCATCCAATTTGTTAAGATTTGCTTTTTTTGTGCCCAGATTATGGTGTAAACTGGGGAATGTTCCATGTGATCTTGAAAAAAATTGTATTCTGCTTTTTGGAGGATGTTCTGTAAATATCAGTTAATTCAAGTTGATTGCCAGTGCTGTTCTGGCCATCTGATCTATCTTCCTCTATCTATATTCTTACAGATTTTCTGTCTACTTGATTTTATAAGTATCAGAATAAGTATATATAAGTGTACTTATATTCTGAGATATAAGTATCAGAATCTCCACTAATATGTGTGGATTTGTTTGCTTCTCCTTTCAGATCTATCAGTTTTTGCCTAATCCATATTAAAATCTTCTTTTTAGGTATACAGACGTTTAGGACGTTTATATTTCTTTGATAATTAACCTCTCTGTGATTACATAGTGGTCCTCTTTACCTTTGTTAATATTCTTAAATATTAATATAGCTTCTCTAGCTTCTCCAGCTTTCTTCTGGTTACTTTTTACATGGTACCTATCTTTCTATACTTATATTTTTAACGTATTTTTGTATTTATATTTAAAATGTGTTTGTTGCAGACAGTTAGTCTTTTGTCAATTCATTTTACCAGTCTCTTTTTAAATAAATTGCTTATACCATTTCTATTTAATGTAATTATTGATAAATTTGGATTAAAACCTTCTACCTTATTATATCTTAATAAGATATAGGTTAAATTAATATGTTAACATCTTCTTCTAATTTTTTATTGTATTTTGTTTTCTTTTTCCCCTTTTTGCCTTTGTTTAGATTGCTTATTTTTATGATTCAATTTTATATCCATTATTGGCTTAATATTTATATATCCTTTTGAAATTGTTTTAAAAATTTACCTAGGGTTTAAAATTTAGGTAATTGGAGTATACCTTCAAAAATATTATGCCATCTTATTTGTTGTGCAACATATCTTTTACTAATATACTCTCAATTCTTAAATCATATCCTTTATGCTATTTTTGTCATACCTTTTTACTTTTACAGATGTTATAATCACAAAATACATTGCTACTATTTTGGCTTTAGGCTGTCAGTTGTTTTTTAGAGTTGTTAAGAACAAAATAAATTTTATATTTATCTTCGTTTATTTTATTTATAGCATCATACACCAATTTGTATAGATCTAAATTATCTGTAGTATTGTAATTGTTGTTGATTGAAGAACTTCCTTGCATATTTCTTGTAGCCACAGGTCTAAGAGCAACGAAGTCTTTCACTTTTGTTTTACTGTGGAAATGTTTATTTTTCTTTCTGAATTAAAAGACATCTTGGCTAGATATAGAATTCTGAATTAACATTTTCGCCCTTTTGACACTTTAGAGATGTCCCTCCATTTTCCTCTGGCTTGCATAGTTCCTGAAGGTAAGTCAGCTGTAATTCTTTTCCTTGTTTATCTGTAGGTAATGTTTTTATTTTCTATGACTGCTTTTTAGATTTTATCTGTATTGAGTTTTCAGTAGTTTGAAAATAATATGTGTAGATGTTTTCTGTTTAAGCATGTTTTTATTTTGTTCTTTATTGGCTTATTATTCTCCGAGCATTTTAGATCTATGGTTTGGTCATAATTTTGGAAAATGTTTGATTATTTCTTCAAATATTTCTTCACTATCTTCCCCTACTTAGATTCCAATTACACATATGTTACATCATTTGACATACTATCCCATCACTTTTGGATGGTCTGTACTTTTATTTTTTTTTCTGTTTTTTTTTGTGTTTCTATTTGTATCATTTCTATTGCTGGATACTCAGTTTTACTGATTATTTCCTTATCTGTCCCAAATCTACTAATGACACTATAAAATACTTTCTTTAACTTCTAGAATTTCCTTTGGTTCATTCTTTAGAGTTTTATCTCTCGGCTTATGTAACCCACCTGTTATTTGTTGTGAAATACTTTTTCCTTAGGGCTTTTAACATATAAATCTTAGTTATTTAAATTTCCTTTATGATATTTCTAACATTAGTGTCATATCTCTTTTGGTGTGTTGGTTTCTTAATCTCTTGATATTGTATTTTTTTTCCCTTGGTTGTTTTTATGCCTCATACTTTTTTGCTGAAAGTTGGATATCTTGTATAGTTCTGTAGAGAATAAGATAAATCATGTTTATACCTAAAAACTGGCATGTCTCTCCTTATGCTAGACCTTTTATGTAAGGGGCCAAGTCTATTCATGAGCTGAACTGGGTTGAAATTTGTTGTTGCTATGGTTACTTACACTGTGCTACAGCCTTGAAACTCTTTTCGCACATTCTTCAGTGGGGCAGGGCCCTGGTTTGCCAGATGATTTTTCTCTAAGTCTGTTCAACTTTCACTTTTAGTTATTTCTTTTATGCTGTATCTCAGAAAAAAAAAAGCAAGTGTACATCCTTTTTGCTTTATGCCAGCATTATATCAATATTACTTGTTGCTTCATTTTTGTTAGTTTGATGTGGTGTTGTGGTGGAAATTATCGCCTTAGTATTAGGAACATGCTGTCTCCATGGTTCTTGGGATTTGTGCCTTCTCAATGATCCTTTTGTACTCTCAGTTTTATGGCTGGGTCTAGCACTTATTTCTTTACTTCTTTTATGATAGAAGATTGTTTTTCACTCTCTACTCCCACCTGTACTAGGCTTTCTATAATTTGATAATGTCAAGAGTTTTATTTATTTATTTTTTCCCTTCCAGTATAGTTCAATCTTTGTACTGTAAGAGGAATAGGGGATGTAGACAGGTATTTGTGCCTTTCTCATGACTACTTCTATTCCCCTACCCAAGGCCTGTGCCATGAGGGATGATTTTTCTGCACTCCTCCTTCTCCCATTTATTTTATTTATTTATTTATTCTTTTTTTTTTTTTTTGGTGAGCATTCAGTTAGAATCATGAAGGAGAGCCTTCAAGTGGGTATAAATACCTCTTGTGTTTACAGAACCTAGGGATTCTATATTCTCTCACTAGCCCATGCACTGTATCAAACAATTCATTAAAATCATTAGCTGAATTATTATTTCTGGTGTCTAGCAGTGTCCGCCTCAGGTAAGTAAGTGATTACATCCTGTTTCTATTTGAAGGTTCCTGTCTTTCTTTAGCTTTCAAGTTAACTCGTTGTCCTGTGACCTTGGCTCTCTGATGGATTAAAAATAAATTGCAAATTTTCACATTTTTCAGGTTTTTCTTTGGCAAAAAATGATGATAAGAATGATGCTTTTTCTAATTTTCTACATTTTATATGGAATTTAGCAATCTGTTAAATAATTTTAGCAGAGAAGTGATACAAGTGATAGTCGCATGCTATTCTAGGGTCTAGCTTGTCTTGCTTTCTCTTATTTCTAAGATTTACTTGCAGTTTTCTCTCTATAACTCCTGCCAATTCTGTTTATTTTTGTCTCTTACTTTCTATATTTAAAGTGTGTTTCTTGTAGACTATGTAGATAGATAGATAACAGATAGATATAGATACAGATACATGAGGTTTCTTTTTTAAAATAATCTAATCTAATAATGTATCTTTTAAATAGCATATTGAAATCACTAATTTTAAAGTGATTATTTTTATGCCTAATTAAACCTATCATCTTTGCATATATTTTCTATTGGTTCCATTTGTTCTTTGTTTATTTTTCTTTTATTTCTTCCTTCCTTGGACTCATTTGAGCATTTTTAAAATTTTATGTCTTCTATTGACTTATGCTCCTTTCTAAAAATTGCATTATATATTTAAAATAATGCTATTCTACCCCCCAAATAATATTATGCAATTTACCATATAATTAGACCATCTTATATCACTATATTCCCAATTCCTCTCATCTACTTCTTATAACTTTGTTCTTGTATATTTAACTTTTATATTATATATATCATAAATACATAATTCACTTCCACTATTTACTTTAAACATTAGTTATCTTTCAAGGAAATGTAAAGTAAGAAAAAACTTATTTCATCTCCATTTATTCCATTCCTTATACTATTTATTTCCTTGTGTATTTCCATGTTTCTGCTTGAAGTTTTTTTTTTTCAATGTTGCTTATAAAGTATGTCAGTTGGCAATGAATTACCTCAGTTTCTATTTATCTGAGAAATAATTATTTCTTCTTCACTTTTGAAGTTTATTTTCATTGAGTATAGAATTATGGTTTGGCAGTTTATTTCTCCCAGACTTTGAAGATGTGCCATTGGCTTCTTGCTTGCATGGTTACTAATGATAAGTCTGAAATAATTAATTTTATTTTCCTCTGTAGGTAATGTGCCTTTTTTCTCTATCTGTCTTCAAGATTTTCTTTTGTCTTCAGTTTGCAGCAGTTTGAATATCATTTGCCTAGTTGTGGCTTATTTGGTTTTTATGCTGTTTGCTCTCTGTGAGCTCTTAGGGTCTGTGGTTTGGTGTCTGTCACTAACTTTGGAAAAATCTTGGGAAATATTTCTTCAATATTTCTTCTTTCACAGTCTCTCTTCTCTTTATGAGGTTCTGATGAGTAGATCTTTTAATGTGGTTCATAGCCCTTGATGTTCTATTGTTTTGTCATTGCTATTGTTCTTTTCTTTTTCTCATTTTTCACTTTTTTTTAGTTGAGTAGTTTCCATTCAACTTTTTCAGTTTGTTGACAGTTTCCTTAGCTATGTTGAGTGTACTGATTGGCCTGTTTAAGTCATTTTTCATCTCCATGACTGTGTTTTAGATTGTTAACGTTTTCATTTGATTCTTTCTTATAGCTTTTGTCTCTTTACTGAAATTCTCTATTTGACTTTTATGTTGTTTTTACTGACAGAGCTGGATCTTCCTTTTCCTATAGAGTCTGAAGAGATTAATAGAGGAAAAGTCTGCAAAAGTTTGTGTCTCATCAGGCGAGTCTGGTTCTGACTATCGCTTTACCTCTTGCTTTTTCTTGCCTTCTGGCATGTACCTTAACCTGTTGTTTCTGTTGTTTTTCAAAGTCAGACGTATCGTATACCTAAGACAATGTTTTAATGTTGGAAGGTGGGTACAACTTTGTCTGCTAGGTTTTCAATGTGGAGTGGGTTGTGTTAATCTAGTTGGGAGTTGGGCTTGGTTTGATATTTGTTGTTTCTTTTGTTGCCCTCAGTGCACCAGGGGCTTCACGTTCCACCAGTAAAATGCAGTTGGTGTGTGAGCTAATAAACCACAGCATTTTTTCTCAATGCTGACCCCAATTGTGGCTCTAGGTCTACATGTTTAGCTTTGTATTTTCACTATGTGCTGCATAGCAGAGAGGATATTTTTCTCTCATGGCGCTCAGTTCTATTTTCCTTCGTGTGCACTCAGTGCTTGTTAGTACGATGTGAGAGGCAAAGGTGATACCTTGTCTGATGTTATGACTAAGCCTTTGCTCTGGGCAGTCACTGTGAATCTGGTTCCTGAGGGTGTGGCTTTTTCAAGTTTTTCCATCCATTTCCCAGAAGCTGGTGGCTATAGCATGTATTCCTGTCCCTCTTCCATAAGTAGTTTTTTTTTTTCCTGGTCCCTTCTCCCAGCTGATGAGGGTTTTCTCCAGTGCCTACAGGCAACTATTTTTGTTGCCTTTTAATTAATCAAGATTTATTAAGATTTTTGTTCTGTAGAGAAAATAGGCAAATGGGTGTGGGCAGATCTCAATAATGACTCCTGTATCCTGCATCCACCAGCAATCTCGAAAGGGAAGCATTCTCAGGATTCTGCCTGACTTTCTCTGGGAGCAAGTCCTGAGATCCCGGAGGAAAAGCCTGCCAGAGGGTGTGCACCTCTCTCTGTCTGTGGCCTGTGGGGGTTTCACACTGTCACACTAGGCCATGCTCAGATTTTAGTAATTTATTAAAATGTTCTTGCTAATTTGTCTTACTGGCATTCAGAGGTATCTTGTTGGGTCTTGTTTCTCTCTGCCAGTGACTTACCCTCCAAATTCTCCATTAGTTTTGTCTTATCATCTCAGTTCTTTAATGAGCTCAAGGACAGTCATGAATTTGAAGTCTTATGAACATTTTTCTTGTTGTAACAGTGCAAGCAACACTCTTCTAGATTTGTACATTGGAAACTGCTAGTTTCTTCCCATTACTAGAGTTTGGGGTTGGAGAGAAAGAAATATTGAAAGATAATTAGTGTCGCGGAGCACCCACTCAGAGCCACACACTGAGCCACACTACACGTATCCTTTAATTTAATCATTACACAATCTTGAGGCATGAACCACATTGTTATTATCACCATGCCTACCCATGCTTTTAACCATTTTATTTAGTCCCTTTTTGTTATCTCCTATATCATCACATCAGTCTCCTGAGGAAAGGAATCCGATTATCTTGATGCTGTTACATGGCCAGTACCTAGAGGACTATTTAGCACCTACCGCACACTATATAAATGCTTGCTGAGTGAATTAATGCAAACACAGACCTCAGGCACATATAAGATAGTCTTTACATTCTCTCCTATTCCTTCTCATTCCCATCATCACTGATAGACTGGGATAGGCTAGGAAAGGATTTACATGCTAGTAAAGGCATGCATTCATTTATTGAATGTGTGAGGCTGAGAGAGTGGTGGGAAGGCAATCAGAGTGTGGGATCTGGGCAGGTGCCCTGCCTCTTTCTACCTTATTAATGGCTCTATTTTAGGAGATTGACTATTCCCTTTGAGATGTGGCCTTGGTGCCTGCCTTAGGCTGTTTGACAACTTTGTAGCCATGCATTTTGGGCTGTGTTATTCTACCTGCTACTTCTCACACTCTCTGCCCCCTTCTTTCTCAATATTGTCTGTTTCCCAACACTTCAAAGTCTTGCTGCCTTACTGAAAATCAATTTTATCATAGGAACAGGATCGCCAGGTGGGGGGTGCAGGTGGTGATTTGCACAAAGGCGTGTGCATGGGTGAAAGACAGCCCAGGCTGGGCTTGCTGAGGACAGTTAGGGCAGGGGCCGTGCCTACAGGGAGTGGTGTCCTTCAGATTTTCAGAAAGGCACTTTGCGAGTTGGTGCCGACCTTGACAATACAGAGGATTGAACCGGCCAGGGAGCAAATGCATGGAACAACCCTTCCCACTTTGAGCCCAAAATTTTTAGTAATTTTTCTAAGGTCATCAGGCTTCTTCTGGCTGCCTCCTTTTTTCTGTTTCTTTTTAAAAATTACTGTATTTTAAAATGTATTTTTATTTTTAATTGAAAAATTATAATTGTTTTAGAGGTAAAATGTGATATTTTGATATATGTATACATCATAGAATAATTAAATCAAGTAAATTAACATATCTATCACCTCTCATGCTCATCATTTTTTTGTGGTGAGAACATTTAAAATTACTGTCCTAGCAATTTTGAAATACACAATACATTATTATTCATGACAGTTACTACACTGCACAGTATAACTCAAAAGCTTATTTTTACATCTAACTGATACCTTCTACCCTTTGACCAACATCTCCCTGTCTCCCTGCTTCTGTTTCTCATGGTGTTTCCTCTCACATGCTTGTATTCTCCTCATTTTTGCTTCATCTCTCTCTTCCTTCTCTGGGTACCTCCAACCCCCAGCCCACATCACATCAGTTCTTGCTTTCCTTCCCCACCTCTATTTCATTTTTCACAGGTATTCTGAAACCAATCCTGATATCTGCACCTGCTCAGGAAATTAAAATATCTCATCTTTTTTGGCTGCTGCTTCACTGTGAGGCCAAACTGACAATCTGCTAACTGCAGCCCCAGAGCTAAATAACAGAATGTTTTGCAATCAGGACTAGAATCACAGTTGGTGGATTTTTTTTTTAGCTTTACAAAGCCAACAAAGCAAAAGAAAATGTCCCAGACCTCCCCCTGCCTTTCCACTCCCACCTGCCTTCTCCATTAAGCAGCCCTGGGGAGAGCCTGTCTAGGAGGTACAATCCAAGCCTCTATTTTCTATTCAGAAATGAGAAGGGGGTGTGTTCATGGACCTCTCTGCCCCTTTCTCCACCTTCTTTCTATCTTCCATCACTCACTCTTTGTGAGTAGTCTCACTCCCTCCTGAGCATGTGCCCTGCTGTCACATGCATTGAAAGGTACTCTGAGTAGTGTGTGAGATCTAAAAATCTAGGGGTCCAGGGGCTGGGGGCCACCATTGGGCCTAGGGACACATTAGTTCTGTGACTGAATCTTATCTCTCTAAATGATGTGAACACTCTGCTTACAGATTGGGAGATGTGCAGATGAAGGAATGAATATGGAATACATCTCTCAAAGAATGACTGATACAGCTTCAGGACTGAGGATTGGAATGTCCACAGATGTCATGTGTCAAGCTGCCCTGAAGGAACAGAATGAGAAGAAAAAGAATCTACTACCTCTTGAACCCACCAAGCACATCCCATCTCAGGATCTCTACTCTTGCTGTTCTCTTTGCCTAAAACATTCTTCCCCCAGATCTGTGCATGGCCCCCTCACTCACCTCACTTAGATATCTGTTCAAATACCACTTGAAGACCATTCTATCTAAGCACACTTACATTGTCTTATATTTTTATGGCTCTTTTTGCTCCCTGCCTCTAACTAGTAAATGTATTTGTTTATCTATCTTTTGCCATTTCCTCTCAAATATAAGCTTCCTGAAGACAGAGATTTTGTTTCATTCACTACTGCACCTTTAGTTCTCAGGACACTGCCTGGTACATAGTAGGTGCTCATTAAATATGTATTAAATGCATGACTTCAGGGAACACATCTCGAGTGGGCCATGCACTGTGCAAGGTGCTTTATGTACTTCATCTCATTTCATAGTCAGATCATCTTGGTGAGAAAGCATTCATGGTCCCCCACAATTTGGAGACTCCATGTGGCTCCAGGGAATTGGTCTCTGGTTTGACCCAGGGCCCGTGTTTTTCCCACCACAGGGGGCTGCTTCTGAGTACTGACTCCCTGAAGCTTTCTCTCTCCTTCTCCTCCTCTATTATACCATCTTCTGGACATTCTCCTGGATGTTTTCCTGTAGTGCTGTCCCCTTTCAGCACTGCACCCAGGATGTTTCTCTGGAGATCTTCCCTGCACGGTTTCTTCTGACTGCAAGTCTCCTCTGCCCGGGACGATGGTCATGACTCAACTGTGGCAGGGCCAGGCTTGCTGCGTCCTCATGGTCTTAGTTCGTAACCACTTGCTTGCCCCATTCTTCACTCGCATTCCACACTGCTAGTCAGCTCATTAAGCTTCCAGCCTGGTTTTCAGTCCTCCCTGCTTTGTCCTTGGCTGGGCTTTCACAATAGATGCTGTGCCCTGCCTTTGTGGTCATTTGTGGCTCTTTCCTCAGCAGCCACATTGGGCAGCCTTTTCCTACTGTGCCCTGGTCAAGAAGCCACTTCTTTGGGTCTACACTCCTGTGGGAGGCCTTTCCTTGGGTTTTCTCAGACCTTGAGTTGGAGTAAGACCCATTCTTTAGAAATTCTAGGATCAATCTTAAACATTTGTTGGATTTGATTTTTCCGGGCACCTTAGTGTGTCATAAGGGAAACAGGAGGTTCTGAAGCCAGAATTCCTATCTTGGGAAAGTTTTTAATCTACTACTTTAACTTAATCAACAAGGACTCACAGATAACCTGATGTATGTATACCAGAAACTGTGCTTAATGCTGGAGAAAAAGCTACATACGAGGCTCACCTTTCCTTTCATGGAGCTGAGAGCCACGATGCAGGTCATAGAACAGGGGGTGGAATCAAGCAATGCTAGCCAGTATTTGAAGAGCTTTTAAAAATATTCTGTGTCTTAGACAAAAGAGTTAATATGCTTCTTCTCATTTAATCCTCTAAAAAGCTCTTGTGCCTAAGCATGTCCACAAGTCTTATCCATTCCTATAGCCCCCGACTGTCCTTCTGGCTTTGCCCCAAGGTTTTGTAAATGTATTGCTCTCAGAACACCTCAGGGACTTCCTGTGGACCCACTCACTGGTCTACAGGATGCGGGGCTTGACGTCACACAGAATGCTACCATGAGGGCTCTTTCTGTAAGTGACATTGAGCTACACCCAATTCACAGCCCTTTCAGGGAAGAGTCCAGGCCCCCCTTTTCCTCTCCTTAACCACTGTCACGTCTTTCCAACTGAAACCCCTGCAATCCACTTCCCTCTCTGTACCTGTTTCCTGTGCAGTAGTCTGAGCCGTTGCTGGGGTCAGAACATGATACCCCAAACTATGGCACCTTGGCATGCTGAGTGCTTTCAACGGAAGTAGATTGAAAGGGCCTTAGAAGCAAGGTCTTTCAACCTTCTCCCACCCTCCTTTCTCTTGTTCCTGTTTCTCCCCCAAGGCAGACCTAGAAACTAGAATTCTCCTTCCCTAAAGCAAGCCATAAAACCTAGAAATACTACTCTGACCTTCCTCTGCCTTTCTGTGTAGGAGCTGGCTATAAAGAAATTCTCTGACCTACTTTGTTTGAAAGTAGATCATAAGACCCTCATTCCAGAGGTCCTGCCCTACACCCAGGGGAAAGGAATGCCACACAGAGAGGCCAAGAAGAATCTGAAAGACAGGTCTAGCTAGGTTTTCCCCGCTTCAGTCTCTCACCATTAGATCATACCCTTTGGTCCAACCACATTTCTACATGGCCGTCTGTTCTCCATCAAACCTAAGCACAAAAATAGACAGTTGTTCCTGAGTCTTTGGATCTTCATTTCTGAAGGCTCCCATGTCATGTAAAACTTTTATTCAATAAATTTGTGTGCTTTCTCCTATCCATCTGTCTTTGCCGGTTTTATTTTTAGACCTAATCAGGAACCCTAGGAGGATGGAGTAGGCTTTCCTCCCTGACACTGTCTTTTTAGAAAATAAATCGATTTCCTCCTTACCTCCTTACCCAAATCCTTAAATCACTTTTTATTTATTTAAGATCAAGGCCAAAATCTGACATGGCTTGGCTTCTAAGGCCCTACACTGATGTGGCTTCTGCCAAATGCCTCAGCCTCTGAGCTCATCACTGCCCTATGGCTCACCCTGCTCCAGTCCCACCAGTTCTTCATCCATGAGTTCCTTGAATGTGCCCAGTTCTTTCCTGCCCCAGAGCCTTTGACAATGCTTGCCCTCTGAAAGCCCCTTTCCCTTTTCTAGGCTAATTCCTGATCTTTGATAGTTTTCAGCTTAAAACCTTTTTTACATCTCCTTTCTGTTCTCTAGACTAGTTCAGCCCTCCCACCCATTATATGCTTTTGTAGTACCCAGTGTTTTTACTTTCAGCCCTTAGAATAACTGTAATTTTTGTATGTAGGGTGAATTGGTTGGTTGACTGTTCACTAGTCTTCTTTGGTCAGAAAAAAACCTCTAATTAAAATAGTTGGTACTGGGGTATCTGAGCTTGTGCCCATGAGTACTTTGGTTGGACACCTGCCCAACCACTCAATGCATCAAATCACAATGGTGGTGGGCTTACTATTCTTCAAAGGACAGGCCAGTACTACTCATAAGAGAATTATTCTTTTTCCCAAATGGGATTATATTCTGGTGTCTGTAAGGACAATTGCCGTGTGTACTTTGATGTTGTTACATCACAAATTACACTATAAAGGAAACAAACCCATCTAAAATTTTTCTTTGATGGGGTGGGCTATGATGACAAGACACTAAATTAGAAATGGAGCACTGTATTCTTTCTGGTTTAGGGCATCGAGCCCTTCCTCTTCAAAAGCACATGGGACTAACCAGAAGAATGTCAGGGAACGTGGGACAAACCCTGCCCACTTTGCAAAATGTAGATGGTATAAGGAGAAGACATCGCCTTGAAAGGGAGGCAAAGGCCGGTCGTGGTGGCTCACGTCTGTGGTGGCTCCCAGCACTTTGGGAGGCTGATGAGGGCAGATCACAAGGTCAAGGGTTTGAGACCAGCCTGGCCAACATAGTGAAATCCTGTCTTTACTAAAAATACCAAAAACTAGCCAGGCATGGTGGCAGGTGCCTGTAATCCCAGCTACTCACTAGGCCGAGGCAGGAGAATTGCTTGAACCTGGGAGATGAAGGTTGCAGTGAGCCGAGATTGCGCCATTGCACTGCAGCCTGGGAGACAGTGCAAGACTCTGTCAAAAGAAAAAAAAAAAAAAAAAGAAGGGAGGCAGAATACTTTTAGGAATGAGATGGAATTTCTAGCCGAAGATATTTGAAGAAAAGGCTGATTATTGTAGGGAAGGCAACTTAGGGTACAGAGAATACCTTGCAGTTGGGTTTGGGGATAAATTATCACTGAAACATTTATGGGGAGTGGCAAGTTGATCAATTTTAAATGTGTGGTTGGGTATTTGGCCAGGATTTTCATGGTTCCACATTTTTAAAATCACAATCTTCTCTTGATCTCCACCCAAAATTTAGTAAGAGCAAGAATTTCTTGCAGAGAAGTAGTTTTATGGCCTTGTCTGACTCCCAAGGCTAGATTATGACCTCACTGAGGAGAAAGCCTATGTCTTATTCGTCTTTTATTTTTTTAGACAAGGTCTTACTCTGTCACCAAGACTGGAGTGCAGTGGTGTATCATGGCTCACTGCAGTCTTGAGCTCCTGGGCTCAAGTGATTCTCACATCTCAGCATCCTGAAGAGCTGGGGCTGCAGGCACATGCCATCATGCCCGAGTAATTTTAGTATTTTGTAAATTTTTTTTGTAGAGATGGGATTTGGCCATGTTGGCCAAGCTAGTTTTGAACTCTAGGCTCAAGTGATCTGCCTACCTTGGCTTCCTAAAGTGCTGGGATTAAAGGCCACCATGACTGGCCTCATTCATCATTGTAACCCCTACGTCCAACTCAAGGCTTGGTATAGAGCAGCCACTTCATAATGTTGGCTTTGAATGAATCGGCATTTTAACATTTTTCAGTGAGCAGAGGGGGAGAGCCACTGAGAAGAAAGAGTCAAGGGAGAAAAGTCTGGATGTGGATGGGAGGGATGAGGTGAGTAGTTCAGTGTGTGATGAGGATTATAGGCAGAGAGAGAGGGGTGTCTGTTCTAAAGAGACAAGCAAGTTGGAAGAAGAAGGATATTTTAGGATTAAAGTAGTATAGAGCAGAGAGTTGATTTGGGTGTAGGATAGGTAGGGAAAAGGACAGTGGCTTAACATCTGAACCCTGACTTAAGGGCATGCAGACCAAGCATCGTGGCACAGAAAGAAAACTAGTAAGGCTTACACTGTGGCTCCGCAACTTACCTCTCTGATATTGGACAGGTGCTCTCACCTCAGAGTTCCTTATTCTGTAAAAGAAGAACAATAACTTAGTCACTGATTTAATGTGATAACTTAATTAGCTATTACCAATGACATCTCTGTCAACTCTAAAGCATATTGCAAATGTTTCTTTAAATACGTATTTATACTTTAATTGAGTTTGAAAAGGAAGTTAAACTCATATAAACAGTATGACGAATTAAGTATAAAATGCTGAATAAACTATGAGAGCAAAAAATTATAGAGTATTAGTTTGGTGCAGTTTTGGAAATTACTGACATAATTTCCCATATTGTGCAATAATATTTACCTGCTATAATTACTTACGTGTGTGTGAGAGTCTGTATGTCTTTCCCCATTCAGTCTGTAAATTTCTCACAAAAGTGACACTATCTTAATTATCTCTATTAATTTCTCAACACTTGTGTCTTGAATTGCACTATTGTAATAGCACATTTTACAATTAAAGAAACTGAGGCTCAGCTATCTTCAGGTGCAGACTCTGCAAACTTCTCACAACTAGGTCTTCCCACTGCCATCCCAGGGCTTTTTTCCAACCTGATCTCATGAAAGAGGACTTGAACTTTGATAAACAAAAGCATAGGGACATACAGATAAAAGAGCATTACTCTTGGGGGAACAGCTTAAGCAAAGGCACTGGAACAGGAATGGAAGTTGAGGATCCAGGGAGCATTTTGCAGACCAGTCTGGCTGCAATGGAGGGCGCACACATTTTTATGGTGCTTGCTAACCTTTCCTCCAGGCCTGAGAAAAATAATCAAGAAGCTGTCAAAGGAAATAACAAAAATCTTTTAATTATTTAACAAGTTATCCAAATGCCAAACTCTAGGGAGGGTGATGCTATGTTCATATAAAGTGAATGTAAAACTTAACACATCAAATAAAACAAATACTTCCTTCTTGCCCATGTTTCCTTGTAATTACATCACAAAGAACCCTCACTATGATAGTAAATCAAAGCAGTCTCCTTAATTTATTTCAAGGGCAAATGCCATTGGATAAATTTGAAGTCACCAAGGATCCTCAATTTTGATTGACCAGGCTTAATACACTACCTACTTACTCCAGAGAGCGAACTGAGTCACCAGTACACCAGATCTGGACCTTTCTGGGTGTTGGACTCTGGTATTATGCCAGAGAATTGCAGGCTACCAAATTTGATAGAGTACGTTTCAGGGCTCATTGAAAAATATTATAGAAGGCTTTCTGGGGGTAAGGTGACTCTGTGAGCAGCTTCCAAATGGAAAATTACTGCTTAAAACCCTGCAGGGTCTCCCTAATGGTGGCATGCAAAGCCCTCCATATCCTTACCTCCTTAGTTATTCAGCTTTGTCTCCCAACGTTGCTTTTTTTCATATCCACACATTCTAATCATACTAATCTAATCCCTTGCGCTGTTTCCTGCTATTTCATACCTCTGAGTCTTGAACATGCTTATTTTTCTGCCTGAGGTATCCTTGACCACCTTTCTGCCTGAAAAGAATGTCTCCTTGTTGTAAAAGATATTTTCTGTGGAGGCTTTTAAGGCAATTTCTTTCTTGAACTTAAACAAATTTACAAGAAAAAAACAAACAACCCTATTTAAAAAGTGGGGCAAAGGACATAAACAGACACTTCTCAAAAGAAGCTACTCATGCAGTCAACAAACATGTGAAAAAAAGTTCACCATCACTGATCATTAGAGAAATGCATATCAAAATCACAATGAGATATCGCCTCACAGCAGTCAGAATGGTGATTATTAAAAAGTAGAGAAGCAACGGATGCTGGTGATGTTGCAAAGAAAAAGGAACACTTTTACACTGTTGGTAGGAATGTAAATTAGTTCAACCATTGTGGAAGACAGTGTGGCGATTCCTCAAAGATGTAGAAGTGGAAATACCATTTGACCCAGCAATCCCATTACCGGGTATATACCCAAAGGAATAGAAATCATTCATTATAAAGATACATGCACACTTATGTCCATTGCAGCACCATTGACAATAGCAAAGACATGGGATCAACCCAAATGCCCATCAGTGATAGATTGGATAAAGAAAATATGGTACATATACACCATGGAATACTATGCAGCCATAAAAAGAAATGAGATCATGTCCTTTGCAGGGACACGGATGGAGGCTATTATCCTCAGCAAATTAATGCAGGAACAGAAAACCAAACACTGCGTATTCTCACATATAAGGAGGAGCTGTACAATGACAACACATGGACACATGGTGGGGACAACACACCTTAGGGCCTATTGTGGGAGATGGGGGAGGGAGAGCATCAGGAATAATAACTAATGGATGCTGGGCTTAATAGCTAGGCGATGGGTTGATCTCTGCAACAAATCACCATGGCACACATTTACCTATATAACAAACCTTCACATCCTGTACATGTACTCTGGAACTGAAAATAAAAGTTGATGGAAAAAATAAGACTATTCTTTTCTCCAGTTAAGGTAGAGTTGATTAATGCTCTCCTTGTTTCATTCTGTATCTTATACCACCTTAATAATGGCACCTGTCTTACTATTCCACATCCTTATTTATTTACTTATTTAAAAAAATTTGAGACAGCCTGTTGCCCAGGCTGGAGTGCAGTGTTGTGATCATGGCTCACTGCAGCTTCGACCTCCCCAGGCCCAAGCAATCCTCCCACTTCAGCTTCATGAGTAGCTGGAGTTACAAGTGTGTACCACCATGCCTGGCTAATTTTTGTATTTTTTTTGTAAAGATGAGGTTTTGCCATGTTGCCGGGCATGATCTCGAACTCCTGGGCTCTAGCAAACCACCCACCTCAACTTCCCAAAGTGTTTGGATTACAGGCATGAACCACCACGCACAGCCCATCCTTTTTTATTTTAATAAAAATTCTTTGTACTTATTTCTACATTCCGAGCATAAAGAGAAGGCTCATGTATTCCATGTAATACTGAGGACTCTACTCCAAGTGCTTACTAAGTAGCTGATGCAAAGTAGGTCATCTATTTGTTGAATGAATGCATGGATAAATAAATGAACAAATGATGTAGAGCTAATAGTTTGGTGAGGACAGGACACGTGCAGTTGCGTTAAGTAGGATGCTAGTATGTTTGCAAACCAACTCAGCTAGCTTAAGTGGTAATTGGTTCATACGAAGTGCCCATGGAGTTCTAGGCCCAGGGTTGGACATTCAGCAGCTCAGTAAAGTGAGGAGGGCTAGGTGTCTTTCTGCTTTGCCTGTACCTGGCTCCCCCTTGTGGTTGCAAGCTCCTAGACCTGCAGGTTTCCAGGTCCACATCAAGAAAGGAAAAGTCCTCCTCTGAAAACTCTCTCAAGAAAGAGGAGCTATTTTCCTCAGAACCCACTAGGTAGCATTTTTTTTCCAGTTCCATTGGCCATCATTGCCTAATGGGTTCATGAACCAAGTGGCCACGGTGGCAGGGATGGAGGTTATGCATGAGCTCAGCAATATGGACTTCCACTCACCATGGCTGAACTGGCTGTGGACATTGCTGAGTGTGCCATCTGCCAGCGCAAAGACCAATACTAAGCCTCCAATGTGGCCCCATTCCCTGGTAATCAGCCAGCACCTGGAGACAGGTTGATTACTTTGGTCTGCTTCTGCTATGATTTGGGTTGTTTGACCCCTCCAAACCTCACGTTGAAATTTGATCCCCCGTGTTGGAGACGGGGCTTAATGGAAGGTGCTTGAGTCACGGGGGTGAATCCCTCATGAATGGCTTCATGCCATCCTCGTGGTAGTGAGTGAGTTCTCGCTATGTTAGTTTCCGGGAGAGCTGGTTGTTAAAAAGAGCCTGGCACCTCCCCAGTCTCTGTTGCTTCCTCTCTCACCATATGATCTTTACACATACCAGCTCCATTTTGCCTTCTACTGTAAGTGGAAGCGGACTGAGGTCCTCACCAGAAGCTAATGCTGGTGCCATGCTTTTTATAAAGACTACAGAATGACTAGTCAAATAAATCTATTTTCTTTATATATTACCTAGCCTCCGGTACTATTTTATAACAACACAAATGCGCTAAGACAGAAAATTGGCACTGAGGAGTGGGGTGTTGCTATACACATACCTGGAAATGTGGAAGCAGCTTTGGAACTGGCTAAGGCACAGAAGTTGGAAGAGTTTGGAGGGCTCAGAAGAAGACAGGAAGATGAAAGAAAGTTTGGAACTTTTTAGAGGGTGGTTTAGCGGTTGTAACCAAAATATTGACAAAAATATACACAGTTAAGGCCATGCTGACCAGGTCTCAGATGGAAATGAGGAAAGATCACTCTTGCTATGGTGTAATAAAGAAGTTGGCTGCATTGTATTTATGCCTCAGGGCTTTGTGCTAGGGTAAACTTAAGACTGAAGACCTCAGGTATCTGGCAAAAGAAATTTCTTAGCATCATAGCTGCTTTTAACAGTTTACAACCAGATATGGCAGCAAAAGAATGACCTAAAGCTGGAATTAACAAGTAAAAGGGAGGCAGAGTGTAAAAATTTGGAAAATTCACAGCCTGGCCATGTGCTAGAAAAGGAAAGATCATTTTCAGTAATCCAAGGGTGCTGGGAAACACTTACTTGCTGGAGAAGTTAGCAGGGATTAAAGGGAGACAGGTGCTAATAGTCAAGACAATGGGAAAATGGCCCTGAAGGCAATTCAGAAATTTTCAAAACTATTGCTCTCATCACAGGCCCAGAGGCTGAGGAGAATGCAATGGTTTTGGGAACCCACATGGAGCACTTCTTCCCTATGCCCACCTCAGGAGGCTGCTGCTCACACCCTGGCCACTCTGGTTTAAGATGGTTCAAAGGGCCTCAGGTACTGCTTGGGTTGCTGCTCCAGAGAGCACAGCATTAAGCCTTGGCAGCTGCCATGTGGTGCCAAGTCTGCAGGAACCCAGAATGAAAGAGATGGGGAGGCTCAGCAGCTTCCACCTAGATTTAAGAAAATGTGTTGGAAAGCTTGGATTCCCAGGCAGAAGCCTCTGCAGGGTTGGAGCCACTACAGAAAACTTATACTAGGGCAGTGCCCAGTGGAGCTGTGAGAGCAGGGCTGCTGCCCTCCTAACCCCAGAATTGTGGAGCCATCAGCCATATGCAACCACCGACTGAAAAAGCTGTAGGCACTAGACTTCAAACCATGAGAACAGCCATGTGGGCCATGCTTAGCAAAACCATGGGGATGAGGCTGCTCAGTGCCTTGAGAGCCCACTTTTCACACCAGTGTGCCTAGGATGAGAACATGAAGTCAAGAATTTTTTTGAAACATTAAGGTTTAATGCTTGCTCTGCTGATTTCAGACTTGCATGGGGCCTATTACCCCTTTCTTTTCGTCGATTTCACACTTTTGGAATAGAAATGTTTACCAAATGCTTGTACAACAATTGCAACTTGGAAGTACGTAACTTATTTTTGATTTACAGGCTTATAGCTGGAAAAAACTTGCTTTGAGTCCCAGATAAGACTTTCAATTTTGTATTTGTGAATTGATGCTGGAACAAGGTAAGACTTTTGGGGACTACTGGAAAGGGATGATTGTATTTTCCATGTGAGAAGGACAAGAGATTTGGGGAGCCAAAGGTGGAATGCTGTAGTTTGGTTTGGTTGGCCTCTCCAAATCTCATGTTGAAATTTAATGTGTTTGGGTCATTAGGGCAGATCCCTCATAAATGGCTTGGTGCCATCCTAAATGAGTGATTTTTCACTCTATTAGTTCCTGCAAAAGCTAATTGTTAAAAAGAGACTGGCACCTCCTCCCTTTATTTCTTGATTCCCCTCTCTTCATGTGACCTGCACACAGAGCTTCTCTTTGCCTTCTGCCATGAGTAGAAACCTTCTGAGCTCCTCACCAGAAGTAGATGCTGGCACCATGCTTCTTGTACAATCTGCAGAACTGCGAGCCAAATAAACCCCTTTTCTTTATAAATTACCTAGCCTTGGGTATTCTTTTATAGCAGTACAAATGGACTAAAACAACTTCCATCACAGAAAGGGCAGTGCTTTGTTCTTAGTGGAATAGACATTTACTTTGGATATAGATTTTCCTTCCTTACACACAATGCTTCTGCCAAAACTATCATTCATGTATTTACAGAATGCTTTATCCTGAGTGCCCAATCTGCCAGCAGCAAAGACCAACACTAAGCCTCCAATGTGGTCCCATTCCCTGGTGATCAGCCAGCTACCTGAATGGTCCATAGTCATGGTATTCCACACAGCATGGTTTCTAATTACAGAACTCACTTTACAGAAAAAGAGTGTGGCAATGGACCCATGTCCATGGAATTCACTGATCTTACCATATTTCACACCTGCAGCTAGTTTTATATAAAGGTAGAATGGCCTTTTTAAGACCCAGTTACAGTGCCAGCTAGGCGACGTTATCTTGTAAGGCTTGGGCAGGGTTTTCCATAAGGATGTGAATACTCTGAATAAGTATTCAATATACATTCAATATATGATACTGTTTCTCTCATGGCCAAGATTTATGGGTCTAGGAATTAAAGGATAGAAATAGGAGTGGCACCACTCACTATTACCCCTAGTGACCTACAGCAGAATTTTTCCTTCCTATTATGCTCTGCTGGCCTAGAGGTCTTAGTTCCAGAGGTAGGAATGCTTCCACCAAGAGAGTTATTCCATTGAACTGGAAGTTAAGACTGCTACCCAGCCACTTTGGACTCCTTATGCCACTTAGTTAACAGACGAAGAAGAGAGTTAGTGTGCTGGTCAGGGTGATAGACGCTGACTACTAAGGAGATATTGAACTACTACTCCACAGTGGAGGTAAAGGTAAGTGCTGGAATACAGGAGACCCCTTAGGGTGTGTCTTATTGTTACCACATTCTATGATAAAAGTCAATAAGAAACTAAAATAACCCAGTCCAGACAGGACTATGAATGGTCCAGATCCTTCAGGAACAAAGGTTTGGGTTACTTCTTGTTATGGATTGAATGCTTGTGTCCCCTCAAAATTTATATGGCAAAAGCCTAACCCCTAATGTGATGATACTAGGGGGTGAGACCTTTGAGAAGTAATTAGGTCATAAAAGCAGAGCCCTCATGAATAAGTTGAGTGCACTTCTAAGAAGACACATGCGTGTTAGCCGTCTCTGCCTGCTCTCCACCACTTGGGTCACAGTGAGAACATAGACTGCAAACCAGGAAGAGGGCCTTCACCTGATCCTCTAGATCCTTGATCTTGAACTTCCAGCCTCCAGAATGGTTAGAAATACATTTTTTTCATTGTTTAAGTCATCCAGTCTGTGGCATTCTGTGACAGCAGCCCAAACTGACTAAGACATCCCACCAGATTAAGAACTATGACCAGCTGAACTGCTTGCTAATAGCAAAGCAAATGCAGAATTAGTAATGGAAGAAGGTAAATCGTGAATACCAGTGACAGAGATTCTTGGCTTGATCCCATTTTTATTCAAGTCCCTGAACCTTCTCCTAGGTTCATTTGTGTGCTTCCTCGTAAAGTCCAGTTTTAGCAAAGAACCCTGCTAAGTCAGTTTAGTAAGAATCACCCCCATCATCCTCAATATCTGATCACTCACTTTTCTTTTTTTGGTCCAGATGGGGTCTTATTCTGTCATCCAGACTGGAGTGCAGTGGCACGATCATAGTTTCTGATCACTCTTGATACCTGATCAGATTCCTCATCCTCCACTATCCCCTGGGTGATGTCAGATTACCCTGGCCTGTCTTAAGCAAGAATTCTGTTAGGTCTATTTAGCCAGAATCCCTCTTACGCTGAAGTTTTCTATTAGTAATTTTCTAACCACTGACTGCCACCCTGATTTTTGGCTATAAATTCCCACTTGTCCATGCTGTATTCAGGGTTGAGCCCAATTTCTGTCCTCTATTGCAAAATCCCATTATAGTTGTCCCTATATCTACTACAATGGCCTTGAATAAAATTGTTCATGTCATGATTTACAAGTGTTATTGAAATTTTAACACCAGCTACAACTATATGATCAATTAGAGAAATGAGGACTGAAATTGGCATGGGTATTTTCTCCTTATTTTGTTATGAACATGTGTGTGTGTTTATTTTTAAATATTTTTTCTTCAACTTTTATTTCAAACTCAGGGGTACATGTGCAGGATGTGCAGGTTTGTTACATAGGTAACATAGGTGTGCCATGGTAGTTTTCTGCAGGGATCATCCCATCACCTAGGTATTAAGCCCAGCATTCATTAGCTGGTCTTCCTCATGCTCTCCTTCTCCCCACCCCCTCAAACAGGACCCAGGATGTGTTGTTCCCCCATGTGTCCATGTGTTCTCAACATCAGCTCCCACTTATAAGTGAGAACATGTGGTATTTGGTTTTCTGTTCGTGTGTTAGTTTGCTAAGGGTAATAGCCTCCATCTCCATCCATGTTCCCACAAAAGACATGATCTCATTCTTTTTATGGCTGCATAGTATTCCATGGTGTATATGTACCACCTTTTCTTTATCCAGTCTATCATTGGTGGGCATTTGGGTTGATTTCATGTCTTTGCTGTTGTGAATAGTGTGGCAATGAACACATGTGTGTATGTATCTTTATCACAGAATGAT
Source organism: Homo sapiens (assembly GCF_000001405.40). Taxonomy (NCBI): domain Eukaryota; kingdom Metazoa; phylum Chordata; class Mammalia; order Primates; family Hominidae; genus Homo; species Homo sapiens. The sequence goes on along the minus strand of NC_000002.12, from coordinate 126,522,957 downwards.
TTATATTCCTTTGGGTATATACCCGGTAATGAAATTGCTGAGTCAAATGGTGTTTCTCTTTCTAGATCTTTGATGAATCACCATGTGTTGTGTGTCTTTAAACATGTACATATAAAAATAACTTTGTTTCTCCTCTCCTCTTATCATGTAATGTGAGATCTATTTACTTTATATCATAGTATTAAATAGTGCTAATTTTATATCATGGTATTTAAACAATGGATATCAAGGAGGAGAGTTAACAGCACTGAAGGACTTTACCTTCTCTTCTGGAGGAGTTAGTACCATTTATATTGTACAAAGGATAGTTGTATCATGTGCAGCAGAGTCATGGCCTTGTTATTGTCTTTATTTTACAGTTAAGTATGGTTTAAGGAGATGTATGTGGATGTGGACTTGTGAGGGTTCATGTTATGAGTCAACTTGACTGGACCACAGAGTGCCTAGACATTGGGTCAAACATTATTCTGGGCATGTCTGTGCAGGCGTTTCTAGATAAGTTTAACATTTGGACTGGTAAACTGAGTGAAGTGAGTTGCTCTTCCTTATGTGTATGGGCCGTACTCAATCTGTTGAAGTCCTGAATGGAACAAAAATGCCAACCCTTTCATGAGTAAGAGGAAACTCCTCCTTTCTGACTGCTGGGAGATCTGTCTCTTCTTGCCTTCGGACTTTAACAGAAACATTGATTCTTCTTGAGTCTGGAGCCTGCTGGATTTTGGACTGAAATTTACACCATCAGCTTTTCTGAATTTCCAGCTTGCTGACTGCAGATCTTGGGATTTATCAGCCTCTGTAATCATGTGAGCCAATTCCTTATAATAAATCTCTTTCTATATACACACCTACACACACATCCTATGAGATCTGCTAACAAATGATGTGCTCTGCCTTAGAGCTGAGTGAAGATTATTTTGAAGAAAACACAGGGAGAGATGTGGACGTGCATCTAAATAGGGCGATTTTAAAGAGAGGAGAGCTACATTTGGGAGGTAACCACAATGACTACAAAGGGATGAAAAGGGCACACCCAAAAGCCATTCATGTTGTCTGTGTTCACTCTGGATTTCTATTCCTGGTTGTGTTTGGATTTGGAGTTCTCTCTCACTTTCTTTTCCTTTATCAAAATAAACTGACAATATATATTAATATAATATATAAAATACTGACAGCATTAATATAAAGTCAGTTTATTACACATAGCGAGAGAGAGAGACTACACACACACACATACACATACACATACAGAGATATGTGTGTTTCATGTGCACACATCTCCAAAGTTGTGTCTGCCTTGTTCATGACACCCCTCAGGGTAAAGGTGGCAGTGCCTGTGTCTCTGTCAGCCTGAAGGGCAGCATCAAGGGGCCTACTCTTTAGAGAAGCCAATTTGCACAATTTATCCCCCTTCAGGGGACACCTTGCCATTATCAAATGCATTACTCTCCACTCTGTGAAACATTACAGGTGCAAAAATCCTGCCCAATCAAGGAAAGCCTTAGAATTTGAATTCTGGAGTTATTTGCCAGGACCAGATCTAGGGTGGTCTGGCATTTGTGGAGCCCACCACGTGCCAGGGATTTATTCATGCTTCCTCCCGCAATCCTCTCAGCAGCCACACTAGGAAGAGATCTGAGAGGGGCTTCATGGAAGACATGCTGCCCTATAATCCAGGCATGTCACAGACACATAATTAACATTTCCTTTTCATTTGCCTCCTTCATCCACACATATGCTGAGGTTTTCTTTGACACTTCTCTCTTCTGACTGTGCCATTTCTTTTTTATTTCATTACAAAACCACAAGCTAAAAAACAAAAATGAAGCACCAAAAATATTTCTCCTCGCTTTCCAAAAAAGCAAAGAAAACAACAGAAAAACCAAACATAACTACTACCATCAACAATAACTATTGGCTTCACAAAAATGGAACCCAACATGAGTTCAAAGCTTTGACTTCACCTGGAAAAATTTCACATTCAATTCACTTTATTAAAACCAAATTCACATCTGTTTAAAAGGTGAGGAAACTTGGACAAGGTGGGGAAAGGGTTTAGTTGAAATATTCTCATGCTGGTATCTGTGTCAATGGAGCTGTGTGCTGTCCACCGGTCTCTTTCTCTGTGTTGGCTGGTCTTTGATTTTCACTTGAATTAAGAAAGAGATTCATTAACTCAACAAATCCTCCTTCTACTATGGGCCAAGTATAGCTGTAGGCTCCATAAATTCAGCTATGAACAAGACCTATCTGGAACTACTTTTCTGGAGCTTAATTCTGTAGAGAAAGATGGACATTAAACCCATGAATCAAGACATGATCAAGAGAACTTCAGCTGGTGACAATGGCTATGAAGAAAGTAAGACAGAGAGAAGTGGTTGGAGCTGCCCGGGGTGAGAGCTAAGTTGGAGAGAGCCAAGGAAGACCCCCTGAAGGAAAGGACATGTGAGCTGAGACCTATGTGATGGGAGGTGCTGGGCACTCCTTCCCAGGACAGGGGGAAGCAAAGTAAAAGTCCAGAGGTTAGGAGTGAGTTTGGCTTGTTTGGTAAGACCAGAGGGAGTGAGGAAGAGTGGTAGATAATTTCTGGATTGTTATGGTTTATTCTGCAGGTCACTCCTGTGTTAGCACATGATTTAATCCTCACAGCAGCCATATTTCGTACATATCATGTCAAATTTAGAGACGCACATGCTGAAATGCACATGCTGACACCCAGAGACCTGGGATGTCATAGCCAGCCAAGACCAGTGGGAGAATGGACCCCAGGCATCATCTACCAGTTGGTGAGTGTGAAAGCCAGGGATCAGCTCACACAAGACCACCCTTACATCTGACAACAATTGAAATTTTGGGAGGGCACCCAAGCTACCCTCTGTTTTTGATAATTCACTAAAAGCACTCACAAAACTCATGAAAGCAGTGGTACTTGCAGTTACAGTTTGTTACAGGGAAAAGATACAGATAAAAGTTGACCAAGGGAAGAGATATCTAGAGGAGAGTCCAGGAGGGGATGAAGTGCAGAGTTTCTAGTCGTCCTCCCTTTGTGGAGTGAGGGCAATGTTTCCCTCCTTGCATTCATGTGTGACCATTCACACTGAGTACTGCCAACCAGGGAAGCTCACCTGAGCCTTGGTGTGCAGAGTCTGTAGTAGAGCTCCATCACGTAGGTGTGACTGATTAGTTGTCCACATGATTGACCTCAGTTTTCAGCCCTCCTTTAGCTGACTGATATTGTGTGACCAAAAGCCCCCACCCCAGGTCACTTTGTTAGTATCCAATGTGGACAGCCCCCATTCTAAATCACACTGTTAGCTATCCAGGGGAACTCAAGACCCCCAGGCCAAGTCACTCCATCAGGTATGACATTCCAGGAGCCTAGAGATCAGTTCCCAGTAGCCAAGGGCAAAGGTCAGGCCTCCTTTTAAGCAAGGTTAAATTCTGCACTGTGCATTAAGCTATACATTTTATGCAGGACGTTGATTATGAAACAGGAAATTTTTCTTGACTCCTTCACAGGACTTACTCAGCCTGCAGCTCTCAACCCCTCATGGGAGGAGGAGCACACAGGTGAGTGGGTGCAGGGGCTGGGATGAGTGCTTCTGGGCGCTAGCAGGAGCTGAACTCTGTGTGGCCTTGGGGCAGCAGGTAGGGAGTACCCGCAACCCCCAGAGTCCCAGAGGGCATGTGTTGCAGTGTGCTCTTTTAGTTTTCCTGCCTGTGGATGGCTTGAGTGTTTAAGGGCTCAGTGTGACAGCCCTCTGTATCCTGAGCTCTTGTTTGGCATCCAGGAAGAATCAGGTGACATGAACGTATTGAAGATGGTAAATGTGGGGGATTTTATTGCCAATAAAAGTGGCTGTCAGTGGGATGAAGAGCTGGAAAGGGGATGGAGTGGGAAGGTGGTCTTCCCCTGGAGTTTGGTGGTCCCCAGCTGAACTCTTCTCTGAGGTCCCGCCGTCAAGCTGTCCCTCTGAAGTCAAAATGTTTCTTTCCGATGTCTGGCTGCTTCTTCTCTTCTCTCCTTCTCTGCCATGCCTTTGTCAGTTTGGGCCTGGGGTTTTTATGGGTACAGGATGGGAGGTGGGCAGGCTAGGGTGATTTTGGAAAAGGCAACATTCCAGTGGGAAAATGAGGATGTAAAGTTCTCACTTTGGGCTCTGGCTTTAGGTCTGAGGGTGGGGCTTCACTAGGAACCCTGCCTTTTTCTGCCTAGAATTTTTCTGCCTCTTGTCCCTATCACTTATGAGACGCACAGGTTTCTGGCATGCCCACTGCTCCTCTCTTTGTCTTGTAGGTCCTTTTATATGTCAGTGGATGTGGGGCATCTTTGATTAATGGGGTGGTGTTTCCCTGCATTTGCAGGCACACCTGCACCTTCTATCCACTGCAGGTGAGAAAATTCGTCTCCTACCAGGCTTTCAGGGTCTAGAGCTGACACTGATGGGAGGTTATCTGGGAGTCAGTCTGGGGCATAATGGAAAGCATCCTTGCCAGGCCACCCACTCACAGCACCTGTTCAGAAAGGGCAGAGTGGAGGGAAGGCAGCACACTGGCACTCTTGGACTATCACCATGGCAACAGCTCCAGTCCAGCATCCTGCATCCTTCAAGGACATCCCTTCCTGAGCCTTAGCCCTTCTCCTCACCAGAACGTTGTCAGCTTTGTTTGAGGGCAGCTTCATTGCTTGTGAGTCCCCACTGGGCCATGACAATTCAGGTAGCTGCCCTTTTCCCACTGTGATGGCAGGTGGCACTTGGCAAAGGGAGCGCGGGAGCAGAATTGCCTGCAGACCCCTCACATGGGTCGTGCTTCCTTCTACAGCCCTGCAGGGCCCCCACCCTCTTACCTGGCTTCAATCTAAGCTGATATACCTGAAATGTCCCTTCCTTCTCATGCTTGTTCTGCCTTCCCAGATCTACCTGAGTCTGACACAATCTCAAATATCCCTCCATAAAGAGACAGTGTGAGGGCAATCAGAATGTGGGGCGATGTGGCAATCATTCAAAATCCAAGTTGGCTTGTTCTTAGACCAAATCACTTGGGCAAATTATTTCAAATCTCTGAGCCTCTTTTCTCTTTTATAAAGCTTCACAGGTTTCTTATAAATGAGGTCATACACACAAGTGATTAAGATATTAACTGATACATTATTAGCTAATGTTATTGTCATGGTGGCTGTTGTGAGGGTTAAATGAAGGAATCCATTGTCATTGGTACATAATGGTTGCCCATTGCATGCTATTTCTTTTATCTTCAAGGTGTCATTGTCCTCTTTTCCTAGCTCATCATGAATAGCATTTGGTTGCCTGATTATGCATGCACACACATGCACACACACACAATGTCGTCACTCTCTCATCTTCAGCCACTGCAACCTTCTTGCTCTTCCTTAAACGCATCAAACACACCCCATCTTCAGACACCTGCTCTTGCATTTTCTTTTCTTGCAGTGCTCTTTCCCAAGACAGCTGATGGCTCAACTCTACATCTGGGTCTGTGCTCTGACATCAGCTTTTCCAAGTCCTTCTCTGATCTCCACATCTAGGAAAGCAGCTTGAGGCACTCTCTCCTCCTTCTGCTTTGCTTTTCCGCAGAGCATTTATCTGTGTTTTATCAGAATATATATATCTGGGTGCTAATTTTCTATCTCCTTTGTTAGAATTCAGTTTCCACTAGCACAGGTTCTTTGCTCAGTACTTTATCCTCTGCTCCTAGAATAGTGCTAGTTACATAGTAGATACTTATTTAATATTTCTTGAATAAGCAAAAGAATACTCTCTTGATTATATTCTAGTGGTTTTATTTTATTTTATTAGTTTTTAGAGACAGGGTCTCACTTTGTCACCCAGGCTGGAGTGCAGTGGTACAATCATAGCTCACTGCAGCCTTGAACTCCCAGGTTCAAGCGATCCTCTCACCTCAGCTTCTCGAGTAGTTGAGACTACAGGTGCTAGCCCCCATGCTCAGATAATTTATTTTTTATTTTTTGTAGTGACAGGGTCTCACTGTGTTGTCCAGGCTTGTCTTAAACTCCTAGCCTGAAGCAATTCTCCAGCCTCGGCCTTCCAAAGTGCTGGGATTACAGGTTTGAGCCACTGTGCCTAGCATTTCTGAGGTTTTCTTTGTTTACATATAGTCTTAGAGAACAGGGTCCAGAACTTACCTGTTTTCTGTCTCCACTTCAGTATATCTCAAAAACATTTGTTTATGTCCCATATTCAGTGAAGACATCTAGAATCCAACTGTATCCACCAATCAATCTCTTTTAATGAACACTCATTTACTGATGTGTATTTTGTACATGGACCTGTTTGACTTTTAGAAATTGAAAGATCATTATAATGTTATCCTGCCTTCAAATAGCTTACAGTCCTATAAAAGAACTCACAGTCTAGTAAGCTGAAATTACAGCCCAGGTGAAGAAATACATTTTCCATTGTGACTCAGTACAACACACACACACACACACACACACACACACATGCATAGACACAAACACATTCACACACATGCAATGGAAATAATTTTTTAGGGATACTATGTATTTTATTTATTTTATTTCAGCTTTCAGAAATTCCGTTACTTACTAAATTGATTTTATGACTCATCAATGAGTTATGACTCCCAGTTTTAAAAACATGACTATAATAAAACTTATTTACTTTCCTTGATTGCTTAGAGAATTATGTAATTATTATTTCACAGACTTTTCATGTCTGTCTTCTTCACTACAATAAAGGTGATGCTGGTTATAGTAATCTTACTTTATGCCAAACACTGTTTTAAGCACATTTCATGGATTATCTCATTAAATCTCCACAACAAGACTTTGAGGGTAGGCCTATTTCTAGCACCATATTTAAACAGATATGGAAAACAAGCTCAGAGAGATTACAAAGCTATTTGAAGTCTCACAGCAAGTAAGAGGCAGGAAGGACCAGAGCTGTGTTCTTAAACACTACACCATATTGATTCCCTAGAGCCACTGGATTCAGGCAGGAACCATATCTGTTTTCACTCATTATTGTATCCCCAAGTTGAGAACCTCTGGCTCCCCTCCTGGGTTCCTTCTTCCTTGTAATGATGCTATTCCTCCATCTCATTGTGTGGTATAATAAAGAATATATCTGCTCTTTATCTCCAGTTCTTGTCGTAGAGCTTCAAAAACCCTTGGAATTTCCTGAGTGACTGGCACATGTGAGCTGACTCTTGATGGGTCCCTAGATAACTTCTGGATGAGAGTTAGTCATCACAAAGACCAGCCATGTGATTAGAGCACTGAAACTTTCAGCCATCTGACCTTAGAGAGGGGACAAGGGCTGGAAGTTGAGTTCCATCACATGGCCAGTGATTTAATAAATCATTCCCATGTGATGAAACCCTAGTAAAAACTTCTGGACACAGAGGCTCAGTGGATCTTCCTGGTTGGTGAATGGATTCATGTGCTGAGACAGTGACACACTCTGATTCCATGAGGTGAGGGCACGAAGGATCCATTCCCTACCCCCAGATCTTGCCCTTTGCGTCTCCTCATTTGGCTATTCTGGATCTAGGTCCATTAAGATAAAACTAGAATTATAAGTATAGAACTTTCAGGAAGTTCTAGGAGTCAGTGTAATAAATTATCAAAACTGAGAGGGTTATGGAAACCCTTAGATTTACAGTCAGTCAGTCAGAAGTGTGTATGGTCCTAAGACTTGCAGCTGACATCTGACTGAGGTCTGTCTCGTCAAGGGCCAAACCCGGTGTGGGATCTGACACTAATCTTGGGTGGTCAGCATCAGAGGTGAATTGTGGTCTGTTTAGTTTGGTGGAAACATCGTATTTTGGAATTTGTAGCTGGTGGGGAAAAGGTAGGGATGGTTTGGGACATCCACACTTGCCACTGTTGTCTGAAGTGAGGATAGTCACCTGAGAGACTTTGTTTTTAATGTGTGGGGTCTGCACTAACTCTGGGTAGTTGGTGTCAAAGCTGAATTGGATTGTGGGACACCCACATGGTATCAGAGACTTGTCAGAACAATTCTGGAATCCACCCGTAGGAATCTTTGTGCCTTCACTGCCTTCTCAGCCTCAGCACTTACTCCCACCTGATAAGCTTGTTTGAAAAGAAGAACTAATGATTAATGAGACTTAAATTGTGAAAACTACAAGTACCACAAAAAATTTGTCCTTTAAAATTCATGTTTTCAGCCTGGGCGTGGTGGCTCACACCTGTAATCCCAGCACTTTGAGAGGCCGAGGCAGGCGGATCACAAGGTCAGGAGTTCGAGACCATCCTGGCCAATATGGTGAAACCCTGTCTCCACTAGAAATACAAAAAATTAGCCAGGAGTGGTAGCGGGAGCCTGTAGTCCCAGCTATTCAGGAGGCCGAGGCAGGAGAATCGCTTGAAACTGGGAAGCAGAGGTCGCAGTGAGCCGAGATCACTCCATCTCACTCTAGCCTGGGCGACAGAGCGAGACTCTGTCTCAAAAAAAAAAAAATATGTTTTCATGTGTAGCATGGCATGTCAAACACCAGTCTGTCAACAAATCATTATTTGGGAAAGGAAGGTCTTGCCAGGTGCTGAGGAATGAAAACAATTGAGCCAGTGCTCTGAATTTTCCATTTAGGAGCACTGTAAACTGGGCTACAGTTTTAACCTGTCTGGGCTTGAGTTTCCTCCCTAAATACATGAAGCGTGGAAAAAATTAAAATAAACTTCCTAATATAGTTTTAAGAAATGTGTCCAGGTTAGCATATCCATCCACCCCCTTCTAAGAACTTTTGGTTCCAGTCAATATATGGGTCAGGTGTTCTAATCACAAAGGTACACCAGAGTATTGAATTAACATTAATTCAGGCAGGGCCTAATGATCCCAGAAACTCCCCTTTCCTGCAAGAGGCTTCTTTGGTTCGAGATAGACTAGAGGAGTCTCACCATATAGGTTTCTTAGGGGTTTCTGTGCTTATATACAGGCTTAGGGAATAGGGCCCAGAAAGGAACTGCTTGCTCACAACACAATGCTCACAGGCATCAAACCCTCATTTGTTTTTCTAGGGAATTAGAACTACTTTCCATTCCTGTACACTGCAATCAGTTTTTACTTCTCTTCCCAAATCACTGCCACTCCCTGCCTCCTTGCACTGCCAAAACATCCATTCTGTGCCCTCTGGACTCCTTTGCTCTCCACCTAAACCCTAAAGTCTTTTCCCATGGCACATCATACAATGCATGCCCATGAAATTTCTGCTTATTTTTATTCCCATATAGACACCAGAAGTGTGATATCTATTTTGCAGAGGTGTTAAGGATGGAATAAGAAAACATATATGAAGTGCAGCTTATTGCTGGAATTTGATAAAGATGAACTTGTGTTCCTCCTTCAACCACACAGAAGCAGCGACATATGTCCCTCTGGCACAGTGGAGGTTTCTAGTTGTTAGACTTTACTGAGTCTAACAGCTGCAAACCTCTCCTTCCCAGGCTACATTCTGTGTTCTCATCACCCAGTTATATCTCAGGAAGTCCAGGGGTTCCTTTACCCTCTGAGTGTGACATGGACCACCAGCAGGGACCAAAGAGGGTCACGGCAGTGGAAAAAGCCAGGGTATAGATGAGCAGAGACCCAAGAAGACCAGGCATGTCATCCTTACAGTCCAGCACAGAGCAGAGCCTGCCAAAGGATACAGCTGGATAAGCCAGAGAGAGACCTGGCATTTCCTCATCCATCCTCAGGGGTGACTCAGACTGACTCCTGACAGCCCTCTTAGCCTCCAGCAGAAGGAGGTGAGCAAGCGTGAGAAAGCCAGCCATCCCCCCTCCTCCCCATTCTGCCTTCCTGGAGCCAGATGCCTGGATTAAGAGGCGAAGGGAAAAGTTGTCATCCAAGGTAAAAGAGAGGTTCAAACAATGCTAACTTTCAAAAACCAGAAGTGACCGAGATGTGTAAAATTCACATAGCATGTCATTAAAGATGAGATGAAAGTTGGGCAGCATGGTGAAAGCAGTGATTACAGAAAAAGTGAATAAAATGATTCCATGTTTGGAATCCACTGGCTATAGATCACTTAATAAGTCGATGACAGAGGATTGAACAAGATTCAGTGGAATCTGAAAGACTTGTCTGAGTGGCTGATTTTGGGGTCCAGAGCCAGACAGAGATGATTCTGGGAGTGGGAGGAGTCAGGAACAACTGCCAGAGGCATCAGTTGTGTCACCCCAGCAGGTGGCTGCAACGCAAGGCATCTGCCCATCAGCCAGTATCCAGCAGGGGAGCTCATGGTGCAGGCCAGAAGCAGGGCGGGCAACCTCATCCTGGTGGGTCTTTTGAAGGCTTGGGCACATGAGTACAGATGACATGGAAACGCAGCACGAGGCAGGTCATGCTGCACTTGGGGGTTGGGATGGGACCAGCACACTGGCTCTGTCCCCCTCGCGGTCAGAACACACAGGTGACAGGTACCTCCATGGCTACGTATCCTTCTAAATGCAGGCAGGGCATTTTCTCATGTCCACAGTGACCTCAGATACATCAGGATCAGTGAGTTCATTATGTTTCCTCTTATTCCCAATTACTGTAAATGAATTTCTGCAGAATCACCGAGAACTGTGAAGATTTACAACAGATTAACTTTCATTTAGTTTAACGAAATTGTCTCAATGCATAAATCCAGGCCTGCTTCAGACTCATAAATTTTTATAGCTCCTGCTTAGTAGACAATCCTTTTTTTCCCTTTTCTTTCCTTCCCCTGCCCCTCTCGCTTCCTCTCAGACTCTGCTCTGCCTTCACAGTCCGCCTGGGCTGGGAACCCCTGTCAGACTCTTCCAAGCCAGGAGATGAAAGCTTCCAGAGAGCGATGTAAAATATATTTATGGCCTCTCTCTGCAAATACTCCTGTTTCTTCATAAATGAGTATAAATGAAGCGTGACAAGCAATTTGCTGCATGGAGGCTGATATTAATGACTTGACATATTCATACCTGCTTATACGATCACATTTTTTCTTTTTCTTGGCCAGTGACACATTCTGGTCCAAAGGAACTTACATTAAGAATAGTCCCTTTTCCCATATTAAGAGGAAAACGTTTCCTAAACCTCCTGTATTATTCACATGGGTACTTAAGGGCTCTTTGCAGTTAGCAGGAGCCTTCCTGTGGGAAGTAGGGTGGTACAGGGTGAAGATGGATCGTCCATTAATTCATTTAACAAAATTTCATGGCTTCATTATCTCTGTTACAAGAAGGGATAGGCGATGGAACAGGATGGCCCACACAGACCTCATGGTCTAGTGGGGTGCTCTGGGACAGCCAGGTCCAGGGTCAAGCCTGAAGTGGGCCTGCTTGGTTTCCTGCCGAATGCTGCCTTACTATAAGATTGCTGTGGAAAGCTTCCCAAACACCTCTGGGAGGGATGGCAGCTAGAAGGACCACACACTGGGACAAGGCAGAGAAATAATTTGGGAAATTAGAATATTAATGCTGTCTTCCGTGAGTCATTTTCCCCAGCAGGGTCATGTCCAAAGCAGATGAACCCATTTAAAAAAAAAGTTGTCAGGTTATTATTTTAGGAGGCAAAGTCCAAGATGTAAAACATAAGACAAAGAGGATTTGTCTTATTCATGCCACATGTCCATCTCCACCAAAAACAGGGAAGCTCTAAGCTGAGGAGGAGGGTGGTGAGGAAAGAGAGGGAGAGATGGAGGACCCCGTCCTCAACAGTGAATCAGGGAATGCCTTGGAAGAACTCACTTTAAATCCAATGAGCCGACAGGCACTCGGCTTTACCCACCACTAGACTCAAGGAGGCGTCAGCCTGGGAGCTGGGCCCTGCACCAGAGCAGGGCGAGAGTAAGGGGTGCAGGGTGCTGTGGCAGGGAAGCGATACAGGTCAAGTTCCACCAAGGCTTTCCTCTTTTCCCCCCTCAAGGCTAATGTTAAGCTTTAGAAGGCAAATAATGAGAACCAAATAATGCAGCGATCAAGTGCAGAGATGACTGATGCATTTGTAAGGGGAGGTAGGGGCCAGTGAGGATGCTGCTGATACCACCCAACATAGGCTGGGTGGGGGTTGGTGGTGGGCGTGGCTATGGGAGGTGATTCCTCATGAAGACCAGCAGAACCCTGTGACTGAGGAAAGAGGAAGGGAAGGAAGAGTCAAGTGTGACCACAGGATTGCACCTGGATATCTCAGTGACGCAAACTTCTTCTATTGGATTCCAAATCCCTTGCTCATGGTAATCTTGGGATGCAGTGCCTCTTCCACACATTATCAGCTGTTTGACCTGAAATACAGATGACAAGAAGATTAAAGGTTCATAACAATGTGGAGACTTTACTTTCTACAACTTCATGATGAAAACGGACCTAGCAGAAACCTAACAAAAACCAGATTGTTAACTTGGCCCCTGAGGCACTGAGGATTTCATGGGAATTTGAAAAAAGAATTCCATGAATTATTTCTTCCTCTAGAAAGACACTCCCATCCCCCACATTGCCCCAGCCAAGATATTCTGTAACACTCTAGGCAAGGGTAGAGAATATAACAAAACTTCTTCTGAGACAGTCAAAAATAAAATTAATTACTATTCTCAGGATGCAAAAGCACAATGAAAATTTCTCTTACAGGTCCAGGCATCTGCTTCCCTAGCAATTTGCAGGAAGTTGATGCATCTCAGTGCAAACCAAAAAGCATCTGTGACAGGTCTTAATGAATTTAGAAGTTTATTTTGTCAAGGTTAAGGACATGCCTGTAAGAAAGAAACACAGAAATCATGGAAACGGCCTGCAGTCTGTGTCTTTCTCCAAAGATTATTTTGAGGGCCTCAATATTTAAAGGAGAAAAGCAGGCTGGAGGGAAAAGAAAGAACATGTGGTCACATTACTGAATTCACATTTTGCTAGAGAAAAGGAGCAGGTAGGGAAATCGTCAATTATGTATTCATTTTGTGCTCAATAAATTGGCACTTTACATTAGATAAAGTGAACATAGAACCTGTGGAGATATCTGGCCTTTAATCTGTTGCTATTTGCTTAGGAGCAAACAGAAAGGCAGTTTCTTACATGACTCAGCTTTCAGCTTAATTTTTTCCTTTTTGCATAGCGAGTTGGGGTCCCAAGATTTTATTTTCCTCTCACGAAAGCAAACATTTATCAATGCCCCTCCTGCCCAGGAGCAGTGCCTGGTGCTGGGTCATTTGATTCCACCACAGGTGAGCCTCAGATGGGGAGAACAGCCTTTCCCACTTCAGCAGGGCACAGGCCTGGACAGCACAGTTCCCTGGAGGAGGCTGATTTTGCATGAAGTCTTGACTGAAATGGCTATAAGAGAATGGGGAAAAGAATATAGGGCTTTTCTGGAAGAGTATGTGGTCTGAGAAAAAGAGGGGAACCAGAGCTTCTGATTTCTGGTTGGGTTATATATACAACTTCAACTCGGAAAAACAGTCTAGGTATATTCTCTCCACCAGCAAGAATTCTCAGTGATCAGCCTTTGCAGTGAACTGTAATCTGTAGCCTTTCTAGCCAATCCCAATTGCCGGGACAGCATACGCTCTCGCATGCCTTCTCTTGTAATATGAGCTTTGTAGATTTTCCTTCTTGTTATTACCTAGATTTAAGAGTTTTATTCATTAAAAATATATAGTCCTGCCTTGCAATTATTTGTCGATGCTTTATTTCCACACTAGATTATAAATTGATAGAGGACAAGGACCATGACTTACCATCTCTGCTCCCCCTAGTAACACCTGAGAGCATTATATAGAGCACAACATCTAATAGCACTGTCCAGAATGCAAGATGTGAAGCAGGAAGACCTGGGACTGCCTATGCGTTTATTCCCTTCTGGCTGTGTGACCTCATGAGGTTGACCAAACCTTTCTGAATCTCGGTTTCCTTATCCAATAAGTGAGTATACAAAATAGTTGCAACAGAACATTACTGGTAAGATTCAATGGCATAGCAAGAAGTGAGTAAATTACTATGGGGAGCTTAACAATGGATCAAAGATAGAAAGCCACGTTAAACTAAAGTTGTGATTTCCTAGTAGTATCATTTAGTATTTGAAGTATCATTAGGAATGATGTGAAACACTTTGAGGGAGCTGAAACAGACAGGAAATAGGGACTGGATAAGCACACAGGCTGATGTCCTATTTTGAGCCTGCCACTTTCTACTTGTAAGTTAATCAGAATTGTGGTCTGTCCACTGGTGTACCACAATATTATATACTCAATAGATGGCGACCTGAAGCGACCTGAAAAACATCCCCATTAAAGACGAGGTCACATAGGTTTATTGTCTACACTGCTTCCATATGCCTGCTCTGTTTCCACTTCCTGTTGCAACTTCTCTGTGGAGCTCTAGGCTTTTTTTTTTTTTTTTGGCATGGTCTCTCTCTGTCACCCAGGCTGGAGTTCAGTGGTGCAATCTCGGCTCACTGCAACCTCTGCCTCCCAGGTTGAAGTGATTCTCATGCCTCAGCCTCACAAGCAGCTGAGATTACAGGTGCCCGCCATGACACCTGGCTAATTTTTGTAATTTTAGTGGAGAAGGGGTTTCACCATGTTAGTCAGGCTGGTCTTGAACTCCTGACTTCAAGTGATCCACCGGCCTCGGCCTCCGGAAGTGTAGACTTACTTTTTATTTGAATCCTGCTAACATGAATATTAATAACACAAATATGATAAATGTGATACTGTATATCATATTAGAATGTGAGCTCCTTGAAGGTAGCAGTTTTTGCCTGACTGGCTTACCTTTGTGTCTTTAGAACCTAGGACAATATCTGGTTTATATTACGCATTTCATAAATACTGATTATATGAATGAGTAAACAAATGAATGAGTCCTCTAAGGTGTTCAGCCAATCCTAGCAGTTCCTTTGGATGCTAACGCACCTTGGATCAGGTGTTGTTAGGGGCTGGAAAATGAATAAAGCTTGGCTGTCCGGTGTGATGGCCTCTCGGAGTTGAGTTAATTCAATACCCGAGGCATCTTCTGGAGACTATGTCAAAACAGCTAGTTTCCCAGGCAGACAGGCAGGGCTCATAAATCTGCTCAGTGCATTCTCTCTTTCTTTAACAACAAAAAAAATTCATTTGGAGGTAAAATGTCCTGAAGGGGCCTTCAATAATATGTGTCATCGAAACAGAGAGGACCAGTCACCTCAGTACTGGGAGCCATATTTCACCGCTAGTTAGTGTCAAATCTTGTTCATTTGTCAACAAAGCACTGGGAGAAAAATACTACCAGGCAGCCACTGTGGAGCAGGCTCTTCCTAACCAGGGGAATATGTGTTTACACAAGGAAGACTCTGTTTTGGCAATGGGTGTGTCCTTCACTTCCCGTCAGTCAGTGGGAATTCAATAGGTCATGTGCTCGGACCCTGCCTCAGATAACAGGCCACTGACAAGTAATCAGTGTGCTCTTTCTAGGGACAGTGAGCAGTTACTCTTCAATTACTCTTCAACAAAGGCCACAGCGAGCACAGAAAACATGTGCTTCAAAGGGGTTTTACACAGACATCCTTGTCTCACACAGAACTGAAAAACGAAATAAAACAACAGTGAACTACACTGGGACATTTATTGACCTTAATTTACAAAGGGTTTAATTAAGGTCAGAGAGGATAAAGACAGTACTTATGTAACCAAAAAGCAGGTTAGTTGCTCACTGCATGCAGAGTCCAGTTAACAAGAGCAAGGCTATTTACAAAGCAAGTGAATTTATTCCAGAGCTAGCTTGGGGAAGAAGCAGTATGGCTTCACTTTTGGAGTAGAGAGTGGTCATTTTTATAAGGTAGAGGAGGAAATGAGCAAGGGCAGGATCCTCCCTGCTGTCTGGGTGCCTCATTTACCAGGCAGTTGAGTTGGCATCTTCCTGGGCAGAAGTAAATTGTAAAAGTGGCCAAATGGGCATACTTTTGACATGCTCTGTTGAGGTGACCCCCTGGAGGTGAGGGTTCATGGTGGCAGGCTTTGGTTTGCAAATCAACTGTCAATTCTGGAGGAGAGATCCCTCTTTGAGCACATGGATGAACTTGCCCTGTAAGGAATATCTGATGAGTGGGAGGTGAAAAGTTGTATTTACATTTCTAAACGGCTAAGTAGGAAGCAGAGAACAGGGGGAAAAGGGAGAGGGAAAGAAAAGAGAAAATATTCATAAAAATAGTTAAACTCTCTCTTAGAAAAATGCAGGTACTTGGTTACACTTGATAAATATTTGCTTTTAAAGAAATGAATAGAGGGCGTGCATTTTATTTTCATTGTGAGGTAGGGCAAATGGGTCTATCTTTTTTCTTCATTAAAATGTTGCATACCATTTACTTCGTAAGAATTTGTTTTACTTTCTAAGACAAACATATTTTACTTTGTAAGAATTTTAGGAGTAGATTGTCAAATTTCATGGAAAAATCTTGTTCAGTTTCTGATGAATCTTGGATTTAATTTACAAATTAATTTGGGTGGTATCATTTTTGAAATCCTTTCATGGTTATTCCAGTATTTTCTAGGTTTTTAAAAACCTTTGATCCATATAGAAATAATTTTGATGTGAAGACTGGAGTAGGAATCCATTTTCCATTACTTTCCAGAGGATTAGCCATTTGTCCAAACACCATGTATTGATTAATCCATCTTTTTCTAATTGCTTTTTCCTAACATTATATCTTATACTACATTTAACTTATTTTTGGACTCTCTTTTTCATTTCATTGATGTCTGTCCTCCATTCATGTGCAAATATTAAGTTCAGAATTGCTATACCTTATAATACTTCAAAAAGTCTTCAGAATTATTCTGGATATACTTTAATGTTTACCTTTTTATTACTGTTAAATCAGCTTGTCTGTCCCTATTACCTACTCTTCCTTTCTAAAATATCAGTATCTCATAAATTTAAATTTATAGATTTATAGTTTTGACACCTTATAGGTTTATAGACTCTTGATAGCTTTATAATATTGACTTTTTCACCCCAAAATATAGTGTATCTTTCCATTCATTATGACTTTTTTATCATTCTTTAGCAATTAAAAATTTTTTCATAGAGTGCTAACACATTCTTGTTAACGATTATATTTTTATTCGTTGTTGCAATTATAATTACAATCTTTTTCTCATTATGTTTTCTAAGTGGTTGATCTTTTTATAGTGGGAAGCTATTGAATTTTATATGTTGATTTTATAATCAGCCACTTTACTGGGTTCTCTTTTAGTTCTTAATTGTGTTCAGCTGACTCGGGCTTTCTAGCTATGTTCTATTGTCTTTGGCAAATGACAATAATTTTAAATCCTTTCAAATTTTATGCCTCATATTTCTTTTCCTTGTCTTCTTGTACTGGCTAGGGCCTCCAGAATAATGATAAAAGTAGTGAGGAGAAGAGCTAACTTTATTTACTCTTGATTTTATTAAGGATCCTTTCAGTGTTTTGCTATCAAGCATAATGCTGGCTTTTGGCTTAATCTTTGGCTACTTTATTAAGAATCTTACTTTTTTTAAAGTCAAGAACGGGTATTGAATTTTATTAAATATTGGCTGTCCAGTAGCTACAGTGATATCCGCTCCTTTTCTGCTAATGATGAAGATCATTGTGTAAGGCATTTGCTGGCCACCTATTTCAATATTAATGTCCTTCAAGACTGCTTGTTAATATATCATTTAGGACATTTACAATGACAATTGTTAGTATATTTCATTATGACTCATGTCATTGTGCTGTGTTTGCCATAATTTGATATCCAGAGTAGGATGGTTTTATAAATATAATTTGGGAACTTTTGATCATTATGTTCTGGAAATGTTTTGAAAGCACTTGCGCAATCTGTTAACTGAAAGATGGATGGAATCCATTTGGAACCTGGTATCATTTATCATGTTCTTATGCACATTATATTTTCTCTAAATTTAGGATTAAATCTAGAGACTTTGTATCAAATTGATGTCTGATTTAGTTTTGTAAGAGTATTTCTTAATAGTTGTAGGGGACTTTCATCAGGAATGTCTGATTTTTCTTTTTCAATTATATTAGAAGCCATTGATAATCATTGTCTAGATCCAGTAATTCACTGGGAATTGCTAATGTCAGATATCCCTTTGTTAAAAGAAAAACTTCAGCTGAATTAAATTTAAAGGAGTTTAATTGAGCAACGAACAATTTGTGAATCAGGCAGCCCCTGGAAGCACAGCAGATTCAGAGAGACTCCAGGTGTGCCTTGTGGTCAGAACAAATTTATAGACAAAAAAAGTAAAGAGATGTACAGAAATCGGAAGTGAGCTACAGAAACAGCTGGATTGGTGACACGTTGACGGTTGCCTTATTTGAACACAGTTTGAACACTCAACAGTGTATGAGTGGTTGAAGTACAGCTGCGAGGATTAGCCAAGACTCAGTGATTTTTACCGGCGCATACTCCTAAGCTAGGTTTTCAATGTTGTCTACTTATTAAGTTAGGTTACAGTCAGTCCACAAGAACTCAAATATAGAATTATGGAGTCCTTCTCAGGCCATATTTAGTTCTCTTTAACACCTTTCTATAATTTCTTTCTTGTTTATTTGATGGAAGACTTTTATTAGAAGAAACTTTCTCTTATCAGTATATAATTATTGTGTGGCATAGTTCATATAGGAGAGGCAGGATAAATGCTTAATTATTGCTTTCTTTTTTCAAAATAATGAGTTGTTTTCTCAGCATCCTTCAAAGAACAGCAACGAGAAGTAGTTCGATTTGCTTTGTTGTTATTCCTTTTGTATCTTTATGAACTCCTGGATTTAGACTTGTTCGATGTGCCACAACCCATTGCAGTTATTAACCTCATTAATGCTCACATTTTCTAATCTGGACAGGAGTACCTTGTTAAACTCTGGCCATGAGTGCTTTTTGCGGGGAGATGTCAGAGCCTTGCCATTGGAAAGTGGTCAACTCATAGGTTGGTAAGAAGAATCTACTGACAATAGTAGAGGTTTGAAAAATAAAGTTATATTAAAGAATGTTGCAGCAGAGTGCAGAGTGCTGCCTAAGAAGGAAAGGACTGAGTGTTCTGCTGTGGATTTTTCCTTTGGGATATTTATAGACCTTAAAGTTGGAGCTTAAGGGCAATTTGAACCATATTAGCCACATAGATCATAATAAATGATTACATTAGTAGACATTTTGGTGCCTTAATGTCAGCAAGGGTTGCACAATGAGTTACAATATACATGCATTCATTCCGGAGATGTACAGAAAAGCTAATTACTTACACCTTTTTGGGAAAGGTGCCTGGAACCAGGTGCCAGCTTTAGATAATAGAATAGGGAAGTGTAATTACTTCTGAATTCCTCAGATAAGGAGTGTTGCCTCTGGATGGCCTGCATGATGGCCACCAGGTGATCTTTGCTTTCCTCACTTAGAACATGAACCTTGCGGTATTTGATATTTTTCTTGCTTTCTAATGGTAAAAAAAAAAAGTTATAGCCCCATTTTGTACCGTTTTTACTTGCCCCAGCTCTAGAATATGGAATAATTTTTCCAAGGAACTCTGGTTTATCTTAGTTGGAAATAATATTTAGAGAAAGTATTCTGAGCATGCGGGGTGTTCACTGCTTCTGGTTAATTGTTGCTTTTAGGCTTTTTTGGTGGATAAAGAAATTTTCCAAAACTCACTTTGTGAGTTCATACTGATACTTCAGATTCCACTAATTAAACATCATAATGATTTTTCTTTATTTTGTATCACACAAACACACAATTTCCTAATGATAATGTTAATACTATTAGCAAAGAGGTTTAAGTGTGTGTATGCGGTAATTACTTCTCTCCTTAGGGTATATCCCCACTGAGTATGTACATTCAAAAATCACTGTTTTAAAGTCAGCCAGAATAGTGTCTTCCTGCATCATTATGCTACCAAATAAATACTCAATTAGCATCATTTGCTTAATTTATTTTTTATTTGTAAGGATGGCTTTTAAATTTAATTTTGTGTTATAATTTTCATCTCCCTAATGATTAATGATGTAGAACATATTTTCCTATGCTTCTTGGCTGTTTAAATTATCTTCTTTGGAAAAACAGCAATTGAAATAATTTGTCTATATTTTAATTCAGTTTTTGTCTTATTATTGAATTATAAGAGTTCTTTAAAGATTTTGATAGAAGTTGCTTTGTATACATATATGTATGTGATTTATATGTATTTCCTCCCATTCTGTGGATTGTATTTTCACTTTCTTGATTGTGTCCTATGAATAATAAAAGTTCGTAGTTTTGATGAAATCCAATTTATCTATTATTTCTTTTATTGCTTATGCTTTTGGTGTCACATCAAAGAAACCATTGACTAATCTAACATCATGATAATCCTGTGGGTTTTTAAAATTTTAACTCTTACATTCACATTTATGATTAATTTAAAGTTAATTATTTGTGAGGAATTGTTTGTAAATTAATTATGATATAAGTAAGGAATCCACCTTTATTCTTTTGCATGTGGGTATCCAGTTGTCCTACCACCATACATTAAAAAGACAACATTTTCAAACCGAATTGTCTTGGTATCTGTGTAAAATGTCAATTGGCCATAAATGGGGAGGGTTTATTTCTGTACTCTCAATTCTAGTTCATTGATCTCTCTGTATGTCTTTATGCCAGTACCACACTGTCTTGATTCCCATAGCTTTGTAGTAATTTTAAAAATGGGCAACGTGGGAGTCCATTTGTTATTCTTTTTCAGGATTGTTTTGGTTATTTTTGGTTCCTTGCATTTGCATATATATTTTAGGATCAGCTTGCCAATTTCTGATAAATGACTAGTTAGAATTTTAATAGGGATTGCATTGAATCTGTAGATGAAATTGGGATATACTAGCATTTTAACAATATTATTAATTTTTTGATTTACAAACATAAAATAACAAGTAGAGACTGAAGTAGTATTTATTTCAATCTTTTACATTTCTATTTATTTTAATCTTTGAAACTTCTTTCAACAGTGTTGGTGATATTCAGTATACAAGTTTTGAACTTATTTTAAAAAATTATTCCTAGATATTTTACTCTTTGAATACCATTACAAATACAAGTTTTATTAATTTCATTTTTGAATTGTTCATTGCTAGTATATAGAAGTGCAATTGATTTTTGTATATTGATCTCATAACCTCAACCTTGCTCTTATTAGTCCCAGTAGTTTTTTAGTAGATGTGTTAGGATTTTCTATATAAAGGATCCTGGCATCTTTAAAGAAAAATAGCTTTACTTCTTCCTTTTCTCACAGAATTTTAAAAATTATTTTCTTGTGTAATCACCTTGGCTAGTCCTACCACCATACATTGGTATCCAGTTGAATACTGGATGTTTCAGCACAATGTTGAATAGAAAGGGCAAAGGTGGTTATTATTGCATTTTTCCTGATCTGAGTGGGAAATTATTCAATCTTTCTCCACCTAATGTGATGTTATATGTGGATTTTGATCAGATACCCTTTATCAGGATGAGGAAGTTCCCTTTTATTCATAATTTTTAATATGTTTTTTATCATTAAAGTATTTTGGATTTTAAAAAATGTCTTTTTTTTCTCATCGGTTGAGAAGATTATATTGTTTTTGTCCTTTATTCTATTAATATGGTGTATTATATTGACTCATTTTTGGGTGTTAATCCAATGTTGAATTGCTGCGATAAATTCCGTGTAGTCTTAGCATGAAATTCTCTTATGTTGCTGGGCTCAGTTTTTTAGTATTTTGTTGAATATTTTTGCGTGTATAGTCAGAAAGGACATTAGTCTGTAGTTTTCATTTATTGTAATGTCTTTTTCTGGCTTTGGTATCAAGAAATACTTCATAGGATAAGTTGGGATGTGTTTCTTCCTCTCATTTTATGGAGGATTTTATAAAGTATTAGTATTGATATTTAAAATATTTGGTAGAGTTCATTAGTGATGCTCTGTGGGCTTGTACTTTTCCTTTAGAAAGTTTTGAAATCACTACTTTGATCTCTATAGTGTATATATATATATTTTCTATTTCTTTTGAGCCAGTTTCAGCTGGTTGTATCTTTCTAAGAATTTGTCCATTTTAAGTGAGCTCATTTGTTGACATACAGTTGTTTATGACATTTTCTTACAATCTGTTTTATTTCTGCAAAGTTGGTAGTGATACAGCCTCTTTTATTTATAAATGTATTAATTTGTATTTTCAGTCTGCTTTTCTTGGTCAGCATAAGCTAAAGATTATTAATTTGTTAAACGTTTCAATGAATCAACTTTTGGTTTTGTTAGTATTCTCTATTGCTTTTCTATTCCATATTTCATTTATTTTCACTCAATTTTTATTGTTTTACTCCTACTGCTTATTATTAACTTGAGATTTTTTATTTTTTATTGCTCTATATTACAGCTATACATTTCCATGTAAGCATTGCTATAGTTGCAATCCATAAGTTTTAGTATATTGTAAGTTTGAAAATGTTTTTGAGTTCTATTATGATTTATTATTGACTCCTAAGTTCTTTGTGAATGTGTTGTCTAATTTCCACATATTGGTGAATTTCTCACATTTCATTTTGTTATGGATTTCTAATTTAAGTCTATTTTTGTCAGAGAATATGTATTGTATGACTCTAAGCAATTTAAATTTATTTAGCCTTAGCATTTGATGTATCCTGGAAAGTGTTTCCTGCATGCTTGAGAAGTACATGTATTCTACATTGTTGAGAAGTGTGTTGTGTAAATGCCTGTTAGCTCTAGTTGGTTTATGGTATTTTTTAGCTATTCTACAGACTCATTTATTTCATACCTAGTTATTTTATTCATTACTACAAGGAAGGTATTGAAAACCCAACTACTATTCTAATTGTCAGTTTCTCTCTTCAATTCTAGAAGTTTTTGCTTAATGTATTTTGCTTCATGTATTAGATGCATATTTACTTATAGATTTACCTAATAAATACAATTTCTTTGTCTCTACTAAAAGTTTCTTTCTCATACAATCATTTTATTTACATAAGTACAACCACTATGGCCTTCTTTTGTTTAGTACTTGAATGGTGTGTCTTTTTGATCATTTTACTTTCAACTTGTTTGTTTTTGAATATAAAGTATGTGTTTTGTAGATAGTATATAGTTGGGTCATACAAAAATATTTTCTGCTTATCTTTACCTTATGATTGGAGTATTTAATCCATTCATATTTATTATAATTACAGATTAGATAAGCTTTCAATTTGTCATATTTGCTATTTTTTATACGTCTTTTTGTTTTGCTTTGTTTTGTTTTCTAGTCCTTGATTCCTGCCTTTTCTGTTAAATAGATAATTTTTTAGTATAGCATTTTAATTCTCTTGCTGTTTCCTTTACTATTTTCTGAATTATTTTCTTATTTGTCTTTCTGGAGATTATAATTAGCATCTTACATTTAAATAATCTTGTTCAGGTTGATATTAACTTAATTTCAATAGTATATGCTAACTTTGCTCTAATATACTTTCTTTTCTAACCCCTCTCTTTTGTATTATTAATGTCAGCAATCACTTCTTACATTATAAGCCCTTCAACACTGCTTTATAATACTGCATTTTGTCACAGTCTTTTGGGTCAATTATAAGAAAGACAGTTCCAAACAAAAATACATTCATATTATCCAGTTATCTTTACTGGTGCTTTTTATTTTTTGTGAATATATTCAAATATCCTTTCATTGTAGCCCAAAAACCCCCTTAGTATTTATTGTAGGGCAGAGCTGTTAGTAGCACATTCTTTTAGTTTTAGTTTATGTGGGAATGTCTTCAGTTCATCTTTATTTTTGAAGGGTAGTTTTGCTGGATAAGGATAGTTCTGCTGGTTGACAATCTCTTTAAACACTTTGAAGATGCTATCGGCTGTCCTTAGTCTCCATGATTTCTGATGAGAAGTGTAAGCTGTTAATGAGTTATTTTTATGTGATGTCATTTTGACCATAATTTTTCTAGGTATGGATTTTCAAATTTTATTTTGCTTTACTTGGAGTTTGTTGAAATTCTTGGAAGTATAATATTTTAAATCAGATTTGGGAAGTTTTTAGCCATAATTCTTTCACATATTTTTTATACCCCATTCTCTTTGTAATATAGGAGTTAAAAAGAAATTACTTAAGCTGTTAGTGAGGGTTTGGGAGTCCTCAGTAAGATTTATCTTCTAATAAAAAATAAAAAAGTTGGTCAAGTGTGGTGGCTCATGCCTGTAATTCCAACACTTTGGGAGGCCAAGGTGGTGGATCACCTGAGGTTAGGAGTTTGAGACCACCTGGGCCAACATGGTGAAACCCCGTCTCTACTAAAAATACCAAAAATTAGCTGGGGGTGGCAGGTTCCTATAATCCCAGCTACTTGGGAGACTGAGGTAGGAGAATCACTTGAACCTGTGAGGTGGAGGTTGCAGTGAGCCGAGATCATGCCATTGCACTCCAGCCTGGGCAACAAGAATGAAACTCTGTCTCAAATAAATAAATAAATAAAATAAAAAAGCAGCCCCCAAATCATTTCTTTTCAACACAAAGCAGCCTGAAAAATCAAGCTGCAAGCACAGATAAGCAAGCTGGAAGCTTGCATAGGTAATTGCCAGCAGCTGTGCTGGACACCAGGTATATCCAGCATGGAGGTTTTTCTCTTCTCTTTTCTTTGTGGCTAAGTGTGTGGGTGTCATGGCGCCGTCCAGGTAGAGACCCCATCTGCATAATAAAAGATTAAGGTGGGATGGCCAGCCTCTTCATGGGCTATGTAAATGGAACATCTGGTTCAACCGATCCCCTGGGCCCTGTGTAAATCAGACACTGCCTCCTCAAGCTGCTCTGTAAAACCAACTGCATTCTGCTGCTGAGGGAAATCTTTTCCGAATACTCCTTACTCTACATGAGGGAGCTTTTCTCTTGTTTCTTTCACCTATGAAACTTTCCACTCTTTTTTTTTTTTGAGATGGAGTCTCGTTGTGTTGCCCAGGCTGGAGTGCAGTGGTGCGACCTCTGCTCACTGCAACCTCCGTCCCTCAGGTTCAAGTGATTCTCCTGCCTCAGTCTCCTGTGTAGCTGGGACTAGAGGCATGTGCCACCATGCCTGGCTAATTTTTGTATTTTTAGTAGAGACGGGGTTTCACTATTTTGGCCAGTGTTGAGGGAAGTCAGGGACCCCGAATGGAGGGACAGGCTGGAGCTGCGGCAGAGGAACATGAATTGTGAAAATTTCATGGACATTTGTCAGTTCCCAAATAATACTTTTTATATTTCTTATGCCTGTCTTTACTTTAATCTCTTAATCCTGTTATCTTTGTAAGCTGAGGATGTACGTCACCTGAGGACCACTATGATAATTGTGTTAACTGTACAAATTGTTTTTAAAATGTGTGTTTGAACAATATGAAATCAGTGCACCTTGAAAAAGAACATAATAACAGAGATTTTTATGGAACAAGAGAAGACAACCATAAGGTCTGACTGCCTGTGGGGTCAGGAAAAAAGAGCCATATTTTTCTTCTTGCAGAGGGCCTATAAATGGACTTGCAAGTAGGAGAGATATTGCTAAATTCTTTTCCTAGGAAGGAATATTGATATTAATACTCTGGGAAAGGAATTCATTCCTGGGGGGAGGTCTATAAACAGCTGCTCTGGGAATGTCTGTCCTATGCGGTTGAGATAATGACTGAGATATGCCCTGGTCTCCTGCAGTACACTCAGGCTTACTAGGATTGGGAAACTCCATCCTGGTAAATTTTTGGTCAGACCAGTTTTCTGCTCTCGAACCCTGTTTTCTGTTAAGATGTTTATCAAGACAATACGTGCACTGCTGAACACAGACCCTTATCAGGAGTTCTGATTTTGCCCTTGTCCTGTTTCCTCAGAAGCATGTGATCTCTGTTCTGCCTTTTGCTCTTTGAAGCATGTGATCTTTGTACCTACTCCCTGTTCTTACACCCCCTCCCCTTTTGAAATCCTTAATAAAAACTTGCTAGTTTTGCAGCTCAGGTGGGCATCATGGTCCTACCGATATATGATGTCACCCCCGGCAGCCCAGCTGTAAAATTCCTCCCTTTGTACTCTTTCTCTTTATTTCTCAGCCGGCTGACACTTACGGAAAATAAAAAGAACTTATGTTGAAATATTGGGGGCGGGTTCCCCTGATAGGCCAGGCTGGTTTCAAACTCCTGACCTCATGATTTGCCTGCCTCAGCTGCCTGTAGTGCTGGGATTAGAGGCGTGAGCCACCGTGCCTGGCCTAAACTTTCCACTCTTAAACCCACACCTTGTGCATCTACGTTTCCGTTTTCCTTATTGTGAGAAAACAAACCTTGGGTTTTCCCCAGATAAACATTGCCACTTCATTTGTGTTCTTCTCAGATGCCTATTGTGTGTATTTTTGTATTCTTGACAAGTTTCTGAAGTTCTGCTCATTTTTCTTCCTTTCTGATCTGAGTAATCTTTCTTGACTTCTATTCAAGTTCACTTGTTCTTTCTCTTGCTTGCTCAAATAGGCTATTTATTTCCCTTTAGTGGGTTTTAACATTTTAGTTACTATACTTTTCAATTTCAGAATTTATATTTAGTTCTTTTTACATTTTCTATTGCATTATCAATATCAAGATATTCTACTCAACATTATTACTGATATTCTCTATTTGACAAGACAGTTCTCGTATTTTTCTTTAATTCTTTACTCACGATTTATTTTAGTTATTTAAACATTTATAATAGCTACTTTTAAGTCTTTGTCTACTAAGTCTAAAATCTGGACTCTCTCAGGGAAATTTTCTATTGGTTTTTTCCCCTGTGTATGTGGAATAGTTTTCCATTTCTTTGCATTTCTCATAATTATCTTTTTGTTGGAAACTAAATATTTTAGATAATATACTGTAACAACTTTAATCAGATGCTTTTTCCCCTTCTAGTTTTCTATCTTTTTGGGTTTTAATTTTTTTATTTTGTTGCTAATTACTTTCCTCTTGCTATTTACTTGTTTAGGGAATTATCTGAACTAATCCTGTAGATTCTACATTCTCTGGAATTGAAGTCACTGAGTTCTCTGCTACTTTTTAAAAAATCTGCTCTAATTTTTTTTTTTTTTTGAGACAGAGTCTTGCCCTGCCTGTTGCCCAGGCTGTAGTGCAATGGCCCAATCTTGGGTCACCGCAACCTCTGCCTCCCGGGTTCAAGCAATTCTCCTGCCTCAGCCTCCTGAGTAGCTGGGATTACAGGTGCCTGCCACCATGCCCAGTTAATTTTTTGTATTTTTAGTAGAGATGGGGTTTCACCATGTTGGCCAGGCTGATCTCGAGCTCCTGACCTCATGATTCACCCACCTCGGCCTCCCAAAGTGCTGGGATTAGAGGCGTGAACCACTGTGCCTGGCCTGTTTTAATTTTTATGCTTAGCTTTCTAGCGTTCATCCTTATGTCATTGTGATCAGCCAATACAGGTCAGAAGATTTCCTGACATGTTTTACTTGTTTATCTTCCTCCCTTTGCAAAGGGGATCTGTGTGAGAAGGCATAACTTCATGTTTCAGGTAGTTTACAAGCTTTGACCTCCTGCTTGTGCAGGGCTGCCAGACCAGCCAGTGGTGACTGGGTCTTATCTTTTATCTTGGGCATGGGTACAGATTTGCGCATGAGTACAGCCTTTGCAATCTTCAGAAATATGTCAGAACATTCCAGTTCCTTATGATCATCTTGTTCTCAATTATTTCCTTTTATATTTCAGGCTAGGCTCTTGTTTGCCATAAGCAAATCAAGTCTTAGCTTCAGGAAGCTGCGGTGTTGTCAAGAAATTGCTATTGTTCTGGAAATGCCATGGGGTAGGGCTTTTAAAATTTTCTTCCTGATGAGCTGAGCTCTGAGTTAAATTGAATAGCCATAGTACCTGGGAACAGAGTTTTTTCTGGGAGCTGGAAGTTTAGACAAAATATTGACTGTGCTCTGAAGATTTTATTTTTAATGGAGTTTTAGTTGAGGTAAATGATTTTGATTGGTTGCAAGAATGAATGCTGGCTTTTCATGGCTATAAGACTATTGAGCTGCCAATGAAGTAGGAATGGGAATAATCAAAATGTTGCACACCCTGCCCTGATTTACTGATATTCAGTAGTTGTTTTTGGATAAATGATTTTTGGTTTTCTGTAGCTGTGGTTAGTTTCCAGAGTTGTGAAATGGTTAATGGTTAATTTTGCTTTGCTAGTATTTTCATTGCTATTGTGGAACAGCAGTTCACAGAAGTCACCACATCATCATTTTAGTCAATCACTGTACCTATTTTTGATGGTTTAGCTAAATCTTTATTGTCACAGCAAAAAGTCAGTACATACTCTATTGTACTCACTATTTACCCCCATGGAAAATACATAATTTTATGTTCATCACCTGCCTTATATTTATGTAATTTCAGTCATTTAGGTTGTCTGAAGCTTATTCTTTAGATATTCAGGAAAGATCATGAAAGCAATAGTCCTTCTATTTTTGCAGAAAAATCAAACTGTGCCTGTGCCTTTTACACTTGAATATTATATGGACTGGATATAAAATCCTTGACTTAAATTTTACTTTATTGAATATTTTAAATATACTGTGATATAAAATGTTGCTCTTGAAAAATCTAATGACCATAAGGGTTTTTTTTCTTCATAAGTTATTTGACTTTTATTAGTTACTTGCCAGAAGTTTGAAAGGATTCTTCTCCCCTTCCCCTTCCCCTTTTCTTCCCATCCTTCTTTTTTCTTTCTTTCTTCTTCTTCTTTCTGCTTGTTTCTTTTTTCCTGGTGCAATAATTTTAGTGTTGTATAGTAGATGTTCACAGGTATGTTGCATGCTATTTTGATATATAGATTCATATGATATTTTAATTTGGAAAAGTTTTCTTGAAATATATTTTTATTATTTGTGTCATTCATTGCTTTTACTTTCTTCTTCAGGTGCTCTAAATCTATGTATATTGAATTTCATTTGCCTCTTTTCTATATCAGAAACCAAAAATAAAATTCTAAGCCCCCCTCCTCTTGGCCAAAGGTATTACAAAAATTAATCTAAAAAACTAGTTCAGGCCATGATTGGAAAAAGGGGTCAGACATACCTTATTATTCTCTCCTCCCTTTACAATTTAGGCACAACTGATTAGCATTAACATTAAAACGGAGACCTTAAGACTGACAAAACCAACTCTTTGTAGCAATGAGATGCCAACATGACAGACAGCAGGTCCTGAAAGAAATCAAAGTATTTTTACCCAGGATATATTTATTTGACATATTTTGAAATGATCCTGCAAAGCTGTCTCTTATGGGGAAAATCTACATTCTGTACAGAATCTCCTTCCCTTTCCAGGTCTTTTTCCTGATCCAGAAGAGAATTAACTAATAGTCTGGCACCTTGTTAAGTCCGATAAGAAACATTTACACTAATTACAATAGCAAATACATGGAACCAACCGAAATGCCCATCAATGATAGACTGGATTTAAAAAATGTGGTACATATACACCATTGAATATTATGCAGCCATAAAAAGGAATGAAATTATGTCCTTTGCAGGGACATGGATGAAGCTGGAAGCCATCATCCTTAGCAAACTAACACAGGAACAGAAAACCAAACACCTCATGTTCTCACTCATAAGTGGGAGTTGAACAACGAGAACACATGGACACAGAGAGGGGAACAACATACACCAGGGTCTGTTTGGGGGTGGGAGGTGAGGGGAGGGAACTTAGAGAATGGGTCAAAAGGTGCAGCAAACCACCATGGCTCATGTACACGTATGTAACAAACCTGCACGTTCTGAACATTTATCCCATTTCTTTTTTTTTTTTTTTTTTTTTTTTTTGAGAGGGAGTCCCACTCTGTGGCCCAGGCTGGAGTGCAGTGGTGCGATCTCAGCTCACTGCAAGCTCCGCCTCTCGGGTTCACGCCATTCTCCTGCCTCAGCCACCCACGCAGCTGGGACTACAGGCGCCCGCCACCACGCCCAGCTACATTTTTTGTGTTTTTAGTAGAGACGGGGTTTCACCATGTTAGCCAGGACGGTCTCGGTCTCGATATCCTGACCTCGTGATCTGCCTGCCTCGGCCTCCCAAAGTGCTGGGATTATAGGCATGAGCCACAGTGCCCGGCCTCCCATTTCTTTTTTTTTAGAAGAAATAAAAACAGAATAAAAGAAACATTTAACATCTATTCTCTCTGAAGCCTGCTACCAAGATGCTTCATCTCCTAATAAGAACCTTGGTCTCCAAAACCCCTTATCTTAACCCACATACTCCTTTCTAATGATTTCAGGTCTTTAGATAATAACTTAACTCTTTTAACCAATTGCCAATGTTGGAATCCACTTATGACCCAGAAGCTCCCCGCCAACCCCCACTTTGAGTTGTCCCACTTTTCTGGACTGAACTAACATACCTCTTACATATATTGATTGATGTCTTATGTCTCCCTAAAATCTATAAAACCAAGCTGTAGCCTGACCACCTTGGGCACCTGGTCACAGGATCCCTCGGTATTGTGTTATAGGTCATGGTCCTCATATTTGGTTCAGGAAAAATTTCTTCAAATATTTTACAGTTTGACTCTTTTCATTGAAAATATCTACTAATTTTCTTGTGAATCATTTTGTTTCCAATTTAATTTTTTCTTTTGAATAATTTTGACACAAGTCATGATCTGTTATGTTATCTTGCATTCTTTCTGTTAAATACTCATTTCTGAAATGATAGTTGAGAAACAACTTTGCTGAATTTTATCACTTCTATTTTCCAGTCATTCTTTACTTAATCACCCTGATTTTTGAGTATTTTCTAATTATGCTTTATTGTTATCTTTTCTTAGAGTCTGTCATCTCTTAATTTCTTTTGCTTCATTTTGAAAACATGGCTTTCTGGGGTTGTTTTTTTATTATATGAAAGCATTCTGTGACTTTAAAGAGAGAGATGCATTCAGGATAACTTTTATTTACAGCTTTATTTCTCTGGAGATCTCATTTCTGTTGTTTTCCCAAAGAGATAAAAATATGGCTTCATGTTTTCTGACATCTGCTCTTTCTGCTTCCGTTTTTGGTTATATTTGGATCTTCCTTTTTATTTACTTCTTGTTCAATGTGGGTTCTATCTCCAAAAGCTTCTCCTCAGTTTCTCTTCCTCCTGGAATGAAGTTTTCATTAGTAAATTTTGGGATTCCTCAGAACGTGTATTGCTCCAGTATAAAGTTCTCTGTAGTGATCTGAATTGGACACTTTAGAGCTCCCTCCAAGTTTTGATTGCTCTTCTTAGCTGTGCATTCATACTTTGCAGTGAATACTTACTGTTAACTTTAGTGTTTGTCTGTTTCCATTGCCACGATAAGCCCTGTTGTCTTTTTCTCTGCAGATCTGATACATGTTGTTGGTATTTCTGTTTTCCCATGTTGGAGTCTGTAGGGTACTTGCTCACCAATTATCATAATATATGTTGTCTTCGTGTTTTTCTTTAGCTTATTCTAGTTGCCATCTGTGTGTGCTTTAGGGGAATGAGAAAAATTAAAAAACTATTATTATATTCCCAATATCTTCCTGGAATCCTTATAATTATATTTTCCTGACTCACTTTTTATGTCATTTTCTTGTTTTATATTTTTTTGTCTGAGATCTTGTGTATATATATATTTTTATTTATAAAGACCATATTTTATTTCTTTAATTTCAAGTTGAAATGCTGATCAAAATTTCATCATGTAGTTTGTGTAATATGTCTAGTGCATATTTATCAATTGTATAGGTGTTTTTTTCCCTTTCTTATTTTTTACTTTGCATATTTTTAGTTGGAATGCTAATATTTCCTTTTGAATTCTCACTCATGTCTTAAAGGGGATAGAGGAAAGGTGAAGAGTAAGCTTTACTGTTCTAACCAAAAAATGACATCCTTAAGAATGTACCAGAAGTATAAATTAAAGAAATTCAGCAACATAAGTGGCACTTTCTTGTTCATAAAATTTCACTGACCTCCCAGGCATGACTCTTCTGCTGATTAACAGAATGCCTTCCTGGATTACTGTAAAATCCTTAATAAAGTGATTGTGTGATTGTGTGCCTGTGTGATTGTGTGTATGTGTGTGTGTGTATAATTTTACTTATACCTCCAATAGCTGCAGAGCCTTTTAGCATTCACAATTTTCACTTCATCATTCCATGCAAAATGTGAATTTCTCTTTAAATCTCTGGTACCTTTTTGTCTAGCACCATATTATTTACCATTCCACGAATGTCCAGCAGGCTTCAAGGCTACCTTTCTAGATTGTTGGATAACCTTATCTTTTTGTTTCAATTGAAATAAGGAATTATCATGTGGTTCCTTGGGTTATAAAATCTATTTTGAAGACTTCTGACTCTTTCATAAACCTGAAGAGATCAATATATTCACTAGATAGCCTTTACCATCCTGGATCAATATTTATAGTATTTAGCATGTTTTCTTCATAAATTGTATATTGTGGATATAGGTATTTTCTATTTTCTTTTGATATTATCTTTAATTGTGTTTTTTTCTTCCCTCAAGTTCATTTCTAAGAAGATATCTTTATTCTACCCTCTTAAGCCAGGATTATGAGAGTATGTTTTACAGATAATCTTTTTTTTTTTTTTTATCTTTTGAGACAGAGTCTTGCTCTGTCACCCAGGTGCCCAGACTGAAGTGCAGTGGTGCAATCTTGGCTCTCTGTAACATCTGCTTCCCAGGTTCAAGCAATTCTCGTGCCTCAGCCTCCCAAGAATATGGGATTACAGGCATGAGACACCATGCCTGGCTAATTTTTGTGTCTTTAGTAGAGATGGGGTTTCGCCATATTGGCCAGGCTGGTCTTGAACTCCTGGCCTCAAGCAATCCGCCAGCCTTGGTGTCCCAAAGTGCTGAGATTACAGGCGTGAGCCACCGTGCTTGGCCACAGATAATTTTTTGCTATCAACACTATCATGAGCTTTACCAGGTGTCAGAATCCTTACAACTTTTTTCCTGCAGTGGCCTTCACTGCCATGGACAGAAAATTGAACATTTAAGAGCTTTATGCTCTTCATATGAAAATTTTTAGGTTTTATTTTCTTCTTTTTAAAAATAAATCTGATGCATCTTTTCTCTTTAATTGCTTGGAAAAATTAGTTACATAGCTTTCATCCAGTCTTTCTTTTTTATTAATCTATTCAATATTTATTGAGTTCTTACTATGTGCTGTTCTAAGTGGTAGACAGATACTCCTTATTTCCATGGACCTTAATTCTAGAGAAAGATGGAGATGATTCAAATAAACCTGCATGATTCTCACCGCTCTCCATGGTAAGAGTTCTTAAACTGCTCACCTTTACTACCTTCCAATTTTACTGTTTTCTCTTTGAATTTTAATCTCTGAGGGTTTTATTTGATAGCATGCTGGTTTTCTTGATAAGTTATATTTTATTACTAATGCTGAAGACTGTATAATATAGCTTTCAGAAACAGATTGAATGTGTTGGGGCTTCGAGGTAACATAATCTAAGCTTGAATCAGAATACAGATTTCATA
The DNA here is from genome assembly GCF_000001405.40 of Homo sapiens. Classification (NCBI taxonomy): domain Eukaryota; kingdom Metazoa; phylum Chordata; class Mammalia; order Primates; family Hominidae; genus Homo; species Homo sapiens. The sequence goes on along the minus strand of NC_000002.12, from coordinate 126,489,467 downwards.
TTGTTTGTACTGAATGCAAGATTTTTTTAAAAAACAAGGAAACACTGAAATAAAATGGAGCAGATTGTGTATTACAGGCCACTTGGGATTTAGCAACAGAGGGAATTTTACAAGCTGCTTAAGGTAAATCCTGTATCTATGGAAATATTGACTGCTTCCTAAATCAACCATCCATCGTTATGTCCACAGATTTCCACAAAGGAGTTTGCAATGAATTTAACTCTCCTTTTGTTCAAATTACTTCACAGAATCAATGGAAACCAATTACTCTTTGTCAGAATTATAACACATGCCAAAATAACTGAGAGTTACAGCTATCTTTAGTCAACTTGTTAATTATTCATATTTTGGTTACTTCCTAATTTTAAATTTCCTCTGAAGTAAAATCTTGTTCTGTATTTTTCTCCAGTGGTGTACCCTGACTTTGTGAGCTGCAGAAGGTAAGAGTAAATCAAGCCAAGTATAATTAGTTCTCTTTCGAGCCTAGAAATCATTAGAAATAGCAAGACAGAAACTTTCACCAGTCTATCCTCAACACCTATCTGTTCAGTCCACATGCTCTTGTGTGCCTGTTTTTATAATAGGCTCATTATCAAAGCTGGTAAATAGACATTTAGCTTCCATTAATCCCTGTTGTTCACTCTACTGTGTTTATCTTGTAAACTCCAGAGCTGAACTGATTAAAAATTAGCTTAGGTGGGCATGTCATTATTTTCTCACCAACTTTTTTTCCTGCTTTGACCCAAATTGCCCCTGCAGCTGCATGCCATCTGCCTAAGGTTGAATTTAACATTACAGCAAGGGACGCTAAGCTAGTGTGGGCACTAGGAAATGAAATGGACAATTACAGCAAACATTAGGTGAATGCCTTTGATTAAGTTCCCTGAAAGTAAACTCTAAGATGGGAAGTGACATGCAAAAGGCTTTTTGGAGTGTGATCACAGAAGAAAAACCTGTAAAGAAATGAAAAGTCAGAATTTGGTGGAGGGGAAAGCTGACCTGCAATGTGGTCTCAACTGAGGCCCCAGTCAATCCATGATACACTCTTGAGCTGAGACAGCCCTTCACAGGAACAAGGCCTTTGTTTCCCTGTATCAGCTTCTTTTATGGAGGTGTAATCTTGAACTTGGAAGTTCCTACAGCCGATGGCAATGCCCAGAAATAGATTCAGCTTTGTACTGTCAGCATCCAATAGTGTGGCCAGCTGGAATATGCATATTTAGCTTTGTAGAGTGAATCTAGTTGGAGTCCCGGAGAATCCATTGCTGTAACTAAGTTAGGCAGGTTTAAGGTTAGGGAGTATACAGCTGTCCTCTTTATGCTACTAGAAGTACAATGACTAAACACCTATGCTAAACTTTTACAGTCATGAAGGAAGAATTAATGGTGTAATAACATCGTGTTTCTTTAAGTTGAGTGTTTAACTTCCAGTCCAGATCCCAAAGACATAATGGTTCTTCCTGTAGGAAAGTGTAAATTATAACCCTCTGTTTCATCACAGACTGAAGATACTAGAAGGCAGAGGAATGATCATTTGGGCAAATGGACAAGGAGATGAACGGAATAGAACAAAGAGAAAGAGATGGAGAAAGGTATTTTTGTCTTTCCCAAATATTAAGTAAGGCAGGTAACTGACTTTTCAGAGAATATTTTCAGTGAATCCAACTAGTATCAGAATATTGATTATAAAAGCAAGCGTCTATAAGTGACCTTTGGATTTCCCATCTTCAGTAAGGGCAACCTGCTTTTAATAGACTGATGCTCCCACTGACAACAACTACAAAGTGGAAACAAAATATAAAACCAAATCTTTTTGAAGGTGTTAGAGGACTACTAAACCAGCCAGAGCGTAAAAGATCAGAATCTGAGAGAAAGGAAAGCATATTAAGATGCGGCCAATATTCCACCAGGATTTCTCCATAGAGGCATTTGACAGTTCATAAGTGGCGTGGAGCTTGGAGGCTCAGAAGCCAAGCAGGAAGCAATAACTAAAACTTGGGAAACCAAGCAGAGCCTTCTGCAGCCTCATGGGGATAGGGAAATTGAACCTGAACTCCTAGACTACAAGGCAGTCAGGTGAGGATAGACCAAGATGGCAGAGAGGAGGAAGTGCTTTAGGTATTCACAGCCAACTGTCTCACCCTTCTTCCTAAGATATTTGTTCCTCTTTAGGCACAGGGGTTCAGAAGGCAAGAGGAAAGCAGTAAATAAGAGAATAGGGAGTTGAGCAGAAATAGCAGTTGCACCTGGCTGAGAAGACAGAGGGAAATTCTGAACTTGCCAAAAGAGCTTGGTAAACACTGCAACTTCCACTAGTTGGAGTAAGAATGAACTTCATAGGAGGAGTAAGGATGTAAATCCACTCTCAGAAAACTGAGCTCAAACCAGGGTAAGACTGTCTACTCAAAATAAATGCTTACTTGGAAGAAGATAGAATCAGACAGAGCTTAAAGTTATCTGTGTAAATTCTAATACAAAACTGTGTGGCATTCAATTCAAACTACTAGGTATACCAAGAGTCTGGACTAAATTTTTTTTTTACAAAAAGGAGGGGAAGGCCAGGCGCAGTAGCTCACGCCTGTAATTCCAGCACTTTGGGAGGCCAAGGCAGGTGGATCACCTGAGGTCAGGAGTTCAAGACCAGCCTGGCCAACACAGAGAAACCCCATCTCTACTAAAAATACAAAAATTAGCCAGGCATGATGGCAGACGCCTGTAATCTCAGCTACTTGGGAGGCTGAGGCAGGAAAATCACTTGTACCTGGAGGCAGAGGTCACAGTGAGCTGAGACTGTGCCACTGCACTACAGCCTGGGCAACAGAGTGAGACTCTGTCTCAAAAAAATTAAATTAAATTAAATTAAAAAAGGAAGGGAAAAAGACCATAAAAATGGGCCCATATGGATCCTTAGTCATCAAAGTTATCAGAAACAGACTTTAAAATAGTAATATTTTCAACAAAATAAGTGACAAGTAGGACAATTTTTACAGAAACTTGGAATCCAAAAATAAGACAAGCAGGAATTATAGAAATGAAAAATATATAAAATTAAAAGTCCAATATGTGATTTAACAGCAAATTAAAAAAAACGAAAAGGTTATGAAAACTATAAAATAGTCCATAGACATATCTGAATTGAAGCATAGAGAGAAAAAATTAAAAACACAAAATAACATAAATGACACATGAGAAAGAGTGAAAATGACTTTATATGTGTGACTAAAGTCCTAAGAGAAGAGGGGAGTAAGACTAGGGCACAGCAGTATTTGAGGAGATACTGGCAAGTAACTTGCCAAAACCAATTAAAAATATCAAATCACAGGTTCAGGAAGATTTACAAGCCCCAAGGAGAAATATGCAACTAGATATATAACTAGGCACATCAGAGTAAAACTGCCACATACCAAAGTCAATGAGATAATTTTAAATGAGATAGATAAAATAAAATATTACTTCCAAAGAACCACAGTCTTCTCAGTAGAAATTATTGAATCCAGAGACATGGAACACCATTTAAAAAGTATTACTATAAAATAAATGCCAACATATAATTTTATATTTAAAAAATCCTCCAAAAATGAAAGTAAACTAAGTGCATCTTTAGACAAACAAAAGCAACAATTTCACAACTCAGAGATCTTCATTAAAATAAATTCTAGAGGGATTTATTTGAGCAGAGGAAAGATAACTTTAGATGGAAGTATGGAAACACAGAAGTGAATAAATAGTCCTGGAACAGTGTATATGGGAAAGGTAAATCTAAATTTATATGGACTATAAAAAAAATCAGTCTCATAGGCTTTAATGTCAATGGAAAATTAAAATACATAAAAATAATAATGTCACATTTGTGTGAAGGGGATTTAAGAGTTACATTGTTTTAAAGTATTTGCATTGTCTAAAACATGTACAAAGAACTCATATTATGCTTTAATATGTCAAAGAAGCATGTAACCATTGAAAAGAATAAAATAATCATTCTCAGCAGACTAACACAGGAACAGAAAACCAAACACTGCATATTCTCACTCATAAGTGGGAGCTGAACAATGAGAACACATGGACACAGAGAGGGGAACAACACACACCATTGCCTGTTGGGGGTTGGGAGCAAGGGGAGGGAGAGCGTTAGGACAAATACCTAATGCATGCAGGACTTAAAACCTAGATGATGGGTTGATGGGTGCAGCAAACCACCATGGCACATGTATACCTATGACAAACCTGCACACTCTGCACATGTATCCCGGAACTTAAAGTAAAGTTTTAAAAAAAAGAAAAAGGAAGAAAAGAATAAAATAATTTATAATAAGCTAATAGGTAAATTGAATGATTAAAATATTTCTTGATTGACTCAAAGGAAGATAAGAATGAAAAGGGATTATAGAACATATAGAACAAATACAGAAAACATGTAGTAAAGTAACTTTAAACACAGATATGTCATTATATTAAATTTAAGCTCTTTATCACATTATATGGAGCAAGAGTAAGCAGGATACACAGAAAAGCAGCAGCAACATTTGTGCAGTGCTTAAAGAGAAACACAGTAAAAAATCAGACACTCGGAGAGATGTTCCCTAGTGATGGAAAAGTAAAAATGGACACAAAACCTGGTTATGTGTAGAGTTCTCCGGCGTACACTTCACCCTCTCTGGAGAGTGGCAGTGCGTGGAGTCTTATTCTGTAAATTTCCTCCTCGTTATTCTCAGCTAATTGTTGCCACCACAAGGGCTGAAGTGACTCCTTTGAGTATTGATGGGAATATATTGATAGAGTCTCTTTTTGGATCTGCAGTAAGGGCACTGCTGCTCAGGATGGGAAAAGCAAAGCTCTGGCTATTCATAACAAGCCTGAATCAAATATGAATATCAATGGCTGTTTCTAGAATGAAAATGCAATGTCTTGTTTCATTTATTTTAAACAAAACTAATCTCTTATAAGCATATCTGAGACTGAGGGTCCTCCCGCCCTGCCATAGGCTTCAGCCTATTCCTGGCTTTAGAGATGACGGCCACTGATTAAGTTGCACGTGAGAAAGTTAATTCTTCCATTCCAAGAAGTGTCAGGAGTTATGGAATTTAAAGTTATCCTGAGTGAAACAGAAACAAGCTCCTCCTGTTAGTCCTCAGGTAGCCCCCAGACAGGTGAGAGCACACAAACAGCAGATGAGAATAAGCTCCACTCTGCTCACTCTGGAAGCAAGGTCCTAGGCCTACACTGAGAATGTTGGTTTTAGTCTTCAAGGTCAGCACCTAGCAGTGGGGAGGGTGGGACAAAGGTGGGTAATACACCACAATGCTGTCCTACAGCCTTCACTTGCTTCTGTAAACCTTCCTTGTTGTCCAGAGTTCTGACACAGTTGGTTCATGCAGTTTCTGCTTATTTTCTGGTGCTTCTTTGGAGGAACAGGAGTTTGAAGCTGACTCCTCTGCCATTTTGCTGACTTGAGTCTTTCTGAACTTCCAAAAAATAATAATTCTAATAATTTGTATGTAAATTCTCTTGTTTTACATGTAAATTAACTTATGATCTTGTAATTATTTTATTTTTATTTCTTTTTCATATATAGCTAATTCTATATATAATTATGTTTTATAATACATAATACTATGTATGTAATATATAATCTATATGTCATATTATGTTTACTATATACATACACACGTACTAACTAGCTGCCTAGCTAGCTAACAGGATATCTCACAGCACAGCTAGAACTACTAAAAAAAGTTGTATATAAAACAATGCTAGAATTATAAGTATATTATAGATATACTTTCTACAATTAAAGATGGTCCTCACATGCCTAATTTGCTGAAAGTTGTTTGCTTTTGATAGCGGCAAAAGGCAGACAAATACTAGGCAGACAGAGGTGGGTCCCCGTTAAAATCCCACCTTCAAACCAAAGACAGATTAAAACCTGAAAGCAAAGCTAAAAAGTCTCGGATAAATCCACGAACCCGATTGAGAACCTCTCTTCTTGTTAGGCATGCTTTCCTCTGATTGATCCCCACCCTTCCCCTAGTTTACATATACCTACCCTTCCCTAGTTGGTTTTTTACACTGTCATGCCCATCTTTGAGTGGTGCCTTTGTTTTAGCCTTTTTTTGCATACTCACAAACCAATCAGCATGCACGCCTCCGTTCTGAGCTCATATAAAGCCCCAGATTCAGCCACACTAGAGAGAGACTGGCTGCCTTTGGGCGGAGAGGGGAGTGGTCTCTTCTGGTGGGAAGAGACTACTCGACTTCAGAGAAGGGGTTCCCTCTTGGGTGCCTTCTCTGCTGAGAGCTGTCACTCAGTAAAACTCTCCTCACCCTTGGGTTGCCAGCATAACCTCATTCTTCTTGGATGCAGGACAAGAACTCAGGACCCGCTGAACACAGGTATGGAAAAAGGCTGTAAAACTGTATGTAGCCCTCTGTCTTATGCCAGCAGAGGGCAGCCACATGTGACAGGAAGCAGCATCAGGGCGGACAGCCAGGGTGAGACAACAGGACTAAAAGAGCTGTTAGGACGCTGTAACATCCCTTCTGAGGCTTCGGGGTCACTGGCATCCCTGTTTTGGCACTGCGTTCCCTTCAGCCAGGTGCTGGCGCCCAAGGCAGAAACAGGTTGTGGCACGTCCTGCCCAGATTCAGGCTGAACGCAGATCCTTCGGCTAGCATGGGATCTAGGGGGGACTGCAAGCCAAGTGAAGCCCACCAGGCTGAGTGGGCAGGGTGCCTTCTGCAGGGAGCCCAGGATGAATGAGATCCAGTGGGTGGTGTCGCTGGCCGTGGAGGTCTCCGGCTGGCGATGCGGCTCCGAGAAAAATCCTGCCTCACTTTTAACCATTACTTTGTTTTAAATTTTACCTAATGCATTTTCTACATTTATTCAAACTATCATTTAAAAAATATCAAATACAGTCATGCGTTGCTTAACGACAGAGACATATTCTGACAAATATGTCACTAGGCGATTCCATCATTGTTTGAACTTCACGGAGTGTACTTTATACCAACTTAGATGGTACAGCGGGTTACTGTACTGAGTACTGTAGGCAATGGTAACATAATAGTAAACATTTGTGTATCTCAACATATCTAAACATAGAAAAGGTACAGTAAAAATATGGGATTATAAACTTATGTGATCACCATTGCGTACATGGTTCATTGCTGATCCAAACATGATTATGTGGCACGTGACTATATATACCTATTAAAGTTTCTTTGCATCTTTAGATGAATCCAACAATTTAGTCATTTTTTACAATAACTTGCTGAATCCTGTTTGTTATATTTTGTTTAGCAATATGTATTCCTATTCAAAAATCACACTGGCTCATAATTACCCTTCATCATGCAGACCTTGTCTAGCATGTGTTTTATCATCACCTCACATTAGTTGTGTATTATGATGTGTTTTTTCTTATAAGAGCTTTTATATATTTGATGTAATATATTTTTAAATGTTTCTTAACAATGGACACTAAAGCCTTGGTAATTGTAGACAAGTAACAATAAAATGTGTTATCCAAACCAATTTTGAGAGTGAAAAAAATCACTATTAGTATTTTCACTGTGGCTGGGTGTGGTACCTCATGCCTGTAATCCCAGCACTTTGGCAGGCTGAGGTGGGTGGATCATCTGAGGTCAGCAATTCGAGACCAGCCTGACCAACATTATGGAACCCTGTCTCTACTAAAAGTACAAATATTAGCCGGGCGTGGTGGACTGTGATTGTAATCCCACCTAATCAGGAGGCTGAGGCAGGATAGTATCTTGAACCCGGGAAGTAGAAATTGCAGGCCGGGCATGGTGGGTCACGTCTATAATACCAGCACTTTGGGAGGCCGAGGCGGGTGGATCACCAGGTCAGGAGATCGAGACCAGCCTGGCCAACATGGTGAAACCCCATCTCACCTAAAAACACAAAAATTAGCTGGGCATGGCGGCACGTGCCTGTAGTCCCAGCTACTCGGGAGGCTGAGGCAGGAGAATTGCTTGAACCCAGGAAGTGGAGGTTGCAGTGAGCCAAGATTGTACCACTGCACACCAGCGTGGACAACATAGTGAGACCCTGTCTCAAAAAAAGAAAAAGAAATCCCCTGGGACAATAGACACAGACCAGAACTAACATCAACAAACTGGGATATAGAGTCACCTTATTACATATTTATTAATTATTCATATGTTCTTCAGTCAGTTTTAAAAAATTATACTTTCCAGAAATTGTAATTATTTTTCAAAAATTTGTGTAGTATTGGCAGGAGTTTGTCCTAGTATCATCTTATCAGCTAGTATTATCTCTAGGATAATTTTGCTTCTTTTCCCGCTAGTGCATCCCTACAATTTTGCTTTGGGTTTTGTTTATCTGGAACTGCCTTTATTTGCTTCGTTATCCATGTTAGTACTTTTAGTGGGTACAATATCCTATATTTATGGTCATCTTCTCTAGGGACTTTGAGATATTATTTAATTACCATTTGGCTTCTGTTGTTTAAGAGAAATCTTTTGCCAATTTGTTTGTCATCTTTTCATATTAATCTGTTTTTCCTTTCTGATTACTTTAACAATCATCTATTTTCCCCTGGTATTGGGATGTTTCTTTATATACTACATCTAGATATAGGTTTATGATTGTGTATCTTCATTAAGATTTGTTGTTTTTCGTGAATCTGATGACTTGGGCATCTAATGATTCTTCTGAATATTGTAGCTCCCATATTTTCTATTTTTTCTTCTGCCAGAACTCCACGTAGATATATGTTAGATGTTATTTTTCTATGTGCTTTATATCTCAATCTCTCATATTTTTCATTTTCTTACTTTGTTGTGCTTCACTCTTGATAAAATCTTCAGACCTATTTTTATGTTTTCTAATTTATTCTTTATTTTATCAAATCTGCTGTTTTGAAGTGGTTATATTTAGTTGTATTTCAAATCTTCCTGGTAGCCTTTAAATTGAAATATAATACAACATGCATTTTAACAAATGAAGTTGATATCTAGTAAACAAACAAAGCATTAGATTTTATAGATAGTGAATTAACAGTGTCCTGGGTGACTCTTTGTGGTCCCTTCCAGGCGTTGCCTGCCTCTGCCCCATGGTAACCACACTCCTCCTTTCTAACACAAATACTTTTGGCTGTTTCTCAATTTCAATAAATAAAATGAATACAGTATTTTCTCTTTTGAGTTTGTCTTTTCTTGTTTGATATTATCTTTATAAGATTGATTGCATCATCGCAATTAGCAATGCTTCATTATTTTTCATTGCCTTATTCTTATGAATGATTATACCACAATTTACTTTTTGCTTGTATTGGCAAAGGAGATTTAGATTGTTTCAGATTGGGGCTTTTTATGAGCAGTGGCTCTAGACCTTGTCATCTGGTGCATATTTTGCACTTGTCTATGGGTATATAGGTAGGAGCAAGATAGAGCCATACTCAATCATAGAACTGGTGTATGTTGAACTTTAGTATGTACTTCCAAAGTGCACCCATTTATATTCCACCAACAATGCCACATTGTCACCAAATTTGATTTTTCTACTCACTATATCAGTGGTCACCAATGTTTTTGGCATCATGGGCCCATTTCATGGATGACAGTTTTTCCACAGACCAGTGGTGGAGTGGTGAGGGAATGGTTTCAGGATGATTCAAGCACATTACATTTACTGTGGACTTTATTTCTATTATTATTTCATTGTAATATGTAATGAAATAATTATACAACTCACCATAATGTAGAATCAGTGTGTTAGTCTGTTCTCATGCTGCTAATAAAGACATACCTGAGACTGGGTAATTTATAAAGAAAAAGAGGTTTAATGGACTTACAGTTCCACATGGCTGGGGAGGCCTCACAATCATGGTGGAAGGCAAAGGAGAAGCAAAGTCACACTTTACATGGCGGCAGGCAAGAAAGCGTGTGCAGGGGAACTGTCCTTTATAAAACCATCAGATCTGGTGAGACTTATTCACTATCACAAGAACAGCACAGGAAAAACTTACCCCCATGATTCAGTTACCTCCCACTGGCTCCCTCCCATGACATGTGGGGACTATGGGAGCTGCAATTCAAGATGAGATTTGGGTGGGGACACAGCCAAACCATATCACAGTGGGAGCCCTGAGCTTGTTTTCCTGCAACTAGAGAGTCCCATCTGGGGGTGATGGGAGACTGTGACACCCAAAGTGTGTTGCTTATGTCCAGTTTACTCCATAATCTCATTTTGGCTGCTGTCACTGCAGAAAACCCCACTTCATAAAGATAGGATATTGGAAATGGAAGCAGGCTTTTCACTGCTTTTGTGGCAGTCTCAGGATATTCCACCTTGACTTTAATCCAGAACGTATGGAGATTTGAAGTTGTCCCAAACATTCTTTTAAGGCCACTAGATGCAGCTGTACAATTGAAGTACACCAAGTGAGTCTTGCCACTATAAAGCCTGTCACCAGATGCGGCTTAATTGTCACTTGCCACTCACTGATAGGATTTTGTATCAGTCTGTAAGCAATTGATTTATTATGGTCTCTGTGCAGTCAAACCTCTCTGCTAACGTTAATCTGTATCTGCAGCTGCTCCCCAGCACTAGCATCACTGCCTCAGCTCCACCTCAGATCTTCAGGCATTAGATTCTCAAAAGGAGTGCACAACCTGGATCCCTCACATGCCTAGTTCACAATAGGGTTCACGCTCCTGTGAGAATCAAATGCCGCAGCTGATCTGACAGGAGGTGGAGCTCAGATGGTAATTCAAGTGATGGGGAGCAGCTGTAACTACAAATGAAGCTTTACTCACTTGCCCATGCTCACCTCCTGCTGTGCGGCCCAGTTCCTAACAGGCCATGGACTGGCACTGGTCCATGGCCTGGCGGTTGGGGAAGCCCTGCTCTGTAACATCTGAGCCATTCTGGTTGGTGTGCAGTGGTATTTGGCTGATAGTTTAGACATCATTTTTTTTTCTCATTTTAAAAATGCATTTATTTTATTTCTTTGGTTATTCTATTCATACTTGTTTTATGTTCTGTTTTGATAACTCTATTATGTGAAATTTTGGGCAGTTGTTTCTGCTTATGTATATTTATGATGACTTTCTTCAAAACACACACACTCACACACACATACACGACACAAAGACAAATTTCAGATTACATATGCTTGTTGTAAATTCAGTGAAGACTGGCTTCCACTCAGAGGAAAATTGTGTTGCTTTGGCTAGTTGCCCCAGACTGCTACTAAGCAAGGATTACTTAAAATTAAGTTATCTTCAATTATGGTGGCATCACATCAATCATGTAAGAATGTAAATTTGCACTCCAAGCCCGTGACTGAAAAAGCTCAGAGGAAGGCAGAGGTGGGCAGATCACGAGGTCAGGAGTTGGAGACCATCCTGGCTAACACGGTGAAACCCCACGTCTCTATGAAAAAATACGAAAAAAAAAAAAATAGCCTGGCGTGGTGGCACGCGCCTGTAGTCCCAGCTACTCGGGAGGCTGAGGCAGGAGAATAGCGGGAACCCGGGAGGCGGAGCTTGCAGTGAGCCGAGATCGCGCCACTGCACTCCAGCCTGGGAGACAGAGTGAGACTCCGTCTCAAAAAAAGAAAAAAAGCTCAGAGGAGACATTCTTTTCCATCCTCAGTCTATTTTGAGATGGATTTGCTTTTTTATTTGTTTTTCATTTCAGAAGATAGAATTTCTGTAGTCCACCCTTCCCTGCATTCAAAACCATTTGCAGGACCTGTACTGATGCTAGAATCACAGTCCCCAAGTTCCATTTTGCACTACTTGAAAGCCTTTTTATGTGCCCTTTCAAACCCAACATCCACATTACAGAAGATGCATGAGCTGAGGGCAGCCACAACTTCAGTGTCCTCATAGTTCCCTGGTTGGTTTTGACTTCAGCACTTTTCTTTCATTTTTTTAAGAGTAGGTGGCATTTTTCAACATTATTTGTATTATATTTAATCCAAGACTTTTGCATGATTTACCATGGAAAGGCTTTTCTGGTTTTTTGCTTACTGTCAGATATGGAGCGCTTTATCAGTATTTCTTTCATTAGGGATTATTTTCTATTCATTCCTCTTCAATCTTCTTTTAGATGGACCTTGAAATTTGTGGTTTATTTTCATTTTTATGATGTTTCTTTACATACTTTTCATATTTCTATCATTCGTGCTATGTTCAGCGTGTATTCCGCAGGCATCCGGTTCATTCTTTGCTTTCGGCTGTGTTTATTCTACTCTTCATCTGAGATATTTTTTTTTAGTAAACATAATTTAAATTTTTATGATTTCTAGTAGATTTTCTCTTATGATTATTTTTCTTATGGTTGTGAGCATATTTGTTTGTTTTGTTTGTATGGATTAAGTTCTTTTGTTTGTTGAGTTTGCTTTTACTTACCCGAACTTTTGACTTTCCACTAAATACTAGATAATTCCTACTTTTGGGTGCACCTGTGGAGTTGAAATTCACATTGACAATCTCCTGTGTCTGTGCAGCTTGCATCTGGCAGGGCCTGGGATGCACTGCTGGCATTTGTTGTTAGTCAAAGTAGGGGACGTCCAGGATAAGCTATTGATAAGTGAATTGTCTTCATTGTCCTGAACACTCAAGCTTCCCTAGTTGCCTCTGGTGCCTGGGAACGCTGCCCTGTCAATCAGGCTCTGAAATCCACAGAAATTACCTAGCAGTGAAAACTCTTATAACGGTGCCTGGCTTTTGAAGTGGCGAGTCTAAATATTACAACATGAACCCTTAACATATTAAAGTATTAGGTGTTTTCTTTTTATTGCTTTCTTGATAAGTAACAATGTCAGAACACTTTAACTTTGTTCACCGTCTCTCACTTTTTGTGTCACTTTTCAGTGTATTTTAATACTCCATTTTTTATCATTAACATTATCTTATCTTGTCATTATTTATTTAGAGTTACCTGCCTATTTCCCATTTCTTCATCCTTCCTGAATGTCTAAACTTCAAACAGACATAATTTTCATTTGTCCCAAAGTATTTCCTTTAATATCTCCTTTAGTGCATGTCTGCTCATGATAAATTCTCTTTTTCACGTTTGGTAAAAATGTCTATTTTATCTTTGTTCTCAAGGATATCTTGTTTGATATAGAATTCCTATTTGGCAGTTCTCTTTACCCCATCCCATAACTTTAACATAGAATTCCATGTTCACTGGCTTCTGACTTCCATACTTTGTATACAGAAGTTAGCTCTCAATTTTATTGTTACTCTTTGAAGGTCATATGTCTTATTCTCATAGTCTTTGGTTTTCATTATTCTTATTATGATGTACCTAGATCTGACTTTTTCTTATTGTTTTGGTCACTTTGGGTTGATGTAACAAAATGCCATAGACTGAGTGGTCTAAATAACAGATGTTCAGTTCTCACAGTTGAAGAGTCTGGAAAGTCCAAGGTCAAGGTCCCCACAGATTTGGTTCCTGGTGACACTCTCTTCTAGCTCGTAGATGGCCACCCTCTCACTGTGCCCTCATATAGCAGAGAAAAAAAAGCTCTGGTGTTTTTCTAATTCCTTTATGAGGACTTTATGACACTAATTAATTCCTCAAGACCTCATCTAAATCTAATCACCTCTCAAAGGGCCTCACCTTCTAATACCATTACATTGGGGGCTAGAGTTTCAACACATGAATTTTGGAGAGTCCCAAATATTCAGCTCATAACATTTATGTCTTTCAATCTGAAGCTGGATGCATTTTGTCCATTTTTTAATATTCTCAACCACTCCTCCTATAGCCCTCTGGTCTATTGAATTTCTTGTCCTTGTGTCTATTGTCTGTTTTTGTTGTTTTTGTCAAGTCCTATATTGTTATGTGCATAATAATTTTTGCTTTAAGGTTGGACCTTGTATTTGAAAATGTCTAAAGATAATTTGGAGCTCTTAATAATGTTATTTTTATTCATAGAAGATCTGTTTGCCCTTGCAAGTAGCTGGCTAGGGGTAAAAAGCCTTAATCAAATTAGGGATTAAGATGATTAAAACTTGGGGTTCATGTCTCCTTCTAATTTTGTCTTATTTCAAGGGCATAGCTCTTACAACACCCAGTGCAAATCCTGTGCTGTTTGCCAATCTTGTCCTCGGCAGGCTCTGGTCTCCAGTTCAGGTACCCTCAAACCGACAGCATGGATAAAGCCCCCATTCAGCCTCCCAGCTACTCTTTAGCTATTTTTAAAATTGGCAATCACTTAAGGGGAGAAGTCGTGCCAAATATTGAGCTTGCTTTTCTTGACATCCCTCTTCCAAATCTTGGCTGTAAAAACTATCTCTAACTTTCTGGCTCTCTAACATATTCAAATAGGGCTTTATATAATATGTTAGATATAAATTTATATATTTATAATATAAATATATTTATATTTATAATATATAAATTTTTATATATTATATTTATAATATAATATTTAAAATATAAAGGGCTTTATATTTATAATATAAAGGGCTTTATATTATATTTATAATATATTTATAATATAAAGGACTTATTTATAATATTTATATATAATATAAATATTTATAATATAATTATATGTATAATATAAAGGGCTTTATATTATGTTTATAATATATTTATATATTATATTATATATTATACATCATATACTATATTCTATACTATATAATGTAAAATGATTCACAATAGGATAGTAAATAAATTAAATCATATCCAAATGTAGAAATACAATCAGCCCTTAAGAATTCTATTTCCAAGACTATTTAATAGCAAGGAAAAATACATTGTATAAGAAATGGAAAAAAGCAGAATATAAAATGATGGACACAGCATGATTTTTAACATATATGTTAATATGTGCCTTTACATTTGTAATATATGTCTATATTTTTTAAACTTTGATTTTTAGTTCAGGGGTACAAGTACAGGTTTGTTACATAGGTAAATTTGTGTCATGGGGGTTTGTTGTACAGATTATTTCATTACCCAGTTTTTAAGCCTAGTACCCATTAATTGTTTTTCCTAATCCTCTCCCTCCTTCCATGCTCCACTCTCTGATACCCCCAGTGTGTGTTGTTCCTCTCTATGTGTCCATGTGTTTTCATCATTTAGCTCCCACTTATAAGTGAGAACTTGTGGTATTTGGTTTTCTGTTCCTGTGTTAGTTTGCTAAGGATAATGGCCTATAGCTCCTTCCATGTCCCTGCAAAGGACATGATCTCATTCTTTTTTATGGTTGCATAGTATTCCATGGTGTATATGTACCACTTTTTCTTTACCCAGTCTATTACTGATGAACAATTAGGTTGACCCCACGTCTGTGCTATTGTGAATAGTGCTTCAATGAATGTACACAAGCGTTTGTCTTTATAATAGAATGATTTGTATTCCTTTGGGAATATACCCAGTAATGGGATTGCTGAGTCAAATGGTATTTCTGTCTTTAGGTCTTTGAGGAACTGCCACACTGTCTTCCACAATGACTGAACTAATTTACACTCCCACCAACAGTGTATAAGCATTCTTTTTTCTCCACAACCTTTCCAGCATCTGTTATTTTTTGACTTTTTGATTGTAGCCATCCTAACTGGTGTTAGATAATATCTCATTGTGGTTTTAATTTGCATTTCTCTAATGATATATCTATATTTTCCACTCTTTAAATTATCTCTGTCTATTAGACTATCTACTTGTCAGATTTTATTTTTCTAAATCTACTTTTCTATTTTCTAACTACATGGGAAAAGAAGCCACCTCAAAATATCCCAAAATGCTACTGAGAGACAGTGTCATGACAGGGGACTTTCCTTTTTCATTATTTTATTTTTCAGTATTTTAAAACTTTCTACAAGCTGCGTGCCATAACTATGAAATTATGTATACATACACACATATGTATACACATATATATTAATGTATTTGTGTGTGTGTATATGTGTCTTTGTGTGTAGTAGTAAGTACCTAAACATGAGTTTGTCGTGTGTGGCTGCTAAACCCCTTCAAGTCACGTAGTCCCTAGAATGTCAAATATTGTCCTTGAAGTTTGGACCTATTTGCATGCTATATTCTCCAGTCTTTACATCACAGCTCTCCACAGCCCTGGGGCTCCATCTTCTTGGTTTCAGGCTGAAGACTCAGGGTAGTGAGACCTTTTCTATTTTTTCTTAAATACATAGCTCCTTCCCTCTCCTTCCCTGCTCTACTTCCTGTTGGCTCTGCCACAGTTTCATAGTTTTTCCACTATTGATACATATTTCTTCACTCATTTAGTGTTGGCCACAGAAGATGCCTGGGAAAAAGAGTCAAAGAATTTGTAAGTGAACCGATTTGCTCTACATTCCCTAAAGGCATTTGTTGTATCTTAATGAACATGATCCCTAGATTCTCCTCATACTGTCATGAGTTGAGAGTATATATATATGCCAGGGAGAGAGAGAAAGACCCAGTTGTGGGTATGCACCCATTTCCAGGAGTGTTCCAATGCTGGTTTGATGGACTGCTATTCTGTCACCAAATGAAGTGTCACGTCTCTTGCTTGAGAGATTTAAAAAGGTAATTGGAGAAAAACCTGGGGAAATTATAACATTCAAATATTTTGCTTAGTTTAATTGACAACCTTGTTTGTTTTTATTCCATTTTTATATAGCTAAGCTCTTCTGGCAAATATGAAAAAGAAGCCTAGCTCTTTTTCATTCCCATTGAACAGTTAGCTTTGAGTGTTATTAATCATTTATTAGGAAATGCTTTCCCCTCAGATGTGTGTACATCAATAAGTTGTTTGTGTGCATAAGTGTGGTCTCCAGATCAAAAGGTTTCCCAGAAGGACATATCTCTAGTTTGTAGTTAGAATTTGCAATCAGAGAATGCAGATGCAAAAAAGAGTGTTGTATATAGATTATTTTCCTACACATTAATTTATTCTGAAAGTTGAAGTACCTGTCTTTAGGATATTCTCTTAGCCACAATATAGGGTAAAATCCCACTGAATAAGGGACGTCTTCTCAAAACAAGGTTGGCATTAACACTAGTGGGCATTAGATGGCCCTGTGATTCCATTTCAGCACATGCCAAGCGAGTTATTGGTGGGTGGGCACGGAGAACAATCCTAAAGGAATCAGGGACTCAGGGACTATTAAAGAGGTGTGTTTTCCCAAGGCTTTTCCCCCCAGCTTCCCAGAAAAGCACTTTGTGGCTCCAGCATCCGTGTCCCAGTGTCCTTTTCCACATCTCTTTGGAGATGTCAGCTTCTGCAGAAGAGCCATGAGGTGTGTGCCACGGGGAGCTCCTGAGTCAGAGCCTGGGGAGGGCCCGGTGAGTGGGTGATGGGTGCTGGGTGTCCCGTCCCATCTCATCCGCAGGGGAGGCGGGCTCTACACTGTGGTCAGTGTCATGAAGGGGAAGGGACAATGTAAATTGTGTGAAGTATGTCAGACAGAAGGCTTGGCTGTAAAATGAATGGAGAGTATTCATTCAACAAACATTTACCGAGGGACTTGGAGCCACTTCTGATGGGGAAGATGAGGATGGGGGGCAGGTCCCACCTGCCAGAGGCTCACAGGAGTGTTGTGCAATGAGTAAAGAAATCGACACCCAGAGAGGAGCTGCCCCAGACCCTAAATTGGTCAGCAGGAGAATCAAGGCTAAATTCCAGGGTCCTGTTTTTCTTTCCACACTGGCCTTCCAAAAAGTTGGTAGCCAAATTGGTTCAGTGTGTGGCAGTTCATTAGGTTTCCATCCATACCACCTGGTCTCTTCTTGCAGTCATCTCCATTAATTAATTAATTCATTCATTCACTCAAACTCATATTTATTAAGCCCCTATGTGTGACACACATAATGCTCAGTCCTTTTGCTTGTATAGTGCGTATCCTCATAAATATCTTGAAATCTTGATTCGTAATGTAATATAAAAATAGAAAAAATCTAAAAATAGCTAAATGGATACCTACAGAGGTTTCTATCACCCCCACCTATCCATAAAAGCACTTTCACGGATTCTGGATTTTATTGACTCATGGGGAATACTGGAAATGCCAGCTAATCTGGGTTCCCAGAACCTTCTTCCAGGTATTTTTCTAGGGCACCTTTCCACTCCTCATTCCTCTGCAAAACTGAGATTTCCTCCCCAGTGGCTGCTTGTGAGGAACCGACTTGGCTTTTTTTTTCTTTGCAAATGCCCCAGCTTCTCGTTTTCTGGACTCTGTGCTTGAGGAGTGCATCAAAACCTCCTCTTTTGTTGCTCAATTAAAGGATTCTTTCTGGCACTTCAAACTACTACTTATCTCCTGCCCTTTCACATCTTTTGGAAAGATGGTGTAATGGAAATCACATTTGAGAGGACAGGCTTCTGGTGCATCAGAAGAACCCTAAGAAGTAATTTTCTAAAAATAAGATGCTGTTAATACAAGCAGAAAAGTGGGGCTTAGAAAAATATCCACTGTCAAAAGACAAAGAAAGGTGAAAAAGCAAATCGCAAGCTTTTGGTACACATACCTTATCATAGCAGAGACAGGGTGTTTTTTCTAGAGAAATCACCCACAGTGAGTATCTGCAAATAATAGAAATCTGTAATAGCATCATTGCTGAAGCTAGAAGAAAGTTAATGTAGAAAAGGTCACAGGGAGCTGGAATGAATATTCTGTGGCGTCAGGTACCAAGTCAGAGAGGCGTGCGTGGCAGAGTAGGATCAACTTGATGCCTGGAGTCCCAGAGACCTGGGCTGGCGTCTGGCTAGGTCACAAGTCATGTGATGATAATAAGTCGGTTAACCTTTGTGGTTCCCTGAATAATGGCAGATAAGCACATTTCAAATTGAGAGAGGCTTAAATGAGACAGTGCTTGTTGATAGTGCCTAGTGGAGTGTGAAGGAATAGAATCTACTTTTACCAAATGCCAGTTCCCCAGGATCCCTCACCCTTGCTGGAGTATTTGGAACAGGGATCCTTGGACACGTGGGTTGGAAATGAGGCACCCTGAGCAATGGTAACAGGCCAGCAGGGGATCTCTTTACAGATAAAATTCCAGTGGCTGGGGTATCCTGCCCTGGGAATAGAAGGTGTGTGGTTTGCAGTTTAACAGTTTTATCACACTGTATAATGTGGCTGGGCATCCATAGCAAGCTCAGCCCTGGGCTTGGTATGATGGGCTTCGAAGGTGAGAAAGCACCCAGTGTGGCCTTGAGCACACCTGCAATGACCAATCTTTGCATTCTGTACCCTTCTCTGAGCACCTGCAGTGTCCCTGTTCCCTGCATCCGCCAAGGTTGCTTACAGCAAAGGTTATTTTGCACCCATAGGCATGGATGTAAGTCATGGACTTCCTTCTATAAGGGCAAGTGTGTGAATGGGAAAGGTGTTTTAGGAATTAAGAAACAGGCTGGAAAGTAATTCTTTTCGAATGGGATTTTCTTGACTTCTCTGGATGGCTCTGACAGGCAAAGGTATCTCTTGTCACCGTCAATTGATTTGAAGGTACTGTGATCACAACATAGAGTGGGGCAGGGAGGAGGGCAACACTGACTTCCACTGCTGAAAGTGCTTCTTTTTTTTTTTTTTTTTTTTAGACAGAGTCTTGCTCTGTCGCCCAGGCTGGAGTGCAGTGGTGTGATCTTGGTTTGCTGAAAACTCCGCCTCCTGGGTTCAAGAGATTCTCCTGCTTCAGCCTCCTGAGTAGCTGGGATTATAGGCGCACGTCATCATGCCCAACTAATTTTTGTATTTTTAGTAGAGACGGGGTTTCACCATGTTGGTCAGGCTGGTCTCGAACTCCTGACCTCCTGATCCACCTGTCTCGGCCTCCCAAAGGTGCTTCTTGAAGGGTTGCGTATTCACCCAGGATTTGAGAGAGGGAGGATTATTCCCAGTAGAAGGAATCAGGGAACAGAGGGTACAGAGGCTTAAAAGCAAGTCAGGCTGGATCTGAGGGGGCTGGAGGAGTAGCATCTGAGGATTTGTAGGAGGCCCAAGCAAACAGGTGTGTGCAGGGAGAATGGTGGGCATTGGTCATGAGCAAAAATTATTCTACAGAGCTTTAGCATGACAATATTAAACTACTGAATCTTGGAGTGGTATGAGAGAGTCTGCCTTTCAGAAGGATATCATTTGGAGACGAAGCAGAGGGTCGAACCTGGAGCCAGAGAAACCAGGAGAGAGGCTGCTGCAAAGTGATGAGGGTGTATGGAGGGTGATGAGTGGTGGGACCACTGGCCAGGAGAGGGCAAGTGAAGGCAAAAGTGCTGTGACTCCATGACTAATGTCATGTGATAGCAAATCAAACCGGAGAGCTGAGACTAGCTGTCAGATTCCTGACTTACTAGATGGTGGCACCATAGTCTCAGCTAAGAAGAACCCATTAAGATTTTGGGGGAGACAATGAATTCAGATTTGGGTAGTGCATTTGAGACCTCAGGAGGAAGAGACAAGGAGAAGAGTCAGGGTTGGGGATATCAACTTGAGAAGTGTCCTTCAGTAGCTCACAGTGGTGGCTAACCAAAGGGTTGAGGGCCATTGTCCAGGAGGACTGTGTGTCCTGAGAAGAGAGGGGAGGCAGAAAAACACAGAGAACCTCAAGGCAGGCTGCTGGCATAGGCAACAGCTGCAGCCAACCTAGGAGGGTCTGATGCAAGCAGAGAAAGTCAGAAAGAGAGGCACGGAGCTTGGCCATGTGATCACACAGCACTTCAAGCAGAGGCAGTGGATGGCTCTGGTTGGCCTCATAGGAAAGGACAATGCAGGATTTTGTCCGCAGGTTTCTTTCTTAAAAGCCGCCAATGATGTTAATTTTTATTTATATAAAGCCTCCATCCATCCATTATTCAATCGTCACCCAATGTGTGGCAGGTTTGGTGCTAAACACATGAGGAGGTGTTATGACTGAGCACACTTGCTGCCTTCCAGGTCAGTCTGTTCAGCCACAGCAGAGGGCTGTCCCTCTGTCTATCAAGAGAAGAGCTTGGATCCCACTGAGCTTAGACCTTCACACCTCTCCAGGAAGGCCTAGAGGACTAGAGTATGCTACCTGCCTACTCAAAATCGTCCTCTGACTCTCAGCTGCTACGGATGGAGACTCTGTGATGTGGCCTGGAGTGCATCGCCCTCCAGGAGCTTTCCTTGCCTTCCTGTGCACCCTAAGCTCCACCTAGGCCCTGCACTTCCTACCTTAGCAACAAGAGCAGAGTAAAGACTCTAAACCAGGAATTGTTCAAATGCAGTTTTCCTATTTCTTTTTTTTTTTTTTTTTTTTAGACAGAGTCTTGCTTTTGTCGCCCGGAATTTGGAGTGCAATGGTGAGATCTCAGCTCACTGCAACCTCTGCTTCCCGTGTTCCAGCAATTCTCCTGCCTCAGCCTCCCAAGTAGCTGAGATTACAGGTCCCTGCCACCACGTCTAGCTAATTTTGGTATTTTTAGTAGAGACAGGGTTTCATCATGTTGGCCAGGCTGGTCTTGAACTCCTGACCTCAGGTGATCCACCCGCCTTGGTCTCCCAAAGTGCTGGGATTACAGGCCTGAGCCACCGTGCCCAGCCAGGCATCACCTCCTTTAAGAATGATTTGCTGATCACTGAGGCAGAGGTGACCTCTGTGTGGCTTGAGTCAAACTCACCTTGTTTCAGTTTCAGATCCCACTGTGGCTGCTCACAAGGAAATGTGAGCCCAGTCACTCCAGTTCTCTGAATCTGAGTTTCCACTTTTTAAAACAAAAAGTTGTGATACCTACTATGTAAGAAGGCCATAATTAGAAATGTATTTTATTATGTATAATATATGAATGTTTTATATTTCTAAAACTATTCTGTTATTACTAGAAATAAGAACTGTGAAGTGTCTGTTGCCTAATGAGTAGATCTTCGGTGAATGACAGCATTTCCTATAATTGCTCCGGAACTCAGGTTTTTTTTCATGCACGAGTCACACCCCCTGCCCCTTCCTGTGGTGGAGAGTCCCCGTGGTACCTGATGAACCAGCCTCTTTGCAATCATGCCTTTTGTAGGCTGCACCCCTTCTTCAATCTTGGCTGGCTTGGGGTTCACTTACACCCCACTGAATGTGGCATATGCTCCTCTGAGTGCCTTCCAACCTAGGCCATGGATGCCTATACTTTCTAAAATGCTGTCTTGGAATGCAGGTTCTGGTGGCAGTTGGCATCGTGCAGAGGTACCCCTCCCTTCACTGTGCTCGGAAGGAGTCCAGCCAGCCATGTGGGGAGGTCACACGCAGGTGAGGATGCTTGGCCAGCCTAGGGTCAGAGCTGTGAGTGAGGGAGTCATCGCAGAGTTCAGCCAGGTCGAGACCTCAGGTATCTCCAGCTGTGTCCAGCATCGAAGTGCAATGACTGGAGAGATTCCAAGCAAGACGAGGACTGCCCGCCAAGCCTGGGGAACCCTCAGAGCCACTAGAGATAATAAGACATTGTTGTTTCAAGGTTGGGAAGGGTTGTCACTCAGTCATTAGAAACTAGAATGCTTGTTTTCTTCAGAAAATGTACTCTTAGCTTGGATGAGATACCCTGGCCCTATGATGTTTTTCCACAAATCACGGGAAGGCCCCCACAGTGGCTGTTTTGTCCTTGCTTATCTGCTCCTGCTGACCCAGGGGTACCTGGGGCCCAACACTATGCCTGTCTTGTCCAATGTTGTACAACTCAATGCCCAGCAGGGGCTGCCAATCAAGTGTGCCCAGATACTTCTTTGACTGAATGTAATATCCACAGTGTTTTGTTATTAGCTGTTTCTCCTCGCTGATGAGCTCCTATAAAGCAGGGTTCAGTAAATAGGATCAATAATTACATCTACCTCAGAAATCTGTTGTAAAACAAAAATGAAATAATGCAGATAAAGTACGTTATAGGCTTGGCGTATGCTAAGCCACTGATAAATATTAGGTCACATGTTACTGAGCCTACAGTATTGGACATTGGGCCAGACATGTGATAGATGCTCATGAAACGTTTGGAGAGCTCAGAAAGACTGAACAGGTCAGAACTGAGGGAGGAGCACCACCACCTGACCCAGTGAGGCCCAGGCTCACCTGTCTCACAGGCAGGCACAGAGAAGCCCACCTGAAGGCAAGATCCTGGAGACCTTGGGAGGGGCTAAGAGTCCTATTGGATCCTTGATGCATTTTCTTTCACACATTCCACAGTCAGAGAGCAAGCCCAGAGAGTTATGAAAGTAGGAATTAGCACAGGATGGACATAAGGATGAGGACATCCTTCCCTTCCCAGAATTGATAGAAATTAACAAGGTTAAACAAGGCAAGTTGGGCAGGGGAGACAAGGAAAACCCAGTCCACAGCAGGAAGCAATTGAAAGCTAAATGGAAAATACCAAGTATTCCAATGTCTTGTCTACCTAGCTTCCTGCATCAGCTGTGGCTGACTCTGTCCTGTGAACAGGAGCCAAGCCCAAGCGCCCTCCGGGGCCACCATATAGGACTGCAATAACGAATACTTACATGTCCCCACCAGCTGCTTACTCCACTTCACTGAGTCTGTAGTCCTCCTGGCCAGTGAGGAGGCTGCCCACTCTCCTATTTCTGTCCTGTTGCTGCCTCTGACTCGTGACACATGGTATTTTCTCGGCTACGATCCCACAATACCCCTAACTGTTCATTCCCAGGGATGGGACTATGTCACTGCTTATTTGAAGGTGTAGTTTGGGAACAGTAATGTATTGATCTTGCAGCAATGGCCAGCAGGCTGGATTAAAAGGTCAGAGATGATGTCTCACTCTTCCCTGTCCATTATGGCCCTTAGAACTCCAAGCATTTTGGGTTCCGCAGCCACTCGGGGCACTATGTGCACCCCTTGAGAAGATCCAGACAAAAGAACCATAGACACCATCTTAATCCAATAACATCTTTGCTCTTTCTCCCATATTTCCATTTTCATCCTTAAAAAACTAAACCTCAAATTCAAACACCTTTCTAGGCTAACTCTCCCTCTTTCCCTTTGTAAGAACCAATTTTGATGGGGCTTTGCTCTCAACCAGGACAAACCACTTTTGGTGAGTTGGCGGGGTGAGAGGGCATTGATGGCTCAAGGACTATTTTTATGGCTCTTGTGGCTCCAGCTCTGGGGCATTCACCACTACTAGTGCTTGTTGGTTGCAAGTTCAGCTCTGCCATGGCTTAAGCCTTTCAGCCGATCCATCTGCCAGTCTCAAAGATGCTAAGACTAAGATGCATTAATTTGTAAAGCTGAAGTCTCTGTTCGTCTGATCTGGCCTCAGATTTTTATTTTTTCCACAAATACATTTTACATTTTTGTTAATGAACATCTAGGTAATACTTACGACATGCCAAAGTACCATTCTGGTACTTTGCAAACATGAACTCAGTTAATCTTTGTAACAACCCTCTCATGAGAGCATTGTTATTGTTATCTCTACTTGGGGATATTATCCCTGTGAGGAAATCAAGGCATGGAGACGTTAAGGTCATACAGCAAATGATTGGCAAACTAGTGTTGTCAGATTTAGCCATATGACGTTTATAACAATGTATAACTTTCTACTGCAGTCCTTTCTTGATATCGATGGGGAATGGATCTATGACCGCCTCCTGCCACTAACCACCCCCTCACTGATACCAAAATCCACAGATGCTCAAGACCTTGATAGGCAGCGGTGTGGTATCTGTGCATAACTTATGCACATCTCCCCGTATACTTCAAATCATGTCTCCACTACTTATAATACCTAATACAATGTGAATGCTACGTAAATAGTTGTTAGCCTGTATTTTTTGTTTGTAATATTTTTTATTGTATCGTTATTTTTTTTCTGAGTATTTTCCATCCATGATTTGTTGAATCCATGGATACAGAACTCACAGATACTGAGGGCTGACCGTTTGAGTGCATCCCGCACAACGTTTGTTGTTTATCTGAAATTCAAATTTAACTGGGCATTCCATATGTTATCTGGAAACTAGAAGTGAAACCAAATTAAACCTGGGAAGTTGGCTTCCTGAGCCACCCTTCTCATATGCGCACTGAGCTGTGAGTCACCTTATGGATTTTAAAGTTTTAACTGTCACTCAGGGAGCTGTCAGAGGGCATGGTCCTGGCCAAAACAAGCCTCACCCCAGGGCAACCCTGCACCCTCACTTGCTCATTCCTCACTATGAGGTTCAGTTGTAGGCAATACTCTCATTAATGCAGAAGGTGTCCTCTGGTATTTTATGAATGGACTTTTATAAAGAAAATGCAGAGGCAATACTGCTCCGTATCTTTTTCTGATTTGAGGCTTCTTTTCTGCAAGGGTATAGGAAAATAGGACTCAAAAGTAAGAGAATGGAGAAAAAAATTGCTCTCTGCTGAGCGGGTCCTTTTCAAGCCTTTAGAAAGAAAGGCAAGCATTTCTTCACTGAAGAAGGATGAGTCAGTGACATTTTCTCATTTTGCTGCGTGTGATATTCACACTGATTCCAATTATGTGAAATGCAGGTTCCAGGAGTTCAGCTTTAAAGGGCCATAGGTTTCCTTCTCAATTGGGTGGAAGCATTTTAAATCATCCCCACCTCATGCCAGGCAAAGTCTTTGTTTTCTTTATAGCCAACTTTCTTCTTTCCTTTTCCAAGCACGGCACAAAAGGTGGGAGGTTACTTTAAAGAAAGGCATTTATTTTTAACAGTAAACCAAGATCTGAAAGAAGGTAGAATTAGAGTTAGTTCCTGTAAAATGAAAAAAAAAATATACAAAGACATTTACTCTTAAAAAAAAAGATTCTGTAGAGAAAATGAAGAGTTGTTGGCTTGAAAAATACAAAATATACAAAATAAAAACATTTTATTTTTCTAAGGTCACTTCACATGTCCAGGCTTTTAGCATTTTCTTCAATATGAAGAATATACATATCTCAGCAAGATATATAACCTGTAATTTGATGACTATAGATTCCTTTCCCTTCTTTTTTATAACACTGCAAAATCCTTTTTCTATGAATGCTTTATGGTGTGGTCCATAAAATAATGGGTATTTTTTGAGGGCTTCAAGGGATAACACACAATGGTTTATGGTGGTGGGGGTTAACATTTTGAGTGAAGCTTTTCATGAAGTTAATTACCTGAGAAGAAATTGAGACAAAGAATCTAAGGATTAAAGGATTGTATGTGTGTGATATCATAATTTATAATAAAAAAATACATATATTTGGTTTCTGCCCTGGCTCCTGGCACAGAACTCCTAAAACCTGTGGAATTTCCTGGGTGATAGGAGAATCTTTTTTTTTTTTTCTTATTGATACAGAGTTTCACTCTGCTGCCCAGGCTGGAGTGCAGTGGCATAATCTTGGCTCACTGCAACTTCTACCTCCTAGGTTCAAGCGATTCTCCCGCCTCAGCCTCCCAAGTAGCTGGAATTCCAGGAGCCCGCCACCTCACCCAGCTAATTTTTGTATTTTTAGTAGAGACGGGGTTTCGCCATGCTGGCCAGGCTGGTCTCAAACCCCTGACCTCAGTTCTAATGAGGTGACTCTCGGTAAGCTCCTGGATAGCTTTAGAATGGGGGCTGATTGCTAGAAGACCAAACTGTGATTAGATTGGAACTTTTGGTCCTAGGCCCCAACCCCCATTCTCCAGGGAGGGGAGAGGAGCTAAAAATGGAGTTAAAATTTGATTATGCCTACTTGATGAAGCCTCTATATAAATCTCTAAAATATGGGGGTCAGTGGGCTTCCAGGCTGGTGAACAAGAACACATCCCATGTGCATGGAGGATGGTGAGCCCCAAACTTCAGGGGCACAGAAGCTGCTGTGCTTACGACTCTTCCATGGCTTGCCCTGTGTACCTCTTCATCTGGATATTCTTTGTAATATCCTTTAAAATGAACGAGTAAATCTAAGAAAGTGCTTCCCTGAGTTCTGTGGCAGTTCTAGCAAATAATAGAACCTGAGGAGGGAGTTGTGGGAATCTCCAATTTATAGTGGATTGGCCAGAAGTACAGGTGACAACCTGAGACTGACTGACTTCCTTCCTTCCCTCCTTCCTTCCCTCCTTCCTTCCTTCCTTCCCTCCTTCCCTCCCTCCCTCCCTCCCTCCCTCCCTCCCTCCCTCCCTCCCTCCTTCCTTCCTTCCTTCCTTCCTTCCTTCCTTCCTTCCTTCCTGGCCAAAACAAGCCTCCTTCCTTTCTCCTGGGCAGCAGGGTAGAAACAGGACTAGTTAGTAAGCCTTCTGGTCCCAGCATGACTGGATGCATGCATAAATATGTGGCCAATTCCATTTTAATAGTATTGTGCTAAATCCAGCTGTACTAATGTAGACATGCTCCTATTTGCCAGTCCACACATATATCACACAGACAATATGTAGAATATGTAATTTCTATGAGAAAGGGACCTCAACTAAACACACTCACACTCACAGAGGAGCATGATCTAATCCTGACTCAGTAGCTCCTTCTTCATCCAGCTCTAGATAGGTCCTTTAGAGCATAAAATTGCTCCTTTACTCAGGGGAATAAAGTGCTGGTGTTCACAGTAGAAAAACCTGAAAGTGAGAAATACGTGGAAGCTGAAAACCAAAATGCTTCCCTGGTCTCAGGAAACAACAGTGGAAATAGCCTTTATGTCAAGTCCCTTATGCTGTTAAGTTGCAAGTTCCTCTGGGAAAGCACTGCATTGGTGGGCCTGAAGTGGTTGGTGAGTCTTCTTCCATTTCCAAATGGATCTCCGTTTTGTGGAAGAGCCATCCTGGTGGGCCATGCTGGCTGGGGTCTCACAGGCTGGGCTGGATCCTGGAAGTGATTTGTCATGCATGATGGGAGAAGCCCAGGTTGTTCTTGCAGGAGCAACATGTGGCTTATGACAGAGGAGTGAGTTTCAAGCAAAAAACAAAACAAAAAAAAAAAAAGGAGAGACAGAAGGGATTAGGTTTATCTGGGGAGACTTCTGACTTGCTGGATGCTACTGATGTCATTTGGGTAATCTAGAGACCAGACACAGAGCTGTGGGACATAATCACCACAGCGCTGATGGCCGTGTCTATCTGTCATTGAGTACCACCATATCCTAGCACATTCCATGTTCTGGCTCTTTTTAAGTCTCTCAACAACCTCAGAAGAGACAATCTGTAGGCATCATCATTAGCCATGTTTGATAGACCAGGGAAGTGGGCCACAGAGAGTGATTAATGAGCTCAAGGCTACACAGCAGATGATGGGCCGCATCCAGTGTCTGCTCATCATCATGCGTCTTGCTGCCCTCAAGTCACTCCTAGCAGTTGCCCAGGACTGTTTGTTCCCCGTTCCTATCCTCAGGTGTATCTGGGGTGTTTCCACCCTGGCCTCAGTCTCCCCTAACCAAACCATGACACTGGCCTCTGCTCCTCTGCGCTGGTCCCTGAAGCTTGTCTCTCCCCTGTAGATGCTGACTCTGTCTCCTCAAGGTCTTTGGACCCCATGTTTTCGTGGCTGGAATGAAACACACTCCAGCTCCAGCCCCATGGAAGCTGTTCCCAACCTTTCCACTCAGCTGGTCTCTGTCAGGATTGCTTGACTCCTGACCCAAGGGATGGGAGAACAGGAGTGGGAGGGGATGCCATGAAGGGAACCAGCATCAGGACTGGAAAAGGGACAGGCCAATGAGAGGGAAACGGGCTTCCTCTTATAAGATGCTGACCTCATGGTGCCCCAGTATATAAGTTAGGGAGAGGCAGGGTAGGGAACGGATGTGCATTTTAGCAAAGTGTGGTGCTGAGCAAGGCTGGTGGTTAACAGAATTTAGATGCTTTCCCGAGCAGAGATTCAATGTGCAGTGGATGAATAATAAAGCCACTGAACATCACAGGTCCACGAGAGGGTCAGGCAGGGAGAAACCAGAAAAGAAACCACAATGCAAGAGCACAGGGCCCCTTTTTCTCATATGGCTGGCTGCAAAGTGAATTAAATGAGAGCTGTTGCTTTTCAGCTAAGTAAATTAGTAACTTAACAATTTAACAGACACTAATTGACCATTATACTATGCTACTGTTTTGGGGAAAGTGCTAAACAGTTTAAGCCTATTTTTCCTTACTTGCAGAGCACTTAGCTCATTGAGTTATTTTCAGAATGGAAGGATGCTGCAAAGGATGATGAGTGTATCTAAGAGCCAAAGGGCAGTGGCTTCAGGAAGAGATGGTTCTAGAAGCTCAAACAATGTCCTTATAATTCTGACTATGTCTCCAAGATTTTTTTCCTCTATCTTTCTTAATCATTAGTCAGATTCTCTGTGTGTATGATACAAATGTTCACCAGTAGTTCAGGCTTATATCTTGCCAAATTAGGAATCTCCATGGAAAGAGATTTCTTTCCCAATAATTGCAGAAAAAATGGCCTTTTCTCTCCTTGGCATGAATTGGGTGGTGTGCCCAGGCCTGACCAATCACTGTGAACTGGAGAGACCACATCAGTGTCCTGTTTCTACCCTGCTGCCCAGGAGAAAGTTAACTCCACCCAATAAAGGATGATTCTCCCAAAGAAAATTGAGGTGCTGTTGTCAGGAAACCAGACAACAGATGTTGGGTAAGCAAATTAGCTGTGCTAACCCCAGTCATTATTACTGAGGGTTGGGATCCAGGTTTGGGTTTGGTCCAAAAGTTAAATCACACAGAACCTTTGGCATGAACAGATGCACAGTTGTGTAGAAGAGACTCACAATGAAACAAATCCATGCGATCTAGTCTTGCAGGTGCTGTGATACATGTGCATAAAGAGAGAGGCGCCAATGTGACCTGGGCGGGGACAGCCCTCTATAATGATGAGGTTCTCATTTATGGGTAGAAAGCCAAGGACACTGCATTCCCTGCATAGCCCACACTTTGGCTACCGTCTCTGCAATTTGGGTCCTGGATGGGACTCTGCACAGCATAAGCTCTGCAGCAATGGGAGTCAATGTGGCAATATTGAGAAGGATGGCAGACTCTGAGAATCACCTAAGAGCAGAGGAAACATGAATTGTCCTCTTACAAACTCCCTTAATAATAAAATAAATCAGCTGTATTGTTCAGTGATGAACTGTTCTGCTTTCTGGCCAGGGGGGCTCCAAAAGTTATTACTGGCTAACAATAGCTTGTTAAAGTTCTTGGGCACAGAAAAATCAAACTATGCAGGTCCTGGGAGAATCTGGTCACATAAAAGAGAGAATCCATTCCAAGCATGAGCTATTAGTTCTGCTCTGAATATCACCGTTATTAACCAAAGGGCTTTAGTGAAATCTCCAGCCTGCCAGAACCTCAATCCTCATCAACTGGTCAGGAAAATGACTGTGACAGGTGCTAATTGGTTATTATAGGAAAGAATACCTTTGAACTGGAAAAATGCTCCAGGTGCTAACTAGTCATGGCAACAGTGCTCCCCTGGGAGATAGATGCTCTTTGGAGGAATGAGTATACTCCTGTAGAAAATGGCCCTGATTCCTTCCTGTTGACTGATCTCTCTCCCTCTCTCCTTCTCTTCCTTTCCTCCTTACCCAATCCCAACCCTTCCCAGGGCTCTGTTTAAACCAGACCCTGACTACCTCCAGATTCCTCAACAGAGCTTTGGCTTTGAAGGATCTTATTCAGTTCCGAACTCTACCAGCACAAGCTCTATGAGTGACTTGGTCGGTCACCTAGTTTCTCTTTTGATTTAACCTTAAATCAAGCCTCAACCTTAAATTCAAATGGCATTTGAACTGCCACTGCAAAATACCAGTGTGGTGCTAGGGACACTGAGGTGTTTAAGCAATTCTAGTTCCTGCTTGTCCCTTTTCTTTTCTGTCCTGATGTTCAGATTGTCATTCCTGACTGGATGATGAATTGCAAAGTGCAACACAAAGACAAGGCAGCATTATTCATATTTACGATTATTGTTTTACTCATTGTGTAGCGTAGCACCTGGCTCACTGCAGACACTCCTTAAATAATTATCAAATGACTGTGGATGTCTTTTTCAATAATATCTGTCTTAAAGGCACTGCTAATTTCTTCCCTTAAGGAAGCTCTCAAAGATCTCTGTGCTCCACAGGTGTCTGCTCCTTCTGGGGCTTCCCATGTTGAATCTGTAGCTACTGCATTGTTTTGTTAGCATTGCTTGGTGTGCACTGTGTCTGTTTTCCCAGGACACACTGAGTAACTCTTTTTCTACAGCTTCTTGTCTCTGTCCTAGATGATGGTTTACTTATTGTCATCTACACATGAATGCATTTGTGTACTTTCTGTGACTTCTCTTGGGTTGGAAAATCCACGCTCTGTCGCCCAGCCTGGAGTGCAGTGGTGTGATCCTGGCTTACTGCAACTTCTGCCTCCTGGGTTTAAGCAATTCTCTGCCTCAGCCTCCTGAGTAGCTGGGATTACAGGCATGTGCCACCATGCCCAGTTAATTTTTTGTATTTTTAGAGAGACGGGGTTTCAACATCTTGGCCAGGCTGGTCTTGAACTCCTGACCTCGTGATCCACCCACCTTGGCCTCCCAAAGTGCTGGGATTACAGGCATGAGCCACTGTGCCTGGCCCTGAAAGCTGCTGCTTGATGAGGCTGTTGGTGAAGGTGATGATGATGGTGATGATGAGTGATGGGGAAGGGAGGGTGTTGGTTTGCAGAGAGAGTGGTGGGAAGCTGCCAAAGACCAATGACGAAGGGAAATTGAGATAATTCCAGGGGAGAGTAAGATGTTGGAGGCAGAGCCCATGTCAAAACTCATTAACTTTCTCAGCCTACTTCCTGCTGATAGAAAATTAGGGGACATTTTTACTTCTTACTATCCAATTTCTTATGCTTGTTTAATTGCCCCGGCATTCAAACAAGTAATGAAAGTGGGCATCCTTGCCTAGTTCCTGACCTTAGAGAATAAACTTTCAGTTTTTCATGATTAAGTATGATGTTAGCCTTTTCTGTATCTATTGAGATGATCATGACATTTTTGATCACATGATTTTGTTCTTCATTCTGTTAATATGGTGCATTGCATTCATTTATTTGTGTATTTTGACACATCCTAGTGTCCCAGAGAATGTTCTGTATGTGCTTGAGAAGGATGTGTATTCTGCTGCTGTTGAATAGAATGTTTTGGGTGTCTGTTAGGTTCATTTGGTCTATAGTTTTATTCAAGTCCACTATTTCCTTACTAATTTTCTGTCCAGATGAGCAACCCATTTTTGTAAGTAGGGTACTGAAGTCCCTCTGCTATTATTGTATTATTGCTTTACAAATTTAGGTGCTCCAGTGTTGGGTCCATATATATTTTCAGTTGTTATATCCTCTTGATGAATTGACCCCTTTATCTCTTGTGATAATTTTTGACTTAAAGTATATTTTGTCTGATGTAAATATAGCCACTCCTGACCTGTTTTGTTTATCATTTCCATGGAATATCTTTCCATATCCCTTCACTTTCAGCCTACATGTGTCTTGTTTACAGAGGACATTATCATATATATATATATGATATATATATAACTACATATATATGATATATATATCATCTATATATAATTCTAAAGTTTTCACCAAAAATCTGTTAGAACTAATAAACAAAACAAATACACTAAAGTCATGGGATACAAAATCAACATACAAAAATCATTTGCGTTTCTATACACTAACAATGAACTATCAAAAAATTAACAAAACCCCATTTATAATAGCATCAAAGAAGAATAAATACTTAGAAATAAATTTAACCAAGGCAGTGAAAGATTTGTAAACTGAAACCTTTAAAACATTAATAAAAGAAATAAAAGAAATTGAAGAGGGCACAAATAAATGGAAAGATATCCTGTGTTTATAGACCAAAATAATTAATATTGTTAAAATATACTAGGCAAAGTGATCAATGCAATCCCTATCAAAATTCTGCGGCAACTGCTGCTGATACCCAGGCAAACAGGGTCTGGAGTGGACCTCTAGCAAACTCCAATAGACCTGCAGCTGAGAGTCCTGTCTGTTAGAAGGAAAACTAACAAACAGAAAGGGCATCCACACCAAAAACCCATCTGTACATCACCATCATCAAAGACCAAAAGTAGATAAAACCACAAAGATGGGGAAAAACAGAGCAGAAAAACTGGAAACTCTAAAAAGCAGGGCACCTCTCCTCCTCCAAAGGAACGCAGTTCCTCACCAGCAATGGAATAAAGCTGGACGGAGAATGACTTTGACGAGTTGAGAGAAGAAGGCTTCAGACGATCAAACTACTCTGAGCTATGGGAGGAAATTCAAACCAAAGGCAAAGAAGTTGAAAACTTTGAAAAAAATTTAGAAGAATGTATAACTAGAATAACCAATACAGAGAAGTGCTTAAAGGAGCTGAAGGAGCTGAAAGCCAAGGCTCGAGAACTACGTGAAGAATGCAGAAGCCTCAGGAGCCGATGCGATCAACTGGAAGAAAGGGTATCAGTGATGGAAGATGAAATCAATGAAATGAAGCGAGAAGGGAAGTTTAGAGAAAAAAGAATAAAAAGAAATGAACAAAGCCTCCAAGAAATATGGGACTATGTGAAAAGACCAAATCTAAGTCTGACTGGTGTACCTGAAAGTGACGGGGAGAATGGAACCAAGTTGGAAAACACTCTGCAGGATATTATCCAGGAGAACTTCCCCAATCTAGCAAGGCAGGCCAACATTCAGATTCAGGAAATACAGAGAATTCCACAAAGATACTCCTCAAGAAGAGCAACTCCAAGACACATAATTGTCAGACTCACCAAAGTTGAAATGAAGGAAAAAATGGTAAGGGCAGCCAGAGAGAAAGGTCGGGTTACCCACAAAGGGAAGCCCATCAGACTAACAGCAGATCTCTCAGCAGAAACTCTACAAGCCAGAAGAGAGTGGGGGCCAATATTCAACATTCTTAAAGAAAAGAATTTTCAACCCGGAATTTCATATCCAGCCAAACTAAGCTTCATAAGTGAAGGAGAAATAAAATACTTTACAGACAAGCAAATGCTGAGAGATTTTGTCACCACCAGGCCTGCCCTAAAAGAGCTCCTGAAGGAAGTGCTAAACATGGAAAGGAACAACCGGTACCAGCCACTGCAAAATCATGCCAAATTGTAAAGACCGTCGAGGCTAGGAAGAAACTGCATCAACTAACCAGCAAAAGAACCAGCTAACATCATAACGACAGGATCAAATTCACACATAACAATATTAACTTTAAATGTAAATGGACTAAATGCTCCAATTAAAAGACACAGACTGGCAAATTGGATAAAGAGTCAAGACCCATCAGTGTGCTGTATTCAGGAAACCCATCTCACGTGCAGAGACACACATAGGCTCAAAATAAAAGGATGGAGGAAGATCTACCAAGCAAATGGAAAACAAAAAAAGGCAGGGGTTGCAATCCTAGTCTCTGATAAAACAGACTTTAAACCAACAAAGATCAAAAGAGACAAAGAAGGCTATTACATAATGGTAAAGGGATCAATTCAACAAGAAAAGCTAACTATCCTAAATATATATGCACCCAATACAGGAGCACCCAGATTCATAAAGCAAGTCCTGAGTGACCTACAAAGAGACTTAGACTCCCACACAATAATGGGAGGCTTTACAGCCTCACTGTCAACATTAGACAGATCAACAAGACAGAAAGTTAACAAGGATACCCAGGAATTGAACTCAGCTCTGCACCAGGTGGACCTAATAGACATCTACAGAACTCTCCACCCCAAATCAACAGAATATACATTTTTTTCAGCACCACATCACACCTATTCCAAAATTGGCCACATAGTTGGAAGTAAAGCTCTCCTCAGCAAATGTAAAAGAACAGAAATTACAACAAACTAACTCTCAGACCACAGTGCAATCAAACTAGAACTCAGGATTAAGAAACTCACTCAAAACCACTCAACTACATGGAAACTGAACAACCTGCTCCTGAATGACTACTGGGTACATAACGAAATGAAGGCAGAAATAAAAATGTTCTTTGAAACCAATGAGAAAAAAGACACAACATACCAGAATCTCTGGGACACATTCAAAGCTGTGTGTAGAGGGAAATTTATAGCACTAAATGCCCACAAGAGAAAGCAGGAAAGATCCAAACTTGACACCCTAACATCACAATTAAAAGAACTAAAAAAGCAAGAGCAAACACATTCAAAAGCTAGCAGAAGGCAAGAAATAACCAAAATCAGAGCAGAACTGAAGGAAATAGAGACACAAAAAACCCTTCAAAAAATTAATGAATCCAGGAGCTGGTTTTTTGAAAGGATCAACACAATTGACAGACTGCTAGCAAGAGTAATAAAGAAGAAAAGAGAGAAGAATCAAATAGACGCAATAAAAAATGATAAAGGGGATATCACCACTGATCGCACAGAAATACAAACTACCATCAGAGAATACTACAAACACCTCTACGCAAATAAACTAGAAAATCTAGAAGAAATGGATAAATTCCTCGACACATACACCCTCCCAAGACTAAACCAGGAAGAAGTTGAATCTCTGAATAGACCAATAACAGGATCTGAAATTGTGGCAGTAATCAATAGCTTACCAACCAAAAAGAGTACAGGACCAGATGGATTCACAGGCAAATTCTACCAGAGGTACAAGGAGGAACTGGTACCATTCCTTCTGTAACTATTCCAATCAATAGAAAAAGAGGCAATCCTCCCTAACTCATTTTATGAGGCCAGCATCATCCTGATACCAAAGCCAGGCAGAGACACAACAAAAAAAGAGAATTTTAGACCAATATCCTTGATGAACACTGATGCAAAAATCCTCGATAAAATACTGGCAAACCGAATCCAGCAGCACATCAAAAAGCTTATCCACCATGATCAAGTGGGCTTCATCCCTGGGATGCAAGGCTGGTTCAATATACGCAAATCAATAAATGTAATCCAGCATATAAACAGAACCAAAGACAAAAGCCACATGATTATCTCAATAGATGCAGAAAAGGTCTTTGACAAAATTCAACAACTCTTTATGCTAAAAACTCTCAATAAATTTGGTATCGATGGGACGTATCTCAAAATAATAAGAGCTATCTATGACAAACCCACAGCCAATATCATACTGAATGGGCAAAAACTGGAAGGATTCCCTTTGAAAACTGGCACAAGATAGGGATGCCCTCTCTCACCACTCCTATTCAACATAGTGTTGGAAGTTCTGGCCAGGGCAATTAGGCAGGAGAAGGAAATAAAGGGTATTCAATTAGGAAAAGAGGAAGTCAAATTGTCCCTGTTTGCAGATGACATGATTGTATATCTAGAAAACCCCATTGTCTCAGCCCAAAATCTCCTTAAGCTGATAAGCAACTTCAGCAAAGTCTCAGGATACAAAATCAATGTACAAAAATCACAAGCATTCTTATACACCAATAACAGACAAACAGAGAGCCAAATCATGAGTGAACTCCCATTCACAATTGCTTCAAAGAGAATAAAATACCTAGGAATCCAACTTGCAAGGGATGTGAAGGACCTCTTCAAGGAGAACTACAAACCACTGCTCAAGGAAATAAAAGAGGATACAAAGAAATGGAAGAACATTCCCTGCTCATGGGTAGGAAGAATCAATATTGTGAAAATGGCCATACTGCCCAAGGTAATTTATAGATTCAATACCATCCCCATCAAGCTACCAATAACTTCCTTCACAGAATTGGAAAAAACTACTTTAAAGTTCATATGGAACCAAAAAAGAGCCCACATCGCCAAGTCAATCCTAAGCCAAAAGAACAAAGCTTGGAGGCATCACGCTACCTGACTTCAAACTATACTACAAGGCTACAGTAACCAAAACAGCATGGTACTGGTACCAAAACAGAGATATAGATCAATGGAACAGAACGGAGCCCTCAGAAATAATGCCGCATATCTACAACTATCTGATCTTTGACAAATCTGAGAAAAACAAGCAATGGGGAAAGTATTCCCTATTTAATAAATGGTACTGGGAAAACTGGCTAGCCATATGTAGAAAGCTGAAACTGGATCCCTTCCTTACACCTTATACAAAAATTAATTCAAGAAGGATAAAAGACTTAAATGTTAGACCTAAAACCATAAAAACCCTAGAAGAAAACCTAGGCATTACCATTCAGGACATAGGCATGGGCAAGGACTTCATGTCTAAAACACCAAAAGCAATGGCCCCAAAAGCCAAAATTGACAAATGGGATCTAATTAAACTAAAGAGCTTCTGCACAGCAAAAGAGACTACCATCAGAGTGAACAGGCAACCTACAAAATGGGAGAAAATTTTCGCAGCCTACTCATCTGACAAAGGGCTAATATCCAGAATCTACAATGAACTCAAACAAATTTACAAGAAAAAAACAAACAACCCCATCAAAAAGTGGGCAAAGGACATGAACAGACACTTCTCAAAAGAAGACATTTATGCAGCCAAAAAACATATGAAAAAATGCTCACCATCACTGGCCATCAGAGAAATGCAAATCAAAACCACAATGAGATACCATCTCACACCAGTTAGAATGGCGATCATTAAAAAGCCGGGAAACAACAGGTGCTGGAGAGGATGTGGAGAAATAGGAACACTTTTACACTGTTGGTGGGACTGTAAACTAGTTCAACCATTGTGGAAGTCAGTGTGGTGATTCCTCAGGGATCTAGAACTAGAAATACCATTTGACCCAGCCATCCCATTACTGGGTATATACCCAAAGGACTATAAATCATGCTGCTATAAAGACACATGCACACGTATGTTTATTGTGGCACTATTCACAATAGCAAAGACTTGGAACCAACCCAAATGTCCAACAACGATAGACAGGATTAAGAAAATGTGGCACATATACACCATGGAATACTATGCAGCCATAAAAAATGATAAGTTCATGTCCTTTGTGGGGACATGGATGAAATTGGAAATCATCATTCTCAGTAAACTATCGCAAGGACAAAAAACCAAGCACCACATGTTCTCACTCAAAGGTGGGAATTGAACAATGAGAACACATGGACACAGGAAGGGGAACATCACACTCTGGCGACTGTTGTGGGGTGGGGGGAGGGGGGAGGGATAGCATTAGGAGATATACCTAATGCTAAATGATGAGTTAATGGGTGCAGCACACCAGCATGGCACATGTATACCTATGTAACTAACCTGCACATTGTGCACATGTACCCTAAAACTTAAAATATAATAACAATAATAATAAAAAATTTCAATGGCATTTTCCACAAGAAATAGGAAAACAATCTGAAAATTCATATGGAACCACAAAAGACTTCGAATAGTCAAAGCAAACTTGAACAAGAACAAAGCTGGAGGCATCACACTTCCTGAATTCAAAATACATTACAGCGGTATAGAATTCCTAGCAGAATGACACTGGCCAATAAAAGAGAAAAGCCAGCCCAGATATTTAATATAAATCCACACATTTATGATCAACTGATCTTTGACAAAGTTGCCAAGAATACAATGGGGAAGGGATAGTCTCCTTAATAAACAGTGTAGGGAAAATTGGATATCCACATGGAGGAGAATATACACAAATCTTCTTAAGATAAATTAAATACTTAAATGTAAGACCTGAAACTGTAAAATGGCTAGAAGAAAACATAGAGGAAAAGCTTCTTGACATTGCTCTGGGTAACAATTTTTTTTAATATGATCCTAAAAACACAGGTAACAAAAGCAAAAATAGACAAATGGGGTTGCATCAAACTAAAAAGCTTCTATACAGCAAAGGAAACAATTAACAAAGTCAAGAGACAACCTATAAAATAGGAGAAAATATTTGCAAACCATACATTGGTAAGTTAATATTCAATATACTTAATAATTTCAATTTAACAGCAAAAAAAAACGCACATTAAAAATAGGCAAGGGATTGAGCAGAAATTTCTCAAAAGAAGACACACAGATTGCCAACAGGTATATGAACAAAATGCTCAACATCCCTAATTACTAGGAAAAAGCAAATCAAAACCACAATGAGATATCACTTTATACCTGCTAGAATGGCTATTATCAAAAAGATGAAAGATAACAAGTGTCGGAGAAGGTCCAGAGAAAGGGAAACCCTTGAACACTGCTGATGGCAATAGATAAGTTAGGGGACAGGAGCCTTTTGGTATTTTGAGCAATTTCAGTTACTTTTTTGTCCAATCCAGTGGCCCTTTTCCTATTACAATGACCTTAACATTTTTCTGAATTTTCTTATAACAAGGTATTTGGTGACAAGCTATTTGCTAGACATGATATTAAATCCAGAAGTCTTCAACAAGTGCGTGTCCCTCAATATGTGCAGTAACTTTTGCAGATGAAACAGTTCTTTCTTGCAATACTATACCATACATATCTGGAACCAGCTGACACTACAACATTCTGTCTAGAGATCTGCTTAGCCAGATCAGAAAGCTTTAAGGTATGTGTGGTATTCCTCAATTTACTCCAGGTAACAGCTTTACAAACTGCTTTATGACACAACATGTGTTGCTCTTTTTCTAGTTGCCATAGCAGTTTCCTCATCAGTTTGATGACCACCATCAGTGGTGGCCATCACCAGCCACCACTGAGAATGTGCAGTTCTCTCTACCAGTTTCTCCAATGTGTTTCCAGACTCTATACATCTCCCAGTTGCATGGTTAACGCCCTGTGTTTGAGGGGGTTTTTTTTAACAGTAGCACTCTGTGTCTAGGTAGTTGCTCCTGTATCAGTTCCCTTTTGCTGCATTACAAACCACCCCACAACTCAGCAGCCTATCACAATAGCCACTTGTTTAGCTTACATATTTTGTTGGTTTCCTGGGCAGTTTTTCTGGTTCTCTCATGGGTCCGTGGTCAGCTGGTGGGTGGGCCAGTGAGTGGGTGGTCTAGGGTGGCCTCATGGGTCAGGCAGTTGGCTGAAATGATAAGGGTGACAGGGCAATACATTTATCATGTGCTTCCTCAAGCTTCTTCACTTGGTGGGAGGCAAAGCATCCCTGAAACAGTAAGAGGACAAATGTCACTGAGAAATTATTTTTCAAGCCTGTGCTTATATCAGGGTGACTGATGCTCCCTTGGCCAAAGCAAGTCATGTGGCCAACCCCAATTCAAGGGGTGGAGAAACAGACTCCACCTCTTGATGGGATAGGACAAAATAAGGCCAATTGTGGGCAGTTTTGTAATCTACAATAAAACCTTTGTCGATCCGGGTCAACATTCCAGCATTAAATCACTGTTCTGTGTGGCCTCAAGTTAAACATTGTACTAAAATCCACGTAACCAATGCAAAGAGGGAGGGAAAGAATATATTAAATTTCAAGTACTAGGTAATAATTATAACTAATTAAAAGTAAAATATACTTCTCTGTGTTAGTTCTTATTAGTTACATTATATTGGTTGCCTAATAATAAGGGCAGTAGGATATTTTGAGGAGTAGAGAAGAAGAAGCTTCACTCATTACTGTAAGTTTCCACACTCTTCTCTAAATCAGATGTCAAGTAGAAAAGAAGGAAAGTAGAAAGGATGGAATTATCCATTTGATGGGTGAAAATACTAAGCAGTCTTGACGGTTCATCTCTAGGCACATTGAGATGGGTTTAAATGTTCTTTAAACGAGTAGGAAGACTCAGAAATTCAGGAAAAAAGGAGTGAAGTGCCTTGCTTCATTCCATTCCAATTTAGTAAGAATCACCCTTCATACCTATTCACACTTGGCAGTTTACACAGCTCTTTACTTTCATTATCCTGTTTAACTTTCACAGTGCCCGGAGGTCATCTGGCAGAGTCTGTTATCTCTGTTTTAAAGATTGCCAGACTTGCCCAGCTACCAAGAAAATCACTGTGAGGGCAACGAGGCAATAGAGAGAAGAAAGCCTTCAGAGGGTATACGGAGGAGGTAGAGCAGAATGAAGTAAGAGCATCACTCAGAAGGTGGGGCATTACAAAATTCGGAAGTTGCTTGAAATAAGTTAATGCTTCAGAAACACTAGAACTGCGAGTACAAGAACAGGCTTTGGAGATCAGGGAGTTATCGATTGTTTTTCAGAAAGTGGTTGTCTTGGGGGCAAGAGGAACAAGGGAGATGAGGCCAGAAGTGAAAACACAGGAGGTGAAGGAGGTCAGGTAGCCACATGAGCTGTCAGATGCTACTGTGCAGGCTTCCCAAAGGCAGTAAATCGTGTCGGAACCCAGAATCCTGTATTTTTTTTTTAAAAA
Source organism: Homo sapiens (assembly GCF_000001405.40). NCBI lineage: Eukaryota > Metazoa > Chordata > Mammalia > Primates > Hominidae > Homo > Homo sapiens. The sequence goes on along the minus strand of NC_000002.12, from coordinate 126,448,373 downwards.
AAGGGAATGCTATGGCTTGGAAAGCTAGCTTTCTGGATATGTTAAAACAATTTAGTGGATTAATTGCATACATGCAAATAACATATTCACTTCAGTAAAGAGGTCATTTATAAATAAGCAGAAACAGGCTTTGCAAAATGAAAGTCAGAAAATGAGGGCAAACACTTTGCATCAGATTTAATGTGTAACAAGTAGTTTAGGTACAGGGTTTCACTTATTTACATTCTAATTTTTTTCATTCAGCAAATGTTTATTGAATGCCTACTATATGAAAGGACATTTATTAAGCATCAAGAATACACGGATGACTAAGATCTCCACACTCAAGTAGTTCATGGCTTGTGGCAGTGCTGTGTGATGGAAATAGAGAGCAAGGCACATATGCATTCCTAGGAACTTGCTAGTAACTCACAGCACATCACAATGGTACAGCCACATTTCAAGTGCACAATAGCTGTGTGTGGCTAGTGACCACCATACTGGACAGCACAGATCTTGGGAGAAACAACATGTAAAGCATTACCACGTAATATGAAAACCGCGGACAAAGCTTTCACAAGTTACAATAAAGGGAGACACCGGCCTTCAGAGGTATTTGTCTACCTATGTTTTAAGGCTTAGATTAATTGGAATGTTTAAGCCACAATTTCCTAGAAATCCCATTTATGCTTGAGCTGAAAAAAAAAACATGCTTGCATCTTTGGAATGAGAAATGCTTAATGCCACACTCTCTCTTTGAAGTTCAAAATGCATATTAATATATTAAAAGCTCTGAGAAGTCCTGCAGAAAAGACATGATTTTTAGTGCACTTACCCTGGAATTTACTCCAAGATATTGACAATGAAATACTCTCCACATATGTTTTAATACTTATAAATAATGATGAGAAATACTTCTGGAACAGCCTGTTTACAGAATTGAACTCTAGGTAATAGAATGATTTGGATAACTGAGAGTTCTGTTTCTACTCTGGTGAATGTTTTTTTCCTAAAATGTCGAGTTTGGCTTTCCCACCATGGGTGAGTCTATACATTAATCCTTCTATGACTGTACACCTACAACATATGCTTTCCTCTATCTAAAATGTCCTTCCTCTCTTTCCCCTCTCTCCTAGAAAAATTCCCTGTTATTGGATGGGCATGGTGGCTCATGCCTGTAATCCCAGCACTTTGGGTGGCCGAGGCAGGTGGATCACCTGAGATCGGGAGTTCGAGACCAGCCTGACTAACATGGAGAAACTCCATCTCTACTAAAAATACAAAATTACCTGGGCGTGGTGGCACATGCCTGTAATCCCAGCTACTCGGGAGGCTGAGGCAGGAGAATCGCTTGAACCCTGAAGGTGGAGGTTGTGGTGAGCTGAGATCGCACCATTGCACTTCAGCCTGGCAACAAGAGCAAAACTCAGTCTCAAAAAAAAAAAAAAAAAGAAAAAAATTCCCTGTTATTTTACCAGATGTGGTCCAAGTATAATGTCCTCAGAAGTCTTCCCTGATTACCCCAGGTGGAAGTAGTGTCTCCCTCCTCTGTGTGCTCAGAACAATTGCTGCAATTAGCTGAGGTCACATTTAATTTCCTAATGCACAGCAGGGGCCCAATCTTATCTATTTTTATATTTCCAGAAGCCGGTATATCGCCAGGCACATATTTGTATTGCCTAAATTTGTTATTTTTTTGCTTCCACTCACTATATACACCCCATTAATGAAGGGCACTCAGCTGGTTTTCTGCATCGGGAAATGTCTTGCTCCTTGCTTCCTCATCCTCTGTTCCAGCCCTGCATCACCGCAGGCCCTGGCAGGATGCATCAGGCAGTGTGGCCACCTGTGTTTCTGTGGCTTGGGCTCCAAATGCATTCTTTTGGCCTGGCCTGCCCCTCTGCCTCTTTCTCCTGGCTTGACTTTTAGCCTTCCAGTCCTGTGCAGGCTCCTGGGCTACCCTGGCTTCTTCAGCCCTGGCCATTGCTTGTGGTGCTGACCCTAATGAGGAATGGCTAAGGCCCTCTTCCACTCCAAGCCTTGCTTTCACCTTTGCAACCTGCCTGACCCTGAAGCCCCCTGGCCTGAGCCCCTGACCTGTAATTAACCTTTGCTCTCTGCCCTCAGGGTGCACATGGGTCTGATTGTCTCCTTCTCCCATTACTCAAACCCCAAGCCTGCTGTGACCACACACTGGTCAAACAATAAAACAGCTCAGAAACTAAGCCCCTCCTCAGTTCTGCAGTTCTCACTCAGTTCCGTCCCTGTGCCTGTGACTCTTACCTTGTCCTCATGCCCTTTAAACTGCCATCCAGCTACTTCCAAACCTTCCTCTGCTCGGGCACTGGGCCCACTTTTGCCTTCATTTGTACACCGCGGCCCCAGCCATAATTTCCTGCCCTCTGCTGTGTTCTCCTCCTCCCTTTCTCTTCCTCTGTTCCCATCCTGCCCTACTGCATGTACGGTGGTGAGCCACTTCCCATCTCGGAATGAGGTGGAGATTATATAGTAAATGGCCTTTTAAATTGTATCTTTTTGTTCATACAGTAGACCTGTCTTGGGGAACAGTCCCTGACAGCCCTGTTGAGTAGATTCAGATAAAAAAATCGGGAGATAAACACGTCCAATTATTTTTCTGTTTCGCATGCCTAACTTCATCACAAGGCAGGGCAAGGGGCTTTTGCATGCAGGCCTTTGTTTAATAGAAGCTGTGCATCATTGCTTCAGGGATGCATCATAACGCGATACCCTTTGGACCGCAATGTTATGGAAATGAGAATTGTTTAATTTACAGCCTTTCCTACATCGGCCTTGTAGATCTGAAAAATTAATTAACCAAATGTCATATTTTACTTCCCACAAAACTGGGTAGAGAATAAAAGACAAACCTTAATGGAAGAACCAGGGGCCCCTTCTACGTGGTAACATCTCAAAGTCCAGAGAGGAGGGGAGCACTGTGTGGCATCTTCACAGCTGCCACCGCTCACTACCCTCTCCCCCCAGGCTGGAGTGGAGCAGGGGCGGATGATCTGCAGCCAACAGGATGGCTGGTGTGGCATCCTGCCTCCCTCTATAGCTAGCTGCGGCAACACGCTCACCTCTGTGAGGTTCCATCTGCTGCTCATGAGGCAGGTACGTGGGTACTACCTACCTCATACATTTCCTGTAAGAATTTAATGAGAAGCATTGAAGCTCCTAGCCAGCAGGAGATCCCAACAGTATTCAATAACCACCTCCTGTTCCCTTTCTGCAAGTTTGCTTGGACCCAGGGACCACTTTTGACCCCATGGGCCCCCTCAGTGTGCTCCTAGCTCCTCTTCATCACTCTTTACCTCTGCTTATCATGCCAGGTTCAAGCGATTCTCCTGCCTCAGCCTCCCGAGTAGCTAGGATTACAGGCGCCTGCCACTCTGCCCAGCTAATTTTTGTATTTTTAGTAGAGACAGGTTTTGCCATGTTGGCCAGGCTGGTCTCAAACCCCTGACCTCAGGTGATCCACCCACCTCAGCCACCTCAGCCTACCAAAGTGCTGGGATTACAGGCATGAGCCACCATGCCCAGCCTAGCCTGTTTTCTCATATAGAAAATTGGCATGATACTCACTGGCTTGGGTACAAAATGAGATCACATTCTTCACAATACTCAAATGATTCATAATCGCCCCCACCCATTCTATTATGGGAATGTCATTCTCTGTCCTTATGATCCTCCCACTGGGCAACTTCAAGGCATCTACATGAGTTTACTTATTTCAAGAAGTCACCTCTGGTTCTTGTCACCTCCAAGGGAGGGAATGTAGTTGGCAGGCCATCCAGTTCTCTTGCCTATTGTGATGACCACACAGTGTCTCTGTTACCACCCAGGTGGTCTGGTTGTTCATGGGATCTTGTTTGTCCCTGCTGGATGACGATGGAAGCCTGGTGGCCAGGGAACCAGGTGCCATCTTTCTCCCCTACAGATAGGGCTGGGGAGCCTAAGGCTGCAGTTGGAGCTGGAAGTTGGGTCTGAACGAGGAAACCCTTTTCCACACTGTTAGATTATTCAGCTGGTGGTGTGCCACCACAGATCTTGGCTCCTGAAGGTACAACACGTTTGTGACCTAGCTTTTCTATTTCTTTTTACTTCCTATAAAACTATTTTCCTAAGGCATGGCCACGGTGTCAGAGTGGCTGGACTTGCAGAGTTTCCAATCCCAGACACTGAGGCTCTGCATCATTGCAATCTCTGGACCTCCTAGCCCAAATGCTGAAGATGTGCCAAATCCACTGCTTCTCGTTCCAGGATAAATAGCATTGGTCCAGGTGAAGATGTCATTATCTTGGGCTGAGACAGTGGCTTCCCTCCTGGAGATGCTGTGAGAGTTGAGAGATGCCTGGTACCCTGAAGAGTGTTGGCACTCTTCTTCCATTCTGCATCTCAGGACAAAGAAAGGCTTAGGTAAAAGACTCCATCTAAAAGAAACAGAGGGAGAATAAATTTTTAAAAATCGAGTTTGTTACCTGCAAGAAGACAGCAGGAAGGGGTGTGGGCTGGAAGGGTACAGGAGAGAATGACACTTTTCTGAGCGTAATTTTTATAATGTTTTGACATTTTAAAGGCTGATGATAAGCTACACACTCAACAATTAAAATAAAATCAATAAGAATGGAAAAAAGGCCAAACATGAAACAAAGAAAATGGAAACAAGTGAACTTAATTATAGTTAATGACTACCCTAAAAATACTGAAGGGGAAGAAAAACAAACAAGAAAAGAACTAATCCAAATAACTGGGTCACAGTATGTGACTGTATATCATGAATCTGGAGCAGGTGGGCTGTGTGTGTGTTCGCAGGGGGGCAGCACACAAATATTCTGTGCTCTTGAGTCGGTTGGTTGATTTTAGTTTTATGGAAAAAACAATTCTAGAGCTAGTTTAGATGTAATATAAGATTGAACAAGTGAGACACCGTGAGGCTGCTGGGAGCCAGTGTTCTCCATATAGAAGGGACATAAGAATGTGGATCGAGGCCGGGTGCGGTGGCTCAAGCCTGTAATCCTAACACTTTAGGAGGCCAGTGGATCACGAGGTCAAGAGATCGAGACCATCCTGGCCAACATGGTGAAACCCCGTCTCTACTAAAAACACAAAAATTAGCTGGGTATGGTGGCACGCACCTGTAGTCCCAGCTACTCGAGAGGCTGAGGCAGGAGAATCACCTGAACTCAGGAAGTGGAGGTTGCAGTGAGCCGAGATTGCACCACTGCACTCCAGCATGGCAACAGAGCGAGACTCCATCTAAAAAAAAAAAGAAAAAAAAGAATGTGGATCAAAATGGAAGGCATTGGTATGGACTCAGGATTTCTAAAATGTGTATGTTTAGGTGCACATACAAATACACACATGTGTATGCATGCATGAATGCATATTTGTATATGTCTGCATGCATATGTGTAAAAATATGTGGCTGTTTCCTATTTCTGTCTGCTCAAAGAGCCAAAAACAAAGCCATGCTAGCAACAATTAGCACATCTAATTATCAGATCTTGGTCTCTAATCCTATTCCCTTTAAAATGAAGCCGGGCCCAACAGAGAAATGTCTTGGCAAGGTAGGTGCAAAATGAGCTTGGAACATTTTGTATGCCAGAGAGTAAGAAGTGTTTAAAAAAATAATAATGATGGAGACATGTTACAGGGAAATATGATACAATTTGAAGAGTGTCTCACAGGCCAAATATGGGACAATTTTAGTATCAAATAATTGAGTGCCATAATGAATTACAAACCATTTAAAAGAGGAATTTACTAGTTAGCATAGATAGATAAATGATAGGTAGTTAGATAGATAGATAATAAATTATGGAGAGGATAGGCTGGGCACGGTGGCTCATACCTGTAATCTCAGCACTTTAGGAGGCCGTGGCAGGCAGATTACCTGAGGCCAGGAGTTCAAGACCAGCCTGGCCAACATGGTGAAACCCCATGTCTACTAAAAATACAAAAATTAGCCGGGTGTGGTGGCATGTACCTGTAGTCCCAGCTGCTTGAGAGGCTGAACCTGGTAGGTGGAGGCTGTAGTGAGCCAAGATCGTGCTACTGCACTCCAGCTTGGGTGACACAGTGAGACCCTGTCTCAAAAAAAACCCCCAAAATTGTAGGGAGGAATTATAATAGACCATGGAAGATAGTTGTTACATGTGTAGGTAATGATGGAGTTGAAAAAAAATCATTTTGTGATAGCATGATGAAGACTGCATCAGGCAAGAATCATGGATGGGTGCCAAAGGTAGGGAAGTTTTGATGATGGGCAGGATATTTCCATAAGATGTCTCCATATAAAGTACTTATTAGATGTTGCAAGGATAAAAACAATATACAGTGGAGAAATTGGGACATTCTTTGAGTGATCAAAATTAACATTACCTCTGAGAGACAGTTGGACCCACAGGTATGATACCATACAAGGAACATGACATCAACTTTTCAATATTTTAAGGATGCAAGACCTTAATATACAGGCATATCTCATTTTATTGTGCTTCACTTTATTGTACCCTGCAAATACTGCATATTTTACAAATTGAAGGTTTGTGGCAATTGTGTGTTGAGCAAGTCTATTGGTGTAATTTTTTGAACAGTTTATGCTCACTTGGTGTCTCTGTCTCACTTTGGAAATTCTTGCAATATTTCAAACTTTTTCATTATTATTATACCTTTTATGGTGATCTGTGATCAGTGATTTCTGATGGTACTATTGTAATTGCAAATGTAGTGGAAATAGCAAGAAAACTAGAATTATAAGTGGAGCCTAAAGATGTGACTGAATTGTCGCAATCTCATGATCAAATTTGAATGGATGAGGAGTTGCTTCTTATAGATGAGCAAAGAAAGTGGTTTCTTGAGATGAAATCTACCCCTGGTGAAGACACTGTGAACATTGTTGAAATGACAACAAGAGATTTAGAATATTACATAAACTTAGTTGATAAAGTAGTGGCAGGGCTTAAGAGAATTGACTTCAATTTTGAAAGAAGTTCTACTGTGGGTAAAATGCTATAAAAGGGCATCGCATGCTACAGAGGAATCTTTTGTGAAATGGATGCAGCAAACTTCATTGTTGTCTTATATTTTAAAATGGTCACAGCTACCCCAACCTTCAGTAACCACCACCCTGATCAGTCAGCAGCCATTAACATTGAGGCAAGACCCTCCACCTGCAAGAAGATTATGACTCGCTGAAGGCTCAGATGATCATTAGCATTTTTTAGCAATAAACTATTTTTAAAGTATGGCACATACGCTGTTTTTTAGACATAATGTGATTGCATACTTAATAGACTATAGTGTAGTGTAAGCAGCTTTTTTATGCATTGGGAAACCACAAAAATTGTGTGCCTTGCTCCATTACAATATTTGCTTTATTGCCATGGTCTGAAACCAAGCTCACAATATCTCCCAGGTATTCCTGCAATCATGAAGAAACATTAGACAAAGACAAAATGGGAAACACTGTATTTAAACCAAGAGGGGAGATTATACTCTTCGAAAATGACAATGTCATAAAAATCAAAGAAAAGTTATAGAAATGCCATAGATTAATGGAGGGCAAAGAGATGTGACAACTAAGGCTGCACTTGACCCAAGACCAGATTCTGCATCAGAGGCGAACAATCCTATACAGGACATTATTGGGTCAACTGACAAAATTAGATCAAAACAGTAGGCTGGATGAAAGTACTGCATCAGTGTGGAATTTACTGAAGTTGATCATTGTACTGCGTTGTTTAAGGGCGTATTTCTATTATTGGGAAATGCACACTGAAGTATTTAGAGGAAAGGGGCTGATGTGTGTGATGTACCCTCAAATTAAAAAGATAATAGATACATAGATAGAGCAAATGATAAATGTGGCAAAAGGCTCACAATAGGTGAATCTGAGTAAATTATATATAGATATTCTTTATACTTTTTTCATTTTTATGATTTTTTCCCCTGTAAATTTAGAATTCTTTTCAGGTGAAAGTAAAAACATTGTTTTCTGATTGGGTTGAGAGAAGTCTGTGAGGAGAAGGCAGACGAGGTGCTGGCTCATGTGGAGAGCTCATGCTTAAGTGGGCAGAGCTGACACGACCCCCAGGGGAAGGGGAGCTGAAGGAAAACTTCCAGTGTGTCACTTTTGCCTCGGGCCATGTCCTCCTGTCTTATATATACATCATACAAAGCAATGAGCACATATTTTCTAGCTCTGGACTTTCTTTGAGTCACCAATAAATGTCAGAAATAATCCCATGCTCAATAAATCAAATATATTCCAGCATTTAATTATCTCCTTTCGCTCTCACAAATCACCTGTGTTTAGAGATACTTCAGGGGGAATGCAATTATGAAAACAATTGGCCGTTTGCTCCTGACTTAAGCATGGTGTCATACCAAGTTGGATGGACTCTCACTATTTGGGGAGAGTGTGGCATTGGAGGAAGCTGGAGGTGAGGTGTCAAATGCCACAGTTCCCAGAGTGAGCTTCGTGAGGTCAAGCTGGGTCTTCTTTTTTCAGCAGAGTCCTCACTGACAGTGCGTTCTCCATGACCACAGGGCAAACCGCACTTTGGCTTATGAGATTCTTGTCAAGAAAGGCAAACTATGTAGACAAAATCACTGTACGTTTTAAAATTTCTTTTATACCTTATTTCAAACATCTCAAGTCACATGAATTCTCAGGCTAATATAGAAGAGTAGGTTTGCTTAAAAATTTTAAATTATTTTGAAGAGATTTGGAAATAGATTTAGAGGTATGCTTACAACCTCACTCTGTCTCTCTGTCAGTCTCTCTTTCCTTCCCTCTCTCTCTCCACACACATAACTACATAAAACATATATAGTACATACCTGCATACATATGTGTGTATGTGTGTAAAGTTCTCTGACACTTTCACAGAAGTGAGCACTCTGGTCCTAGAGGGTCAGCATCTGCTCTAGGTGAACAGGAACTTGCTTGCAAACTGCTTCAGGAGAGAATCTCATATAAACTGGGGTGCAGATTCCCCCATTTGAGAAAACACAAGAATTGTATAGTGTCATCCTGGCAATATCATACATCATCATTCTCTATTAACAGGTCTTGGGAGGAGCTAAGAAGGATTAAACTAACATTTGGTTGCTTTATGTTCAACAATTCAAGACAAAGTTAGACTTTCTCTACATGGTATGATTTCAGTGGCGATGGAAAAGACCTCTTGCCCTCCCAAATCTCTCTCTCTCCTCTGCATGGTGATCCCTAGAGTTCTTCATCTACCAACAAGGTAAACTTCTCTCACCTCACAATTTAAATAAAGCAGAGCATTAGTTACAATTAGTTCCAACAGATTCAACCTGTACATAAAGTAACCTTCTCCTCTTCTTCCCTTTTAACCAGGCATGAACATTTTAGTTGAATTATGAGATGGGGATGAATTAGGGCTTCATTCCAAAAAAATCAGCTTTCCAAAGTCAAATCCAATCAGACTCCCAAGAGTAAGGATGATTTCTGGCTTTACTAATAAATCCTATTATTATCAGATTTTATCTGAATTTCTAAAATCCTACTGTGAAGCCAAGCAGCTTTACCATAACCTAATACCGTTGGAAGCTATTTAAGTCTGTATGGCTTCTTGCTTCCCTGTGAAAGAATTGAAGTCTGCCATGCATTCAACCACTATTAGGCGTGTGCCTATGATGTCTAATACATGGTGCTAGTCACTGGGGAGTCAAGATAGGACAGTCTCTATAGGGCTCCTGTATTGATGGTGGAGACACACATGTTAACAGATAACTGACACACAACTTATTAAGCAGTGACTCTAACTGAGCTATAAGCCAAGTCAAATGAGAGATGACAGGAAGGAGGGTGTACATGTGCCATAGGGACTCAGGGAATCTGAGCAGATTTGTGAAGGCTCCAGATGAGTTTGCTAGGTGAAGAATGTGAGGAAAAACATTCCCGATGTGTGGAACACTATGAAGAAAAGCACAGGAGTGGAAAGGGCATGGGTGGCCTGTGGAAGGTGGCGGAGGGGGCTGTGGCTGGAACCTGGGTGTCCTGGAAGTGACTGGGAATGAGGCTGGGAGAGATGGTCAAAGGCCAAGTGTGAATGGCCTCAGATCCCAACCAAAAAGTCTGAATTCTGTCTCTGTTAATTATGTTTTTTGCTTTTATTTTTATGATGCTTTGACACTTTGAGCCTGAACCAGGAGAGACTACCCCTTCCAAGACTAGTGAATTCCTGGAGATAGTTAGCTACTTGTCTATGAGAATGCCTTTGACTCTGTACCCCCACCTCCCTCCTTTTATCAGGATCCTATAGTTTAGGACACTACACCGTTGTCTCAAATTACCCCAGAGCCAAGCACTGGACAACCAGGAACCACCCTTATAGGCCAGAGCCTGCCCAAATTATTCAAATTATTTAATCCTAAACTTGTTTGACCCTGCCTTACCCATTCCTTCCTGTGAAAACCACAATAAAGACTCCTGCCTTTATTTTTCCCCTGTTCCTACTGCCTCTTGGCCTTCCCTGGGGCTTTTCTGTGTGGCCGGGCATGGCATGGCACACTCCCTTCTCTTGGGATCTGTGGGTAACAAACTATCTTTTCAATGAAAGTCATTTCTTTGATACCTGTTAGCCTCTCCATAGTTGAATAAAAACAAAATCCCAGGTTATATATATATATATATATATATATATATATATATATATATATATTTGTTTTTGTTTTTGTTTTTTTGAGACGGGGTCTTGCTCTGTCGCCCAGGCTGGAGTGCAGTGGCTCAATCTCGGCTCACTGCGAGCTCTGCCTCCTGGGTTCATGCTATTCTCCTGCCTCAGCCTCCTCAGTAGCTGGGACTACAGGTACCTGCCACCATGCCCGGCTAATTTTTTTGTATTTTTTAGTAGAGATGGGGTTTCACCGTGTTAGCCAGGATGGTCTTGATCTCCTAGCCTCATGATCCGCCCACCTCGGCCTCCCAAAGTGCTGGGATTAGAGGCGTGAGCCACCGCGCCTGGCCAGGTTATATTTTAAAACAGTGTCCTGATGGCAAAAGTAGTACAACAGAGGCACTAAAATAAGTGTAGCTTATAATTTCTTTTGCAAGTAGATAACTCGAATAACTCAAAGAGAATCAACTAGAGTGAAGGAAGACGCAGGCAGAACCAGTAGGAGGTAGTTGTAACCGTCAAAAAGGACATAATGAGGGTTGAAGGGAACATTGGCAAGGCTAGGAAAGCTTCTGAATATAATTACTGTCATTCCTTTGAATTTTGTATTCTTATATCTTATTTTCTTACTTAATCTGTCTTCTTACTTTCCTGTCAGCTGTCTTTCCTTGTTATTAGAAGGCAAACTTCTGAAAAGATTACTATATCTTCTAACTTTCTTTTTCTAGTTGCATATGGGTTGGGATGTCAGGTTCTGAAGTTTAAAAGAAGAGTATCTAAGAAAAGTGAATGAATTTTTTTGAGTGAAGGTTGTACTATAAACAAATAACTCCCTTATATACAAAACCCATGAGCTAAAGTATATGGAAGCTCTGGGATCCTATCTAATCTTCAGAGATTTATGCTTGAGCTACATTCTAGGTCTCTTTGTTCTGAATATTTCAGATAGAGACATATCTCCTGGATAAGTTGGAAGACTGAGAAATGTGGGAAAGTTAGAAATGTTATACAGAGTAAACTTGTCAGGATTTCTTTATTCCTGGTCACAGAACAGCTTGCCAACTTCATGTTCTATTCTATTCTAAAGACTTCTCAGTTCCTGTGAAACCACACGGATTGATCCTCCAGGTGCAGTGCAAGACCTAAATTAAGAACTTACCAACAGAAGCCCAAGCATAATGACAGATATTAGCCAGAGACAAAAATAGGAGCCTACTTGCTGAGACCAAAGACATGCTGGCAGGGGTTTCCAGTAGAGAATAGGAGAATAATGGTAGATGGAGAAGTTGCAGAGGCATGTGTTTGAGTGAGAGCTGACCTTCCAGACACACACTCAATGCCTCAGCTTACAGATTTCTACCTACATGGCTGTACTTCAGTTTTTCTGGCTAAGTTTAGAGTTGGAAGAACAATTGTACTGTGATGTCAGAAGTAACTTAAGGATGCTTAGGGTCTTGAGGTTCCATTTTTAATGTGAATTGATTTCAATGTGAATGTATCAGGGACATTGAGGTAGGAGGGTCCTCCTAGGTAAGGGAGTGGGCTGAACCCCACTGGGAGGCATGCTGTCAGAGAAGGTCAGAAGGTTGGCATAAAGATTCATTTTCAAAACCTAGATGATGGCTTGATAGGTGCAGAAAACCACCATGGCACATGTCTACCTATGTAACACATCTGCAAGTTCTGCACTTGTATCCCAGAACTTAGTTCAGAATAAAGAGGAAGTCAAGATTAGAAACAGCCAATAAAGACCGGGCACAGTGGCTCACACCTGTAATCCCAGCACTTTGGGAGGCCGAGGTGGGTGGATCACGAGGTCAAGAGATGGAGGCCATCCTGGCCAACATGGTGAAACCCCGTCTCTACCAAAAATACAAAAATTAGGTGGGTGTGGTGGCATGCACCTGTAGTCCCAGCTACTTGGGAGGCTGAGGCAGGAGATTCGCCTGAACCCGGGAGGTGGAGGTTGCAGTGAGCCGAGATGGCACCACTGTACTACAGCCTGGGCAACACAGCGAGACTCCGTCTCAAAAAAAAAAAAAAAAGAACCAGTAAAAAGACAGAGATATGTATGAAGAATAGAGCAGGTTTATAATGGAAATAATTAGCTTTGAGGTGGATATCTGGAAGAATGAAGAGAGTTAGGATAAGATGTGAAGCATAGGTTGGTTGGAGTAGATGAAGAGTCAGTGTTTAACCAAAGGGTACATCTATATGTTAACCTTTTAATGATTATGAGAAATGTTACCATTTATTAAGTCCTACTTTTGGCAAGGTTTAGTTTCAGGCCTTATATATATATATATATAATGTCTAACTCTGAAAACAATCATTATCCCCTTTCTAACAGAAGGGTTTACTAAATAGCCCATGTCGCACTGGTATGTGAAGGCATGGTAAGGTAAGGTTTCAGGGAATGCTGCTCCGTAGCTTTGTCTCTGACCACCGTGAGTTTTATGTGATGCCATCTTGCACTTTAGGAATGAATGTGGCTACTCGAAGATACTACATCGGTCTGAAATGAAGGAAACCAATGGAAAAATACCCCCCTGGTACTTTTGGAAGAACATACAGTTTTGTTGGAGAGATTAGACTTCCCACCTTAAAGAAATTATAAAACAGTAAAAAAGGCAGCACAGAATCAAATATATGACTAGGGAGTTAGGAAAGAGTAAGATAAAATTTAAATGAAGTAGAGGGGACTGAATATAAAGCAGGAAGAACTTAAATTGGGTCATAAAGGAAAGTGCGGTCTGGCTCCGTGATACAGAGAGGTGATTCTGGAGGCAGGGCCATTCCGTTACAAGGAAAAAAGCCTATCTCTAAGGGACAGGAAGACTTTTCTCCTCTCTGTGCTAAATTGATTCTGCATGCTTCCTTTCTAACCATCATTGTAATTCATCTCTTCCACCCCCAACACTCAGAAGGAGGTGTAGGAGTGGTGGTCAAAGTTTCAGAGCTTGTGTTGGACAATATTTCACCCACATGGCAAGGCTAACTGTGTCCTGGAAGGCAGAGGTTTTCTAGTTCCTCCTTCTTCACTCTCCTCTCCTCTACTTCCTCATTCAAAAGTTGTGTGGAATGATGGACTTGCAGCCATCCTTAGCAGAGTCTCTCTGTCCACAACTCCTTTCTTACTTATGGCTGGATACATGGTGGAGAAAGCCAAAGACTTAAATACGTTGATGTGCAGGATTGGAGTGCAGGGCCAGAGGCAGACAGGAGGAGAAAGAGAGTCGTTAGCCCCAAACCCTGTGTTCCAATTCCACCTTCACGAATCTCTGCAGTAGGGTTTCCTGGTAGTGCTACAACCTCCCACAACAGAAATCATTGCTCTGACATCTGATTTCTTCTTTTTGTGCTGCAGTCCATTACTGACTGTTAGGTCTATTGGCCACACCTGGTCTACATATGTGAACAGCAGCACAACCTGTGTGATGCTTGCCTAATAACATTCATTCCCCTTTGGATTTTCGAATGGGACACAGATTATATACAGAGAGCTATCCTCCACCTCGAATCCACGAGCTTCCAGGAAGGGGAGCCCTGTCTCCGCCCAAGGAATGAACACTGATTGGTGTAGCCTGGATGGACTACACAAGTGTTTCTCAAACTACGATTCCATTAGCATTACCTGGGAGACAGAAACTCTGGAGCATGGCCCTGCAATCCATGCTTGAACGAGTCCTCTAGGTGATTCTGATACATGCTAAAGATTGAGAACTGCCAGTCTAAACTGATGATGTCCCGTTATTCTCACAAGTGATTGAATGAAGTCACTGATTCTTCTCAACTGGAGCAATGATTTTGCACCTCCTCTCTGCCACCTGCACTCGCTGGGGACATTTAGAAATATCTGGAGACTTTTGATTCTCACACCTGGAATATAGTGGATAGAGGCCAAGGATGTTGCAAAACATCCTACAACGCACAGAACAGTTCCCCAGAACACATAATTATCCACCCCAAAATGCCGATAGTGCAGAGATTAAGACTCTAGTTTAACTATAGGCATGCGAAACTCTTCTAGGGTAAGACATGAGAGGAAATCTGCTGGGGAGGTGGTGTTTCTTTGTTAAAAATGTGATAAAACATTATTTGCTTTAGGGCATTGCCTAGATTTGTGGGACAGTCTTGCGACTATCAGGAGCTAGCCAGAGGACAGGCTTCCTGGGAGAAGCAGACTAGAAATAGGTAGGCTGCTGAACTCAGCAGGTTGTGGAGCTTCTGGAGTATGTTTCCTCGTAGCCACCCTTCCGCTTGATCTGAGACATGATGCGTTTCTTGCTATTTAAGTTTACTTGGGTTTTCTGTACTGTAATACACAAAAGCATCCAGTTTGAAAATAAAGATGGGACAAGGAGAATAAGGGGAAAAGGTAAGCAGGATGAAAGAAAGAAGGCACAAAGAGGAAGAGTGGAAAAGAAGTGAATGGCATCCTCCTCCACCCCCTCTCCACTCATCTAGCCACTGCCCTCTGCTGACTGCCATGTTGAAACTGTTAGGGCTGCAGTTCGCCAATTGTGGTTCCAGAAAATGTCTAATTATTCACAGCTGCTACACCCCTTGAGGGTCACTCCGTTCCTGATTCCCTTCCTTGGGACATATTGGGCCTGTGTGCGAATTTCTTGTATTTCACATTTCACTTGTTTCCTTGGATTCAGTTTGTTGTTGTTGTTGTTTGTTTTTGTTTTACTTGCAGCATATCCTTAAATAATCCTTTAGTGGGGATGTGTAGCTGGTTAATTTTCTGGGGTCCTGTGTGTCTGGAATTGACTTTAATTTTGTGCTCATACTTGGATGCTCATTTGCCTGGGTAAAGAATTCTGTGGTTAAAGTGACTTTCTCTCTAAATTTTGACACTATCTTCCCACTGTCTTCTCATTGTCAATGGTGCTAAAGAGAAGTTCTTCACTAATGTGATTTTGTTTATTTTTCGGATTCACTATTTTTTTCCTTGATAACCTTTTAAAAAGTTAACCTTATCCTTCTATTCAAGAATAAACAAGAATCTTTTAATTATATATTTTAAAGTTTTTAAGTGAAAGTATATTTGATAATTAAAATTGTATATATTTAAGGTGTATTTTATGATTTGATATATATATACATTGTGAAATGCCACAAACATGCTAATTAACAAACTTTTCAATCACCTCAGATAGTTACCATTTTCTTCTTCTTTTTCTTTTGGTGAGAACACTTAAGATCACCCTTCTTAGCAGATTTCAAGTAAACAATACAGTATGGTTAACTATAGTCACATTGTTGAGTGGGAAGTCGGGAGAAGTTAGTCAAGGGCTACATACAAAGTTTCAGTTATTTAAAACATGGATATATTTACACACGTTTCTTTTAAAAAATGCTTTCTTCTTAGTGCATAATGGACATTGTTAGCTCAAAAACTCATGACCGATCATAGTACAGGCAACTTATTTCCTTTTAAAAATTATTTCTCTCTCTTTTGTTTTCTTTCTCTATTATTTTTTTTATTGCGATGGAGCCTCACCCTGTTGCCCAGGCTGGAGCGCAATGGCGTGATCTCGGTTCACTGCAACCTCCGCCTCCCGAGTTCAAACGATTCTCCTGCCTCAGCCTCTGGAGTAGCTGGGATTATAGGCGTGCGCCACCACGCCCAGCTAATTTTTCTATTTTCAGTAGAGATAGGGTTTCTCCATGTTGGCCAGGCTGGTCTCAAACACCTGACCTCGTGATCCACCTGCCTCGGCCTCCCAAAGTGCTGAGATTACAGGTGTGAGCCGCCGCGCCCGACCCCTTCTCTATTTTTATGTCAGATAACATTTGACCCCATGGAATGGTCTGTATGTCTTTCACCTTTTTAGCTTACATATTCTAAGTTTTGCATCCTTGTTGTATATTATGAGAAAGTGCCTAAGTTTTATCCCCCAGATCACCAATTTAGTTTTCTTTGTGTCTAATTTGTTGTTCAGATATTTAGTTTATTTTTCTAACCACTTACTTGGCAAAAATATGTTATACTTGTATTTGTTTGTTGTTTACTTATTGATTTTTATAACTACCACTTATTTTAAAGTTGAAATAGGCTTTCTTTTCTCTCCATCTCTGATCCATTTTTTAAATGTCCGTCTATCCCCTGAATAATTCCTAGTTTGGCTCCTGGGCCAATTCTCAGCTTTATCCCTTGGCCAGTGGTTCTTTCTCAATGTGAGTTCCTTGGGCCTGCAGCACCAGCCTCACCTCGGATTTTGGGAGAAATGCAGATTTCCCAGCTTTACCCCTACCGATGGAATTAGGATCTTTGGGGCTGGATCCAGCAATTTGTGTTCTGTCACTGGGTGAGTGTGATGCAGGCTGAATGTTGAGCAGCACTGAATTTGGCTGTTCAATTCCAAGGCTGTAAATGACACTCAGCTGTTTGGCCCCAATGTGGCCATTCTGCATGTTTCTTGGCTAGCACAAGTTTCAAGTTTTTGGAGTCCATGCTACAGTAGTTGCTAAGTGTCTTCATTATAAATTCTCTTTACTATGTTTACTTTACTCACATGTGATGATATTTGGTTGTCTTTTTATAACTGCAGATGACGAGCCCGGTTAATTGGTAAAGGCAGCTGGCCCTGGTCATCTTTGGAGCTGTGTAGGTGCGTTTTCCCCACAGCTGGCTGTGGTTCTTCACAAGGGATTGAGCCACATGGCAATGAGGATTCCTTTTGGGATGTGCAGACCTGGAGCAGGCAGCACAGAGCAGGTTCTGTGGGAAAGGCATCCAGTCTTGAATGTTATTCCTCCTGAGCAGGACAGTTTTTCTTGGTTTCTCTTTACCAAAACTCTGCTTCTATCTCAAACTGTAAGCCTTGTCCAGCAGGGCAGCCCATTTTCTTTTCTAAAAGTATAGATTTTTGGCCTAAAGGCAAAGACTGCTGTCTTCCCTTGCTCAAGTATTTATGGGGGCTAGTATGAGGTCAGACTGGCTGAGCTCTTTCTGATGCAGATCTTGAATGTGGTGCTTCCCAAACCCTAATAGGCCTTCGAAACAGGTTAAAATGTAGTCTGATTTAGCAAGCAGTGTTGAGCCCAAGTTTCTGCACCTTAAGCAGGCTCTTAGGTGATGCAGATGCTGCTGCTCCACGAAGCCCACCTTAATTCATTAACTCAGAGCACTCCACCAGGGCCTCCTTGTTCTTCGAATATTCTAGGCTTCTTGCTTCTCTGCTTCTGCTCTTACCATCAGAACATGCAGTTCTGATGTATGATTTGAACATCTGTGTATGATTTGAACTTAAGTGTCTTCTATTCCTATCACCTAATGACTTTATCTTTCTCACTTTAGTTGTTCCACAATATCCAATATGCGGCGAGGACAAAATGTTCTGTTTTTCCAGTACTGTTTTAAAGCTAGTATTAAGAGTATCTTTTGGATAGGAAATAAAATAGAACCAGGGGCTAGATGCAATTAATTTTGAATTCTGTATAAAGATTGCATTTCCAGCACCTCCTCACCTCAAGGACTTGAGACACAATGTTATCTTGCCCCCTGAGGCATGCTGCAAGGCATGTTCTAGCCTTCTAGAGAATTAGTATCATGATCTACCTCAATTATGCTGCCTTTTGGCATACTGAGTCAACCCTGCTGGTTTCTCCAGCCTTCAGGACTTTATAATATTGAGCCAGTCCTCCCAACATCCTCCCCTGGCACCCTTGAATAGTTTGCCACTTCCCACAATATTAGTTGAGAGAAAGATCATCAAATTGAGCCCAGTCACCATGGCGGTAATGGCTGAGCACTGTGTACATTGCACAGAACCTGCATCCTGGTTACATCTGTTGTTCACCTCTAAAGAGGATCCTATCCCAAAGGGCAGGAGTCAAAGTTACAGTTTGATGAAGCTAATGGACTACAAGCAGCTCCCTTCTTTGCACTGGAGCTACTTTTGACATTTTCTTTCTTGAAGATGCCTTGCTTTGTGAATACATACATATGAATCTTTAAAAAAAATCAAAGTCTGAAGGCTGGTGGTATAAAATTAGCAAGGCTTGAGGCAGAGAGTCAAGACAGAATTTTTAAAACTTCTTAGGCTGGAATCTCAGCCAGCAGCAAATCCCCTTGAGGAAGGACTTCATCTTCATCTCCAAGCCATATCTAATTGCCTCTTTGTCATCCTCTGATTAAAACTGGCAGCAATTGGACCATCTAGGCGCTCTGTATGTAACAAGGTTTAGATACTGGCTTGGCAGAGCAGTGTGGTTTTTCAAAGGCTAATAAGGTTGAACTTGGCATCATCTATCACTAATCTGTGGCTTGATTCTTGGCTCTTGTTTCATGTTCTGCCACATTAAATTTACTGCTCTCATGCTCCAGATGACACTGATGATGCTAAAAGTCAGTGAGGCTGTGGGGGCTGGGGGTGCAGGGAGACTGTGGTTAATAAATGTGGTTCTAGCAGTCTTGTGTGTACCTGACCTTTATCTTTCAAATAACCTGTGTAAATCCAGACCAGTCAATGAACCCAAATAGATTGCTGTGTTAGAGGAGACAATGAAATTAGGTGAGCAAATTCCAATAGAAGGAAAAATGAATGTGGTGGCTCAGTCCATACTATCCTTTTCTGTAGTTTGTCTTAAGTGGCTTCCTTGGGTGACATTGAGTGACTAGTTGCTAATGGGAATGGATGACTCATTTTATAATGGGCTAAGATGATGGATACTTAAAGGTTATTTTCAGAAGAAAGGAGACAGTGTTATGACTATGAGCATCAAATTTGGTTACAGGTATCTTTTCTCTAAAATGGGACAATGAAACAAAACCCTTCTGTGTACCATGCCTCATATAGCTCATAACGAAAAGTTTAAGACCCTGGTAACTTCTATTTTGTAAGGGAAATCATTTAGTTCACCCCTCCTATCACATTCACGCTTTTACTTGTTCTTGTCTGTTTCCCCTAGGACCTTCCCCCCAAGTCCAAAACTAACCTTTCCTGTATAGTTTTTGACTTAGCTCTCTATTCTACTATTAGCATCCCCTGTGCACTGAATGAAGATGACAGATTTTACCCTAGGTTGTAGAGAAACCATCTCTTACTGAGCTGGTCTCCCTTTAATTTAGATAGACAGGCATGAGGGGAAAGTGGAGAAGAGTGTCTCTTATGAGTCTGCCCTTCTCTACATCTGTTTTCAGTGGCATCTATTCTTAGCCTATTAAAACATGCTTTCATTTATAAATGAGAACATGTGGTGTTTGGTTTTCTGTTCCTGCATTAGTTTGCTGCAGCTCCATCCATGTTCCTGCAAAGGGCATGAACTTGTTCCTGTTTATGGCTGCATAGTATTCCATGGTGTATAATGTACCACATTTTCTTTATCCAGTCTGTCACTGATGGACATTTGGGTTGATTCTATGTCTTTGCCATTGTGAAGAGTGCTGCAACGAACATACGGGTACATGTATCTTTTTAATAGAAAGCATTAGGAAAAATAGCTAATGCATGCTGGGCTTAATACCTAGATGATGGGTTGATAGGTGCAGCAAACCACCATGGCACACGTTTACCTGTGTAACAAACCTGCACATCCTGCACATGTACACTGGAACTTAAAATACCAATTAAAATTAATTTAAAAGCATTATCAGATGATTGTCTATATGAAGTTATAGATCTTTGTTAATTAAGGCAGCACTTGCTACTGTGAAAGATAAATACCTAAATCTCAGTGACTTAACACAATAGTTTATTTTTCATTCACATAAAGTACAAATGGCAGTGGTAGGAAAGAAAGGAAGCACCTCACAATTGCATAGGGTACAGACTGACAGACAGTTCTGCTACTTCAACATGTGGCTCCTAAGATAGTCTTGGGTTTCATAGATGCCGGTAGAAAAGGGGAAAACAGAGAACAGCACTCTGTGGGAGGGTTTTACATGCAGACCTGGAAGGACAGATGAGGTTATCTAACTTCATGTGAAGCTAGGGATTTAGCTGAATTGCATGCTCAGGAAGAATGAGAAACTATTCAGTGAGCAGGAAGCCAGCTGTGGGCACATTCCTACTCAAGGAAAAGAGTCCTGGACTAGAAGTTAGAAGGATGAGTCCTATGTAATTCAGCCTCTGACACTAACTTAACACATGGTTGCCTTCATTTGATTAACCTACTATAATTTGGCATTGATTTTCATACTAATAATAGAGCCTGGACTCTAAGAAATACCCTAGTACTAGTAAGCAATACATTTATATTAATAGTCAAAGAAAGACAGATAAATTTTTATAGCCCACTGATTTTTGGTTGTTGCTTATTGTTATATTTTTCCCATATCTTAAAGTTGATTCTTGATGATACTTTATACTTTCCCAAAGTATTTCAAATTCCTATATATGGATTGTGCACATCTGTATTATTGGATTTCTGCTTAGTTTGAATGTGGTTTTAGTTTTTCTCAATTTATTAATCTGTTTTTTTTTTCCTAGCCTGGTTAATTTGAAGCAACATAGTCATAAAAACCAAGAATGTGCTCCTTAATTTAGAGATTCTCTAATCTGAAGCAAGGAAAATAGGTAACTACTAATTTGAATGATTTATAACTGGGAAGGGCATGTTTTCCTCCAAACTGCTATCTCCTACATCATCCAATGCATATTCTTCTTGCAAAATTTAATTCATAAAATGTAGCCACTACTCCTTCACTTTTCAATACTCATTAACACCAGCAATCTATATAATGCACCCATCACTTGACTATAATTGTTCTCATTTCTACTCCTCTGCCATAAATTTTCAGGTCCATGAAAATGATTCTCCAAATATATATTCTGTCCAAATCACTCTCATGAATTGTTACATATCCAATTACTTGTGATTATTTTCAAGTGGATATCCCACAAACACTTCACATTCAATATGCTAACCACTGGCATTAATTTGTTTATACACTAATTGATTCTAGAATCCTCAGCATAGTTTTCTGCTTTGGCCCCTGAAGCAGTAACCAGGATCAGACTTATGCTTTGCCATGAAAAAGCTAGAAAGTTGTGAAATGGTACATAATTGCCCCAGAAGGAAGGAAAACCAATGGTACAGCTTTAAGAACACCCCAGCTTTATACTTGAAGACTTTTTCTGGACCCCCACCAAGGGAGGTGGAACCTACGCAGAGTAAAAGGGTCTTGCTGAGTTGGGTGCACAGAGAACAAAGTCCAGGGAGGCTGAGGTGGATGACATTTGTGGAACACATTGCCAAAGGAAAGAAATATATACAGAAAGAGTTTCAGACATTCTTGTGGGTGATATTCTTTGATATTTGGCTGGATGCTAATCTTCACATGCATAGAGAGAAATTCCATGAGATCAGCCAAAACAAACAAACAAACAAAATCTGGGAAGCTACAAAGTAAACAGTTCCCGGAATTAATGTAGTGTTGGGGGAAGTTTCAATTCTATATGACTAGACAGGATAAACCACTTCTAAGACACTGAGCAATAAAGACAGTTCCCAAAATTATTACTTAATAGTAAGGATTAATTAATCTTGGAGTAAAGGCTATTCTTGACTTGCCTTCACAAAGCTTATAAACAGGTACAGAATGGATCGACCTGGTCAAAAGATCACTTTATTCCCTGGTAAAACAAACATAATCACCCTTCAAAGTCACACAACCAATTCTGAATTCTCAGCAACATAGAACTCACAATATCCAGCACTTATTTGTATTAATAAATACAAATTTATTAAACATGCACAAATGTAGCAAATTTTGAACAACTAGGTGAAAACTCAATTACTAGAGAAACAGTAACTGAGAAATAGTAGACAGCATTATATATAGCAGATGAAGAGCTTAACACATTTATGCCTAGTGTTCCATTATTGGAACGCTAAGCATGTGAGAGTTATTTGTATCTATCTTACTGCTCAAGGTCATCGCCAAGGTCTAATTTTTCAATTCCAAAAATTGCAACTTCCAGCATCACTGGGTTAAAAGAGCTCTTATAAATATTACTGTGCTTATGGATTTTTTTTTTTTGATGGACTCTCACTCTATTGCCCAGGCTGGAGTGCAGTGGCATGATCTCAGATCACTGCAACCTCCACCTCCCGGGTTCAAGTGTTCAAGTGTTCTCTTGGGATTACATGCTCCTGCTACCACGCCCAGCTAATTTTTTGTATTTTTAGTAGAGACAGGGTTTCACCATATTGGCCAGGCTGGTCTCGACCTCCTGACCTTGTGATCCGCCCAGCCTCGGCCTCCCAAAGAGCTGGCATTACAGGACGTGAGCCACTGAGCCTGGCCGAGTGCTTATGGATCTTAAAGCAAACATGAATATAATAAGAAAAGAGAATAAGAAAAGAGACAACTAGAAACAAAATAAAATATTTTTTTTCTGAAATCTAAAGTACAACTGATGGGATAAACAGTATATTAGATGTTACAAATGAATACCAGTGAAAACAATATACTTTATTGCAAAATGAAGCAGAGTGGAGAAATAATACAAATAATTTTAAAAGCCTTTGTAATTTATGGAATAATATAAAGGAATCTAACATTTGTGTAATTGAAGTCTGAGAAGAAGAGCATATGAAAGTGAGAATAAATATTTAAAGAAATAACAACAAAAAAATTGTTCAAACCTGATGAAAACTAAAAGCCCACAAAAAGGCTTGACAAGCAACTGAATAAATGCAAAGTGATCCACACCAAGGCACATAATAATTAACCTACCAAAAATCCATTATAAGTAGGAAATCTTGCACATCCAGAGAAATAAGACATATAGTTAGAGAGGAATCAAAACAAACACAATTGGAGACGTCTCAGAAATTATGCAATCTAGAAGACAATGGAAACATGACCTTGTAGTATTAGAAAATTGTAAATATCATTTAGAATTCTCTATTTAGTAAATATATTGCCCTAAAATGAAGGCAAATAAAATATAATTTTTATATAAAGTAAGACAAATTTTCAATTCTGAAAACCTTTTTAATTTTTTTTTAATTTTCAATTTTGATAGTTTTATCGATACATGAGGTTTTTGGTTACATGGGTGAATTGTACAGTGGTGAAGTCTGGAATTGTAGTGCACCCATCACCCAAGTAGTGTACATTATACCCAATAAGTAGTTTTTCATCCCTTAGTTCCCTCCCACACTCCCCCATTCACAGTTTCCAATGTCCATTATACCTCTCTGTGTGCCTTTTTGTGCCTGTAGCTTAGCTCCCACTTGTAAGTGAGAATATGTGGTATTTGGTTTTTGACTTATTAATTACTTCACTTAGAATAATGGCCTGCAGTTCCATCAAAGTTTCTGCAGAAGACATTATTTTATCATTTTTTATGGCTGAGTAGTATTCCATGGTGTGTTTGTGTATACCACATTTTCCTTTTTTTTAACTTTTAAGTTTGGGGTACATGTGGAGGTTTGTTATATAGGTAAATTGTGTGTTGTAGGGGTTTGGTGTACACATTATTTCACCCAGGTAATAAGCACAGTACCCGATAGGTAGTTTTTTCATTCCTCACCCTCCTCCCATCCTCTACTCTCAAGTAGGCGTTGATGTCTGTTTTTCTTCTTTGTGTCCATAAGTACTTGATGTTCAGCTTCCACTTATAAGTGAGAATATGTGGTGTTTGGTTTTCTGCTCCTGTGTTAGTTTGCTTAGAATAATGGTCTCCAGTTCCATCCATGTTGCTGCAAAGAATATAATCTTGTTGCTTTTCATGGCTGCTTGGTATTTCATAGTGTGTATGTACCACAGTTTCTTCATTCAGTCTACCATTGATGAGCATTTAGGTTGATTTCATGACTCTGCTACTGTGAATAGCAAAATAAAGGAAAAAAGAAGGAGAGAGAAAAAAGAGAGGAAGGAAGAAAAGAAGAAGGAAAAGAAGGAAGAAATGGAAGAAAGAAAGAGAAAAATAAAATAGAGTTAATAAGTGAATAGTAGAGTTAAAGAGATTTTTTTAAAACTATCATCTCTATCTATCTATCTATCTATCTATCTATCTATCTATCTATCTATCTATCATCATCTATCCTTCTGTTTGTTTGTTTAGAGACAGGGTTTTGCTCTGTGCCCAGGCTGGAGGGCAGTGGCATGATCATAGCTCACTGCAGCTCACTCTTGGGTGCAAGCAATTCTCCTGTCTCAGGCTCCCAAGTAGCTAGTACTACAGCCAGCATGCTTGGCTAATTTTTAAAGTGTTTGTACAGACAGTGTCACACTATGTTGGCTGGGCTGGTCTCAAAACCCTGGCCTCAAGTGACTTTCCCACCTCAGCCCCCAAACCACTGGGATTACAGGTTTAAGCTGCTGTGCCTAGCCTCAAATAATTTAAAGAGGGTAAGAAAAGGGGAAAAATAAACATACAAAGAACAGATGGACCAAAGAGGAAACAAATAGCAGAAAGATTTAAACTGAGTTAAATTATTATTATAATTTTGTGGTATGTATATACATATATATGTGTGTGTGTATAATTTTGTGACATATTTATATATATTTAGATGTAGCAAATTATATATAATTTAGTAAAGTTTTATTGAATGCAAATGATTTAATCAGTTCAACTAAAAGACAAGAAAAGGCAGACTGCATAAAAATGGCCCAATTCTATGCTGTGTACAGAATATACATTTTATTTTATTATGAATTGACAAATTATAGTTATATCTATGGAGCACAAAGTGATGTTATGATTTATGTATATAATGTAGAATAAGTAAATCAAACTAATTAACATATTGTCACCTCAAATAGTTATCATTCTTTGCAGAGAGAACATTTTAAGTTTACTCCTTTAGCCAGTTTGAAATGCACAATATGCTATTATTTACCATATTTACCATGCTGTGCAACAAATATTTTTAAAAAATTAAATGTGTTTCTCCTGTCTGAGACTTTGTACCTATTTTTTTTTTTTTTTTTTTTTTGAGACAGAGTCTTGCTGTGTCACACAGGCCGGAATGCAATGGCACAATCTGGGCTCACTGCAATCTCCACCTCCCCAGTTCAAGCGATTCTCCTGCTTCAGCCTCCTAAGTAGCTGGGATTATGGGCATGCACCACCACGCCCAGCTAATTTTTGTATTTTTAGTAGAGACAGCATTTCTTCATGTTTGCCCAGGTGGTCTTGAACTCATGACATCAGGTGATCCACCTGCCTCAGCCCTTGAGTGCTGGGATTACAGGCTTGAACCCTTGTGCCCAGCCAGACTTTGTACACTTTGACCATTATCTCCTAATTCCTCCAAACACCCAGCCTCTAGTAAGCACCATTCAATACCCTACTTCTATGAATTTGATTGTTTCATATTCCATATCAACAGATGGAATGAAATAAAGAGCCTGGAAATAAACCTATGCATGTATGGTCAGTTGGTTTTTGACACAGGTTCCTAGAATTCACAATAGGAAAAGGACAGTATCTTCATTAAGTGGTGTTAGGAAAGCAAGATATCCATATGCAGAAGAACAAAATTGGACCTTACCTCACACCATATACAAAAGTCATCTCAAAATAAATTCAATACTTAAACGTAAGGCCTGAAACCATAAAACTTCTTTAAAAAGTGAAGAAAAACTACTTGAAATTGCTATGGACGATTATTGTATAGCTTTGACTCCCAAAGTGCAGACAGCAAAAGGAAAAATAGCCAAATGGGATTATATCAAAACACAAAGCTTCCACACAACAAAGGAAAAATTAGCAGAGTGAAAAGACAACCTAAAAATTGAAAGAAAATATTTGCAAGCCATGTATCTGATAAGAAATTAGTATCCAAAATGTTTAAGGAACTCAAACAACTCTAAAAATAAAACAAATAATCTGATCAAAAATGGGCAGGGGACCCAAACAGACATTTCTCAAAAGAATACATACAAATGGCCAACAAATACATAAAAAAAGTAAGCATCACTAATCATTAGGGAAGCACAAATTAAAACCACAAGGAGATAGCATCTCATACCTGTTAGAATAGCTATCATCAAAAAGATAAAAGATAACTGTTGGTAAGAATGTGGAAAAGGGGGAACACTTGCACTCTGTTGAGAGGAAGGCAAATTAGTGCAGCCATTATGAAAAACTGTATGGAGTTTTCTCAGAAAACTAAAAATATAATTATCTTATGAACTAGCAACCCCATTTCCAGGTATCTCCCCTAGAGATTTGAAATCAGTATGTTGAAGAGATCCTTTAAACTCTTATGTTTATTGCAGCATTATTCACAATAGCCAGTTATGGAATTAATCTTAGTGTCCATCAGCAGATTAATAAAGAAAATGAGATATATGTATACAATGGAAACTACTAATAACCAAAAACACACACACCAAAATAGCTTTGTGAGAACTTTAGCACTCAGTTAAGAAGCTGCAGCAACCAAGATAATGCCTAACCAAGGCATGAGGATGGGGATGTAGTGTGGATATTAGGTTGGATCCTGTTAAAAGCAGTGATGGGCACTGTGATGGATCAGAGTTGCAGGGGAACTGCAGAAGTGTGGATTCCTAGGGGCTGGAGATTGTGAGCAGAGTAATACAATAGAACAGATAGGGCAAGAAGATGCAAGTGTGAGACTCTTGGGAGAAATTACCACGTTTAAAAACAGTCATGGGTAAGGTAGGACTAGAATAAAAACACATGCATAGGCCCAGAGAAGGCAGATAGCCAGAAATGTTTGAGACCACCTTGAGCTTTCATGCTAGACTCATTAGTGAAGGTTTTCCCTTGCACAGAGCTGGTTCACAAAGACTGGGAGAGGGTATTATTTTTTCAAATGCCCAATTTATAACAAAAGATCACAAGGCAAACAAATAAACAGGAAAACATGGCCCAATCAAAAGAGCACTAAAATATACTCACTTAGCAAATTTTTAATATGCAATATAATATTCTTAAACATAGTCCCCATGCGGTATATTAGAGTCCTAGATTGATTTATCCTACTTGTGTTAGTCTATTTTGCACCCCTTTAAAGGAATATCTGAGACTGGGGAATATACACAGAAAACAGGTTTATTCTGACCCATGCATCTCTAGGCTGTATGAGAAGCATTGTGCTGGCATCTGCTCCTGGTGAGCCATCAGGAAGCTTCCAATCATAGCAGAAGGCAAAGGGGAGCCAGTCTGTCTCATGGTAAGAGTGACAGCAAGAGAGAGAGAGAGAGAGAGAGATGTCATATTCTTTCAAACAGTTAGATTTCATGTGAACTCAGAGTGGCAACTCACTCATTACTTAGAGGACAGCTCCAAGACATTCATGAGTGATCTACCCCCTTGACCCAAACACCTCCTACTAGGCCCACATGTAAAATTGGAGGTTACATTTCAAAATGAGATTTGGAGGGAACAAAGCATCCAAGCCATATTACTACCTAACTTCAAATTTGTACCCTTTTTCTTCTTCCTATTTCTTCTTTCTACCTGCCCCAGTAACCATTATTCTACCATCTACTTTTATTTATTCAACTTGTTTTTAGATTCTACGTATAAATCAGATTACATAGCATGTTTTCTTTCTGGGTATGGCTCATTTCAATTAGCATAATGCTCTCCATGTTTGTCCATGTTGTTGCAAATTACAGTATTTCCTTCTCTTTCAGGCTCAATATTATTTCAATTATATTTCATGTATGATATATATGCATGCCCCATGCATCATACAATTTCTTTTTTCATTCATCTGTCAATGGACATGTAGGTTGTTTTCATATCTTGGTTATCATGAATAATGCTACAGTGAACATAAGAAAGAACATATCTCTACAAGGTGCTGATTTTACTTCTTTTGGATATGCACTCAACAGAGTATTTTGCTAGATCATATGGTAGTTCTATTTTTGATTTTTAAAGAAATCTTCATAGTATTACCCATAATGGGTGTACCAATTTAACAAAGGCTTTTAAATAATTTTTAAACAATGATTAATGAACTAAAAGAGAGCACAGAGCACTAAATAAAATCATGATAAAACTAATATTTACATAAAGAAACTAATAAAATACACAAACAAAATTAGAATGTCAACCAAGAAATATAAATTCTAAAAATAACCAAATAGAAATTCTAGAGCTGAAAAACACAATAACAAAAATAAAAAATTTACTAGAGGAGTTTAACAACAGCCTTGAATAGGTTGAAGGAAAAATTAGGAAACTTGAAAACAGGCCATTTGAAATTATTAAGTTTGGGGAAGGGAGTGAAAAGAAGAAAGAAAGAATTAAAAAAAGAAAAGAAACTTAGCCTAAGAGTCTTGGGGGACACTGTGAAAGGACTAACATGTTCCTGATGAGAGTCTGAGAAAGACAAGAGAGAGAAGGGGCATAAAGAATATTAGAAAAAACTGGCCAGAATGGTGGCTCATGCCTGTAATCCCAGCACTTTGGGAGGCTGAGGCAGGTGGATCACCTGAGGTCAGGAGTTCAAGACCAGCCTGGCCAACATAGTGAAACCTTGTCTCTACTAAAAATACAAAAATTAGCCGGGCATGGTGGTGTGCACCTGTAATCCCAGTTACTCGGGAGGCTGAGGCAGGAGAATCACTTGAACCTGGGAGGTGGAGGTTGCAGTGAGCCAAGATCATGCCACTGCACTCCAGCCTGAGTGACAGAGTAAGACTCCATCTCAAAAAAAAAAAGGATAAAATCTTTGTCTAATTGGTGAAAAATAGGAATTAAAACATTCAAGAATCTCAATGAACTCCAAATATGATAGACTCAGAGATATCCACATAAAGACATATTATAATCCAATTCTTAAAAGCCAAAAACAAAGAATCTGGAAATCAGAAAGGGAGAAACAACTTCTTACTTACAAGCAATTCTCAGGAAGATTTACAGCCAATTTCTCATTAAAAAAAATATGGATGCCAGAATACAGCAGAATAACATATTCTATAGCTGAAAAAAACAATGATAAACCAACAACAATTAATCAAGATTTATATACCTGGCAAAAATGTCCTTCAAACTGATAGAGAAATTAAGTCATTTTTTTAAAAACAAAAATTGAGGAAATTTATCTTCACTAGAACTGCCATACAAGAAATACTAAAGGGAACCTTTCATGTTGAAATGCAAGGAAATTAGATAGTAACTGAAAACTGTGTAAAGAAATAAAAATCTTCAATAAGGTTAATACACAAGCAAGAGCAAGTATTACTGTCTATTTGCTTATTTTGCATTTTATTTCCAACAGGATTTTTAAAAATGCACAAATTATAAATATATGTTTTTGGGCACACAATATATTAAGATGTAATTTGTTACAACACCAACATAAAGAATGGAGATGTGTAGGAAAAGAGTTTTTTTTTTTTTAATGCTTTTAAAGTTAGGTGATGTTAGTTCAAAATAGATTGCTTTAAATTTAAGATGCTAAATGTAATCCCATGATAGCTACAAAAGCCCTAAAAAGTATATCAAAAAGGAAATGAGAAGAAAATCAAAATGATTAACTGTGAAAAATCAGCTAAACAGGAAAGAAGTAAGTAATTGAGAAAATTGGGGACAAAACATATAGGACATACAGAAAATAAACAGCCAAATGACAGAAGTAGATTCTTCCCCAACAGTAATTACTTTAGATGTTAATAGATTAAAATCTCCAATCCAAAGACAAAGATTGGCTGGATGGATAGAAACATATGATCCAACTGTATGCTGTCTAAAAGAGACTCTTTTTAGATCCAAAGACACAAAGTGATGAAAAGCAAAAGGATAAAAAAAGTTTTCATGCAAATAGTAACTAAAAGAAATCATGGGTGTCTGTGTTAATATAAGACAAGAATAACCTTAAATACAAAGCTGTTAAAAGAGACAAATAAGAGCATAGTATATTGATTAAATTGTCAATCCATTAAGAAGTTACACCTTTTTTTTTTGAGACAGAGTTTCGCTCTTATTGCCCAGATTGGAGTGCAATAGCATGATCTCAGCTCACCGTAACCTCTGCCTCTTGGTTCAAATGATTCTCCTGCCTCAGCCTCCTGAGTAGCTGGGACCACAGGCGTGAGCCACCACGTATGGCTAATTTTGCATTTTTAGTAGAGACAGGGTTTCTCCATGTTGGTCAGG
The DNA here is from genome assembly GCF_000001405.40 of Homo sapiens. NCBI lineage: Eukaryota > Metazoa > Chordata > Mammalia > Primates > Hominidae > Homo > Homo sapiens. Next base: position 126,417,667 of record NC_000002.12, on the reverse strand, counting down.
CTGGTCTTGAACTCCTGACCTCAGGTGATCTGCCTGCCTCGGCCTCCCAAAGTGCTGGGATTACAGGCATGAGCCACTGCACCTGGCCAGTTACGGCAACTTTAAACATATATGCACAAAACAAAAAAAGCTTCAAAATACATGTGCAAACATGGACAGAATTGAAGGAAGAAATAGTTTTGTAATAATAATTGTTGGAGATGCCAATATCCCACTTTCAATGATAAAACGTCTAGACAGAAAATCAATAAAGAAATAAAGGAAGTAAGCATCACTGAAAATGAACTATATTTAACAGTTATTTGTAAAATATCCTTCACAATAACAGCAGAATATATGTTCCTCTGAAGTGCACATGGAACATTCTCCTGTATAGACTATATGATACACCAAAAAACAAGTCTCAATACATTCAAAAACTGAAATTTTACAAAGCATCTTTTAAAAATTATTTATTTAAAGTTTTAATTTCACATAATTTTATGCACTTATGGGATGCAATGTGATGTTTCAGCACATGTGTATGTTATATAATAATCAAATCGTATAATTTGAATATTCATCACCTGCAATTATTACATCTTTGTAGTAAGAATGTTCAAAATCCTCTCTTTCAGTTATTCTAAAATATACAGTACATGTCATTATCTATAGTCACCTTACTGTGCAATAGGACACCAGGACTGACTTCTCCTAGCTAATTGTAATTATGTACCCATTGATCAATTTCTTTTCAGTCCCCCCTCCCCAGTCTCTGGTAATGATTGCTCTATTCTCTGCTTTAATGAGATCAACTTTTTAGAATCCACATATGAGTGAGATTATGTGGTATTTGTCTTTCTATGTCTGGCTTATTTCACTTAACATAATGTCTTCCAGATTTATTCATGCTGCAAATAATAGGATTTTATTCTTTTTTTTGTATGGCTGACTGGTATCCCATTGTGTATATATACCACATTTTCTTTATCTATTTATCTACTAATGGATATGTAGGCTGATTCCACAGGTTGGCTATTGTGAATAGTCTGCAATAAACATGAAAGTGCAGGTGTCTTTTTGACAAACTGATTTCATTTTCTTTGGATATATATCCAGTAGTAAGATTGCTGGATCATATGGTAGTTTGATTTTTAGTTTTCTGAGTAACCTCCATATTGCTTTCCAGAGGGGCTATAGACTAATTCACATTTTCACTGACACTGTATAAGGGTTTCCTTTTCTCCACTTCTTTGCCAACACTTATTTTGTGTTTTTACTAATGTCATTTTAGCTGGAGTAAGGTGATAACTTACTATGATTTTGATATGCATTTCTGAAATGATTAGTGATATTGAGCATTTTTTCATATACTGGTTAGCCATTTGCATGTCTTTTTGAGAAATTTCTATTAAGGAGTTTTGTCCATTTTTAAATAGGATTATTTGGGTTAAATTTGTTGTTGTTGGTTTTTTTTTGTTTGTTTTTGCTATTGAGTTGTTTGAGTTTCTTATATATTTTGAATATCCTCCTCTTGTTAGATGTAGTGTTTGCAAATATATTCTCCCATTTTGCAGGTTGTCTTTTCACTTGTTGACTGTTTCCTTTGCAGTGCAGAAGCCTTGTATTTTGATGTAATCCCATTGTCTACTTTTCATTTTTTGCCTGTGCTTTTAAAGTCTTATTAACAAAACTTTGTCCAGTCCAGTGTTATGAAGCATTTCACCTATGTTTTCTTCTAGTAGTTTCAGGTCTTACATTTAAGTCTTTAATCCATCTTCAGTTAAATTTTGTGTATGGTAAAAAATAGGGGTCAGGTTTTATTCTTCTGCATGTGGACATCCACTTTTCCCAGCACCATTTATTGAAGAGATTGTCCTTTCCCCATTGTGTGTTCTTGGCACCTTTGTCAAAAATCAGTTGACTGTAGGCATGTGGATTTATTTCTGGGTTCTCTGTTTTGTTTCATTGGTTTATATGTCTGTTTTTAATGTCGATATCATAGTGTTTTAATTACTATAGCTTTGTATTATATTTTGAAGTCACATAGTATAATGCCTCTACTTTTGCTTTTTTGCTCAAGATTGTTTGGTTATTCAGGATTTTTGTAATTCCACACAAATTTTAGAATTAAAAATGTCAGTGGTATTTTGATAGAGATTTCATCAAATCTGTAGATAACTTGGGGTAGTATGGACATTTCAACAATATTAATTCTTCAAGTCCATATACATGAGATATATTTTCATTTATTTGCATCCTTTTCAATGTCTTTCATCAAGGTTTTATAGTTTTTAGTGTAGCTTCTTTTCACCTTAATGGTAAAATTTATTCCTAGGTACTTTGTAGTTTTGTAGCTATTATAAATAAAATTTTTTTTTAAATTTTTTTAGATAGTTCACTATATGTGTATACAAATGCTACTGATTTTATATGTTGATTTTTGTATCCTTCAACTTTACAAAATTAACTTATTAGTACTAACTTTTTTTGTGAACTTCTTGGGGTTTTACACATATGCAGTAATTTCATCTGCAAACAGGACAATTTAACTTTTTCCTTTCCAATTTGGATATCTTTTATTTCTTTCTTTTGCTTACTGGGACTTCTAGTAATATGTTGAAAAGAAGTGGTGAAAGTGGGCATACTTGTCTCGTTCCAGATCTTAAAGCAAAAGTTTTCAACTTGTCCCCATTGAGTATAATGTTAGCTTTGGGATTTTTATATATGGCCTTCATTGTGTTGAGGTACATACATTCTATATGTAATTTGTTGGCAGTTTTTTTTTATTATAAAGGGATGTTGAATTTTGCCAAGTGCTTTTTCTGCATCTGTTGAATTGATTGTATGGATTTTGTCCTTCATTATGTTATGGAATGTTTCACAGGTATTGATTTGCATATGTTGAACCATTCTTTCATTCCTGGAATAAGTTCCACTTGAACAAAATGGATAGCTTTTTAATCTGCTGTTGAGTTTTGTTTGTTAGTATTTGGATGAGAATTTTTTCATCTATGTTCATCGGGAATATTGACCTGTAGTTTCCTTGTTTTGTTGTGTTCTTTTCTGGTTTTGGAATCAAGGTAATGCTGGCTATGTGGAAGGAGTTTGAAAATATTCCCTCCTTTTCAATGTTCTTGAATACATTGAAGTAATTGGTATTAGTTCTTCTTTAAAAGTTTGGTAGAAGTCAGCAGTGAAGCTATCAGGTCCTGCGCTTTTCTTTGACGGGAGATGTTAAATTACTAATTCAATTTCCTCATTGGTAATTAGCCTGTTCAGATTTACAGTTTCCTTGTTATTCAATATTGGATGGTTGTATGTGTGTTGGAATTGATTTATTATTTCTTCATTATTAAATTTGTTGGCATATACTTGTTCCTGGTACTCTCTTTTGATCCTTTGTAGTTCTGTGGTATCAGTTATAATGTCCTCTTTTTTATATTGGATTTTATTTATTTCAGTCTTTTCTTTTTCTGATAGTCTAGATAGAGGTTTGCCAATTTTATTTATCTTTTCAAAAATTCACTCTTCATTTTATTAATCTTTTGTATTTTCTCAGTCTCGATTTCATTTATTTCTGCTCTGATCACTATTATTTCTTTCTATTACTTTTGGATTCAGTTTGTTCTTGTTTTGGTATTTCCTTGAGATGAATCATTAGGTTTTTTACTTGAAATCTTTCTTTGTTGTAGGCATCGATTGCCACAGGTATACCTTGTTTCACAGCACTTTGCTTTATTGTCCTTCACAGATATTTACAAATTGAAACTCAGTAGTATTTTTGCATTGAGCAAGTCTATTGGCACAATTTTTCCAATAGCATGTGCTCATTTCATGTTTCTGTGTCACATATTAATAATTCTCACACTATTGAAAATCATTTATTATTTTTATATCTGTCACGGTGATCTGTGGTCAGTGATCTTTAATGCTACTATTATAATTATTTTGTAACAACACAAACTGCAGTCACATGAGATGGCAAACTTAATTGATACAGTCGCATGTGTTCCGATTGATCCATCCATTGGCTGTTCTCTCTTCTCCTCCCTTCTCCTCAAACCTCCCTACTCCCTGAAACACAGCAATATTGAAATTAGGACAATTAACAACCCTACAATGACCTCTAAGTGTTCAAATGAAAGGAAAAATATGTATCTCTTACTTTAAATCTAAAGATGCAAATGATCAAGCTCAGTGAAGAATTAATGTCAAACGTTAATAGAGGCCAAAATCTAGGCCTCTTATGACAAACTGTGAGCAAAGTTGTGAATGTGAAGTAAAAGTTTTTGAAGAAAATTAAAAATGCTACTCCAGTGAAACACATGAATAAGAAAGTGAAACTGCCGTATTGCTAATATGGAAAAAGATGTAGTGATCTGAATAGATCAAACCAACCACAACATTGCTTTAAACCAAAACCTAATCTAGAGCAAGGCCGTAACTCTCCAGTTTTACGAAGCTATAAAGGCTGAGAGAGGTGAGGAATGTGCAGAAGAAAATTTTGAAGGTGGCAGAATTTGATTCATAAAGTTATAGGAAAGAAGCCATCTCCATAACATAAAAGTACATGGTGAAGCTGCAAGTGCTGATGTAGAAGCTGTAGCAAATTATTCAAAAGATCTAGCTAAAATAATTGATGAAGGAGTCTACATTAAACAACAGATTTTTCAAGGTAGATGAAACAACATTCTATTGGAAGAAGATCCATCTAGGACTCTCACAGCTAGAGAGGGAAGTCAATGCCTGGCTTCAAAGCTTCAAAGGACAGGGTACCTCTTTTGTAAGGTGCTAATGCAGCTGGTGACTTTAAGTTGAAACCAATGCTCCTTTACTATTCCAAAAGTCCTAGGACCCCAAATAATTACACTAAATCTACTTTGCTTATGTTGTATAAACAGAACAATATAGCTTAGTTGACAGCATATCGGTTTACAGGATGTTTTATTGAATATTTAAGCCAACTGTTGAGACATACTGCTCAGAAAAATAGGATTCCTTTCAAAATAATAATATTTTGTAGTGGCAGAGTTTGAGTGGATTGACTCCAATTTTGAAAGAAGTTCTGTATAATATATAATATTATAATTATAATAATATATTGTGAATTGCTTATTGACAATGCACCTGGTCACCCAAGAGCTTTGATGGAGGTGTACGAGGAGATTAATGTTGTTTTTATTCCTTCTAACACAACATTCATTCCACAGCCCATGGATCAAGGAGTAATTTTGACTTTCAAGTCTTATTATTTAAGAAATTCATTTCATAAGGCTACAGCTGCCATACATAATGATTTTTCTGATGGAACTTGGCGCAGTAAATTGAAAACCTTCTGGAAAAGATTCAGACTTCTAGACGTCATTAGGAACATTTAGGATTCATGGGAGGAGGTCAAAATGTCAACATTAACAGGTGTTTGAAAGAAGTTGATTCCAACCTTCATGAATAACTTTGATGGGTTCAAGATTTCAGTGGAGGGATTGCTGCAAATGTGGTAGAAATAGTGAGAGAACTAGAATTAGAAGTACAGCCTGAATGTGTAACTTAATTGCTGCAATCTCATGATAAAACTTGAAGAGATGAGGTACTGCTTCTTATGGATGTGCAAAGGAAGTGGTTTCTTGAGATAAATCTATTCCTGATAAGATGCCATGAACATTGTTGAAATGACAACAAAGGATTTATTTACATAAACTTAGTTGTTAAAGCAGTGGCAGGTTTGAGTTGATTGACTCCAATTTTGAAAGTTCTGTGTGTAAAGTACTGTCAATCAGCATCGTGTGATGCAGAGGTATCTTTCGTGAAAGGAAGAGTCAATCAATGTGGCAAACTTCACTGTTGTCTTATTTTAAGAAATTGCCACAGCCACCCAACCTTTAGCAATCACCACCCTGATCACTCAGCGGCCATCAACAATGGGGCAAGACCCTCCACCAGCCAAAAGATTACAACTCACTGAAAGCTCAGATGAACTTTAGCATTTTTTAGCAATAAGGTATTTTTAATTTAGATATGTACTTTTTTTAGACAATACTATTGCCCACTTAGTAGACTACAATGTAGTATAAACATAACTCTGTACTCACCAGGAAATGAAAAAAATTGTGTAACACACTTTATTGTGATGGTGGCTTTATTGCAGTGGGCTGGAGCTGAACCCACAATATTTCAGACGTATGCCTGTACTGTATGATTTCATTTATACACGTCTCTAAAAAAAGCCAAATTTAAAGGGTAATGAGAGAATGGAGTGCCATGGTTGCTCAGAGCTGGGAAGAGAAGGGATTTGCTGAGAAAGTGTACAAAGAGTTTTTAGGTGTAATACAAATGTTTAATTGTCTTGATTATGGTGGTGGTTACACAGATTTGTCAAAATTTATCAAACTCTGTTCTTATAATTAATGTATTATATCTTATATAAATTATGCCTTAATAATGTCAATTAAAAATGAAAGGAAATTATTTTGGAAATAAGAATGAAATGTATAATTTTACAATCAATATAGGCAGTAAGGGAAAAATAAATAAAACTAAGTTATTTCAATAGAGGGCAGATAAAACTGTAATACATTTATTACAAGAATACAGCTTGGATTTGAACAGACCTGCTCTAGTTCTGTGTCTGCCACTTCCTACCTGGGATAAATTGCTTAATACCTCAACTCAGTCTCTTTATCTACTCTTATGGGTTTAGTGATTACATGAATCTCAAAGTGTTGATTTAAAGAATAAGTAAACATAAAATGTTTAACATTGGGTATGATATAAAGTATTCAATAAATCCTAAACGGTTTTACCAGTATTATAAAATTGAGAATACTAGTGTTTCTTAACTGAGTCTCCTTTTAATTCTCTTGTAGTAGCATTCTAGTATTCTTCTTAGCACTTAACTCTATTGCCACTCTGTATTTCCTTGCATGTTAATTTGCTTAATTCTATAGTCCCTCAAGGAAATGTGCCTACCTTGCCACTGTTACGCCTCAGCCCTAGCACTGCCCTGGCCCTGGGTGGGTGTTCACAGTCTCTTTGTTGAATGATTGTGTGGATGTTCCTCCTGCATGGTTGCTCTCTTTAGGAAACTTCCATTTTCCTCTCTTACGTGTACTTACTGTCATTGTTACTGTGGAATGAAAGACCTTGTCCCTTGAAAAGAAATTTTGGTTTTGAGAGCTTAAGACCTATGGGCTTCTTGGGGAGTCTTTTCTTGCAGTCTTGCATTTAGACTGGGTGCCCAGAAGATGCCACCTGGCTCAGGGTCAGCAGGGAGGGTTTGGAAGTATGATTGAATTTTGCAGAACTTCCTTCAGCTGTCATGCTACCTCCTTTCCTTCACATTGCTTCAACAGCCTGTTCCTGCCTTTCTACACAGACATAAAGTTTTTTATGAAATCTTTGTTAAGCCTTTCTTTGAACTATTCATGGTGCTTATTCTAGCTAAGAACTTATAAATGTAACATGTGGAGGTCCTTATAAGTTTTGATCACTCTATATAAACTCTACCTTTGTTTCACTAGTGGAGAAAACGTCTGAGGGAGGTTACAAATGTTGCCTCACATCCTACAGCTAAATAGGGGCAGAACAAGCGCAAGGCTCCAGATCCCTGAACTTACAGTGCACTTTGAAACTGATACAAGCATGTTTTTGGCTCTGAATCATCCCCCTCTGCCTGTTTTTTCATTGGAACAGTCAAGGTTATATGTCCTGGAGTAGGTTCAAGTTCAGTATTTGTACCTCCTAATATCAATATTGTCCACAGTGCCCAGCCTGTAGATATTATAGGCTTATGACGCTTTCTAAATATTAATGAGTGCATATGAAAGTGATGGACTCATTTTGCTCATATTGGCAAATGCACTTTTGAGAGCTCTTCAATTTGCTTTTTAAGTTTAGCCCTCTCCAAAAGCATCTTCTGTTCCTCTGACATATGAAGTCTTGTTTTAAAAGGACTTAATGCTTTACTTTTTGTCTTTTATTTCCAAAAGAAACAGCAATTGATATATACATAGATGTGCACCTTTATTAATTATTACTTTATCTTCCTGGGAACTCACCTGGCAGCAGCCTTGGCTCTCACAGAAGCCAGTATGATTGCAGGGAATTAGTTTTTATTACACTTGGACTGAACAAAACAGGTTTGGAAGGGTAATGAAGTTTGCGGAAAGCAGAACCGTGTATTTTTTTCCTCTCCCCAGAGATTATTCAATAAAATGAATTTATGTCCTGCACAATAACTGGGAATTGGCAGGTCGATGGCCTCTATCTCCGCTGTCCTCTCAGCCTGGTGTCCAACAGGTCTGATAACCTGAGAGAGCAATAATTAAGATCCTCAGGAAGGTGCATATGGGCAGGAGCAACCATGGAATTAGGGAGCTCTGTAATTCGGGAGGCCATCAAAATAAACGTTGATTTTATTGAAATGTGCCAAATTAACCTAACAAGCTGTTTTTCAATTTCAGCCAAACTCGAAATTTTATCTTCTTAACTCCATCCAAGATATTGCATTCTGCCACTGGAATGAAATATTAGCAATAGAAGCACCATTCTAGTTAGTCTCCATTCAACCCCAAACTTTAATAGAAATAACCTGCCGGCTTTGATTGAGTGCGATATCACTATAGGAGCCTTGAATTTAAACTGGGGGATAAAGAAAATTGCATAGTGTGTGAAGCCAGTTTGACCAAAATGGAAATTTTACTTCAGTCCCATCTGGCTGTCAAAAGGCCACTTCTAATACTTTCACAGAGCAATTTACCTTCACAGCAAAAAATAAAAAATAGAAACTGAAAATGCCAAAAAAAAGCCCAAACTAAACCAAACCCCAAAACTTTGTATCTCCTTTGCAGAGTCTGAAATCCTGTTCTTCATTGTTCTCAAGGGGCCAGGAGTGAGCACAATTCACCAACTTCTCTGTGAGGCTCAGCTTCCTTTCATTATTAAGCACATTCTGTTTTCTTGGATTCTAAACCTTTTAAAAGAAGAAAAAAAGCATAAATAGAAACTCCTCACCATTCTGTTAGATATTTGAATTAAAATGCATTCCACACTGGCCTCAAGACTTTGAGAGAAAAGCATGTGGTGTTTGCCCTGGGCATTTAGCAAAACTGGCAAGGGACATGGATCCACTGGAGCTTTCATGCCGTATTCCAGATCTGCCAGCAGTTCCAAGGGTCCATTTCACATCCAGGGCTGGAAACCACACATCCCTTGGTGAAAAATCTGCTGAAACAAATTTTGTAGAACCCAAAGGGAAATGCCATTTTGGTGACAGTCACGTCTGAATACACGTGAACGCTGAAGCCGTGTATGAGTTGGGGACCAAGGGTCTAACAGAGAAGAATGGGGCCATTCTGAAAGTATCTCAGAAGGGATTTTTTAAAAAAGACATTTTCTCCATTGTCTGGCTGAGCATTCAGATACTCTACTCCAAAGTCCATTAAAAATCCATGCAGAAATATGAAGAATGTAACTGTGATGGGACATACTTCAGAAACAAGTTCTGTTTGTCTCTTAAAATGCTTTCCCAGACTAACCAGAGGATCAGAGAAAAGAAATCCCTTTGTTTGTAAGAGGAAGAGTGAGGACATGATTTTCATGTGGACAGTTTCTTTCAAGAAATCAGCTAGGTTAGCAAAAGCAAGCCAAGGCTGTATTTATGTCTTCGGGTGATCTCTTCTTTCTCTCTGTCTCTCTCTCTCTCTCTCTCTCTCTCACACACACACACACACACAAACACACACACACACACACACACACACACACACACACACACACACACACACCTCTCTTGGCATCCTTACTTCTTTTTACCCACCAGAAACAAATACAGAATATGAGCACAAAATGCGGAATCACTGAAGGATGAGTGTCTCAAGCCTCTGAGTCTGGACATAATCTCATGTATATCTATCAAAATAGATAGACAGACAGATAGGCTGATTGGCTAACTTGAAAGCCAGTATTTATTATATAGCAACTTTATAGATGAGGAAACTGATGCTCTAGTGCTTAGGAAGGTCAACAACTTGCCCAAATGAATGAGCTCAGCTGTGGGTCTGTGGCTTTGCTTTTCTCTTTCCCTTGGATCTCTCCCTCCAAGAGTGCCCTGCCATTTTCCCACTGAGTGCCCTCCAGGAGCCAAGAGTTCTGCACAGAGGTATAAGAAGCCCACCATTTCTATCTTTAGAATGTCCTCTCACCATTTCTCATCTCCCCATCAAAGCTCACATGCCCAGAGCCCCATTCTTAGCAGGCCATGCTCTCCAATTTCCAATGTCAGATGCACGTTTTCATTAGCATCTGAGCTAAAGTACTGCCGGCTGACAACAATATAATGTGTCACAACTATTTCCTAAATTAATTTTCCTATAATTATACCACTATGCTGTAACCATTGATTTCTCCATTTCCCCCTATTTCATTAGCTCTTGGGATAAAGTTCTTGTTTCTAACTTCTTACAGTATTTTTTTCCAGCCAGCACAGACTCCTTTTTAGCCTTCTGTATTCACACCTTGTGCTCTATGCCAGTGCTTCCCATGCTCCTGTGTGGACTATACTACACAAAAAACATTGCACACATGCACTCAGCCTTTTCAGAAGACATTAGCTCTCTGGCACAATTCATAAAACGGAATATTATTTAGCCTTAAAAAGTAAGAAAATCCTGTCATTTGCAACAACATGGAGTAACCTAGAGGACAGTAGGCTACATGAGATAAGCAAGGCATCGATAGATAAATACTGCATGATTTCACTTATATGTGGAATTGTGGAATCTAAGAAAGCCAAACTCATAGTAGCAGAGAGCAGAATGGTGGTTACCAAGGACTAGGGGCAGGGGAAATGGGTTGTTTTTGTTCAGTGGGTATAATGTTTCAGATATGCAAGATTAATTAGTTTTAGAGATCTGCCACACAGCATAATGCCTACAGATGTGAATTCTGTACTTAAAAATTTGTTGAGGATAGATCTCCCGTTAAATGTTCTTACCACAAAACATTCAAGCAAACAAAAATTTCACATATGCTCTTTCATCTAATTCTTATAAAATTCAATGTTCTGAGAAATATGACTAATTTTACATATAAGAATATCAAGAATTTAAGAGGCTGCTGTAAGTCAAATGTACCATGAAGCATACACTTCCGGGCTATTCATTTGTGTGAGCTCCTATGACCACTGGGAGCCACTGAGAATTGCAGCGGGTTCCAGGTAGAGAGAGGAAGCCTGACGTCATCAGGGAGCATTTCTGTGTGAGCACTTATGGTATCTCAGGGGAAAAAGGGTTCAGACTGTCCACAGCTCCAGTCATTTGTTGTGATTTCCTTTTTCATTCTTTAAAAAATCACATTTACACTTCGTTTTGTATTTTTTATTTGAAGATGAAGCACCAAGATAGTATAAACCTTAGCCCACAAAACCTGGTTCCAGCCCTAAGTTATTGAAGTAACCCTACACAGTGGTAGAAGAGGGCCTCAAACGCCATTCCCCCAGTTCCACACCCTCTGTCCTTTCCGTGTCTCTGATGCTGATGCTGTCATTTCATTGCTTCTGTGAAGGCCCAGGTGAGCAGTGCCCTCTTCCCTGAAGTCTTCCCAAGGCTGAAACAATATCTCTCCTTGTTCCTTTGGATCACAGACAGCACTTTTTGAGGACTTTGATTAAAAAAAATGTGTTTTGCAGCAACTGTACAACAAGCCCCTTTGCTACTTAGTCCTCCACTCTTTGTCTAATTTCTCAAGACAACATGGAAGAGACTCTGGGTTGAGGAATTTGCCCTATTTTTATATTTCTGAAAGCAGTTGCCAAGGCAGGAACTTAGTGGAGCAAATAAGCCTTTCAGAACATGGAAAGCCTTTCTTGTACCACCAGGTACCCTGCCAGAGATTGCCATAGGCCTTTAATTTTAGAATCATAAGGAGAGTTCATGATCTAAGACAACAGAGAGAACCCAGGAACTCCCCCAGCATGGTAGAGGGCAAATCCATCCATTTGTGACTTTGCTTTCAATGCTCACCTCCAAGTAGAATTTGCTCCTAACTGCCATCATTCATTTATTAGTTCATTTATTCATTCAACAAATATATTCCAAGCACCAATTTACATTCTGGGAATAGAACTGAAGATGATTTCCTCCCTGCCCTCCAGGACCTAAGCAAAGAGAGGCCAGAATTTCATATTATTGATGATGTTTCTGTAAAACTTTAAGTGTTCTGGATTATCTTGTATTGATCCATGAAATGAGGCTTATCACAGATAAATGGGCCAATAATTTTTACTTGGCAAAGTACCCTTGCTTTATGGAATAAATTTGTTCCAGAAAATGTATCTATAGAGTGAGCCTTTCCTTTTCTCTGGTAGTATAAAATCCAACGTGTTTTCTGATGAGAAAAGTCCTCTGATTTAAGTTGAAAACTTTTAAGGTGTGCAGTATCGGTGGCAAAGGAGGAAAAGACGCAGAGGAATTGGTGATATTGTGCACATCTGGTTTTTGTGGTCCAAATTACTGTTCACTTACCTTGGCAACATTTGGGAAACTTTCTTGCTTCAGAATGTGCTTTTTCATGAGAACAGTTCATTTTCCAATCTGCTTCACCTTTTTTTTTTTTTTATTTTTACTTTCCCTGACCAGGAATTTCTAGCTCTTCTGACTTACTCTTTTCCTGTTTATCTGTCGGATATAGACCTAGGATTTTAAAATCATATTAGCAGCTGCCAAATGTCCTGGCAATATGACTAGAGAACTATCTAATGGACTGAAGACTTTTCATTCTTTGTAAATAATAACTTTGAAATTTTGGAAGATTAAATGCCTTTTAAAATGACCCTCAGTGAGAGCTTCCATTTCCATGCTGCTTTTATGGACGAGAGATTGCACTTAAAATTATGTGTATTTCCTCTGCAAGTGCCCATGTAGATGGCAATCCAGTAATCCCTTTGAGGGCAGGCACCATGTCTACATTTCTTTAGTGTTTCCCATAGAATTTGGCTCTGTGCTACACACGGAATAAATTCTTAGACTTGTATTAATTCCTTGTTGGCAGCTACACCCACACCTAGCAGGACCTGTTTCATTTACCGATGCAGCAGAGTTGCTCCCACATCTTAGAGTGCACTGAGGATGGGGCTGGGTCCCTCCCCACAGCCTGCACACTACTAACTGCTAAATGATCAGTGCATGGCCAGTGACTGTAAGATGATTGAAAGAGTCAACTGCCATTTTTCTTGATTTTCATAACGACATGATTTTGAAGTTACAGCTGAAATTACTTGTTTCTGTATCCACAAGTTTTGCTTTTATTGGAGAGTGTACCATGTGTGGCATCTCACCTTTCTCTCTATACTGCTTGACCAGCTCTGCCGTATTCCAAGTAACAATGTCAGAAGTCACTTCTTTTTTTGTTTGTTTGAGAAGGAGTCTTGGCTATCACCCAGGCTGGAGTGCAGTGACGTGATCTCGGCTCACTGAAACCTCCGCCTCCTGGGTTAAAGCAATTCTCCTGTCTCAGCCTCCCAAGTAGCTGGGTTTACAGGCATGCACCACCACACCCGGCTTTTTTTTTTTTTTTTTAGTAGAGATGTGGTTTCACCATGTTGGCCAGGCTGGTTTCGAACTCCTAACCTCAAGAGATCCACCCACCTCAGCCTCCCAAAGTGCTGGGATTACAGGTGTGAGCCACCACACCTGGGCAGAAGTCACTTCTTTCCAGAAAGCTTTCCTGACTCTTGCATAAATGGTAGTCCCTGCCTCTTTGTTACTTGCAGAAATCCTCGTGCGAATTACTACAGTCTTCATTTCTTTCCTCTATACATTGGGTACTCCTGGTACTGTGCCAGATGCTGTAGCACTTAGTGAATTGTTTGGGGTCTCACAGCTCACAGTTCTTTTCCCACTAGATCTTTGGAGAAGACTAAGTGTAGCTATAAGGTGCCCTGTTAGGACACTGTTCCCCATATTCCAGTTTCTATGGCATTTTCCCCTGAGTCTGTGATTTGTGTGGTTTCCAGATGGGGTATTATCATAATGAAACTTAATTTAGCCTTTTCCTAAGTTAAAACAAATTAAAATATGCTCCCATCTAAAGTCATGGCATGTGTCTTCAGTTGCACAAACTGAATTTCTTTGGCTTGAGGCAGCAAATGCTGTTAAAATAATATTGATTTTCAAGAATTCCTGGCTTGTGTCCTGTAGCTGAGCAACAAAGCCCCTGCTCTGTCTTTGGTTTGTCTAAGAGGCCTGTGGATGGCATGCACACCTGGGCATGGTTCCCTGCAGGCCCTGTGAATCCTGTCTGGTCCCCTCCTCCTGGTCCGCTGGCCCTGCCTTGAAGAAAGCTGTTTCGCTACCTAAGAAGCATTGTCCAGCTCCATCTGTCATGGGCCCCTGCCCTCCCTACCTGCTTCCCCATGCCCAGGCCCTGCTACAAAGCTGATCTTGTCTGTCCTGCTGTATCACATTTGGTCGCCTGGGCTCTGAAACAACAGTGCGTGTGTTCTGTGTCCTGCACATTTCCTCATGAAAAAAACTTCTTCAGTTTCTATTAATGGTTCTCCATCTCAGAACTCAGGCCCTCTGAGTGGGGCTGAGCTGGTGGGACAGAGGCCCTGGGGTCCCCTCCGCAGCCCCACTTGTCTCTCAGGTGCTCCTGCACTCTGGTCACCTCTGCCTCCAGGCCTCTTTCTGTTGTGCAAAATGATGCCTGAAGGCCAGAGGTAGCCAGTTCCTGTGATAGAGCCTGACTCTGAATCCCAGACTCAGCTTGTCTGGGACAAAATTTCTGCAATGATAATCCAATGGGAATGAAGTAAAGAGGTTAAAATACAAATCAGACAACAAAATGCTGTGAAAGTAGACCACAGATCACCGCTCTGGCATATGGGTTGTAGCAAGGGAGGCAGCATTATCTGCCGAGGGGGTGAGGCAGCAGAATGGGAGCAGGATACCAGGTCTGGGTCAGACACCCTCAGGGCTGGGTCCCAGCCTCTCCACTTTCCAACTGTTGATCTTGGGCAAGGATTTCAACTATCTGAGCTTCTGTTGCCTCATCTAAAAATGAGGATAATGATACTTAGCTCCTCATACACGGAGGATTAGAAATGAAGATCATACAGCTCCTGGCACATAATATTCAACTATCATGGCCCTCTCTCCATTCCTCTTCAGGATTTAGAATCCAGTGAGTGAGAGTAAACAGTGTCATACCTAAATCATGCTAGTTAAGATGAGATAAAGTGTTTTAAAAAGTAAATATTTCTTTGCTTTAAAGACTGAAGTAGAAGGCAAGAAAATGTTATCACACCACAAGGGAGAGGTTTAATACAGCAACTTATTAGTGAAATTTCGTTAGGAGAGTTTTAAGAAAGTTCCTGATATCACTCCTCATTCCAAAAGTCACTAGAAAATTATGCTAAAGTGTTATTTGATTTAGTATTCAGGCCTTCGATGGTAGCAAGAGGCCTTCCTAGAGCCATCGACCCTCTGCATAATTTGCAGTGAAGTGCTCAGCAGGAAATGACACCAGGAGCTATGGCCCTGCTTGGTCACGCCTCAGCCTGGGCAAGCATCATCCAGGCCCCCCAGGTGCCAATAAGACTGTGACGACTACTTGGATGCTCATTTGGGACCCATGGGGAAAGCAGGAGTTAAGGGATTCTGCACAGATTTGGTAAATTGCCTTGGGAAGCCCCAGTAGAAGGCATCAGAAGATTTTCTCTGAAGGTAGTAAAGACTAAAAAGGATATCCTTTTGTACTTTGTGGCACATAATGTGATTTTTTTATGTTTTTAGAACCATTAAATGACTTTTCATTCCAAGAAATCCATCAAGTTTGATCATTTATACTCTGTTTAATGAGAGTAAAGAATCCTCTAAATGCTATAAAAATTGCTCAGTTTTAGCTGAATTTTTTTCTAGAATGATTTATCCTCTTTTTTTGAGCAGATTTTCCTTTTTTTTTTTTAATTGCTGGTCTGTCATGTACCCCATCAAGCTTCCACAAAAAAATTTAAAAAAGGAAAGCTGAGTGGTATTAATTGTTTCTGGGCTTGGTATCATTAGGCTCAATGTTGGACAAATAGGGAAATGGACTCATGTCAGAGGTTTGACTTATCGACACTGACAACTGTGAAGAGTCACATTCTCTTGTGAGAGAGCGAGCTGATAGTACAATAAGGGACAAAGAAAAAAGTATAGAAAGAGAAACATAAATTAAAATGTTTTCCTAGAGGCAAAGTTTCTATCTTTCCTTGGGCAAGACACTTATTTCCTCTGCATCTTATATAAAATAATAAATATTTTAATGATTGCTAGAAATAATATATGTAGATTGCTTAAATGTCAGGTAAAGGATACAGCTCCCCTTGAATAACCATGGCAATGTAAATTTCACTGGAACATGATGATGTCAAGAGCATTCCAATAGGATCAGAGGGCAGGGCTATTGAGCTTGGTTCCATGTTTAGTAGGCACCAGATTACAGTGGAGCATATGGGAATTTAAAGTCAAAGAACCTTCATCACTTCTTAGCTTGGTACTGTTGGGGAAGGCAACCAAGCACAGGCCCTGAGTGTCCCTACACCATCTAGCTGGGTAGGTCCAAAATGCAAAGCTCTGCCTACTCTCTACCTGGGCCATTTCTCAGGATTGTATTTTCCTTGAGCAACCTTCAGGGATGTGGTAATGCATCTATTAGAGACCAACAGCAAGTTTGCTTTCTGCTTGCTACAACATGGTGGATTTCCAAAGCCCAGTGTTCCTCAAGTGTGAGGCAAATCCACTGCATGCTTGACATTCATCTGATCTGTGGAGAGGCTTGGGGGAAAGGGGAAGCAGTGCAAATTGTGCTGCTTGCTGTGCTGTGAATAATAAAGTTCTTTGCCTCTGACCCAGGAGTCTTGTGTCTTTTGCCAGCATCCATGAAACAGTAATAAGCTAATTTACTAACTTGTAAGTTGAGAAAATTAAATCCTAGACCTGTCAATATCCTAGGTCAAATTATTAATTCATCAGATTCTTGGTTTGCTCATCTGTAGAACATAGACAATAGTAGTGTTATTTAAGGATTGGTATGGGCATTTAATAAGTAATTAAATGTGAAAAACCTGGCTCAATTCTTGTTGAGTGGTTGGATCTTTTCCAAAGCCCCAAGCTGTGTGGATGTTGCTGAGCCATTGCTACGGCATGGTCAGAGCCACAGCACTTGACAAAGCATTGATTTCTTCTTTTTTCCCATGCATGGGGTTCATCTTGCCATTGGGCACTAAACAGCTTGAGAACAGATCTGCATTGCATGTGTCTCTTGTAGCCCTGATTGGGCTTAGCATAGCATTGCTCAGATCCTGAGCGCCCAGAAAACAAGTATTTGAGCACTACTTGATGGACATATGCCTCTGCCCTTCAGGTAAGGCACTTATTCTGCACCTTGTCCATAACAGAATTGATATAATAAAATCTGTTTCACATGGTGGACAAGAGGCAGGATTAGATTGCAGCTCCGACTCGGATGGACAGAGCAGTATGTGGTATGGAGGCTTGTATTGTGAACTTCTGCTCCAGAACAACTGCAGGAATAAATCAGGAAAGCCAAGAAAACCCACACACCCTCTGAAGGAAGCAGACTGCTCCTGCAGGACCTGGCAGACACCTCAAATACTGTGAGTGCCTAAACTATGGAAGTGAGAAAGGGGGATCGTCTTCCCCTGAACATACACCTTCACTGGGGAAATGGAAGGTCTAGATCATGGGAGAAGATTCTGACCTTACCTGGAGCTGAGTCAATTTAGAGAGCCAAGTGAAATTCAGGGGTAGAGGAAGCAGCAGGAGAATCCCCGTGGGCTCACTGGGTCCCCTGGCAAGCCATTTCTTCCTCGCCTCACAGGGGTCTTTGGGGATGGTTGCTAGAGGTACTGGGAAAAGGCCTCAGGGAGAAGGAAACCTCCAGCTGAACTTTATAACAATTTGAACTGATCAAGAAGTCTCCTGGCCAGAACTCAGGGGAAGACATGAATCTGGTGTGCAAACTTCACAGGTAGGGGAAGCATGAAATCCCTACTTGCTTTCATAGCTGGGGGTGGGTAGCCTAGGGCAAGTTCTCAGCTCTGCTCACCCACTGCCTGGAAACAGACTTGGTGCTGTTGGTGGGAGCATGGTGGGAGTGAGACCGGCCCTTTGGGTTGTGTGGGAGCTGGGTGAAGCCAGATTTCCCCCACTTCCCTGACAACCTGCATGACACAGCAGAGGCAGCCATAATCCTCCTAGGAACATAATTTCATTGACCTGAGAACCTCACCCTCATCCACCACAGCAGCCGCAGCAAGACCCGCCCAAGAAGAGTCTGAGCTTAGACATGCCTAGCCCTGCTCCCACCTAATGGTCCTTCCCTACCCACCCTGGTAGCTGAAGAAAAAGGGCATATACTCTTGGGAGTTCTAGGGCCTAGCCCATCAACTGTTCCTCTCCATACTACCATAGCTAATGCTCCCTTGAAAGTGCCACCTGCTGGCAGAAGGCCAATCAGCACAAAAATAGTACATTAAACAACCAAAGCTAAAGATCCTCACAGAGTCCATTTCACTGCCCTGCCACCTCCACTGGAACAAGTGCTGGTATCCATGGCTGAGAGACCCACAGATGGTTCACATCACAGGACTCTGTGCAAACAACCTCAGTACCAGCCCAGAGCCTGATAGACTTGCTGAGTGGCTAGATCCAGAAGAGAGACAACATTCAATACAGCTTGGCTCTCAGGAAGCCACATCCCTAGGAAAATGGGTACAGTACTACATCAAGGGAACACCTTATGGGACAAAAGAATCTGAACAGTCTTGAGCCCTAGACTTTCCCTCTGACAGAACCTACCCAAATGAGAAAGAACCAGAAAACCAACTCTGGTAATACGTCAAAACAAGGTTATTTAACACCCCCAAAATATCACACTGGCTTACCAGCAATTGATCCATACCAAGAAGAAATTCCCAATTTACCTGAAAAAGAATTCAGAAGGTTTGTTATTAAGCTAATCAGAGAGGCACCAGAGAAAGACAAAGCCCAATTTAAAGAAGTTAAAAAAAAAAAAAAAGATACAAGACACGAGGGGAGAAATTTTTAATGAAATAGACAGCATAAATAAAAAACAATAAAAACTTCAGGAAACAATGAGCACACTTATAGAAATGCAAAATACTCCTGAAAGTCTCAACAATAGAACTGAACAAGCAGGAGAAAGAACTTCAGAGCTCGTAGACAAGGTTTTCCAATTAACCCAATTCAACAAAGGCAATAAAGAATAAGAAAATATGAACAAAGCCTCCAAGAAGTCTGGAATTATGTTAAACAACCGAATCTAAGAATAATTGGCATTCCTGAGGAAGAAGAAAAATCTAAAAGTTTGGAAAATATATTTGAGGGAATAATCAAGGAAAACTTCCCTGGGCTTGTTAGAGACCTAGGTATCCAAATACAAGAAGCTCAAAGAACACCTGGAAAATTCATTGCAAAAAGATCATCACCTAGGCACATTGTCATCAGGTTATCTAAAGTTAAGATGAAAGAAAGAATCTTAATAGCTGTGAGACAAAAGCACCAGGTAAACTATAAAGGAAAACCTACCAAATTAAAAGCAGATTTCTCATCAGAAACTCTACAAGCTAGAAAGGATTGGGGCCCTATCTTCAGCTTCCTTAAACAAAACAATTATCGGCAAAGAATTTTGTATCTAGTGAAACTAAGTTTCATAAACAAACGAAAGATACAGTCTTTTTCAGACAAACTAATGCTGACAGAATTCACCACTACCAAGCCAGCACTACAAGAACTGCTAAAAGGAGCTCTAAATCTTGAAACAAATCCTGGAAACACATAAAAGCAGAACCTCTTTAAAGCATCTATAAAACATCTTTAAAGGACACATACAACAAAAATAGAATTAAAAAATAAACAAAAAACCAAGGTATACAGGCATCAAAAAGCACGGTGAATGAAATGGTACCTCACATCTCAATACTATGGTTGAATGTAAATGGCCTAAATGCTCCACTTAAAGACACAGAATTGCAGAATGGATAAGAATTCACCAATCAACTATCTGCTGCCTTTAAGAGACTCACTTAACACATAAGGACTCATATAAACTTAAGGTAAAGTGGTGGAAAAAGACATTCCATGCAAATGGACACCAAAAGTGTGCAGGAATAGCTATTTTTATATCAGGCAAAGAAAACTTTAAACTTTAAACTTTAAAGCAACAGCACTTTAAAAAGACAAAGAGGGACATTATATATTGATAAAAGGCCTTAGCCAACAGGAAAATATAACAATCCTAAATATATTTGCACCTAACACTGGAATTCCCAAATTTATAAAACAATTACTACTAGACCTAAGAATTGAGGTAGACAGCAACACAATAATAGTGGGGGACTTTGATACTCCACTGACAGCACTAGACAGGTCATCAAGGCAGAAAGTCAACAAAGAAATAATGGACTTAAACTATACTCTGGAATAAATGGACTTAACAGATATTTCCAGAACATTCTACCCAACAACCACATAATATATATTATGTTCATCAGCACATTGAACTTTCTCCAGTGTAGACCATATGATAGGCCACAAAACGAGTCTCAATAAATTTCAGAAAACTGAAATTATATGCAGCACTCTCTCAGACCACAGTGGAATAAAACTGGAAATCAAATCCAAAAGAACCTTCAAAACTAGACAAATACATGAAGATGAAGTAACCTGTTACTGAATGATCATCGGGTAAACAATGAAATCAAGATGGAAATTAAAAAATTCTTTGAACTGAATAACAATAGTGACACAACATACCAAAACCTCTGGGATACAGCTAAGGCGGTGCTAAGAGGAAAGTTCATAGCCCTAAATGCCTACATGAAAAAGTCTGAAAGAACACAAGCAGACAATCTAGGGTCATACCCCCAGGAATTAGAGAAACAAGAACAAACCAAACTCCAACCCAGTAGAAGAAAGGAAATAACCAAGATCAGAGCAGAATTAAATGAAATTGAAACAACCAACTAAACAAACAATAACAAAAAAATACAAAAAATAAATGAAACAAAAAAACTGGTTATTTGAAAAGATAAATAAAATTGATAGACAATTAGCAAGATTAACCAAGAAAAGAAGAGAGAAAATCCAAATAAGCTCAATTAGAAACGAAATGGCACATATTACAACTGACCACAGAAATACAAAAGATCATTCAAGGCTACTATGAACATCTTTATGTGCATAAACTAGAAAACCTACAGGAGATGGATAAATTTCAGGAAAAATACAACCCACCTAGCTTAAATCAGGAAGAATTAGAGACCCTGAACAGACCAATAACAAGCAGCAAGATTGAAATGGTAATAAAAAAATTACCAACAAAAAAGTCCAGCATCAGACAGATTCATGGCAGAATTCTACCAGACCTTCAAAGAAGAATTGGTAAAAATCCTATTGACACTATTCCACAAGATAGAGAAAGAGGGAATCCTCCCTAAATCATTCTGTGATGCCAGTATCAATCTAATACCAAAACCAGGAAAGAACATAACCCAAAAATAAAACTACAGACCAATGTCCCTGATGAACATAGATGGTAAAATCCTTAACCAAATGCTAGCTAACTGAATCCAACAACATATCAAAAATATCATCCAACATGATCGAGTGGGCTTTATGGAAGGGATGAAGGGATGGTTTAACATACACAAGTCAATAAATGTGATACACCACATAAACAGAATTAAAAACAAAAATCACATGATCATCTCAATAGACACAGGAAAAGCATTTGACTAAATACAGCATCCCTTTATGATTAAAAAAACCTCAGCAAAATCGGCATAGAAGAGACATAGCTTAATGTAATAGAAGCCATCTGTGACAAACCCACAGCCAACTTAATACTGAATGGGGAAAAGTTGAAAGCATTCCCTCTGAGAACTGGAAAAAGACAAGGATGCCCATTCTCACCACTCCTCTTCAATGTAGTACTAAAAGTCCTAGGCAGAGCAATCAGACAAGAGAAAGAAATAAAGGACATCCAAATCAGTAAAGAGGAAGTCAAGCTGTCACTGTTTGCTGATGATATGATTGTTTACCTAAAAATCCCTAAAGACTCCTCCAGAAAGCTCCTAGAACTGATAAAAGAATTCAGGAAAGTTTCTGGATACAAAATTAATGTACAGAAATCAGTAGCTCTTCTATACACCGACAGCGACCAAGCTGGGAATCAAATCAAGAACTCAACCCCTTTTACAATAACTACCCAAAAATAAAATACTTAGGAATATACCTAATCAAGGAGATGAAAAACCTCTGTAAGAATAACTATAAAACACCGCTGAAAAACACATACACAAACAAATGGAAACACTTCCCATGCTTATGAATAGGTAGAATCAATATTGTGAAAATGACCATACTGCCATAAACAATCTACAAATTCAATGCAATTCCCATCAAAATACCACCACCATTCTTCACAGAACTAGAAAACAAGATCTTAGAATTTATATAGAACCAAAGCATAGCCAAAGCAAGACTAAGCAAAAAGAACAAAACTGGAGGCATCACATTACCTGATTTCAAGTTATATTATAAGGCCACAGTTACCAAAACAGCATGGTTCTGATATAAAAATAGGCACATAGATCAATGGGACAGAATAGAGAACCCAGAAATAAACCCAAATACTTATAGCAAACAAAAACATAAAGTGGGGAAAGGACACCCTATTCAACAAATGGTGCTGGGATAATTGGCAAAACACATGTAGAAGAACGAAACTGGATCCTCTTCTCTCACCTTACACAAAAATCAACACAAGATGGATCAAGGACTTAAATCCATGACCTGAAACTATAAAAATTCTAGAAGATAACATTGGAAAAACCCTTCTAAACATTGACTTAGGCAGGGCTTTTATGATCAAGAGTCCAAAAGCAAATGCATAAAAACAAAGATAAATAGCTGGGACTTAATTAAACTAAAAAGCTCTTGCGCGGCTGAAGGAACAGTCAGCAGAGTAAATAGACAACCCACACAGAGTGGGAGAAAATCTTCACAATCTATACACCTGAGAAAGGACTGGTATCCAGAATCTACAATGAACCTAAAGTAATTATCAAGAAAAAAACAAACAATCCCGGTAAAAAGTGGGCTAAGGACATGAATAGAAAATTCTTAAAAGAAGACATATAAATGGCCAACAAACATATAAAAAATGCTCAACATTACTAATGATCAGGGAAATGCAAATCAAAACAACAATGTGCTACCACCTTACTCCTGCAAGAATGGCCATAAATAAAAAATAGAAAATAATAGATGTTGGCATGTCTGCGGTGAACAGGGAACACTTCTACACTGCTGGTGGGAATCTACTCTAGTACAGCCACTATGCAAAACAGTGTGGAGATTCCTTAAAGAACTAAAAGTAGAACTACCATTTGATCCAGCAATCCCACTACTGGGTATCTACCCAGAGGAAAAAATGTCATTATATGACAAAAGATTCTTGCACACACATGTTTATAACAGTACAATCTGCAATTGCAAAAACTTGGAACCAACTGAAATGCCCATGAATCAATGAGTGGATGAAGAAACTGTGGTATATATATATGATGTGATGTGATATATATATGATGGAATACTACTCAACCATAAAAAGGAATGAATTAATGGCATTCACAGCGACCTGAATGAGATTGAAGACTATTATTCTAAGTGAAGTAACTCAGGAATGGAAAACCAAACATCATATGTTCTTACTCATAAGTGGGAGCTAAGCTATGAGGATGCAAAGGCATAAGAATAACGCAATGGATTTTGGGGACTCAGGCAGAAAGGGTGAGAAGGGGGTGAGTGATAAAAGACCACAAATTAGGTGCAGTGTATACTGTTCAGGAGATGGGTGCACCAAAACCTCACGAATCACCACTAAAGAACTTACTCATGTAACCAAACACCATCTGTTCCCCAATAACTTAGGAAATAAAAAATTTTTAAAAAATAAAATAAAATCTGTTTCACTTGCCTCATTGTTTTTCTTGGTATACAATGACATAATTAATGCATTTATAAAATTATGAATATTTGAATTCATAGAGTAATAACTCACATTTATTGACTCCTCTTTGTGTGCCAGCCACTAAATTTATGTATTTCATTTTAGCCTCTATGTAGCTTTGAAAATATTAAAAGATTATTTTACAGATGAGAAAACCAGGGCTCAGCAAAGTTGAATAAGTTTTCTAAAGTTACACAGCTACTAAAGGAAGCAGACAGTTTATGAACCCAGGGAAGTCTGACTCAGAGAATTGTGCTGCCTGATATAGTAGTCACTAGTCATAGTGGCTATTTTAATTAAAATTAATTAAAAATAAATGCAAAAAAAATTCAGTTTCTAAGTTGAATTTGTCATATAATGAGTGGCTAGTAGCTACTATATTGGATAGTGTAGAATAGAACGTTTTCATCATCAAATAAAGTTCTATTGGACAGCTCTAGAGCCCACTTTTTTCAGCTTATGATATATAGCACCAGCCTCCTTCCTACACCTTTTTATTCTTACTATTGTGCAACATTATAATTTTTATCAGCACACATCAATCCTGGTGCTAATCCACTCCAAGAGCACCTCTTACACCCTCCTTTGCTCAGGGCCTTCTGTTTCAACTCAATCCCGTTTTGTTCTGTTTGCCAACCTACAACCATGCCCCTTGATGCCCCACCATCCACATCAGTTGTCAGATTCCTGATCTAATTTTCTGTTTCCTGACATTGTCCCCTCAGATGGGACTTTCTGTTAATACTGTATCCTGTCCAAACACTGAGCACGCAGCTAGACTGAAACGAACTAGCTCTACCTAAATGTTCTGCTAAGTGCTGAATATATCTTATCCCATTTTCCACCAGAAAAAATCTAGATGGTAGTTAATAATATTCCTGTTTCAAAAATGTAGAAACCAAGGTTATGAGAAGCAAGAAATTAAGGTCAAATGGTTTATTAGGGTGCCAGACTGTTAGAAAATGACAGAACCAGGATTCCTGACTAGGACTCTTGATGCCAAGCTCTTGCTGTGTGTCTCTCCCCAGGGTGTATGGCTGCTTCAGGCTGTTCTCCATACTCAGGCTTATTCAGAAGAGCCACTGAAGCGCTAGACCTGAAAGGGCCTTAGGGGCTAGTCTCTCTCTCTAATTTTTCTACTCTGTGTGAATAAAAAACCGAGAGCATACTGTCTTACACATAATTTGATGCTCAGTAATTGTTTGTTGAAGGGAATTATCATCGCTTTCATTAACTGCTATTGTTATAGAGATGAAACAGAGATGTTCGAGAAACAAAAACAAATCTGGAATGTTTAGACTAGAAAGATTTTTTACAGCTAAAATATTTAAAAGTGTGGGCCCTATGTATTTCTCATGGACTAAGTGAATGCCCAGTGAAAGGCACAGATAAGGAATGTTACAGAAAAGCCCAATGGCAAAAACTAGTGGTAAATAGCCAAGAGCAGGCATCCTGAGAGGGCCAACTGGGAGCCAGGCCATCCTTTATAACCTAGACTCAGAGGTTATGGCATCACTTATGTCACATTCTATTCATCAAAGTGGTCACAAAATCTGCTGAGATTTAAGAGCAAAGTAAGTAGACTCCACCTCTTGATGGGGAGTGGAAAGATTCTGGAAAAGAATATGGAACCAGATATACTGCTGTGGTCTGTCTTTTGAAAAATACAATCTGCCATACTAATTATAGGTAGAGGGATGTACGGATTAGGGGCCTAATAAGATGAGAGAATTTAGGTAGAAAAGTAGTGTGGGGATATATTTAGAAATGAAGATTGGAGAACACAATATTCTAATTTGTCCATATAAATCATCAGAGGATCACATTTTGCCAGTAGACTATACTACCACAGTGAAATAGCCCAGTATTCAAGAGTTACAAAATCAGGTAAGTGAAAATATCTTTATTATCTCGCATGCTCACTGTTAAATACTTCCTTGTATTATGTTTCACCAATAATTCAAAAAATGGCACTTGGAAATACTAGGTAGAAACTTAAATTCAACCAGTCACTGAAATAGAGCTGAGAAATTGGATCTGTGCTTCATCTGTTGAGTTATGAAGAGACTGGTAACCTATGTATTGTATTTGATATAGTATATTAAAGACTAAAATACAATAACTTTAGGAATATTATATAACATAAGCTTATGCTGTCTTAAGCCACCTTTCAGAATAAGTAGTCATGATTGACACAAGCCCTTCAGCTTTCAAGAACTTTGCTTTCAGGTATGTTTTGATGTTTCAGGGGTGATACATGCTCCCTAAAAGTCTGATATTACTGAGCACATTGCCTGGCGTGAGTTTTATTCTCTGCCAGTCTGTACTCTACTGTCCTGCCAGCACTGTCATGCTGGATGTTCAAGGCTCCCCTGGGCATGGACTGCTCTGACCAGGATCACCACTAATGAGTGGATTCCTGAGAAAAATACTGCTTGAGAAGTACACAAGCAGTACTGTCTTGGGACCACCCCATCAACAGAGCACAACAGAAAAGTGAAGACATGCATTTCTTCCCCGTGTTAGCTGCTTGTGTCCTGATCTTTGACAGGTATTTAGAGAAACAGCAACTCCAGAGGCACTCATCCATGGGGTGGTGTGGTGGGCATAGTCACCTGAGAGTAAAAACATTGCACTTAAAAATAACTTCTCATGAAGCTGCTTCTGCCAAAGTGGAGTTTCCCCATTTCCCCAAGTTCTCTTTCTTACAACAAAGACCTCCTAGACTTAACACAATAATCCACATAGAAATTATTTGACCTTTAGAAAGAATGTGGGCTGTCCAGAGACTCAGGACTTGAGGAACAACACAGCAGTGAGTTTTCTGGGTTTTCTTATTGCCTCCCATGTATGTCTCCCAGATAGAGAGAAGAAGCCTCAGATCCAGAACCACCAGCAGGCACAGAAAAAAAAAAAAAAGAAAAAAGAAAAAGAAGTTGCAAGAAATGCCTATTTTCTTCAGTTAATGGCCAAGAAAAAGGTGGCCTAGCATCAGAAAATACTTTTGGTAATACTTGTCTACGTCAGTCAAATATGAACAGGAACGATACTCCTCAGTTCTTGTAGACTCAGCAGAGCCGAACAGAAAGTTGATCTTCCATACTCCCTTTCCTCCACCCTTGGAAGCACGTGGCATGCTGTAGTTTTTTCTCTGGACATTATCAGCCTGGTTGAGCATGGAGCTGGTCTTCTTTCCCTCTCCTGGCAGAAGTAGGTGACAGTGACCCAATTTTCCTGCAGGTGAAGTGTTGGGGAGATTGAGTATGAATCCTGCATTCTACACACAGTTGAAGCAGGGAGTGTTCAGATTGTTCTACTATGATTGTGTTAGCTGGGTCCATCGGTGCATAAAGCTGCCATTCCCACCCAGCAGCAGCAAGACTTAATGAGATGGTCCAGAAAGGGCCTTCACCCTCTCTGCTCTGCTTCTATCCTGTCATGTGATTGGGGCCAACAGGGTAGCTGAAAATATTCAACGACCTAGACCTCACATAATACCTCAACAGAAGAACTGCCTGAAAAACCGAAAAAGATTAAATAGATTGCAGAGTTTCATAACATAATATCCAAAAAGTCCAGAATTTTACTGACAATCACATAAGAACCAGGAAAATCAACAGAAACAAACTCCAAGATGAATTAGAGGTTGGAAATATCTAATAAGGATTTTAAAGCAACCCCCAAAGTGCTTCAACAAGCAGTTATGAGTTCTCTTGAAACAAATGAGAAATTAGAAAATCTTGACAAAAAAGAAGGATAATCAAGATAAGTAAACATATCTGTATTAATCTGTTTTCACACTGCTATAAAGAACTGCCTGAGACTGGGTGATTAATAAAGAAAAGAGGTTTAATTGACTCACAGTTCTGCATGGCTTGGGGGCCTCAGGAAACTTACAGTTATGGCAGAAGTTGAAAGGGAAGCAGGCAAGGCTTACATGGTGGCAGGAGAAAGAGAGAAAGAAGGGGAAAGCACCTTCTTTCAGACACTTATCAAACTACTAGATCTCATGAGAACTCACTCACTATCATGAGAACAGTAAGGGGGAAATCTACCCCCACGATTCAATCACCTCCCACCAGGTCCTTCCCTAGACACATGGGGATTACAATTTGAGATCAGATTTGGGTGGGGACACAGAGTCAAACCATATCCTTCAGCCCCTGCCTCCTCCCAAATCTCAAGACCTTTTCACATTTCAGAACAAATTATGCCTTCCCAACAGTCCCCCAAAGACTTAACTCATTCCAGCATTAACTCAAAAGTCCAAGTCCAAAGTCTCATCTGAGACAAGGCAAGTCCCTTCTGCCTATGAACCTGTAAAATAAAACACAAGTTAGTTATTTCCAAATTAGTTACTACAATGGGTGTACAGGCATTGGGTAAATGTTCCCATTTTGAATGGGAGAAATTGGCCAAAACAAAGATCTGATGCAAGTCCAAAACCCAGCAGGGCAGTCATTAAATCTTAAAGCTCCAAAATCTTCTTTGACTCTGTGAAAGGAAATTAATCTTGAGGCTGTCAAATCACTAAGCTAAAGGGAAAAGTCAAGCTGGGAACTGCTTAGGACAAACCTGCCTCCCATTCTATTCAAAGTCATCCCTCTGCTCACTGAGATAGATGCATATCTGATTGCCTCCTTTGGAAAGGCTAATCAGAAACTCAAAATAATGAAACTGTTAGTGTCTCACCTATCTGTGACCTGGAAGCCCTGTCCCTGCTTTGAGCCTTCCTGCCTTTGCTTCAAATTGTCCCACCTTTCCAGAGGGAACCAATGTACTTTTTACATATATTGATTGATGTCTCATGTCTCCCTAAAATGTGTAAAACTAAGCTGTGCTCCAAACACTGTGGGCACATGTCATCAGAACTTCCCGAGGCTGTGTCATGGGTATGTCCTCAACCTTGGCAAAATAAACTTTATAAATTAACTGGGACCTGTCTCAAATTTTTAGGGTTGATAGCTCCATGTCTCACATCCAGGACATGCTGATATATGGGATGAGCTCCCATGGCCTTGGGCAGCTCTGACCCCATGGCTCTGCAGGGTACAGCCCCCGTGGCTGCTTTCACAGGCTGGTGTTGAGTGCCTCCAACTTTTCCAAGTGCATGGTGCAAACTGTCGGTGAATCTACCATTCTTGGGTCTGGAGGACTGTGGCCCTCTTCCCACAGCTCCACTAGGCAGTGCCTGAGTGGGGACTTTGTGTAGGGGCACAAACCCCACAATTCCCTTATGCATTTCCCTAGTAAAGTTTCTCCATTATGTCTCTGCCTCTGCAGAAGACTCGGCCTGGACATCCAGGTATTTCCATACATCCTCTGAAATCTAGACAGAGGTTCCCTAAGCTCAATTCTTCTCTTCTGTGGACCTGTAGGCCAAACACTACATGGAAGCCATGAATGCTTGGGACCTGTACCCTCTGAAGCAACAACCCAAGCTATAACTTGGCCCCTTTTAACTACAGCTGGAGCTGTAGTGGCTGGGATGCAGGGCACTAAGTCCTGACGCTGCACAGAAGAGAGGGGCCCTGGGCCTCGCCCACAAAACCATTTTTTCCTCCCAGGCCTCTGAGCCTGAGATGGGAGGGCTACCATGAAGACCTCTGATATGCCCTGGAGACATTTTTCCAATTGTCTTGGTTACTAACATTTGGTTCCTTGTCACCTATGCAAATTTTTGCAGCTGGCTTGAATTTCTCCCCAGAAAATGGGTTTTTCTTTTCTACCTCATGGTCAGGCTGCAAATTTTCCAAACTTTTATGCTCTGTTTCCCTTTTAAATAAAATTTCCAGTTTCAGATAATGTCTTGTGAATGCATATGACTGAATGCTTTCAGAATTAGCCAGATCACCTCTTGAATGCTTTGCTGCTTATAAATTCCTCTGCCAGATACCCTAAATCATCTCTCTCAAGTTCAAGTTCCACAGATCTCTAGGCCAGGGACAAAATGTTGCCAGTCTCTTTGCTAAAGCATATCATAAGTGATCTTTACTCCAGTTCCCAATAAATTTCCTCATCTTCATCTGGGAACACCTCAGCCTGGACTTATTATTCATGTGACTATCAGCATTTTGTTCAAAACCATTTAACAAGTCTCTAGGAAGTTTCAAACTTTCTCACATCTTCCTGTCTACTTCTAAGCCCTCCAAAAACTCTTTCAATCTCTGCCCATTACCCAGTTCCAAAGTCGATTCCACATTTTCAAATTATCTTTATAGCAGTACCCTACTCTGCCAGTACCAATTTTCTGTATTAGTCTTTTCTCACACTGCTATAAAGAACTGACTGAGACTAGGTGATTAATAAAGAAAAGAGGTTTAACTGACTCACAGTTCTGCATGGTTGGGTGACCTCAGGAAACTCACTATCATGGCAGAAGGTGAAAGGGAAGCAGGCACATCTTACATGGTGGCAAGAGAGAGAAAGGGAAAGTGCCAGACACTTACCAAACTACCAGATCTCACGAGAAATTACTCACGGTCATGAGAACAGCAAGGGGAAAATCCATCCACATGATCCAATCATTTCCCATCAGGTCCCTCTCTTAACATATGAGGATTAGATTTTGAGATGAGATTTGGGTGGGGGCACAGAGCCAAGCCATATAAATATCTTCACAATATCTTCAGAAATTTAAATCCAAAACATAATAACTCTCCATTCTAAAAAAGAGGGAGAGAGAGAGAAAGAAAAAAGACCCAACAGCAAAAAGCAAAACTTTGTGGATTGGGCTCAATAGTACAGTGGAGTTGACAGAGGATAAAATCACTGAACTTGAGGGCATATCAATAGACCAAGCTTGTTTAACCTGTGGCCTGCAGGCTGCATGTGGCCCAGGATGGCTTTGAATGCATCCCAACACAAATTTGTAAACTTTCTTAAAACATTATGAGATTTTTTTTGTTTTGCAATTTTTAAAAAGCTCATCAGCTATTGTTAGTGTTAGTGCATTTCATTTCTGGCCCAAGACAATTCTTTTTCCAGTATGGCCCAGGGAAGCCAAAACATCAGAAACTCCTGCAATAGACCTTTCCCAATCTGAACAACATGGAGAAGATAGATTGATAAAAAACAAAACAAAACAATAAGCAAAGCCTCATGGTCCTGCAGGAAAATGACAAAAAAATCCAAGACTTATAACACTGAATTTAAAGAAGAAAAGAAAGACACTGAGGCTGAACAAATATTCAGAGGAATCATGGAAGAAAACTTCAAATTTGGAAAATGAAAAAACCTACAAATGCAAGAAATTGAAATAACTGCAAATAGAATAAGCCCAAGAAATCTAGGCCAAGACACATCATAATTAACTTCAGCATTCTAAAACCAAAGAAGAAAATCTTCAAAACACCAAGAGAAAAAAGATGCATTATTTATAGAGAAATGCCAATTTGAATAACAGTGGATTTCACATCTGAAACAATGGAAGCCAGTAGGAAATGGAAGATTTTTTCAGTACTGAAGTAAAGAGCTCTCAACCAAGAATTATCTGTCCAGCAAAAACAACTTGCAGAAATGAAGGGGAAATACATTTATTCTTAGAGAAAAACAAAGATAATACTCTGCTAGCAAATCTACTTGTAAAGAATTCCTAAAGGAAGTTCTCTAAACAAAAAGAAGACACTAACATAGGAAGACTCATCACTTCAGAAAGGAAAGAAGAACTTTGAAGTGGATGAAAATAGGGGTAAATTTAGTAGATCATCCCTATTATGTTTGATGGTTGAAGCAAAAATTATAAAGCCATCATATGTGGTGCTCAATATATAAAAAGGAAATACTTAAGACAATTATATCTTTGAAATGAAGAGAGAAAACAAATTTAAAAGGAAGTCTTCTATACTTTGCAAGAAGTAGTAAAACATCAATGCCAGTAGACAGTGATGTTATGTGAGTATATTGTAATACCTCAAGCAACCACTAATAAAATGATACAAAGTGACATATTAAAAACACCATAAATAAATCAAGTTACTTCTTTAAAAAAATCAATAAAATTGATAAAACTCTAACAAGACTGACATAAGAAAAGATACAGTTCACCAATATCAGGAATGAAATAGAAAATATAGAAGCTATTATTATAAATCCTGCAGCCAGGAAGGAGATAATCAGAGAATACTGTGCATGTTACACTCATAAATCTGACAATTTAGAAGAAACTACCAAACTACCAAAAAATCAAATGAGAAGAAATTGAAAACCTGGATAGTATTTTTATCATTAAAGAAATTAAATTTTTAATTTAAAGACTCTCAAAAAAATTTCCAAGTCCCGGTGGTTTCATTGCAGAATTACACAATTTTACCAAAGATTTAAAGAATTAATGCCAAGTTTATACTATCTCTTCCTGAAAACAAAAGAGAAGGGAAAATGTCTCAGTTCATTTTATGAAGCTGGGATTAACTTGATAACATGACCAGCCATACATAGCACAAAAACGAAAACTATACATCAATATCTTTTGTGAAGTTAGATATAAAAGTTATCCACAAATAGTTAACAAATATCACTTTCTATTAAAATTAACTCAAATTGGATCACAAACAAATATAAAATGTAAAACTCTAAGCCTCCTTCAGGAGAAAAATAGGAGGACATTTTCAGGATCCATAGTTAGACAAAGTTTTTAGGATACACCAAAATTAAGAAAAACAAATATAATCTGATAAATTAATCTTATCAGAATGAAAAACTTTCATCCTGAGAAAAACCCTGTGAAGAGACTGAAAAGATAGGTTACAGACTGTCAGAAAATATTTGCAACCACATATTTGACAAAAGACTGATATCTTGAATATATAAAAACTCTCAAATCTCATCAGTAAAAGAAAAACAAAATAAGCAACAAAAATAAACCATTTCATTTAGAATAAGGACAAATGAAATGAAGAAACATTTTACTAAAGAAGAAAAATAATTGTTGAATAAGCATGAGATGTTAAATGTCATAAGTCAATAGAAAAATGCATATTAGAGCCATAATATGATATCATTATACACTTATCAGAATGGCTAAAATTTTAAAAATAGTAATGACCACACCAAATGCTGGCAAGGATCCTGAGAGCACTCATACATTCCTAGTAGAATGTAAAATGGTACAACCAACCCCTCTGGAAAACAGTTTGGAGGTTTCTTATGAAATGACCCAAGCATTGCATTTTTGTTTTTCTTCTGCTTTTCTTATGAAATGACCCAGCAATTGCACTTTTGTTTGTCCAACCTAGAGAAAGAAAATTTATACTCACATAAAAACATATACATGATTGTTCATAGCTATTTTATTCTTATTAGCTAAAAACAAAACAAAACAAAACAAAACAAAACACCAATCAGATATCCTTTAATGAGTAGATAGTTTAAAAAGAAAAACAACCATGGGATGATATACAGCAATGCAAAGAACAAACTATTGATACATGCAACAACCTTGATGAATCTCCAGATAATTTTACTCTCAGCAATAAAACATAATTGAGAGAGTTCCTGCAAGGCCAGATCCTTTAGTGATTTCATTTTAAGGAGCAGAGGGTATCTCAGATACTGCAAGTATCAAAATTAGAAACTGACAACTCCCATGCTGAGATCAGCACTTTTTCTAACATGTGAGAACTTTTATAAAATTTAACCCTTTTATCCTCTAGCAATTCTGATTTTAAAACTGCTAGTTATTATTACCTCCTTCCTGCTTTTGTGTAGGACTTTTATCCTCCATTAACAACCCAAATGGTACTATAGTTCCTCTGTATAGTAGCTTTACCAGGCTCCATTAAGTAGCTGGATGGCATGTTGGTAAATGTTTAAACACTGGTTCTCTGAGCCAAAAATAACATATATATACTCATGTATACCCATATATACATTTAGGTACATTCATTTACTGACATAAAGAATGTATATGGCACATAATTTACAAATAACAAAATATACAATATGCTGTATTGTAAATTCCATATAGGAAATAAATTCTTGCAGAGTGCTTTGCTGATCTTTGTGGAACTCACATCTATGGCTAACCTAAGGTTACAATGGACAGACAACTATAGTTCCCAAATGATGTTGGCTGACATTTTTGTTTACGTTAACAAGTAAGAAAACAGTGAAAAAAAAAACATATATCAGAACTTCACTCATTCACCAATGACCTGAGTATGTTCTTTGTGCATTCAAATAATGGTTGTTAAATATTGGAATGTTTTCTAAATTTGTGTGCTATTTGCCATGTGACAGCTACAGATATAACATATTTTGAAGTTTAATCTGCATTATTAACTTTTCTTCATTACTTTGTTTAGTCTAGACAGGGCTCAGTAAACTTTGTGAAGTGTCACATGGTAAATATTTCAGGCTTTGCAGTCCTGACCTTCTCTGTGGTAACCGCCCAGGTCTGCCATTGTGACATGGAAACAGCCGTGGACAGTAAGTAAATGAACAAGCCTGACTGTGTTCCAGTTAAACTTCATTTACAAAACAAGTGACAAGTTGGATTATTTGGCCAACGGGCCATAGTGCGTCAAGCCCTGTGCTAGACCAGGAGTGAGAAAATTTTTCTGTGAAGTGACAGATAGTAAACGTTTTAAGCTTTGCAGCTACATCAGTTCTGTGTAGCATATTCTTTGTTTCCTGTCTATAACCCTTTGAAAATGTGAAACTCATTCTTAGCTTTAGGCCAGATTTGACTCACTTGCCTTAGTTTGGTGATTCCTGGTCTACACAACCAGCAAAATGATACACTAAGCCTTGATTTGTAGGACTTCCCTTCTTCTCTGGTGTAACTATTCCCATGGCTGATTTTAAGCAGCTATTAATGTGATGTCACTGAACGCAGAGTTGGGAAGGGAGGAATAGTAGAACACAGGGATAGATATTTCTACCACAGACTTACAATACATGGAAATGATCTGAAGAACATAGAAAATGGTCAGATCATTAGGAAGGAATAAATTTTGAGTATTTGTTACCTTTGTTTAAAACATTAAATAATTATTGTCAGGCCTCTGAGCCCAAGCTAAGCCATCATATCCCCGGTGACCTGCACGTGCACATCCAGATGGCTGGTTCCTGCCTTAACTGATGACACTCCACCACAAAAGAAGTGACAATGGCCTGTTCCTGCCTTAACAGATGACATTACCTTGTGAAATTCCTTCTCCTGGCTCATTCTGGCTCAAAAGCTCCCCTGCTGAGCACCTTGTGACCCCCACCCCTGCCCGCCAGAGAACAACCCCCCTTTTTCCTTTACCTACCCAAATCTTATAAAACGGCCCCACCCCTATCTCCCTTCACTAACTCTCTTTTCAGACTCAGCCCACCTGCACCCAGGTGAAATAAACAGCCTTGTTGCTCACACAAAGCCTGTTTGGTGGTCTCTTCACATGGACACGAGTGAAAATTATAATTACATTTAATATATTAAAAATCATATTTCTATTTTATACTACATTAATTATAATTAAACTTAAACTTAATTCAATTTAATTTGTTCATAATCAAAATAACATAAGTTGAATTAAATTTATATTTAAAACTACTTTATTAAGGTATGGTTGGCATACAGTAGGCTATATATATATTTAATGTATATAAGGATGAGTTTGGAGGTAAGTATAAAATTACATTTAAATTTTATTATTATTGTAAACTAGAGGTGACCTGGTTGGTGGATAAATTCTTGCCACCATAATGTCCATGGTCATGGACCATGGAACTGTGGACCATGGAACTATATTAGGTAGAGTGTGCTGGGATGGAGCTAAAGAAGAAAGCATTAAGACAGGGGTCCCTGAGGATGCAGGAACTGATATATGGATCTAAAGATAGGGTTAGAGAGCAGGGAAATTAGAGCAGCAATTATTGTGTCCAGGAAGGAAGATGGCAACTGGTCTGGGGAAATTTTAGAAATGGGGAACACACCCACTGTTAGGCAGTGACTCCCCAGCAGATGTTTGTAGGGACTGAGTGGGCGATTGTCTGTAAAGCTCTTTACATGGATCTGGTAGTAGTAGGAAGGACTCAAATATGCTAAATATTATTAGTAGTATTAAATAGGGAGAGAATGAGAAGCTGGGATTGGAGCCCATGATACTTCTTCCATTGGGTCAGAGAGGGAACTGCCGTTCCTAATGAGAATCTCATCTGTGGAATGCCAGAGGGCCAAAGCTTTTTAGATTCATCTGTGTGCAGAACAAACCAGCCACCCAGGGTGTGAATGAGAGATTAGTGTGTGTTCATGTACAAATTAACAGGCGGGTTCACTCCATTCCAGCTTCAAGCCGACAGCGCCAGCTGTGTGGCAGCCACGTGCATTATAGCTCCAAGCTTTCCACCCACAACAATGCCTCGTCACAACAGCATCAAGAAACTTGGCCGGGTGAATAGGAGTGAATGCCAGACAAAGCCAAACGCAGCCTATCTCCTATTTCTTGATGTTCCTCTTTGTTCATTTGTGGTCTCTGACAAGGTACAGCTGAAAAGAAAGAATTAATCCCTAGCAAATCCTATAAAACAACTGTATGGGAGGCGGACTCATTTACTCAGCTGCAGGTAAGAATGTCACTTGGAGGTAGGAAGCTCCGTGCAAAGTGTCATGCAGCCCTGAAAAGAAAGAGATGCTCCATTGGAGCAGTGGTCTATTATTATTCCCAGTCTTGATTAGGGAGGCAGTTTGGCTGTATAGTTTTGGCAGCATCTTTGCCCAGGGAAAAGAGGTAAACTGAGAGAGAAAGGGTGACATGAAAGAAAAAAAGTGAAGACAGTAATAGTGACACTATGGAAAAGAGCAGAGATACTTGATTGAGGGACTTCATAGGTCAGTGTTCGGCTTAGAAGGAACACACAGGATTAGTAGTACATGTTCCCAAGGAGTGCCTTGTGGGCACTTGAAGTCTGAAAGCAGCTTTTCTTTGATTGTTGAGGACCTTAAGTAATACTAATGTGAAATTAGCAGACTGAAGTTATTCTAGGAAAAAAATCTAACCTGCACAAGGAATCAAATTAAAGAGCCACTTGAGTCTTTTTCTACAGCCTTATAATAGAAGAACTTACAAGGTGGATGGGCAGAGTGTCACCGCTTCACAGTAAAAGTTTTATCCAGGTGAACTCACTAGTATAAGCCAAGAGATAGGGCATCTCTGCCCAAATGTCCTGGCTTGAACCCCTCTACTGCCCTCCCTCCACAAAACCATCCCAATATTTCATCCTCTCTGATAAACATCCTTAATTCCCCACAGGTGGTCAGTTACCCATCAAGCCTACTTCTTTTATTTTATTCACGCCTGTTGCCCTTCATTCAACCAGATGGCCACTCTCCTCTCAGATGATCACTATTTTCCAGCTGGATTGCTGCTGATCTCTTTTCCAAGTTGCACCTCTTCTTCATCCTGATACAGGAGATAGAAAGAAATTATTTAGGCAGACAGTGAGGGTAAAAGAGTCCTTGGCAAGGCTTCCCTTCTAACAAAAAAGCAGCCCAAGAAATTATTTTTTTTTTTAACAAAGAGCTGCCTGAAAAATCAGGCTGCAAACACAGATAAGCAAGCTGGAAGCTTGCACGGGGGAATGCTGGCAGCTGTGCCAATGGAAAAGGGCTACCTGGGGCCAGGCATGTTCAACATGGAGGTTCCATCTTCCCTTTTCTTTGTTACCATGTACAGTAAAGAAACAGGCAACACGGCACTGATAGGTAGAGAACCCATCTACGTAATAAAAGATTAGGGTGGTGGTGGCCAGCCTCTCATGCCCTATGCAAATGCCACACCTAGTCCTAACCAGCTTTTCATGCCTTATGCAAATGGCACACCTGTTCTGACCAATCTTTCATGCCCTATGTGAATCAGACACTGCCTCCTCAAGCTCATTTGTAAAACCTCCTGAATTTCACCATAGAAGCAGAAAACCCAGTTGGGACCCCTCCCTCTGCAGCAGAGAGAGCTTTTCTCTTTCTTTCACCTATTAAACTTCCACTCTGAACCTCAGTGTTTGTGTGTCCGCATCCTAGTTTTCCGTGGCCATGAGACAACAAGTCTTGGGTATTTACCCTAGACAATGATGCTGCTTCGATTCCAGTCTCCCCAGGGTTGCCAGAGTGATCTTGTGAACATTCAGTCCCTTGCTTGTCATCTTCAAGTACATATAAACTTAAATTCCTTGGTACAGTTCACGAGGCTTTTTGTTATCTTGTTTCTGCCAAGAGACATCCTGCGTTTCAGCCCCTCTCCTATTTTCTTCTTTCCACCCTGACCTCACACGTGTTTGCATTTCAAAAGTGCTGAATTGTTTGCAAATTTCTGCACTTTGTCATAAACTGTTCCCTTGCTTGGATTGTTCTTCCTTTGATTTTGTCTCTCATCTTGTATTAGATTTTTGGTCTTCAGAAATCAACACCAACAGCCCTTCACCACTCAATCCCATCTAATGTAGGCAGCTATTTTTACTACAGACCTCACCTCCTTTCTTAAAAATAAAAGGCGGGGGGTTGCTTCAATACTCATGAATCCTACTCGGGAAAAATATTTCCAGATAATGCTTCCCTAGGGAGAAATTAGAAGAAAAAGTGTTAAGTAAAAAAAAAAAAAGGCCAGTTTCTTAAGGAGGGAATAATAAACGGGTTTGTTCATTTTAAAATATAAATGTAAAATTCTAGGTAAAAATTACACAAATATTTATTAACTGCCTGTTGATGGTTATTTCACTGTGTTTCAAGAGTGTGAAAAACCCAAGCTTTAAAGAGTTTATTCAAGTGCAGAGTTTAAGGGGAGTCACTCAGAAAACAGACTACAACGGGAAGCACAAAGAGTGGAGGAGGGTGAAGGAAGATTGCCTTGAAGTTTGAATTCTACTCAATATAAAATGAGGAATTTAAAAAGATGCTTGAATAGTGGAGTATACTTTTTAAATTTTATTATTTTTAAAAATTTCAAACAGTAAAATTTAATTTTTAAAACTGGTTTTTTTTTGTTGTTGAATGATAGGAGTTCTTTATATTGTGAAAATAATTTAGATTAAAGCTATTGAGACTTTAAATTACTTTGAGCCTTAAAGAAAATGTGATTGTGAGACCCAAGTCACACAGCAAGCTGCTGTAACCTTTGCTTATCTGATTATAGATTAACTCATTTCTTGTTTTTTAATTTATTTATTTATTTTGCCCTGTAAAATGCTGTAAAAGACTAACTGGTTCCAGAGATAAGACCCCGCCCCTCTTAATTATTGACCCTTTATTATAGATTAACTTCCTTCCTTTTTCTTGTACACTACCCAGACCAGGTGACAGAAGACCTTTTGATAATCAAATTGCTCAAGATGAAATGATAAATCTACCTTTCCTGAAAAAGGACAAACTGTAATCAATCAAATTGTTTTAACTTATAAACTAGCACTGTATGGAAAATGTTGCAATCTCACAAAGCTTTCCTGCTTCTGCCCATAAGTGAAGCCTCATCTTCTTCATTTCAGAGCACTGACCCCTTCCCTTTGTAGTCTTTTTTCTGAGTGGCTCCCCTTAAACTCTGCACTTGAATAAACTCTTTAAAACTTGGGTTCTTCACACTCTTGAAACACAGTGAAATAAAAATAGAATTCAATATGAAGAAAATAGCTCAAACCATACAATTACATGGGAATTAAGCAACCTGCTTCTGAATGATTTTTGGGTAAATAATGAAACTAAGGCAGAAATCAAGAAGTTCTTTGAAGCTAATGAGAACAAAGATACAATGTACCAGAATCTCTGAGACACAGCTAAGCCATGGTAAGAGGGAAATTTATAGTACTAAATTCTCACATCAAAAAGTCATAAAGATCTCAATTTAACCACCTAACATCACCACTAGAAGAACTAGAGAAGAAAGACCAAACCAACCCCAAAGCTAGCAGAAGACAAGAAATAACCAAAATGAGAGCTGAACTGAAGGAGATTGAGACATAAAAAACCATAAAAATAAAATAAATGAATCCCAGAGTTGGTTGTTTGGAAAAAATAAGATAGACTGCTAGCCAGATTAATAAAAACGAAAAGAGAGAAGATCCAAATAAACACAATTAGAAATGACAAAAGGATCTTACCACTGACCCCACAGAAATACAGATAATCAGAGACTACTACAAACACTTCTATGCAACAAACTAGAAAATCTAGATGAAATGGATAAATTCCTGGACACAAACATTCTGTCAAGTCTGAACCAGGAAGAAATGGGATTCCCAAAAAGAGCAATAATGAGCTCTGAAATTAAATCAGTAATAAATAGCCTATCAACCAAAAAAACCCCAGGACCAGAAAAATTCAGAGCCAAATTCTACTAGATGTACAAAGAAGAGCTGGTACCATTCCTACTACAAGTATTCCACAAAATCGAGGAAGAGGGACTCCTCTCCAACTCATTCTATTAGGCCAGGATAATTCTGACACCAAAACCTGGCAAAGACACAATAAAAATAAAAGAAAACTTCAGGCCAATATCCTTGATGAACATAGATGCAAAAATCCTCAACAAAACACTGGCAAATTGAATCCAGCAGCACATCCAAAAGCTAATCTACGAGGATCAAGTATGCATTATCCCTGGGTGCAAGGTTGATTTAACATACATAAATCAATAAATGCAATCCTTCACATAAACAGAACCTAATACAAAAACCACATGATTATCTCAAGAGATGCAGAAAAGCCTTTCAATAAAATTCAACATCCCTTCATGTTAAAAACTCTCAATAAACTAGGCATTGAAGGCACACACTTCAAAATAGTAAGGGCCATCTATGGCAAACCCACAGCCAACATCATACTGAAAGGGCAAAAGCTGGAAGCATTCCCTTTGAAAACTGGCATAAGACAAAGATGCCTTTTCTCATCACTTCTACTCAACATAGTATTGGAAGTCCTGGCCAGAGCCATCAGGCAACAGAAAAAAACAAAACACATTCAAACTAAAAAAGAGAAGTACCAATCCCTTTTTGCAAATGACATGATTCTATGTCTAGAAAATCCCACAGTCTCGGCCCAAAAGCTCCTTGAGCTGACAGTTTGGTGAAGTTTCAAGGATACAAAATCAGCACACAAAAATAACATTCCTATACACCACCAACAGCCAAGCCAAGAGCTAAATCACGAATGCAATCCCATTCACAATCACAACAAAAAGAATAAAACCCCAAGGAATACAGCTAACCAGGGAGGTGAAAGATCTCTACAATGAGAATTACAAAACACTGCTCAAATAAATCAGAGATAACAGAAACAAATGGAAAAAATATTCCACGCTCATGGATAGGAAGAATCAATATCATTAAAATGGCCATATTGCCCACAGCAATTTACAGATTCAATGCTATTCCTATCAAACTACCAGTAACATTTTTAACAGAACTAGAAAACAATATTTTAAAATTTATATGGAACCAAAAAAGAGCCTGAATAGCCAAGGCAATCCTAAGCAAAAAGAACAAAGCTGGAGGGATCACACTACCTGACTTCAAACTATACTACAGGGCTACAGTAACCAAACCAGCATGGTCCTGGTACAAGAACGGAAGAGACCAGTAGAACAGAATCAAGAGCCCAGAAATAATAATGCACACTTGAAATCATTTTATCTTTGACAAACCTGAAAAAAACAAGCATTTGGAAGGGACTTCCTATTCAATAAATAGTTCTGGGATAACTAGCTAGCCACATGCAGAAGACTGAAGCTGGACCCTTACCTTACACCACATACAAAAATCAACTCAAGATGGATTAACGACTTAAATGCAAAACCTAAAACTGTAAAAACTCTGGAAGATAACCTAGGAAATACCATTCTGAACATAGATACTGGCAAAGATTTCACGACATGCTGAAAGCAATCGCAACAAAAGCAAAGACTGACAAATGGGACCTAATTAGACTAAAGAGCTTCTGCACAGGAAAACAAACTATCAACAGAGTAAACAGACAAAATACAGAATGGAAGAAAATATTTCCAAACTATGATCCTGAAAAAGGTCTAATACCCAAAAACTATAAGAAATGTAAATAAATTTACCAGCAAAAAACAACCCTGTTAAAAAGTGGGCAAAGGACATGAACAGATACTTTTCAGAAAAAGACATACACATGGCCAACAAGTGTATGAAAAGATGCTCAGCTTCCCTAACCACTAAGGAAATGCAAACCAAAACCACAAGGAGATACCAGCTCACACCAGTCACAATGGCTATTAGGTAAAAAATAAAAAAAATAACATGCTGTCGAAGTTGTGGAGAAAGGGTAATGCTTATACACTACTGGTGGGAGTGTAAATTAGTTCAACCATTGTGAAAAACAATGTGGTGATTCCTCAAAGAATTAAAAACAGAATTACCATTTGACCCAGCAATCCCATTATTGGGTATATACCCACAGGAATATAAATCGTTTTACCAGAAAGACACATGTACATGTATGTTCATTGCAGTACTGTTCACAATAGCAAAGACATGGAATCATCCTAAATGTCCATCAATGGTAGACTGAATAAAGAAAATGGGGCTGGGCAAGGTGGCTCATGTCTGTAATCCCAGCACTTTGGGAGGCTGAGGCAGGACGATCATGAGGTCAAGAGATCAAGATCATCCTGGCCAACATGGTGAAACCCCATTTCTAATAAAAACACAAAAATTAGCTGGGCGTGGTGGCGCATGCCTGTAGTCCCAGCTACTTGGGAGGCTGAGGCAGGAGCATTGCTTGAACCCCGGGAGGCAGAAGTTACAGTGAGTCAAGATAAGCACCACTGCACTCTAGCCTGGTGACAGAGCAAGGCTCTGTCTCAAAAAAAAAAAAAAAAAAAAAAAAAAGGGAGGGGGGTACATATACCATGGAATACTACGCAGCCATAAAAAGAATGGTCATGTCCCTTGCAACAACAGAGATGAAGCTGGAGACCATTATTCTTAGCAAACTAATGCAGGAATAGAAAATCAAATACCACATGTTCTCACTTATAAGTGGGAGCTAAATTATGAGAACACATGGACACAAAGAGGGGAACAACAGACA
Organism: Homo sapiens; assembly: GCF_000001405.40. Lineage (NCBI taxonomy): Eukaryota > Metazoa > Chordata > Mammalia > Primates > Hominidae > Homo > Homo sapiens. The sequence goes on along the minus strand of NC_000002.12, from coordinate 126,374,571 downwards.
CTGGGGCCTACCTGAGGATCAGAAAGGGGGGATCAGAAAAAAATATCTATTGTGTACTATACTTATTACCTGGTGTCAGGGTTACAACTATGCCAAATGTCATGTTGAGGTCTGAAGGGAGTGGGTGGATGAGTAGAAAGAACACTTCGGGGGCTGTAGGCAGGTGAAAGATGATTTTATTTAGCAGCCGCTTTCATTAATAGCTTTCATACACTAGTTCTCTACACTGTTGGCCCTTATTCGGGCTGTCTGCTCTGGATCTGTGTCTCCTGCCGCCCCGACGCCTGCAGCTGCATGGCCGGCTCTCCCTTGGCTTCAGGGTCAGCAGCTTAACTTTCTCTCTCTCAGCATGAGAGAGACCAGCCTGTGTCCTGGCTCCCCACTGTCCATCTGCAAAGATGGACAGCTCTGGCTTTCTCTCTCTTTCTCTGGGCACCAGTGACTGCCCAGTGTCAAGAGGGCAATTATATCTTTTATGGACAACAGTGGTATAGAGACAAGTGATGGCCTTCCGATGTTATGGCTACATGGCTATGATAACGAGTGGAGTTATATGCCTACTCTCTGAACTCACTAAGTCACGCAGGATATAGACATCTTAGCTTGTCCTATTCCTGACCAAAGCACAGCCATGTTCCTTACACTCCACCCCCTAGGCCGAGGGAGGCATAGGCCTTGGATACACAGGTTATACATATAAGCTTTGGGTACATAGGCTCGATATACACACACAGGCTTTATACATAAGCTTTGGGCACATCAGTTTGATGTACAAGCTTGGCACACAGGCCTTACGTTCCACCCCCTAGGCCGAGGGAGTTTTCTAAGTGGGGATCCATGCGCATAGGGAAGCACACTGAACTCCTAGGTTACAGCAGTAATACAGAGAGCAACAACCTACCATTAATATTCCTGTTATGCTACCTGTGATCATTAGGGCCCAATTTAGGGTAGAGAGGAGAGACGCCCCACTATCTCTGTGGGGGTTTGTCAGTAAGGCATTCAATCGCCTTGATTTCCCACGACACCCCTTGTAAAGCTGTCATTATGTTCTGGTGGTTATCAGGACTAAATGTACAACATTATGTCCCCACAAGGGCATGGTGACCACACATTAATGGAGTGGCTAATGGCAGCAGCCATACGGACTGTTTGGAATGATGCCAGAATGATGCCGGAGAGACACCAGAAATTGTGAGTAAATGGCAATCATATACCAATTTGGTGAAGGTACTCTGGGAGATGGGTATGTGGCAGGCTATGTTTGATCTGAATACCCAGGGGCCAGATGATGAAAGCTTTACTTCCCACATGAGGGATCTTGTGCTTGGCTCAGCGTCCCCGGATGCTTTTGGCTCTCTAGCTGCTGTTCTCACCCTATATGTGGAGCACCACATACATGAAGTGACTACTGCTATGGCAGCCCTTGGGGAGGTAGAAGGCCATTGGTGGGACTGGGGAACCCATGACATAAACAAGGGGAAGATACCCCCTCCGCAGGTTGGCATGCTCCAACAGCATCGTCAACTGGGCCCACACCTACGCTCAGGTGACCAATGTCTCCAACTCTTAGATCTGCACCACCCTTCCAGCAGCGGTGGTGGATGGCTTGCCCTAGCACATACATCCAGCTTCAGTGCAGAACTGGATATGGCTAGACACTTCGAGTCCCACGGACAATGGGTGGGATGCAACAGGGCAGGCTTTGGAGTCAGAGTGTCGCAAAACCCATGGCAAGCCTGACCCCTGGCTGACTCACAGTGTCCATGATGGATGGTGCTGGCTAATGGGAGAACACGTGGTGCCAACATTGCAGGTACCATGATGCATAGAGCAGCACAAGTCACTGGGATGGTTGCCTGCTGAGGTTTGTGCAAACATAACACATGTCACCACACCATTGGTGTGGCCTTACCGAGGCCAGGCCCCCATGGACTTTGTGCCACCTGGGAGTTTATGGGTCTTTAAGGACACAGGATGGCCCTATTTGCCAGCCAACTGGACTGGACATTGTACCTGGGGGTGGCCTTATGAGCCTGCCACTGTGGTTCCCACATTACCCAGTCGCCCATGTAACTGGGAGGATCTGCATTCCTGCTTTTTGCAAATGCGGTGGGCTCCCTGGTGGCTCTACCCCTTAGCAATAACTATGCCTGGAGCAGGTGTCATTTCTGTAGACGCAAGTTACAGCCCTTGCAGAGCAGGTAGTTCGGAACCTAAATTATACCCAAGTGACTCTCTGTTTGTTAACTGATGAGGTTAATCAGATCAGGAAGGTGGTGCTGCAAAACCCAATGGTCTTAGACATAGTCACAACTGCCCAGGGTGGCACCTGTGCCCTTGTGGAGACACAATGTTGTACATTTATTCCTGACAACCACCAGGACACCTTTACAAGAAGTGTCACGGGAGATTAAGGCGATTTCATGCCTTACTGATGACTCCCTGCAGAGATAGTGGGCATCTCTGGGCTCTACCCAATGTTGGGCTCTAATAATCATAGGTAGCATAACAGGAATATTAATGGTAGGTTGTTGCCTTCTGTATTGCTGCTGTAACCTATGAATTCAGATCGGTGCCCTATGGGCATGGAGCCCCACTAAGAAAACTCCCTCAGCCTAGGGGGTGGAACGTAAGGCCTGTGTGCCAAGCCTGTACATCAAACTGATGTGTCCAAAACTTAGGTATAAAGCCTGTGTGTGTATATCGAGCCTATGTACCCAAAGCTTATGTGTATAACCTGTGTATCCAAGGCCTATGCCTCCCTCGGCCTAGGGGGTGGAGTGTAAGGAACATGCCTGTGCCTTGGTCAAGGATAGGCTGAGGTAGGATGTTTACATCCTGCATGACTCAGTGAGTTCAGAGCACAGGCCTATAACTTCACTTGTTATCACAGCCGTGTAGCCATAACATGGGAAGGCCATCGCTTGCCTCTATGCCACTATTGTCTATAAAAGGTATAATTGCCCTGCCAACATGGTATAGGCATGCTGGTGCCCAGAGAAAGAGAGAGAGCCAAAGCTGTCCATATTTACAGATGGACTGACGGGGGCCAGGACAAAGCTCGTCTTCCTCATGCCCAGAGAGAGAAAGAGGTAAGCTGCTGACCTTGAAGGCAAGGGAGAGCTGGCTGCACAGGTGTGTGGGGGCGCCGCTGGACTAAGCAGCTGAGACAGGGCAAACAGTGTGGAAAAGCTGTTGATGAGAGCTACTGCTGAATGAAATCATCTTTCACCTGCCTGTGGCCCCCCAGTGTTCTTGCTGCTCATCCACCCACTCCCTCCGGACCTCAGCATGGGGTGGAACCTAACCCCGAGCATAACAATTGGTGTAGTCATGAACGTGGCATCTGGGTCATGAAATAATCTGTATACCAAACCACGGTGACATGAGTTTACCTATATAACAAATCTGCCCATGTACCCCTGAACCTAAAATAAAAGTTAAAAGAAAAAAAATTAGGTTTTTATCTTTCCAATTTTTCGGATTGGCAATATAATCTGGCTATCAATTTCTTATAAGATGCGTGATTCGCAAATATTTTCTCTCATTCAATGGGTTGTCATTTCACTCTGTTGATGGTGTCTTGGATACACAAAGTTTTTAATTTTCATGATTTCCAACTTATCTTTCCTTTCTTGACTGTGCTTTTGGTGGGATATCCAAGAAACAACAGTTAAATCCAATGCCATAAAGCTCTCTCCTGTTTCCTTCTAAGAGTTTTATAGTTTTAGCTCTTGTAGTTAGCTCTTTGATCCATTTTTAGTTAATTTTTGTATGTGGTATGAAGTAAGAGTTCAGCTTCATTCTTTTTCATGTTGAATATCTAGTTTTCCCAGCACTATTTATTTAAGACTGTCTCTTTCCCATTGAATGGTCTTGGCAACACTGATGAAAATCATTTTGCCATGTATGTGAGGGTTTATTTCTGAGCTCTCCATTCTTATTCTACCAGTCTATATGTCTGTCTTTACGCCAGTACCACACTGTTTTCATTACTGTAGGTTTGCACTAAGTGAAAATATTTTCACTTCTTAAAGAAGGGATGTGAGTAATCTTGTCTCTGGGGATAACAAACTTGGAAGAAACATTCCTAGTCAGTTTCATGAATGCTGCTATTCTAAGCCCTGGGAATAAAGATCCAGATAGGAGAAATAGACAAGGTCACTAGAGGAGAGTGATCAAACTACAGAGGCATGTGATAAAAAGCTGGGTTTGACCTGTGAAAGCCATTCTTTGGCTCTGTTGCCATCAGATGAATGAGGCCTTTTGTTATTGGCCCTGGTTCTAGCCAACAGTGGGGAGACCTATTTTTTCTGTGACAACATGTGTGCTGATTTGTGTGTTGTACATCATAGCAAGACAGGCGGTTACATCAAAGGCAAAGTAGCAAACGAAAACTACAGATTGTTAACGCTGACCCAGCCTCATCCTGACCAGGTGGGTGCCAATCACCCACAGTCACTAGAGTGGTAGGATTTGCCTGCTAAGAAGGGCAGAGACCAAAACCAGCCTGCACCTCACAACCAAGCCATTAGAAAACGTCTCCAGGAAGCCAAGGGTGAAGGGATCCTTTGTATCATTTCCCTCGGGGCAAGACGTTCAGGTGAAATGTAGCTAGAAACCCTGCCTAGATCTCGAACCCTATCCCAAATTTCTTTGACTGCATTTGGGATACAAAAGGAGAAATCATAAACAAAAGGGAGCTTGTAATGGACTTTCATTTGCCATATGTGCTCACTATATGTCTTTGTTATGGGAAGAAGATGAGTGCTTTTTGCTGAGTAACTTCCAGCCCAAAAATGGTTTGTATCTGGAATTCCAGCCTGATCTCCAGGGGTGGGAGGTGGGGAATATAGCAGGACTGTTAGGGTTATCAGGAAAGTTTTTGCTAGTTTTCCCTGAGAATCGTCTGAACAATGCCAATGTTACCTTTTCATATTGCAAACTTTCTAAGTGTCTGAACACAGTGTCATAGAAACTAGAAATGTCAGTGCCAGGAGGGAGTAACTAGTTTTACGTATATGGCAGTGAAATAGCAATACGATGAGCATAAGTAACTCCAGTTTTGTTTAAGAGGCCTTTACGTATTCCTGCATGCAGGCTAATTTTAGAGCCCTGAGACAACGTACAACAAAAGCAGTCATGTAGTTTTTAAAACTAACTCTGGGATTAAAGGAGAAGTATATAAACAATTAACTATGTTTTGTAGATTTATGGGAGCATTGCTACCTGACCAAGGACAAAAAAAGTCCCAACCTTCTCAGACCCTCACAGGGTCCAGATATCTGCAGTTGTCAGTCACCTCTTGATCCCAACCCCCTCCTCTTCCCCATGCCCTTAATATAAAAGGGCCCTAAATTTGTACTAACTTAAGATGATACTTTAGGACTCCAGTCTGCCATCTTCTCAGTTTGCTGGCTCTCTAAATAAACCTGCTTTTCCTCCCACCAACTCTTCTCTCATGTTTGACTTTTGAGCTGAGAGCACCCGAACCTGGGTTTGGTTACAGCTACACGTTGCCTATACCACAAGACTGGGAATCAGAGAGAGGAGGCAGCTTCCTCTCAGTCACATGACCTGGGCATGTCTGAGCCAGGACTAGGGCAGGCTTCCTAATGCCCTGGATGTTTCTCCACCACCTCCAATGAGTTTTATTGAAGTCACTAGGAGGAAGTAGGAGCAGCAGCTGCTTCCTTCAGCTACAGATCCTGAAGTCTAGAAGTATTCAGATGCCTCAGAGCCTCAGAGGGTGCCTTGCATTTAATAAATGCTCAAAAACTGCCTGCAGGTTGACTGAGTCACTAAACCACTGAATTAAATACTCTTAAGTGATTAGGTAACATCATTAATTGTGTTGGTATTATTGAAATTCTGTTCCCCACCACCTAGAACTTTTATATCCCCTAATAATAGGAAGGATGTTGGCCTCTGTACTCTGGAAGGCAAAAACAAATATAGCTCCTGTAAGAGGCAGGTACATCAAAGGCAAAGTAGCAAACAAAAGCTAAAGATTGTTAATGCTGACCCAGCCTCGTCCTGACCAGGTGGGTGCCAATCACCCACAGTCACTAGAGTGGCAGGATTTGCCTGCATGCAGTACACAGGCATTGCTTACGTAACACACTGGGATGCTGCTATTTTGCCTTTGGATCCTGTACTCCTTCCATGTGGACCTTCCTTTTTCTCAACTTCCTCTTTCACATGCTTCCTTTCTTGTCCTTGCTCCCTTCTCTTCAAGGTTGGTGTCCCCAGGACACCTCCTAGTTACACCAGCTTTCATGAAGCCACACTCAACACTACATTTACTCTTTGACCCCAAATTTCTGCCAGTAAGTCCCCTGCAACCCACACTGGTTCTATTAGCCTAGTCCCTGCTTTCCGAATCTCCCCCTTACTTGGCAAACTGTTTATCATGAGTAAGTATGGAACGTGCCCTGGATGTGATGTGGGTAGCCCACCCCAACATAACACAACAAAGCCAACACACACCTTAACAGGATCTTTCAATGCCATACTAGCACAATTTACCAGTAGGGGTATTTTGGGTATCTGAGGAGGCTCGTGGGTGGAGCTCCCAGGATTCCTCACTCTGGGTCCACCCTGCACGGCCTGTGCATTAACCCCCTGGGGTGGGGCACGAGAGGAGGACCATTGTGAAGACTCAGGTGGGAGTGACTTACAACATCTTACAGGGACTCTCTTCTTTAGCTGCACGTAAGAATCAGCTGGAAGAATTAAAAACTGCTGAAGCCCAGACCACAAAAGAAAAAACTGAATCCAAAAGCCATGGGACAATATCAAATAGTCTAGCATATATATCATTAAAATCCCAAAGAAAAAGAGGAAAGAACAGAGAAGAAGAAATATTTGAAGAAATAGTAGCAGGGAATTTTCCAAAAATAATAAATGCATGCATGAAACCACCCACAAATCATAAAACTCGTAGAAATCCAAGTAGAATACATATCTAAAAGAAAGACAAAGAAGTTTGGAAGATTTCCTAGATACATCATGTTTAAACTGTTTAAAGATGATGAGAAAAATGTTAAGGCAGTGGAAATAGGAGATTCATTGCATACAGAAAAACAATTACAGACATCTTCTCATCGGAAACCACCAAGGCCAGGAGAATAGAAGACAACAAGGCCAAAAAAGTCGTTTTTTTTCCTGAGTATTTAGGTAAGATCAGCATTTTTAATGTTAGGAAAAGTAACAAATATCACCAAATCTGTAAGGTAAATTCACAGAACCAAAGGTTTGGCGGCAGAGGGATAAGATCAACTGAAAAAAAAAAAAAGTTGACTTTAGAAAAGAGAGGAGCAGAGTCTGTAAAATTTTTTCTTAGACTGGTCTGTTTTGAAACTCACCTTTGTATTTGTTATTTGTGAGTAAGACATTAGGCTTTATGTTCTCAAATACATTTTAAGCTGAGTAGCCCTTGCAAATCCATCTCACTTAGGCTAAGTTGGGGGCAGAAACAGCCCTTTTCCCTTTCAGCTTCCTCCCAAAAGCTTAGCCAAACTATTTCTAAATACACATCTCATTCTCAACTTTTCAATTGAGCTATCTTATATACTTGAGTGGGGAAATGGGCTAATGATAGTCTATTTGATTATGTAATTCCTTAAACTGTCTTGTATGTGTGGCCTATCATCTAGGTCACTTAGCCACTATTGAAGTTTTATGTATTGAAACACCCTGTTACTCAAGCATGCCTCCTATTCTCTGTGACCATGCTACTCAAATGTTTGCTTGCATAGGAATCATTCCTTGTCAGGCTGACCCATGCCCCAAAGATGTCCCTGTCCTGATCCCTGGAACCTGGAAATGTTACTTTATATGGTAAAAGGAACCTTGCAGATGTAATTAAATAAGAATCTTGAGATGGAGACATTTTTCTGAATTATCCAGGTGGGTTCTGTGAATCACAGGTGTCCTTCTAAGAGGGAGGCAAGAGACCAGAGCAGAAGTAGGAATATTACAACAGAAGCAGGAGGCTGGTGTGATGCAAGGAAGGGGTTATGAGCCAAGGCCTGCAGGCAGCCTCCAGGAGCTAAAAAAATAAGGTACAGAAACAGGCTCTCCCCTGCAGCCTCCAGAAAGCTCTGATACCTTGAGTTTAGCCCAGTGAAAATGATTTCTAGAAGAATAAGAGAATAAATTTGATTGTTTAGCCGCCAAACTCACAGCAACTTGTGGCAGCAGCAATAGGAAGCTAATACACACCCAGTGCTTGGTAAAATATAAACTCCAAAACAGCACTTCCAGAGAGCTGAACGAGTTGCTCAGGAATCTGAGTTTTCAATAAGCACTTTGATGATTGTGATGCAGTTGGTCCATAAAATACACTTAAGAAATACTTCAAAGTTCTATACAAATGTCAGGTATTTTTATGACGAGCTTAGGGAATTCAGGCATTATTTTTTCATTTGTAACATTAACATGACAACTGTGATAAGGTGATATTTTATGTCTCCCTCCACAAAAGGCAATTATGGGATTCACAGTTATTATTTAGCTTTGTTCTATGCACTAACAGATTTAACATGGAAAATAATTCCCCCATAAACATATTATAATACAACAATATTCAGTGTTTTAAACAGCCTGATTCTGTTTAGACTCATTTGAGAACAGAGAAAGAGGGAAAATCCAGACATTTTTAGTATTGCCTAAAATTAGTCCCACCCGAATATATGCCGCCAGGTGCGGTTATGCTCTTATTTCTTTGTTTTTTTTTTTCCTTCATGAACTTTCCACGTGTTCCTCCAGCTAATGTTGCCCTTTTTACTAGCCTTTTCACCAAATGTGGGTAAAATGTTAAGTTTTCACTCCAATAGAGGGGGCTTGTGGAAGGTGTCCCAGGATCTCCTAGGGCACCAATATGCTTCATGCTCAACAGTAAGGCTTTGTTAAAATGCTTCATGTTTGTGCGTCAAAGACAAAATACAGAGGAACCAGGAGAAAATGGGCAGTCAACTTGGGGGAAAAAGGTTTGTGCCTTTTTGAAAAGATATCTTTTAAAACTAGTTTTATTTCCTAGAGATTGAGATGGAGTGAGTCTCACAGAGGTGTTCAGTGGCCTGTCAGCTTGGAGGGTGCTCCCTTACACCCTGCATGCCCTCACCTTCCACCACACACACACCCCACACACACACCCCATCCCCTCACCTTCCCCCGCACTCACAGAGCTAATGTCAACATACAGACAGACCTCAAAAAGTGTCAGGGACTGACTTCCAGGACTCGGATCTTAGATAAGCCTCCCTTACCAGAACCCACATCTACATCTTCCTGGAACATAGATGTTGCTTTGGAATAATTTAGACTGGGAACTTATAGCTTGGCTTTACTCAGTCTTCTGTTTTTCATACCATGTAGCAAAGTCTGGGTGGATGCCCAGTCACCACCATCAACCTGGGGTATGGAAACCTGATGGCTACTCTGAATTCTCAGACAGGGTCTATTATTCATTAGCCTCTGCTCCACTTTGTTCAAATCTTGAATTCATACTCTATCACACTTATTTACCTGTGTGTGATTCTCCGTTAGACTATGATCTTGGAAAAAAATTGCCATTCATTGCCAGCTTTGTGTCATCGGTTCTTAGGTGCAGAATGGTGATTAACTAATAATGCCCCTATTGATTTGGGGGTCTGAGGAGTGATGCTTAACAGTGTCATAGAGGACGTGTTATGACTACTCTAGGGAACAGATTAATTAACTTCCTGCTCAGATGTCAACTGGAAGTATTCTTTCCAAAATAGAGGAGTTCCTTATCATTCTCATCCCTACCTCACATGTCCTGTGTTGCTGCAGAGACTCAACCCAGAGATCACAATCTTAGACTAGAGAGAACAAAAGAGCCAAGCAGACAATCTGAAGACAGCCCCACTGTCATACAAAATGCAAGCAGCCAACAGTATTTAGAGTATGATGAGCGATGCAAGCCTCCACAGGAATGGATGGATAGAGACTGGAGTTGAAAATGAACTTTGAGCATTTGCATCTGCAGATACCAGGTACTTTCTTCAAAGATCAGTGAAGGTTTCCATGGATGTCCTTTTCCCAGTGTAAATGAGGTGGGCAAAGCAGGAAATGGTACAGAGGAGGGTCAACAGAACTCACCAACACTCCACATCAATCAATCCAAAAGTTTGATTGGATTCCAGCCAAAAGCACTCTTCTGAGGGAGAAAGCTTTTTTATTCTGCCAACCTCCCAGACTCTCTTGTCATCCCTTGGCCATCTCCCCTGAGAAAAGGCACAATGATTCTGATGGATTGGAACCCAGACCATTCTCTGGATCTATCCCATTGTGGGGCACATCTGTGTCCTGTGCCTCATGTCAGAAATTAGGCTCTGTACCTCCTCTTTCACATCTAGTGCTCAGGTATAAAGGGCGCTTTTGTGCTTTCTGTCATTTCTTGAAAAGCAGATCTGGGAAGAGTCTCACAAAAGGGCAGTCTCTCCTGCTGTATCTCTGCTCTGCGTAGAATTGGTAGTAAACTGGTCTGCCAGGTCCCCTGTGAGCAGCAACTTGTTCATGTGATATTGTTCCCCCAGTCTGCTTTTGGTGCTCACAGGCATTCTGGCCTCCGGATTTAGATGTGGGGAGGAAGTACAAAAACCCACTTACACCTAAGACCTATAACATTTAAGGCAGATGATTAGACTCCTAAAAGCCATTTTCCTCCTACTTCTTACTGACTGAATCTTTTTCCTATTGTAGAAACTGATAATGCCATTTATTCTCTCAGCTTCTTTGCACTTAGGGGTTGCCATGGAATTCAGTTCTGATCAATGAGTCATATTACAAAGCTTCTGGAAACCATATTCTTCCTAAATAAAAATAAACAGGTGTTTGAAGAAAGCCCCTTTTATTTGCTCTTTTTAGGCTTTTTTTTTTTTTTTTAACACAATTGTGTTGGGATATGTGCTTGGAGGTGAGGCTGTCATCTTGTAACCATAAAGGGACACATCTCAATAAAAGACAGTATATTGAGGAGCATGGCAGAGGCAGGGAGGAAGGTATGAGTCCCTAAGGACAGTTTTGAGACTTTGCCTCTTTTCACAAAACCAAGTATAGCCTAGCTACCTCTGGATGACTCGTTACATAACACAGTTAACCTCTCACCATTTAGGGCAGTTCGAGTTGCACATTCTGCAACTTGAAATCAGTGACATCTTAACTGGTACAATCTGCTCTTGTGAAGGTTTTAAGGTCCTCCTCAAGATCATTAAAGTGGTACTTCATTCCTCCATTGGCTTCTGATCTTTGTATGTGTTTTTCATGTGATACAAAACTCCAGAACTCTAGAAGAGAAAAGCAGTGGAAGGGACCCTAAACGCCTAACACAATATTCCATTGTCCATACAGAAAATTCTCATAAGTTCCTACATTAAAAAGAATAAGAAATTTATACAGAATGTAAAGGAAAACATCTATGGTTTTTTTTTTCGGCAGATGGATATGGATGAGTTAACTGCATCACACTATATAAAATTCTTTTTACATTTTATGTTTTAAAAAGCATCTGTAAATACATTTGCTGTCTATAAACATCCAAGTTAAAAACTCCTTGATGCAATATTAAACCTAAACACATTCATGGATTAGAGAGGTAGCTATAAAGTGGTGGCTAAAAACAATTTATAGTCCTGGCTGTACATCTTACTACTTACATAGTCATGAAGAAGTCACTTAACTCTAATTGTCTCAGTTTTCTCATCTTTAAATGAGGTGATGACAATAGTACCCATATCACAGAGTTGTGGCAATATATATAATCTGCCTTAGGACAATGCATGAAGTATAGCAGATGCTGAATGTCTTAGGGGATGTAATTATATCACCTGTATTTTCACCTGCTGTAATTTACCTGTGTTTGCCCCAGTCATCAAGCCAAAATAAGATACTGCAAAAAGTATTGGTAGAATACATATATTCTAGAATGTATAGTTTTCTATTAATAAGTAGCTTAACCCCTTATATTTTGTTCATGATAACTTTATTTTTTTATCCCACATCTTATTTTGTTTAAGCAGGAGTATTGATATCTGACTTAGAAGTAGTAGAATAATTTGGGTAGATAATATTTTTCCTTATTGGTTTTATTTTATTGAAATGCCAAAATATTCTTTGCACTGAATTCCAGCTCAGGGAGAAATAAAAGATTAAAGACTTGATGAACTAGTATGCCCACACTAGAACCAGGCCTCTGGGAATCACTGCTGCACATTTTCAGCAAGGTTCTTTGCAATAAAACCACCCTCTACATCATCTTACCTATTGCATCACCGTGACTATGTGGCCAGTACTGTTACTAAGAACCTACTATACATCAAATACTATGCAACGTGTTTGACCTGCGTTACCCAGTCCTACGATAAGCTTATGTTCCCCTTAGGTTCAGGGGATCAGGCTAGTTATTCAAGGTCATAGAGGTAGGAAATGGGAGAGCCAGGATTAGAACAAGGGTCTGTTTTTTATCTCCAACCTTTTTGCCCCCCAACAAAATCCTGCTCACTTCCATGGGATGCAATATTCCTAAAATAATGTTTTTGAAAAATTTTTAATTGAGATTAAGTATGCAAAACATAAAACTTACCATTAGAGACATTTAGTATATTCATGATGTTGTGTAACCATCACCTCTGTCTAGTTCCAGAATGTTTTCATAACCCCAAAAGGAGACTCTGTACCCATTAAATTGTCACTCGCTGTTCCTCCTCCCAGCCCCTGGCAACCTCTAATTTTCTTCCTGTCTCTATGAATTAGCTTATTTCAGACATTTCTGCATATTTCATATAAATGGAATCAGACACTCACATGATGGCCTTTTTCATTAGAATTCTTTTGGAACGTAGGAAGTCTGTGAGACAAACTGATTGAAACTTTAACTTAATATGGGAAAATTTTCAGGTATCTTAATAAAATAGTTTCAGTGTTTGGACATGAATTCACGTCACACAAATGGCTGCCAAAATAGAGTGGAATTTGGAGATAAGAGGTTTGGGTTTAGGATCTACCTCAGCTCAGTGTGTTGGCTTTGTAATGCTAAGGAAAAAATTCAAGATAATGCTCGGGGTCCGCAGAATGATCACTTTACACCACCTTGAGGTCCAGTCTTAGAATGTTCCTATCTAGTAGGTTGTGGTTCAGGAACAAGTCTTAATTCAGGGAGCCTCAGCTGGGCAGTTCCATCCATGCAGTCCTAAGAGCCATAATAATAATAATATGTTTATTTTATTTATTTGCTGTTTAAACACCAAAACCCCTGTTAAATTGACCATTTGATCCACAACTTTGTGCAGTGCGTTACATCTTTCCATATTCACATGATAGCAAAATTCCCTTTCTTTCCAGCATGCCAATGAGGAAACAGAGGAAAACAATGAGGAAAAAGAGTAATAATAATAGTAGTAATAAGAGTAATGATAATAAAAGGAGATGACTACTTATATAATATGATCTGAAGGTCATCATAAGACCCAGTGCCAACTCAAATTTATTCTACTGTCACTTGCATCCAAAAATTTGACTATTAAACTTATCCTTTGCATAAAGACATTGCTTCCAGAATATCACTGCTGAACTACGTTCATCTTTCTTAGTGGCTAATATGGTCTTACACTTCTGTGTGCTGTGCAGTCAAGACTGATGTTTTCAGCTGAGGGCTTGTATCACAGCACCAGGTCCACATGAAGGTTCTGCCATTACCAGTAGAAATCAGCATAATTCTCCTCCGACTGCTGAGCATCAAAGTCTGAACCTTCTGGGTGCCACCTGATGAAACAATTTTGCCATGCCCATGAAATCTGGTTAGCACTGTTACTTCTTGCACTAACCAATCCTAAATCCAAGGTCCCAGGCTCTCGCAGCTCTGCTCTCAAGCCTTCTGGCTTTCTTTCCCTGCCTACCAGTGGCTCACGCCGCAGAAACAAAAACAGAGCCCTCTTAAGTGCCTAAGCTCTGGCATCTGCAGGCTTTTTGTAATTTCTGGCTCTCTACATATTAGGTTGGTGCAATTACTTTTGTACCAATCTAGTACAAGCTGGGTGACTGTGGAGAAGGAAGTTCCCTTACCTCACCCTTCTAAGCCTCTGTTTCCTCATTGGCATGCTGGAAAGAAAGGGAATTTTGCTATCATGTGAATATGGAAAGATGTAACGCACTGCACAAAGTTGTGGATCAAATGATCAATTTAACAGGGGTTTTGGTGTTTAAACAGACATCCAGGCATGCTTCACTAGGCTGGGAAAGGGCTTTGTACATTATAGCCTGCTAAGAGAGGGCTTGAAATATTTCATATAAAAATGAAAATGAAATGAATAGAATTCCATAATAGCTACCATTCACAGCAACATAAGAGATAGGAGTTATCCACATTTAATGATGAGAACACTAAACCACCAAGAGGTTAATGGGTCCAAGGTCACACAGCTAGTCAATGATGGGGCTAGGATGTGAACCCAGACAGCTTAGCTCCAAAGCCTGTGCTATCAAACAGTTGGCTATATTTCCTAAAAAAATTATCTATAAAAGCATTTCAATAAGGTGTATTATTGCTGATGGTAAAAATTGGTTCAATGGGAGTCAATAAGGAGGGCATTTCTGCCTGTTCTGGCAATGAAACTGTGGTACCCCACGAGGAAATGCATTCTGTAGCAATAAATGTGTTCAAGCAGTGATTGGAAGATGCTACTTGTACACAGTAAAATAGGTTTCCACACTGAAAATGGCAGGAGGGAATTGATGAGCCCAGGGTTTACTTCTAATATCCCATGAATACAGACCTCTGTATTCTGGACTAAAGCTGCCACTTTCTGCATGACTCCAGTGTGTCTAGCCCTCTGCTGGATCCTTCACATATAGCAATTCTAATCTTAACAAAGTCCTGCAAATGGCTGCTGTCATTCCCATTTTGCAGATGGGGACATTAGTCTCAGATACAGACACAATTAGTAACAAATGAGAATCAATCATCTCAGGCTTTCAAATTTCAAAGCTCACATTCTTTAAAAGCCACTTTTGTGGAATATTAAATTTCTCAACAACAGCAAGGAAATAAGGCAACTGTGCAGGAGGACTTGCCTGATTCATTCCTTACTGTGCTTTTTTTAATTGTTATAATATTAATGCCGATGAGGGAGGTGATCACATTCATAATCATAATTTGAATACCATGCTAATTGGCTTTTATTGCTGCTTGGGAATGGGTCAGGGTTGTACATGGAATATTTAAGTTGAAATGTCGTTTCCAATACTTAATAGAATCCAATTAGGGTTTTATTGATTAATTAATATCTACATGAAGTATACTATTTTTCTAAAGGCCAGTAATGTGCATGACTGTTCCCTAAATGTTAACATATTCAGATAATTATAACTGCAACATCTTTCTGTTTAGACTGAGTTATTTGCCATTACTGAGGTTTCAAATTCATGGAAAGTAATCTTTTAAAATAAAAATGATACTTAAATAATCTAAAATAATTGT
Source organism: Homo sapiens (assembly GCF_000001405.40). Lineage (NCBI taxonomy): Eukaryota > Metazoa > Chordata > Mammalia > Primates > Hominidae > Homo > Homo sapiens. The sequence goes on along the minus strand of NC_000002.12, from coordinate 126,359,066 downwards.
TATAGATAATCTGTCTCAAATACCCATTGATTTATGGCTAGCTGAACATGCTAGCACTTTCCTACAACAGAAGCTCATTTTTAAGTGTTTTCAATGAAACAAAGACAGGGTGAATACAAATCAGACCTTATGGCCAATGGGCGCTGCAGTGTTTTAAGGTTAAACGCATTGTTTAAGGAATTTCAGATGATGGTATAGCAGCATGAATAAGAAATACAAGCTTAATATTCAGACCAATCATATTCAAGTAGTGTTTCATTAAATCCTGTCTCGTGTCAGTTGATAGCTGTTTGCTATCACCACTTATTTCTCTGAAAAGAGCCAAGCTGAGACTGAAAGTTACTTACGCACTCAGTTCCAGACATCAGGTAATAAACTCCAAGAAATTTGGAGCAGGCAAAAACATTCAGCAAGTCCTATTAGCTGCGCCAGTGCATACGGGTCATTGGTACTGGGTCAGCTCTTCCATCATTAATACAAAGACAGAAAGTACATATTTATTGTTATGGGGCAAATTAAAAGAATGATGTATCAGAGACATATATAGCTTTCAAACTATATTCTGATGGGGATGAAGTGACTGGTGATCTGGAAATATTTTCTAGTTTCTTTCAAAATAAATACTGACCAGCCTGGGCAACCATAGTGAGATCCTATCTGTACAAAAAAAAAAAAAAAAAAAAAAAAAAAAGTCAGGCATAGTGGTACATGCCTGCAGTACCAGACACTTGCGGGGCTAAGGTGGGAGGATCACTTGAGCCTGGGAAGTCCAGGCTGCAGTGAGTCATGATCATAGAGAGAAAGACTCTGTATGGGCAACAGAGCAAGACCTTTTTTAAAAACAAACAAAAAAAGCAACATAAATATTGAGCATTTACTGTGGAAAAAATGTTTTGCACACAAATTGGTGGCACACAAATGTGTGAAAATGAGTATTATCTCATATTATTTATGTCCCGAGTACTGTACCATGTATGGTTCAAATTTCAGAAATAACTTCATAAGGGAGTATAGTTATTCTCATCTTAAATACCAAGGTGATAACTACCTTAGACAAAGTTATGTAACTTGTCTGAGATCACTTAGCTGTATCAAAACTCTAAAGCCTGGCCTTATTAGAATTGCCTGAGAAAAAATTAAAAAGTCTTGCACCATACCTTCGCAGTTGAAACTGAATCTTAGAGATGGGATTAAAGCACCTGCAGTATATTAGTTAGGGTTTTCCAGGAGTTTTGAGGGGTGGGGGTATATTTATTATAAGAAATTGGCTCATGTGATTATGGAGAATAAAAAGTCCTGAGGTTTTTTGTTGGCAAGCTGGAGACCTAGGACAGCCAGTGGTTCTAGTCTGAAGGCCAGCAGGCTTGAGATCCAACAAGAATCAATAAGTTATTTCAGTTCAAGTCCAAAGGCAGAAAATGTCCCAGCTGAAGATGGTCAGGCAGGAGGAGTTCCCTCTTACTCTCACTGTGGAGTGGGCTGTCAGCCTTTTTGTTCTATTCATGCCTTCAGGGGATTGGGTGTGGCCACCCACACTGGAGAGGACAATCTGCTTTACCCAGTCTACGGGTTCACATGTTCATCTCATTTAGAAACACCCTCACAGACCCACCCAGAATAATGTTTGACCAAATATCTGGGCACCTCTTAGTCCAGTCAAGATGATATACAAAATTAATCATCACAAGCAGTTTTGAAGCTCTCGCTGGGTAATTAAGCTGTCAAAAGCCCTGGACTACCTCCTATCACTTTACTCAGTGTTTTTAAATTTGGTTGCACATTGAAAGCACCCAAGGAGTTCTAAAAATTGCTAATACCGAGTCCCACTCCTGGGGATTCTGATTCAATGTGTCTGAGTCTTACGTGCAGTCAGAGCTAACAACCACAGCTAGAACCCTTGTTCTGAAATGTGGCTGGTGACCCTTTGCTCCCAGCCATCAGGCATCGTCATTTTGCCTTTCTCAGGTGGCATGCCAATTTTCACCCCAGACTGTTGGCCAGGGACCAAAGTGCACCCAGAACTTTTAGACCTATGCAAAAACAGCCCTGTTATATTCTGTAGCTATCCCCACTCCATTACTGGGGGAAAAGTTTTTCCCAAGGAGACACAGGCCTGTTTCACTTTTGTGGAGATATCTGGAAAGTTTTTGTATTTGACCTTCCAGCCAACCCCTCATGAGTCACCTCAGTCACACCGACACATTTGCAAATTGCTGCAACAAAAAAGTCCAGAAGTGGCCATTGGTGATATAATACTGTATTTTACAGACTTTCCACATCCGCACACTTGCTGCATAGAGAATTTCCACACCATGGCTGCTGCTTGTGTGAAAGTTGCAGCAGCTATGCTGAAATAGAATGTGTGTGGATACAGGAAGGGAGACTGGGTCAAGAGAGTCTGGATTCCAAATATTTTCAAGCCCCTTCAGCAAGAAAAAAAATCAGTGTTTTGTGCAGGATGCACTCAACAATTATCATTAATGAAACCAACTTCTGCTTTTTAGCATCTGCTATGTGGCAACCATGGTTCAATGCTGCTAGCAGGCACTGAGTCTGAGATGTGTCTCTGTTCTCATAGGAGCTTAAAACATCAATGCAGCACAGACAACCTCACATGGAGCAAGTAGAGAAAGGACATGGAACCACAGGAGAGCCACAGGGATGCAGAAGAGAGAGATATGAATCAAAGGTGTTTAGCGGAACCTGGACTGGGTCTTTTTCAAAAGAAGGTATCTAGATATGGTAGGGAGGGATGGAGAAAGAACTTTCCAGATAGGGAACACAACTGGAGTAAAATTCTGAGATTGGGGAATGAGAACAAGAGGTGAACAATGAAGAAACTTGCCACTGGTAGAGATGTCTGGTGGAGTTGACCACCCTGTCTTTATATATATATAGACTTTTCCCCAAAAGAAATGGCAAAAACCCATGTTACTCTATACCTATCTCTTTTATAGCTCAATTAGCCATCTTTATATTTGTTTACTTATTGAGTTTTCTCTCCAACTAGCATGTCAATTTATTTTTAGAAAGAACTGTTTCTTATGAATTGTTTTTTTTTTTCTGGCTTCTAGCTAAGTGTCCAGCATGGAGCAGATGCTCAGTAAACAAATGCTTAGGGAATGAGTGAATGAACAAATTAGTGAACAGCCTATTCAGTAGGTAGAGGTTGTAAGCAATATACTTTTCCATTTCATATGCATCTTGAGTGAAAAGTAGAGCTTAGAGAAAAAAATGTCAACTTTTATAACAGTACTCAATTTTGCTACTTGAATGTGCCAGTTATTAATACTAATAGATATAGTATATTCATATATTTGACCTTTATACAGTTTTCTTCTAATTTAAAATAACTTCAAAAATTGATGACACTGTATTTTGGATTCAATTACAGACATTTGTTTGGCTTCTAGAAGTTTGTGTCCTAAGAGCAGTGAGGATTTGCAAGAAAAAGATGTAGTACAACATTTAATTTATGTTGTCTATCTGAATTACAGTTTCACTGTTTTGGTCTCTTCTACCTTCTTACTTCTTCATTACAGACATTCATTCATTTTTACATTCAAGCACTGAGTAAACAAAGATGAGTAAGACTCTCTGCACCTGGCACCCTGTGGCTAAATATATCAATCAGGGTCAATAAAATAGAAAACAAATACACAAAAATATTTAAACACATTTTATAAATACAAATGATGAAATGCATAGGTGAAATGAGTTATAAGTATATAATTCAGCAAGCTTTGGTAATGTATACCCCATGTAACTAACACCACAGTCAAGGCATAGAGTATTTCCATCAAACAAAAACATTCCTGATACCTCATTCCTGTAAATTCTCACCTCTTACAGGAAACAATGTCCCAATATGTAATAACCAAAGGTAAGTTTGCTCTTGAAATTTTTAGAAATAGAATTATATAGTATGTGGTTTGTGCCTGGTTTCTTTCACCCAACATATTGTTTCTGAGATTTATTTATATACTTGTGACTTCTCTCTTGGAGAACTCAACTATATAACTAAATATATATATAGATGAGCAGTATTCCATTATATAAAAATAGGGTAGTTTTTGACTCATTCTTCTGTGGATGTACACTTGGATTGTTTCCAGACTTTGGCTACTGTAAATGAAGCTGCCATAAAATAAACATTCTGAGGCAATTTATTTGTGAACATTTATTTTTATTTCTCTTGTGTAAATACCTAAAAGTAGAAATGTTGGGCCATAGAATAGGATTTCTGTAATGGCTGACATTGCCTCAAACTGCCAACGTTTTTTCCAAAGTGGTTGTAGCATTATATACTACCACCAGCAATTTATGATAGTTCTAATTATCCCATGTACTTGTCCATGTTAGGTTTTAGCAGGCTTTTTAATTTTAGTTATTTTGTAGTGATTTTTCACTGTAGTGCTAATTTGAATTTCCCTGGTGGCTAACAATGTTGAGGTTCTTTTTCACATACTTTGAAGGCCATTCCTATGTATTCCTTTGTAAAGTGTTCACATCTCTTGCTCATATTGAAATTAGATTGGTTGTCCTTTTACTATTGATTTTTATACATTATTTCTCTATTTCAAACATAAGTCTCTTTTTTCAGATATATATTATGAATATATTTTCTAAGTCTTTGCCTTGCTTTTTCACTTGCAGAACCATGTATTTAATAAGCAGAAGTTTTTAATTTTGTTGAAGTTTTAAATTTTGTTGAATTCCAATTTATTATTTTTTATTTACAGTTAATACACTTTGAGTCATTTTAGGCAATCTTTATTTACATCAAGGTCATGAAGACATTATTCTGCTTTCTTAAATGAGCTTTATAGTTTTAATTCTACTTTAGTATATGATCCATTTTGAATTAATTTTTATGTATGGTGTGATGCAAGAATAAAGGTTCTTATTTTTACATATTTTTATCTAGTTGTTCTAGCATCATTTTTTAAAAAGAGATTATCTCATTACCATTGAATTACTTTGCTATTGTAAGAGCAAGGAAATAAATAATGTCAATTGATATTTTAGCACTTAAAAAAAAAACACCTGAAACACGTGTATTCAGAAATACACTGTTCTATTCCATGGCCCATTTCTTTGTCCTTATGTAGTACATTGTCTTCATTACTATAACTTTTCAATAAGGTTTTTTTGAGATGGAGTCTCACTCTGTCACCCAGGCTGGAGTGCAGTGGCGTGATCTCTGCTCACTGCAACCTCTGCCTCTGGGTTCAAGCAATTCTCTGCCTCAGCCTCCCGAGTAGCTGGAATTACAGGTGTGCGCCACCACGCCCAGCTAATTTTTTGTATTTTTAGTAGAGACGGGGTTTCACCATGTTGGCCAGGCTGGTCTCAAACTCCTGACCTTGTGATTCCCCCCCTACCTCGGTCTCTCAAAGTGCTGGGATTACAGGTGTGAGCCACCGCACCCAGCCTTCAGTAAGTTTGGAAAGACAGTAGTGAAGCCTTTGATCTTCTTTTTAAAAATTGTTTTGGGCATTCTGGGGCTTTTCTGTTTCCAAATATTTTTTAGAATCTACTCAATTTCTACAAAAAAAGTTTTCTTGTAAATTATAGACTACTAATTTATATTGACGAGTTTGCTTAGAGTTTCAGACTCTAAGTACAGAAAAGGATTGACAAATTTTTTTTCTGAAGAGAACATGGTAGTAAATGTTTTAAGTTTTATGGATCATATACAGTTTCTATTAGTTTTTTTATCTTTTCAACCATTTAAAAATGTAAAAAAATACTAGCTTCTAGGTTATATAATAACAGGAAGCAGACTAAATTTGATCTGTGAGCCATAGTTTGCCAATCCCTAGCATAGATTAACTTAAAAAAATGAATATTTTTAAAAAATTGAGTTTTCTAGTCCATGACTGTGGGATGTCTCTTTTTTATTTGAATCTATTCTATCTCAAGTGGTATTTTGTAGTTACTATTATTGAGCTTTTACATATCTTTTGTTAAATTTATTAAGTACATTAGGTAGTTTTATTATTATTTTAATTGTGGTAAAATAAAAATAACAAGTTATCATCTTAAGCATTTTTTATCTTTATAAATTTAAGAGGTACAAGTGCAGTTTGTTACATTAGTATGTTGTGTAATGGCAAAGTCTGGGCTTTTAGTGTAACCATCACCCGAACAATGTACAAGGTACCCATTATGTACTTCCTCATCCCTCACCCCCCTCTCACCCTCCTACCCTTTAGAGTCTCCAGTGTCTATTATTCCACTCTCTGTGTCCATGTATACACATTATTTAGCTCCCATTTGTAAGTGAGGATGTGTGGTATTCGACTCTCTGTGTTATTTCACTTAGAATAATGGCCTCCATTTCCATCCATATTGCTGCAAAAGACACAATTTCACTCTCTGTTATGGCTGAATAGTATTCCATTGTGTGTATATATGTGTATGTGTGTAATATATACACATACACACACACACATAACACTTTAAAAATCCAGTCATCTGTTATGAACACTTATGTTGATTCCATATTTTTGCTTTTGTAAGTAAAGCTGTAATAAACACATGAGTGCAGGTATCTTTTTGTTACATTGATTTATATTCCTTTGGGTAGATACCCAGTAGTGGAATTGCTGGATAGACTAGTAATCCTATATTTAGTTCTTTGAGAAATCTTTTTACTATTTCCCATAGAAGTTGTACTACTTTACATTCCCAAGAACAGTGTATAAGCATTCTCTTTTCTCTGCATTTGTTTGCTGATGATAAGATCTTATATCTAGATTATCCTAGACTCCTCCAAAAAACTATAGAATTTAATAAATGAATTCAATAAAGTTTCAGGATATAAAATAAGTGTACAAAAATCAGTAACATTTCTATATACCAATAATGACAAAGCTGAAAATCAAGTCAAGAAGGCAATTTCATCTACAATAGCTACAAGAAAAAATACCTTGGAATATACTTAACCAAGGAGATAAAAGATCTCTACAAGGAAAATTACAAAACACTGATGAAAGAAATTTTAGATGCCACAAACAAATGAAAAAACATACTCACAGAGCAGAAGAAATAATATTATTAAAATGACCATATTAGCCAAAGTAACCTACAGATTCAATGCAATCCTTATCAAAATACCAATGTCATTTTTCATGGAATTAGAAAAATAATTCTAAAACTTAGATGGAACCAGAAACGAGCTCAAATAGCCAAAGCAATCAAAAGCAAAAAGATCAAAGCTAGAGGTGTCACATTACCTGACTTCAAACTATACTACAAAGCTATAGTAACCAAAATAGCATGGTACTGGTATAAAAATTTTACACATTTTTAAATGTGCAGTTCAATGTCTTTAAGTACTTTCACACTGTTATACAACCATCATCACCATCCATCTCCAGAACTCTTTTCATCTTGCAAAACTGAAAGTCTGTACTCATTAAAAAATAATTAAAGAAAAATAACTCCCCCATTTTCCCTTTCCCCCATCCTCTGGCAACCATCATTTTCTTTCTGTCTCTATGAATTTGAGTACTCTAGGAAGCTCATGTAAGAAGAATCATACAGTATTTGTTCTTTTTCGACTGGCTTATTTTACTTAACATAATGTCCCAGGGTTTATCTATGTTGCTGCAGGTGTCAGAATTACCTTCTTTTTAAGACCAAACAATAGTCCATTTTATGTGTATAGCACATTTTGTTTATGTGTTTGTTGATAGACATTTGGATTGTTTCAATCCCTTGACTATTAAGAATGCTGCTGCTATGAACATGAGTATATAAATATCTATTTGAGCCATTGCTTTCAATTCCTGTGGTTATATATCCAGAAGTGGAATTGGGGGATGATATGGTAATCCTATTTTCAATTTTTTGAGGAACTACCATAGTGATCCCTACTAGCTTTACCATTTTACACTTCTATCAACGGTGCATAAGGGTTTCAATTTCTCCACATTCTCACTAACAGATCTTATTCTTCTTTTTAATTGTAGACACTCCAATAGGTGTGAGATGGGTGTAAGTTTCTTTTGATGCTATTTTAAATGGAATAATTTTCTACTGAGACTTCTATTTTTCTTGCTAATAAATAGAAATACTGTATTTTCCATGCTTAATAAATGTACCTATTAGTTTTAGAAGTTTGTTTCACTTTGGTTTTAGATTCCATATAGGTTTCTACATACACAATAGTGCCATCTGTAAATAATAGCAGCTTTACTTCTTCATTTTCACTAGTTATTCCTTTTACATCTTTTTGTCTTATTGAACTTGTCAGGAGGTACATTACAATGTTGATTCAAAGTATGAAAGGAGATATTGTCACCTTATTTTTGATCTTTTGGAAAATTTCTAAAAACTTTATCATTAAATATAATAGTAGTTGTAGGGTTTTTGTAGATTTCCTTTTCCGTATTGAAAAAGTTCCCTTTTATTCTGAGTTTTCTGTTTTTATCATGAATGGATTTTGACTTTTAGCAAATACTTTTTCTACTTTATTGTGATAACACTTAACATGAGATTTACCTTCTTAGCCAATGTTTTAAGTATATAATACAACACTGTTTTCTCCAAACACAATGTTGTACAGCAGAGCTCTAGAATTTACTCATTTTGCTTAACTGAAACTTTATGCCAGTTGATTTATGATTTCCATTTTTCTCTGTTTCCAGCCCTGAACAACCATCATTCCACTCTTTGATTCAATAAATTTGACTATTTTAGACACCTCATATTAAGTGGAATTATACAGTACTTATTTTTCTATGACTGGCTTATCTCACTTAGCATAATGTTCTCAAGATTCATCCATGCATATTTCAATGTCCTTCTTGTTGAAGGCTGAACAGTATTCTACTGTACGTTAATGCCTCATTTTGTTTATTTGTCTGTCAATGGACATTCAGGCTGTTTTTACATCTCAGCTATTATGAATAATGGTGCAATAAGCAGGGAAGTGTAGATATCTCTTCCAGATTCTGATTTCGATTCTTTTCAATAAACACCCAGAAGTGGATTGCTAAATTTTATGTTAGTTTTATATTCTACATCTATTGAGACAATTTTTTCTTCTTCTTTAAATGTGACAAATAACATTGATTTTTTTAAAATGTTGAATCAATCTGGACTACCTGAGATAAGCCTTACTTGGTATATATTGTATATTTTTAATGTACAGATATTCCTTGACTTACAATGGCGTTTCATCCAGATAGACCCATAAGCCACAAATTTATTTGATAATAAAAAAATTGTTAATTCTAACCATCATAAATCAGGAACTGTCTGTATTGCTAAATTTGTTTACTGATATTTAGTAAAGAATTTGGTAAAGAGAGGTATTAGTCCATATTATTTTTCTTTCTGATAATACTTTTTTAGGTTTTGGTATCAGGATTATGCTGCTTCAAAATTTTTTTCAGAAAGAAAAGATGTGTAGAGTTTGTTTAGGATTGGTATTATTTCACTCTTAAAAGTTTAGTAGCATTAACCAGGATAATTATTTTGTATTTTATTTGTGAAAAGCTGGTTTTAAATTTTGAGTTTACTTTCTTTACTAAATGTAAGACTGTTTGAGTTTTCTATTTCTCTTTGAGTCAGTTTTATTACTTGTGTTTCTAATATGCCCATCATCTGAGTTGTCAAATTAAAAAACTTTGTTCAGAATCATTACTTACCATTTTAATGTCTGTAGGATAAGTAGAGATACTGTCTACTTTATTTCTGATGGTGTTTTTTAAATTCTTTTTTATAACTTTGCTGTTGCTTGGATGTTTTCAATTTTATTAATTTTTTTTAAAGAATCAACTTTAGGCTCTATTAATTTTTCTCTCTTCCTTATGTCATTGATTATTACTCTTATTATTATTATTTTCTTCCATTTTGAGTTTAACTTGCTTTTCACTTTCTACTTCTTAGAGAGAAAATGCATGTAAACCTTTCTTTTTTTCTATAAGTATTTGCATCTATAAAATTTCATCAAAACACTACTTTGACAGAATTCTACATTCTGAAATGCTCTTTTTAATATCATTTAGTTCAAAATATTTTCTAATTCATCTCCAATTTTTTTGTCCAATTTATTGTTTTGAGGTATTTTGCTTAATTTCCAAATATTTGGGTTTTTTTTCACCAAATATACTAATACCACTAAATGTTAATGTAATTATGTTGTGGCTGAAGCTTATATGATAAAATACTATAATTTTTTAAATTTGTTAAGACTTATTTTAATGGCCCCAAATTTAATCTATCTTGTTAAAGATTCCAGGTGTTATTAAAATAAACTTACATTTATTGAGTGTAATGTTCTATAAATGTTAATATTGGTTAATAGTGGTGTTCAAATTTTTAATGTTCTTACTTTTTTTCTAATTATTTTATTGGTTACTAAAAGATGGATGTTTAAAGTGGCCTAAAGATCAGTGATCCACCTTAGACTAATTAAATCAAAATCACTGGAAATGTACTCCCCGCAAGTAATTTTAATTTGTCAGAAAGATTGAGAACTACTGTTCTAGAGAAAAAAGGAAATTCTTATTGAAACTGTTTGTTGATAGAAACCACTTCTTTTTATTTTTTAATTATTATTATTATTTTGAGACAGGGTCTCATTCTTAGGGCCTTTCTCTGTTACCCAGACTGGAGTGCAGTGGTACAATCTCAGCTCACTGCAACTTCTGCCTCCTGGACTCAAGCGATCTTCCCACTTCAGCCTCCCAAGTAGGTGGGACTACAGGCATGTACCACCACACCTGGATAATTTCTGTATTTTTGTAGGGATGGGTTTTCACCATGTTGCCCTGGCTGGTCTCAAACTCCTGAGCTCAAAGTGATCCTCCTACCTCAACCTCCCAAAGTGCTGGGATTACAGGTGTGAGCTACTGCACCCAGCAGAAACCATTTCTGTAATTACAGTCATGTGCTGCATGATGTTTTAGTCAAGGACGAATATATGTGACAGTGGTCACATAAGCTGATAATGGAGCTTAAATATTCCTATTGTTCAGTGACATCACAGCCATCATAACATCATAGTACAACTTAGGTATCTGTGATGATGCTGGGGTAAACAGACCCACTGCATTGCCAGACATATAAAGATGTAGCACATACATCTATGTATCATGCAGAATACTTGATAATGATAGTAAATGGCTATGTTATTGGTTTATATATTTATTATACTATACTTTTTATCATTTTTTAGAGTGTACTGCTACTACTTATAAAAAATATTAACTGTAAAAAAGGCTCACACAAGTTCTTAAGGGGGAATTCCAGAAGAAGGAATTATTATCATAGGATGACAGCTCCATGCATGCTATTGCCCCTGAAGACCTTCCAGCGGGGACAAGATGTGGAGGTGGTGATGATGATCGTGACTTAGTGTAGGTCTAGGCTAAGGCGTGTGTTTGTTCTTAGTTTTTAACTGAACATGTTTAAAAAGTTAAAAAAAATAAAAATTAAAAATAGAAAAATGAATATAGACTAAAGATACAAAGATAATTTTTTAAACAGCTGTATAATATGTCTATGTTTTAATCCAATATTATTATAAAAGAGTAAAAATGTTATAAAAATTAAAAAGTATAAAGTAAATTTAGAGTAAGCTATGGTTAATTTATTATTGAAGAAAAATATTTTTAATAAATTCAGTGTAGCCAAAGTGTACAGCATTTGTCAAGTCTTCAGTAGTTTACAATAATGTTCTATGCCTTCACATTCACTCATCAGTCATTCTCTGACTCACACAGAGTAACGTCCAGTCCTTCAAGCTTCATTCATAGTAAGTGCTCTATACAGATGTGTAGCATTTTTATCTTTAATATTGTACTTTTACTGTACTTTTTTATGTTAGATATTTATAGATACACAAATACTACCATTGTCTCACAATTGCCTGTAGTATTCAGTACAGTAACATGCTGTGTAGGTTTGTTAGCCTCAGAGTGATAAGCTACACCATATAGCCCAGGTGTGTAGTAGGCTATTTTATCTAGGTTTATGTAAGTACACTCTATGATCTTCCTACAACAATAAAATCATCAAATGATGCACTTCTCAGAATGTATTTCCATTATTAAGAGATATCTTAATAATGGAATGTCTGTATGTTGCTTAAAACATGCAAAAAATAGATGGAGAATTGTAAAAGCAATACAAATGTAAGAATTACACACAAAACCACAAAACCAGTGTGATTCAAATTAGCAACATTTATTTAGTGTCTAATGGTCTGCTGAAACAACATCACTAGTGTTGATTTTACAATGAAAAGATATAGCTGCAGGTTCTGTTTTATATTTAATCTGTTTTTGAATTTCGAGTTCAGTAATAATGTCCTTTAAGTATGCTAAATTATATTAATAAGAGCATTGCTGCTTGATTAAGAATAAGTATCCTTTGTCCTTAACAAAAATTCTTCCAGCAAGCAATTCTTGCATGCTAATTTTAATGAAAGCTAAAGTTCAAATCTCAGTATTTGATCATTGCCTCCTTTCCAGATTATGTGAGTTTATACTTTCCTCTTATTGGTTTGTAGAAAAACAAAATTGTTTTCAACCCAGTGCAGGAGCATTAAATATTCCGGAATAGTGGGTCCCCATTTAGTGGATCCAGCTACCCCAATCCATTGAGTTTTTCCTTTGCCATTGATAGCATGAGCACCGTAGGGCTTTTCTAAATCCTGAAGAACACTGGGCTCAGAGGCTGGTGCTTTGAGGTGAGATAACATTCAGGTCTGTAGTTCTTGATCCCAGTCACTGCAAAATATCCTTGCTTGAGTAAGATTTATAGTTTCTGCACAACTGAAAGTCTGTCACACAAAATGGTTCCTAATCATACCACCATTTTCAAGGGATAATGCTTGCAAGCAAGGATGGTGAGCTGGCTGGACTTCAGGCATCCCAAATGCTCAGGCTCCTCTGCCAATGGCAGATTCTGTTTTACTGTGCTTGTGGAAGGTATGTGTGTGCCAAGCACTTGAACATGGCTTACAGGTATTACACACCTCACATAATAACACTGTAAAAATTGTTTGGCGTAGTTGCAGATAAGGTTAGGATTATAGTGTTATTAAAGCTTGCTTTAATGCATTTATTTATGGAGTCAGGAACATAAAACTCCTTATTGCTTACTTATTACTGTATATGCTACCAGGAAAACTGTGGAGAGAGTAAAACAGAGATAAGAACAAAGTAATGCATCAACCTCTGTATCAGTTCAACCAAAGAAATACCACCAGGAGAGATAAAGGGACTCATTGCAGAGAACTGACTTACACAATTGTGGGAACCAGTTGTGCATTCTCTGTAAAGCTGTTGTTTTTGCTTCTGACACTGGAGCTTGAAGTCCACCTGACAGGCAGACAGAAAGGTAAGAGAGGTGTTTAGAGGGGTAAATCATGGGTAGGCAGGAGCTCACAGCATGGGCTAAAATCTCATAAGTATGGACTAAAACAGTAGCTCCTCTTGCCTGTGACATTGGTCACATGGGTGCCCTTTAGAAATTGAAACCCTTTATCACAGAGCTAAGCACAAACATATGGCCCAGGAGTCAGGAATCTGAAGAAGGATCCAGGGAACGAAGGGACAGGTGCAGGCATTGCTGCAGCCCCTCACTAACGGGGTGAGTGAGCAGATTTGTCACAATGGGTGTGGGGTACATGTTGACTATTCCTTCCCTCCTGTCCTCCACATCTAACAAGAAACCCCCTTACAGTTCACCCTAACTGCAACCATGCAAGAAAAATTCTGAGAAATGTATTTTAGCCTACCCAAGTTGACACAATGTCACTAAACTGCAAAGGTTTAGTTTCTTCAAGAGTTCACCATTAAATCTTGATTTAAAAGCTATTATTTGCCAGGCATTGTAGTAAATGCTGAGGGGATAGTACAGGTGGTGGGGCTCAGAACTTCACGCCCATGGAAGTCTTGACCAGCCAGTTTATCCTATAGCGATGCCAATGCACTTTAGCTCAGTAAAAGTATAATCTTAGGAACAAAAGCAGACTCTGGAATCCCAAGTCAGAATTCCATCTTTAGGTGGCTGTAAAATAATCCTAATTATTGTGTTATATTGTTTGGATTACTATTAAAATAAAAAGTAAACAATTAGAACTGTTGTGTTTTCAGTTAGAAATGTCATAGAAATTACAGACCCCCAATGTGAAAGGCAAATGCCTCACATGATTGATACAATATTAATTCAGACAATAAACCCAATAAGCAGTTACCAAGTGTTGCCCTGTGCCAGGTAGTGATAAGGCTGGAGCCACAGAATTAAATCATAAGTTCTGTACACATGGAGCACTCATAATCTGAGATAAGCAGTCATCTGTTCACTGAAATTTCTGTGGTCAGGCAACATCATAGTATCAGAGTTTTGGAGAAGTGTTACAGTTTCTGGGGCTTTCCTGAAGCAAACTAGAGTGTCCCTCTATCTCCCTTTACTCAATTACCACTGCAGCCTAAAGAGAGAACTATGTGAGTTCCTGGCCACTTCTGGTGTTTGCGTGATGACTTTCTCTCTGAGAGTCTTCCTGTGTTTCATCAGCAGTTGTCCGTGCCTGTTTGTGCAACCTTTTGCTTAAAGCTGAAAAATAGGACATGGCAATCCAAAAGCATCTGCAGAGTATGCATAAAGATTAGTATAGGCCTGGCATGGTGGCTCATGCCTGTAATCTCTGCACTTTGGGAAGCCAAGGTGGGTGGATCACTTGAGGTCAGGAGTTTGAGACCAGCCTGGCCAACATGGTGAAACGCTATCTCTACGAAAAATACAAAAAATTAGCCAGTCATAGTGGCAGACTCCTGTAATCCCAGCTACTTGGGAGGCTGAGGCAGGAGAATTGCTTGAACCCAGGAGGCAGAGGTTGCAGTGAGCTGAGATCGCACCACTGCACTCCACGCTGGGTGACACAGCGAGAATCCATCTAAAAAAAAAAAAGATTAGTTCAATGTAAAATATCCCTTTTAGGTTGTGTACAGCCTTGATGTTGTCTCCATTGTGTTTTGGTAACATCTGACTCATACTGGTTCTCGAGGAGGCACTGAGGGCCAGTGGACTTGCTAAGATTTTAATGTGGCAAATTGCTTTCACTTCTTTATTAGAAATTTTTCCATCCAGCCATAATCTTGAGAAAGGCTGTGTGTTCTTTGAGTTCTGAGCATGGTTATGCGGTACAGGAAGGTACAGGACAAAATAGAAGGGATTCTTCTTTTCTTCAAAGCATCCTGTGTTTAGCTTCCATATTGCACTCATCTCTGTGTAGTGCAATTATCTCAGTACTGAGTGCAGAACTTGATACTTGGGTTTTGCTAAAACGAAAAAAGAAAAAATGAATCATATCAAAGAAAAAACAACAAAAACAAATGTATGAAGGATCAATGAATGACTCTAGGTCATTAAAATGACCTGCAATAAAAATGCATGCCAGAATGGGGCAAATGGTGGGGGTGGAGTTAAGGAATTTAAAATACGTAACTTTTGTTGAGCCTTTACTACATGAAAGTCATTGTGCTAAACACCTTCTACCTTTTCTGATCTAATTCTCTTAACAACTCAATGCATATGGGACTATATCTAGTTCTATTTTCTAGGTGAAATAGCCTCAGAGGAGACTGTTTTAAGACAGGAGTCACAGTTCTAGAAGGGATAACGCTCCCAGAACAAGATAACAGAAGGGAAATTACTGAAGTGAACTGATCACATCATTCCAACCAGCTGGGCTGTGAATGATGGCATGGCACATGTCAAAGACATTTCCAAGTCGTTTTCTTCTGCTCTTCTATATGTAGATGCTGGCTAGGTACCAGATTTGGATACATCTTCCTTAGATGTTTGGAAACTCCTTCCTCTCCACCCATCTCTCTTTCTTTTTCTTTTCAATAATAGCTTAATTGAGATGGAATTCACACACCATACATTTCACCCATTTAAAGTATACAGTTCAATGATTTTTTTAGTATTTCAGAGTTTTGCAGCCATCACCACAATCAATTTTAGAACATTTTTACTACCCTGAAATAAAACCTCATACTCATTAGCATTTATTCCCTATTTCTTCTTCCCCTCAGCTTCTGGCAACTATGAATCTCCCCTTGTTTCTATGGATTTCCCTATTCTGAACATTTCATAAGAATTGAATCATACAATCTGTGGCCTTTTGTGCCTGGCATCTTTCAGTGTAGCTTCCAAGTGCATCCATGTTTTAGCAGGTATAAGTACTTCATTTTTTTTCTTTTTATTGCCAAGAAATAGTATATTTCATCAAATGGATATGCCACATATATTCATTCATCAGTTAATGGACATTTGGTCGGTATTTGACTTTTGGCTGTTACAGATAATGATACAATGAATATTTGTATATGTTTTTGTGTGAAACTATGTTTTCATTTGTCTTGGGTATGTATCTAGGGATAAAATTGCTGAATCATACATTAATTCTGTTTAAACTTTTGAAAAATTTTCAGATTGTTTTCCATACTGGCTGCACTATTTCCCGTTTCCATGGACAGTGTAAGAGGGTTCTAATTTCTCCCCGTCCTTACAAACACTTTTTATTTTCTGTCTTTTTGATTATAGCCATCCTAGCAGGTGTAAATTGGTATCGCATTAGGTTCCTATTTGTATTTACTTTGGGTCTAGATGTTGACCATTTTATATGTGCATATTGAACATTTGTACATCTTCTTAGGAGAAATGTCTATTTATATTCTTTGCCTATTTTTAATTGGTTATTTGTCATATTTTCATCGAGTTGTGAGAGTTACTTATATGTTCTTGATAGAAGTCTTTAATCAGATGTAGGATTTGTAAATGTTTTCTCCCATTTTGTGGGTTGTCATTTAATTTCTTTTCTTTTTCTTTTTTTTTTTTTTTGAGACACAGTTTTGCTCTGTCACCCAGGCTGGAGTGCAATGGCGTGATCTCGGCTCACTGCAACCTCCACCTCCCTGGTTCAAGCAGTTCTCCTGCTTCAGCCTCCTGAGTAGCTGCGATTACAGGCGCCCGCCACCACGTCTGCCTAATTTTTTGTATTTTTAGTAGAGACGGGGTTTTGCCATGTTGGCCAGGCTGGTCTCGAACTCCTGACCTCAGATGATCCGCCTGCCTCGGCCTCCCAAAGTGCTGGGATTACAGGCATGAGACACCATGCCCGGCTGTTATTCAATTTCTTAATGGTATCCATTAAAGAGCAAATATTTTAAATTTTGATAAGGGACAATTTATTTCTTTTCTTTTGTTGCTTGTGCTTTTGGTGCCATACATAAGAAATCATTACCATTCCAAAGTCATACAGATTTATGGCTATGTTTTATTCTAAGAGTTTTATAGATTCAGTTTTTACATTTAGTTCTTACATTTGGATCTTAAATTCATTTTTGGTGAATTTTTGTGTATGGTAGAGTAGGAGTACTTAGGAGTCCAACTTTACTAATTTTTTTTGCATGTGAATATCCAATTGTCCCAGCACCATTTGTGAAAATATTATTATTTTGTAATTGAATCATCTTGGTAACTTTGTAAAAATTTAAGTGTCCCAAAATATGAGTTTGTTCTTTTTTTATGAACTCTCAATTCTGATCCATTGATCTATATGCCTGTCCTTATGCCAATACAACACTGCCTTGATTACTGTAGCTGTGCAATAATTTTTAAATCTGAGTGTGATTCTTCCAACATTATTATTCTATTTTGCCTATTCTAGATCCTTTACATTTCCATATAAATATTAGGGTTATGTTGTCAATTTCTTCAAATAATCTACCTTGTGTTTTTTGTAAGAACTGAATCAAATCTGTTGATCAATTTGAAGAATATTGCCATCTTATTAATATGAACTCATCCAACTCATGTACATGGAAAGTCTATTTATTTAGGAATTCTTTAATTTCCTTCAATAAAGCTTTGTGGTTTTTACTGTACAGATCTTTTTTCATCTTAATGTAAAATATAAATATATTTCCTTTTTAAATTTTAGACTCGGAGGTGCACGTGCAGATTTGCTACATGCCTGTATTGTGTGACATAGAGGTTTGGGGTATGAATGATCCCGACACTCAAGTAGTGAGCATAATACCCAATAGGTAGTTTGTCAGCCCTTGCCCCCCAACTTCCACTCTCCCCCTTGTAGTAGTCCCCAGTGTCTATTGTTCCCATCTTTATGTCCATGTGTACCCAATTTATAGCTCCCACTTGTAAGTGAGAACATGCAGTATTTGGTTTTCTGTTCCTGGGTTTAATTTGCTTAGGACAATGACCTGTAGTTGCATCCTTGTTGTGCAAAAGACATACTTTCATTCTTTTTTATGGTTGTATGGTATTCCACGGTGTATATGTATTACATTTTCTTTATCCAATCCACTGTTGATGGGTATCCTATGTTGATTTTATGCCTTTGCTACTGTGAATAGTGCTGCAATGAACATACAAGTGCATGTGTCTTTTTGGTAGAAAGACTTATTTTCTTTCAGGTATGTACCCAATAATGGGATTGCTGGGTGGAAAGGTAGTTCTAAGTTCTTTGAGAAATGTCTACACTGCTTTCTGCAGTTGCTGCAATAATTTTTATTCCCACTAACAGTGTAAAATGTTGCATTTTCTCCGCAGCCTTGCCAGCATCTGTTATTTATTGATTTTTTTTTTTTTTGAGACAAAGTCTCGCTCTTGTCACCTATGTTGGAGTGCAATGATGTAATTTCAGCTCACTGCAACCTCTGCCTTCCAGGTTCAAGTGACTCTCCCACCTCAATCTCCCAAGTAGTTGGGATTACAGGCACCTGCCACCACACCCAATTAATTTTTGTATTTTTAGTAGAGATGGGGTTTCACCAAGTTGGCCAGGCTGGTCTCAAACTCCTGACCTCAAGTGATCTGCCCGCCTCAGCCTCCCAAAGTGCTGGGATTATAGGCATGAGCCCCCACGCCTGGCCTATTTATTGACTTTTTAAAATAACAATTCCACCTGGTTGGTGCAAGGGGGCATCTAATTGTGGTTTTGATTCACATTTCATTAGTGATGATGAACTTTTTTCATGTTTGTTGGCTGCTTGTAGGCCTTCTGATAAGTGTCGGTTCATGTTCTTTGCCTACTTTTTAATGAAGTTATTTGTTTTTGCTTGTTGCATTAGGTTCTTTATGGATTCTGTATATTAGGCCTTTGTCAGGTGCATTGTTTGCAAATATTTTCTCCAATTCTGTTGTATGTTTACTCTGTTGACGGTTTCTTTGTTTTGCAGAAGTTCTAGATCCCACTTGTCAATTTGTGTTTTTGTTGCAATTGCTTTTGAGCACTTACCCATAAATATTTTGATAAGGCCTGTGTCCAGAATGGTACGTCCTAGGTTTATGTCTAGGATTTTTATAGTTTGAGGTCTTATATTTAAATATTTAATTCATTTTATTTACTTTTTTATATGGTGAAAGAAAGGGTCCAGTTTCAGTCTTCTGTTTATGGCTAGTCAGTCATCCCAGCACCATTTACTTAATAGGAAGTAATTTCTCCATTGCTAATTGTTGTCAAGTTTATCAAAGACCAGATGGTTGTAGGTGTGTGGCTTTCTTTCTCGGTTCTCTAACCTGTTCCATTGGTCTATGTGTATGCTTTTGTATCAGTACCATGCTGGTTTGGTTACTATATCCTCATAGTATAGTTTGAAGTCAGGTAATAAGATGGCTTCAGCTTTATTCTTTTTGCTTAGCATTGCTTTGGCTATTTGGGCTATTTTTTGGTTCCATCTGAATTTTAGACTAGTTTTTTCTATTCTGGGAAACATGATGTTTGTAGTTTGATAAGAATAGCATTGAATTTATAGATTGCTTTGGGCAGTGTGTCCATTTTCACAATATTGACTCTTCCAATTCATGAGCATGGAATGTTTTTCCATTTGTTTGTGTTATCTATAATTTTTTTAGCATTGTTTTGTAGTGCTCCTTGTGGAGATCTTTCAGCTCTTTGGTTAGATGTATTTCTAAGTATTTTTGGGAGGGATGGGTGCTATTGTAAATGGCATTGTGTTCTTGATTTGGCTCTCAGCTGAAATGTTATTGGTGTATAAAAATGGTACTGATGTTTGTGAATTGATTTTGTATCCTAATATTTTACTGAAGCTGTTTATCAGTTCCAGGAGCCTTTTGGCAGAGTCTTTAGCATGTTTAAAGTATAGAATCATCAGCAGCAAAGAGAGATAATTTGACTTCTTCTTTTTCTATTTGGATGTCTTTTATTTCTTCTTGCCTTATTGCTCTGGCTAGGACTTTTGGTACTATGTTGAATAAGAGTTGTGAGAGTGGACATCCTTGACTTGTTCCTCTTCTTAAGGTGAATGGTTCCAGTTTTTGCCCATTCACTATGATGTTGGTTGTGGATTTATCATAGGTGACTTTTATTATTTTGAGGTATGTTCCTTCAATGTCTGGTTTTATCATGAAGGAAAGTTGGATTTTATCAAAAGCTTTTTCTGCACCTATTGAGATGATCATATGGTTTTTGTTTTTAAGTGTCCTTATGTGGTCAGTTGCATTTATTGATTTGTGTGTGTTGAACCAACCTTGCATCTTAGGAATAAAGCCTACTTCATTGTGGTGGATAAGCTTTTTGATGTACTGCTAGATTCAGTTTGCTAATATTTTATTGAGGATTTTTGTATCTATGTTTATTAGAGATATTGGCCTGAAGTTTTATTTATTCATTACGTTTTTGCCAGGTTTTGGTATCAGGATGATATTGGCTTCATAGAATGAGTTAGGGAGGAGTCCTTCTGTCTCAAGGTTTTAGAATAGTTTTAGCAGAATTGGTACCAGTTATTTTTTGTACATCTAGTAGAATTCAGCTGTAAATTCATCTAGTTCAAGACTTCTTTTGGTTGGTCAGTTTGTCATTATTGATTCAATTTTTAAACCAAATATTGGTCTGTTCAGGGTATCAATTTCTTCCTGATTCAATCTTACTAGATTTTGTGGTCCCATGAATTTATCCATTTCCTCTAGATTTTCAAGTTTGTGTGCATAGAGGTGTTCATAAAAGTTTCTAAGGATCTTTTGTATTTCTGTGGGATTAGTTTTAATGTCACACTTGTTGTTTATGACAGTTCTTTTTTGGATCTTCTCCCTTTTTTTTCTTTGTTAATGTAGGTAGCAGTCTATCAATTTTGGGTATCCTTTCAAAAAACCACCTTTTGGTCTTATACTTTTTATGGATTTTTGGATCTCAACTTCATTTAGTTTTGCTCTGATTTTAACATGCCTTTTCTTCTGATAGCTTTGGGGTTAGCTTGTCTTTATTTTTCTAGTTCATCTAGATGTGATCATTAATGTTAGATCATTAATTTGGTATGTTTCTATTTTATTGAAATCGATATTGAGTGCTACTAACTCTCCTCTTAACACACTTTTGCTGCATCTCAGAGATTTTGAAGTGTTCTACCTCTTTTTTAATTTACTTCAAATAATTTTTCTTATTTTTGTCTTAATTTCTTTGTTTACTCAAAAGTCATCCGGGGCAACTTTCTTAATTTCAACTTAATTGTGTGGTTTGAGAGATCTTATTGGAATTGACTTCTATTTTGGTTCCATTGTGTTCCAGGAGTATGATTGATATGATTTTTATTTTTTTTTATTTTATTGAGATTTTCTTCATGGCTGAGAATGTGATTGATCTCAGAGTATTTTCCAGAAGCAGATAGGAAGAATGTATAAGCTGTGGTTGATGGGTGGAATGTTCTATAGATATCTCTTTGGTTCAATTAATCAAGTTGATCAAGTATTGAATTTAAGTCCAGAATTTCTTTGTTAGTTTTCTGCCTTGGTGATCTGTCTAGTGCTGTCAGTGAGGTATTGGGTTCCTCCACCATTATTGTGTGGCTGTCTTTTTATAGGTCTAGAAGCACTTGTTTTATGACTCTAAATGCTCCAGTGTTTGGTATGTATATATTTAGAATAGTTAAGTCTTCTCATTGAATTGCATCCTTCATCAGTATGTAGTTCCTTTATTTGTCCTTTTATGCCATTGTTGGTGTAAAGTCTATTTTAACTAATTTAAGAATAGTTACCCCTCTTTTTTTTTGTTTTCCATTTGCATGATAGGTCTTTCTCCAACGCTTTACTTGAGCCTATGGCTATCATTACATGTGAGATAAATCTCTTGAAGACAGCAGGAGGTTGGGTCTTGTTTTTTTAATATGTGATATGAATATTAATCTTGAATGTAAATGGTCTAAAGGCCCCACTTAAAAGGAACAGAGTGGCAAATTGTGAAGTTGTTAGCTGTTAGGTGTATAGTTGTTTCATAGGGTCTCTGGGCTATATACTTAAATGTGTTTTTGTAGTAGCAGATATTATTCTTTTGTTTTCATGTTTCAAACTCCCTTAAGGATCTCTTGTGAAATTAGTCTACTGGTAATAAATTCCCTTAGTAATTGCTTGTCTAGAGAAGACTTCATTTCTCCTTCACATGAAGCTTAGTTTAGTGGGGTATGAAATTCTTGGTTAGAATTTTCTTTCATTAAGAATGCTAAAGATAGACTCCCAATCTCTCCTGGCTTGTAAGGTTTCTGCTAAGAAGTCTGCTGTTAGCCAGATGGGGTTCCTTTGTACATGATCTAACATTTTTCTGTGGCTGCCTTTAAGGTTTTTGCTTAGCATTGACTTTGCACAAGCTGGTGCCTATAGGTCTTGGTGTTGTTCATTTGGTATAGTATCCGGCAGGTGTTCTCTGGATTTCTAACATCTGGATAGTTACTTCTCTAGCAAGATTAGTAAAATTTTCTTGAATTATTTTTTCAAATGTGTTTTTCGGGTTGTTTTCTTTTTCTTTTTCCCTTTCAGGAATGCCAATAATTTGTAGATTTTCTTGCTTTACATACTCCTATATTTCTAAACGCTTTGTTCAGTTTTAAAAATTCTTTTTTCTTTATTTTTGTCTGACTGGGTTAGTTCAAAAGATTGGTCTTCAAGTTCTGAAATTCTTTCAGAATTGCTTGGTCCAGTCTATTGATAAATATTTTAATTGCATTTCATAATTTCTTAAGTGAGTTTGTCTATTCCAAAAGCTCTGACTGATTTATTTTTAAGCTGTTTATCTCTTTCTTCATTTACTGGATTCCTTTAGAAGTTTCTTTGTGTTGATTTTCAACTTGTCTTGATCTCACTGAACTTCTCTGATCCATGCTTTGAATTCTTTATCTTTCATTTCTGAGTTTCCATTTTGTTTAAGGAGCATTACTAGAGAGCTAGTGTGTCACAACATTCAGATTTTTCATGGTGCTGTAACATTTGCACTGGTGCTTTCTCATCTGAAAATGCAGCCACTTCTAATTTTTGTAATTATTTTCATGTGGATAGGATTTTTTTCTTTTTTTCCATATAATATTATTTTATTCTTTATCTTTCTCCCCCTCTCTAGGGGCTGTGACTGTAAAGAATGTAAGATAGAGTCTTTGGCTTTGCTTCTATAGCCCATTTTTATTCTAGGTTTGGGGCTTGACCTACAAGCTATTAGATGGTGCTTATGGGTAAGAGCTGGCTGCAGCCAATGTAGCTCTTTATTTACTGGGAGAAGCTCTGTGTTGCCTCAGGCAATGGGTAGATCTGTGAAGTGCATCGTCGGGGGGTGAGAGAAAGACCAAGATGGGTGGTGTCAGACTAGGCAGGCACAAACACCAGCACAAAGTTATAATCCAGTGGGCAGTTACCAAGTACCCAGAGGAGTGCCTACGCACGAAGTTAAGAAACTTCTTTGGTCCCAAGTTCTCTGCACAGGGAGAAGGGTTGGCCTAAATACCTAATACAGGAGAAGTGAGTGTTCCAGATGCTTGGAGATCTGTCTGGATATGGAATGCAGAGGGCCCAGGTGCAACAAAATCTCTGCACAAAAACGGTGAGGGTGACTCAGGCTGTTACCCAGGCAAGCTGGTGTTCTGTATCCCTGAAGGTCTGGTCTGGGCATGCAGCAGAGTAGGCCCTGCTCCATCACAGCCTCTGCACAGGAAGGATAAGGTGGTTCAGGCTGCTGATCCAGATGAGCAGGTGTTCTCAATGCCCAGAGATCTCCCTCAGCACCCCCTGCACCCAGATCTCTGTACAAGAAACTTAGGGTGATTCAGGCTGCCACCCATTTAGTTGAATGGGTGCTCAAACTGCCTGCAAATAGACCTGGACGTACAGTGAAGAGGGCCTCCCTGCGCCATGATCTATGCACAGGAAGCATGGGGTGGCTCAGACTGCTGATGTAGGTGAATGAGTGTTCTGAATGCCTGAGGATCTGCCCAGGTGTGGAGTGGAGGTGACCCTGCTGCACCATTATCTCTGCATAGGATAAGTGTGGCTGCCCAGGCTGCTGATCTAGGGGAGTCAGTGCTCCAAATGCCCAGAAGTCTGTCAGGGCCTGGAGCAGAGAGGGCCCCCCACCCATGCATGAGCATCTCAGCAAAGGGAGGGTGGGACAACTCAGGCTGCTGATCCTTGCGAATGGGTGCTCTGAATGCCTGGAGATCTGCCTCGGCATGGAGCAGGGAGATTATGCACCTTAATCTCTGGGGAGCTGGCTGGATCACCTAGCAGTGACATATGCAGACTGGTTCCAAGTCACCGAGCTGTTCCTGGCTGCAGTCTCATTGCCCAGGAGACAATGTAGCTGCAGCAATTCCCCTCCTGTCCCAGACCTGTGAAGGGGTAGAGCACAATTTCAGTGCCTATTGCTGGTGTGCTTTTCACAGTTCTGCTTGTGGAGGCATCTACATCTCCTCAGTGCAAGTGCTCTGCTCTTTGGCCTGAGACTAAAAAGCCAGCATGGCCATGCTGCCAGGTCACCTAACAATGACTGACTTTGTATGCACCTAGATTAAAAATGATGTCCTGCTTTTGGTCCCAGGTCTAGGAAAATACCTGCAGCTTTTTCTGGGGTCTTTCGTTCTCAGCATCTCTAAGACCCTCCCAAGTTAGCTCCAGGGCTTGGGAGAAACAAAGTGCTCTCCCTTGGCCTTGGTTGCACAGATCCCCAGTGGAAAGGTGAGTCACAGAGGGAGACTATTTTCCCCTCTTGTGTACTGGGGTTTCACTCACTTTTATCAGCCAGACATCATTGCGGGGGCTGTTTGCTCACCTTCTCCTCCCTCAGATCTGGGGTGTCCTTCATTATTCCAGTGGATTCTCATTTCCCTTTTCATTGCTACAGTATTTTGAGACTATTTTTACAGTTAAGTTTTGTATATTAATCATTTGTCTTATAACTCCTCTGAAACTCATTTAATCTATTTAAGTGGATTTTTTAGTATTTTCTATATTTAAATGTTATGAGTTGATTTGTGCTTCAGTACCCTGCCCAATCATATAATAAATTGAAATTCTAATTCCCACTACCTCAGAATATGACTTTATTTGGAGACAGGGTTTTTACTGGAGATATCAAGTTAAAATCAGGTTATTAGGTTGGGCACTAATTCAGTATGACTGGTGTCTTAATAAAAATTGAGAAAGTTAGACACAGAGTCACCATGGAAGAAACACAATATAAAGATACATAGGAGGAGATGATTATCTAAAAGCCAAGGATAGATACCTGGAACAGATTCTTTTCTCAAAACCTTCAGAAAGAACACATCTTGCTGACACCATGATTTTGGATTTCTAGTCTCTAGCACTGCAAGACAATAAAATTATATATTTGGAGGCAACCAGTTTGTGGTACTTCGTCATGGCAGTTGGAAAACTGATACAACAAGACCATGTCTTCTGCAAATAGACACAGTTTAATTCTTTATTTACATTTTGGATGACTTCTATTTCTTTTTCTTGCCTAATTGCCATGGATAGAACCTCCAGTGCAATGCTGAATGGAAGTGGGATGAGGGGCTATCCCTTTATTTCCTTATGTTAGAGGTAAAACATTTAGTCTTTCACCATTAAATATGATGCCACCTGTACATTTTTCGTAGATGCCCTTTAACAGATTAAGACATTTTTCTTCTATTCCCAGTTTGTTGATTTTTGAAAAAGAAATCATGAAAAAGTGTTATGTTTTATTAAATGCTTGTTCTGGATCTATGGAAATGATCATATAGTTTTTATCTCTTGTTCAATTAATATGGTTTGTTGAATGCATGTTAAACCAACCTTGCATTCCTCAAATAAATCCCCCTTGGTCATAATGTATAATTCTTTTTTGTATTTTGATGGATTTAGGGTTGTACTTTTTAAAGAGTTTTAAAAACTATATTCATAGGCAAAGTAATCTGTGATTTTCTTGTTTGTTATTTGTCTGGTTTTAGTCTTGGTGATTATTGTCCTCATAAAATGAATTGTGAAAGTTGTTCGCTCTTCTATGTTTTGACAGAGTTGATGTAGAACGGGTATTAATTCTTCTCAAATGCTTGGCAGAATTTACCAGTTGAAGCTTTGGTTCCTGTCTTTTCTTTTTGAAAAGTGTTTGATTAACAGTATACTCATTATTGATCTATTTGTGTTTTTATTTCTTTTTTGGTCGATTTTGGTAGTTTATGTATTTTTAGACATTTTCTGTTTTATTTAGGTTATCCAATTTGTTGCATGTAATTGCTCATAGTATTCTATTATAATCCTCTTTATTTGTGCAAGGTGAATAATAATATTCCTCTTCTTTTTTCATCCTAATAATCTGAGTCTTCTCCATTTTTAACTCGGTCAGTCTAGCTAGAGTTTTGTCAATTTTATTGACATTTTTAAAGATCTGCCTTTTGGTTTTGTAGATTTTCTTTGTGGCAATTATATCATCTAATTTTTTTCTGCCTTAATCCTTATTATTTACTTTATTTTGCCTGATTTGTACTTAATTTGCATTTCTTTTTCTAGTTTCTTAAGGTAGAAGGTTAGATTACTGATATTATTCTCATTTTAATATAGGTGTTTATAGTCATATATTTTTCTTTATGTATTCCTTAAATTGCATCTCAAAAATTTTTATGTATTGTGCTTTCCTTTTTCTTTCTGTCAAAGCATTTTTCTAAATGTCCTTGTGATTTCTTCTTTGTGCATTAGTTATTAGGGAATGTGTGGTGAAATTGCCATGTTGATGAATTTCCAAAATTTGCTTCTGTTATTTACTTTTAGTTTTATTCCGTACGTTCAGAGAATATACTTTCTGTAATTTGAAGCCTTTTAAATTTGCTGAAATATATTTTATGGCCGAGCATATGGTCTATATGAAGAATGCACTGGAGAAGAATATTCATTCTGCTGCTGTTGAATGGAATGTTCTATAGATATGTGAGGCTTTGTTGGTTTATATTGTTGTTCAAGTATTTGATTTTCTCTTATTTTCTGTCTAGTTGACTCACTCATCATTGAAGATGGTATATTAAAATTTCCAACCATTACTGTTGAATTGAATATTTCTCTCTTTCATGATTCTATCTACCACAAAGTAGATGATAGTTTATTTTGGCTGGTATTAATATAGCTAATCTGGCTCTCTTTTGGTCACTATTTGCATAATATCTCTTTTTACATCCTTTTACTTTCAATTCATTTGTGTCTTTGATTCTAATGTGTGTCTCTTGCAGATGGCATATAGTTGGATCATGTTTTCTTTTTAATTCTTTATCTATTCTCTGCCATTTTAGGAATGTTTAATAAATGTACCTGTAATATAACTGCTGGTAATGTAACATTTATTTCCATGATGTTTCTATTTGTTTTCTACATATTTCTACATATTTTCTACATATTTCCCCGCCTTCCTCTGTTGCTGTCTGTTATATGTTAAATAAATTTTTCTACGGTAGCAATTTACTTCTCTTGTCATTTCTTTAACTATGTATTTTTGAGTTATTTTCATAGTGGTTACCCTGAGAGTTACAATTAATGTCATAGCTTATGACTATCTGGATCAGATTAAGGCCAATCTAATTTCCATAGTAAGTACTAGCTTTGCTCTTACTTACCTCCATTTAATCTTTTCTCCTTTGTTGTATTGTTATACATATTACATCTTTCTATACTGGGCATCCATCAATAATGATTCATAATTATTGTTTTAGAAAGTTGTTTTAAAAATAAGATAGTAGAAAAAATATACATGTATACTGTGCTTTATATTTACCTCTGTATTTAACTTTACTGGTGCTCCTTGAATTTTCAGGTGGATTTGCGTTACAGTCTAGTGTTCTTTCATTTCAGCCTTCTTTCAGGTTCCTTTTAAAATTTCTTTTGAGTAAGTCTATTGGCAACAGATTGTCTCAGTTGTTGTTTACCCGGGAGTATCTTAATTTTTTTTTTCATTTTTAAAGGATAGTTTTGCAGGCTATAAAATTATTGATTGGCAGTCTGTATTTCAGCACTTTGAACATGCCATGCTACTGCCTGCTGGCCTCCACGGTTTCTGATGAGACATATGTTAATCTTATTGAGCATCCCTTGCATACGATCCATAACTTCTCCCTTTCTGCCTTCAAGATGGTCTTTGGCTTTCAACAATTTAATTGTAATATCTAGAAATAGATCTCTTTGAGTGATCCTACATGCAATTTGTTGAGCTATTCTTATTGCTTTCATGGAAGATATACTTTGCAGATGTCTTTATTGCTGATATCTAAGGATTGCATTTTGAGAGATAAACAAGAGTTGGGGAGAAACAGTGATGCCAGACTGGGGAGAAAAATAAGAGTTGAAAGAACCTTTACAATTCTCATTAAAACAAAGTTTCTGGCTAGACATTTGTTATCTCATATAGTAGCCACGTGTGTTTGCTTAAATATAATTTAGGGTGGGTACAGTAGCTCATGCCTGTAATCCTAGCACTTTTGGAGGCTGAGCAGTAGGATCACTTGAGGCCAGGAGTTCAAGACCTGCCTGGCCAAACATAGCCAGACCTCATTTCTACAAAATTAAAAAAAAATAGTGGAGTCTGGTGGTGCAAACCTATAGTCCCAGCCACTTGGGAGGCTGAAGCAGAAGGATCACTTGAACCCAAGAGTTTAAAGTTGCAGTGAGCCATAATCATGGCACTGCACTCCAGCCTGGGTGACAGAAATTTTATTTTAATTAATTAAAATAAAATTAAATGTAAAATTCAGTTTCTCACTCACAGTAGCCAAATTTCAAAGGTCCAATAGTCACATGAGGCTAGTGCCATTTTGAGCAGCATCGATATAGAACATTCCCATCATTGCGAAACTTGTGATTGGAAAGTGCTGGTCTATTGTATAAGTGAGAAAATATAGTGTGATGTGACTTGAACATCACAACAGGACATTGGGACTGTTTTTCATATTTGGCAGCTATCTCATCTGGAGCAAGTTAATTAACTTCTTAGTATCATAGATCTTTAAATGGTAGGGATATAATTATTTAGTTAGGAAAACACATACAAAAGCATCTTAGCTCAGATTCCAGCACATGGTAGGTATCAATAAATGTTGATTTCATGCCTCTCCATACACATATATGCTTATCAACCTTCTCTTGTAATATTTTCAAAGGGAACTGCTTTCTATTCCTGATTGCATAAAATGCAAGTATCTCTCTATGCAAACAGGTATTAATAAGTGGCAGAAAAAAAATAAAATGGATAGTCAATAACCCTCAGACACAGAGAAGGTCACTTTTTTAATTTATCTATTGGTGGTACATTTATTTATTGGTGGAGGCTAAGGTTGGACTTTGCTGTGGGTCCCCTCTGTTGTTATTTTCAGCCATCATAATTCTTCCTGCCCTTTGATGACCCAGCTTCACCTTTGGTGTTGAGCAATCTCCACTCTCCACTCTCTTGCCACCCCCGACGGGTGTCAGGGGCAGCATGAAAACATGTTTCCATTTATAGAGACATTTTCTATCAGTAAATATTCTCTCTTTATAATTAAGCAGGAATCTTTTATTTAAAATCTAACTTTAGCAAAATATAAATCCTGGCTATTTGAACATTTTCAGAATAACACATTTTTTTTTTTGAGAAACAAGAAATGTATCCACTTTGTAGCTAATAAAAATATACCTTTTATTGCAATATTTTTTCTTAAAATTCTTGAACTAGAAGAAATAGGGCCAGACACTGAAAGCCATGGATTCTTTACTGGCGCATCTTAATGGTCACTTCATGTCTGAAGGAAAATGAATATTCCTTATGGGATAACTCCTAAGATTTATTAAGAAAGGACAAGACTGTCAACAGTGATATAACTTCCCTATTAAGCTAGAATTGCACATTGGAAGGCAGACCTCGGCTTTCCTAGGAACAGGGATCTCGCAGCATGGAGCAATAATTCGGATACTCTCTGCCGACCATCCTCTGAAAAATAAAGAAACCATGTCTGTGCTATGCTAGGTTCTCGTAAAGCTAAGTGCTCTTAAGTAAAGCTGATTTTAAAAAGCTTGGGACTAGGATATTCCAAAGCGCATCAAAATTATACATATCCCTTGAAGGAAAAACTGTGTAGAAACTTTTCCTAGGGAAACTAAACTTTACTATTTTTAGTATGCTGGAAACCTGCTACATTGTTGTTTTCTTATTCATAAACTATGATTTAAACAGCTGTCTCACATTGAATCAAGATTTTCAACATTTCAAATGACTTTCTAGGCCATTATCTCTGTTTCTCATAACACTTTGAAGGAGGATGAAAAATTCTAGTAGGTATCTCTATTTAACGAGTAGAGACTGCAAAGCAATAGCCAAGTACCTGAGCTGAGAAAAAAAGGGGACAAAAGGCCATTTTCCTGTCTCATAGGTAAAGAGAAAGATTAGTTGGCATCAACACTAATTTTTTTTTCACAAACTAGTGACTGTGGCTCATTTTTGCAGCCCTTGTGTCCTTGCCCCTATTTCATAAATTTGTAATGGGCATTTTTGGGAGGGCATGATGGGGATAGTGTATGCGTCCCAGCGGCAAGCAGGTAACATAACAAACAGAATAACTAAGAGAAATGTGGCAGGGCCCACTGGGTCTGTCACAAAGGGAAGGTCCTGTGGTGAGCTGGTGCTCAACATCTCTTTGTCTTCATAGAATTCAAAATGAAAAGAACGAAAAATGATAAGAGGTAATAAAGGGAATAAGGGCCAGATAAGGATTTTGTTGAGCAAACTTCAATTAGAATTGGGCTGTCACTAGGGATTCCCCCATTTAATTGATATGATTTTAAGTCAAAGTTTATTGGTCAATAGTTTCTCCTCTGTTCTTTAGAATTAGACTGTTATAACCCTGTATGATTGTGCTTTAATGAGCTTTTAAAAAGCTGCCTGATGATAACTGAACTCCCCTTCCCTTGAAACCTTTGACCTCTTTTCACACAGGTAGTTTGCAATCTTTCTGGCCATTTGGTATTTATCACATTCACTGATGATGAATCTAGGGAGTAATCCCATGATAATCCTGGTACAGGATGCAGAAGGAAACCTGGTCGTAACACAGAACATATTCTTATAGGGGATGCCGCAGCCATAGGGTACTGGGAGCTCACATGAAAAAGCTGTGATAAGACCTTGGGGGCTAACCTGGGACAGAGGTCAGACTTCTCTTTTGATAATGCCCCCATTAGTTCTTTAGTGACATGCGCTGCTATGGAGTTAGAAACAAGATCCAAAGTAGGAGCATATTGTGAAACTTTGTAATAGAATAAGCTTTTAGAACCTCTGAAGGTCCTGCTCAAAAATATATGCCTTTATGTTGAGTCACAGTTGTAGATATCTCTAGATTTGGCCCTGATTTGGTAGATATTATGACACCAATAAATTTCCAAAATTTTTTTCATGCAGATTAATCTCTTTGTTTCCATCATCCTTGCTACTCAAAATGTGGTCCGCAGACCTGCAACATTGACATCACCCAGGATTTTGTTAGAAATGCATAATCTCAGACTCCACCCTAGACCTACTGAATCCAACTGCACTTTTAAATGATCTCGAAATCATTTGGATACATGTTTGGCAGACACTGATCTGTACTGCACAACACTCCAAGGGGACACAGTTACTTAGTAGGGAGTTGGTCCTGGTATCCAGGCAAGAACAGATTGGAGAAAGGTTTCCTTGGCAAAGGAGAAATGATGGCTACCTTAGATGGCTCTGAGGAGCTTTCCTGCTCATCTTCAAGACAGAGTGCAAGAAGGAAGTGAGGCACAGCCTTGAGAAAGACAAGAACCTCATGCTCTATGAAAGAAACATTTAAGTAGCCCTTAAATGAGAACCAAAATTCATCAACTTTAGTGACAGTCTGAGAAAGTTGTGGGGTTTCAGGGTAAGTAGAGAAGTAAAATTCTGTTTCAGTTTTCCACATGAGCCTAGCGGAGGGGACTCTAGGATAATAGTCATTTGTGTGTTCGGTTTTCCCAAGAATATTTTTGTATCTTGTGTATATACAATGCTTGAAGAAAACAAAACATTTTGTATTTTTTTGTGTACTTGCTTATATTGTAGATATGATCGGGATACTGAAGACAGTACAGCAGTCATTTAGTTTGGTACTGCCCTGTATTTCTAGTTTATAGTATTTCGCATGCTTCTGATGATTAAAATATGATTGATGATTCAAGTCCCCTGCTTGTTTCTACCGGAAGTCCTGTGAGGAGAAGGGCTGTGTTGGTCATTCTAACCACTACATCTCCAGCAGAGATTTTGGAACCTGAGTACAGTGGCTACTTGTTGATGTTCAGAAGATAAATGATTCTTATGTAGGATGAGGAGTACTATGACAGAAGAAGAACAGGGCTGAGGAAGGATAGAGAGAGGACCTACCCATCTGAGGAGCAAGTAAGATAAGTGAGGGAGGGAAGAGAAGGGTAAGGTGGAGGTGGCTAAAACAGAATGAAGAGGAGGTAATGGGAATAGAACCAGGAAGGACTGGGTGGGTTTATGTGCTGGTAAGTGGGGAGAAGAATATTGTCACTCTTGCTGTCAATGCTCAAGGGATTTTTTTTTTTTTAATTCTGAAAACCAAAGATGACCTCAAAAAAAGGGCAGGCTAGTCCACCTGACATATGACATAGATTGTGTATTTAATTATTGCACTGGGCCGGGCGCATTGGCTCTCGCCCGTAATCCCAGCACTTTGGGAGGCTGAGACCTCCTGGCCAACATGGTGAAACCCTTCTCTACTAAAAACATTTAAAAAACATTAACCAGGCATGGTGGCACAGCCTGTAATCCCAGCTACTAGGGAGGCTGAGGCAGGGAATCACTGGAACCCAGGAGGTGGATGTTGCAGTGAGCCAAGATCACGACACTACACTCCAGCCTGGGCGACAGAGCGAGACTCTGTCTCGAAAAAAGAAAAAAATTACTGCACTGACAGAAAAAAAAAGATGGTCAATCACTGTACTCACTAAATATGATTTACAGTAGTTTTAGTTATCATTTAATTACATTATGTTTTAAACATTATTAGACAAAGGTAATAACAGAATTACAAGGAAAAATTCTTAAACAGGTTGAACAAATTACCTGGCAAGTAAATTAATTGATATCAATTCCAAGCAATGAAATGAAGTACTAATTACTCCATATCACCCTGGATTACATGGGGAATGGGTAAATTTATTTATTGCAATTAATGGTTTTGATTACTAAAACAGCAACATTTAATGAATTCTGAAATGTTCAGCATTAGACACTCCTGTTTGTCATATTTAAAACCCCTGATCTGTACAAGGTTCTCTGCACTCAGCCTGTGAACAAAATGACCTTGTTTTCAGAGTGCAAGGAGAGGAGTCATGGCAAGCAGCCGAGCAGCACCTGCTCAGGAGCGAGGACCTGAGCTCTGCGTGGTTATAAATATCTACAGAGAATCTACGATGAACTTCACTTATAAATCAGCACGAGAAGTTGGAGTTGGTGGAGAGACAACACATGAGTTAAAACTAGGGGCTAAGAGGTTGGACTTTTCTCTGCCACAAAGAGGCTGTGGAGTCTTGGATAGGTAAACTCACCAAGCAAAGCACTGATCGCCTGGCTTGTACAATGTCAGCATTTGACAAGGCAATTTCTTAAGTTTCTCCTGCTCTAAAACGTTATATTACTAGCTATGGAAAAAGATATAGGTTATTAATTACATTTACATAATCATATAGCACTTTAAGTTCATAAATGTCTTCAGGATATGTTGCCTCGTTTAATTTTTCTGTTAACATGTTCATGATGATGGGGTGGGAAGACTTTTCTTCCTTTTTTGGTAAATTTTATTTTTGGAGTAAGGACACACAGAAAAACATGTAGTATTACTAATTTTAAGAGAACTAGAAAATATTTCATGCTTATCATTTTCTAATTACAATTGGAGGTAATATAAACCTGTTGACTTGGATATAAATTGTGATTCAAAAGCCCTTTGGCTACCTTGAAACATGATTGCTAGCAAAAATCGTGAAGATAAAAATAGAGTTATAAAATGTGTATCCAATTCTGCATGTTTTCTACCCTTTAATTACCAAAGTTCTGACCATCATGCCCTCCCCTGGAGCAACTGATTTTCAAAAGGCCTCAAAAAGCACTTTTATGACTTTTAAGGTTTATATAAAAGTCCACTCATTCCTGATACATCTCATCTTTCTACATTACATGTAAAGCCTAAGTTTTCCCCCCACACCAGATTTATGATTATTGTGGATTATAATATGTAAACAATAATCATAAATCTATACATATATAATCATGCATATAATTGTTTTTTCAATTATAAGCCTGATATTGCTGCACTAAGCTTAGCATGGACATCTCATCAATGTAAATTTTAATTACCTAAGGCTTTGATATGCTCTTATTCCATATAATAGTAAAAAATGAATCCATGTTTTAATAGTCAGTTTGTATTACATTAATTAACATGCAATTACTATTGCAATTATATGCTTTTTGATTTAAAGGGACTTTTTTATCCTAATAAGAAAAACTATATTGATATTTGTAATTCTCTAACCTTATATGTTATTAGTTTCTATACAATCAGTTTTTTGAAGAGTTTTTTAACAAATAAAAAATAATCTGGTATTTAACTTGTAAATTATCTTTTGGTATATGCAAAAAGCTTACAAAGAGTTGCAATAATATTTGCATATGAGAATGGTAGCTAATTTGAGTTCTATTTTATTTTTTATTTTTAAATGATGCATAATAATTATACATATAATTAGTCTGTACTCTTTTTTGACTGGCTTCTTTCACTCAGCATGATTATTTTGTAATTGCATAATCAATAGTTCATTGCTTTTCACTGCTAAGCATTATTTTATTATAGGGATATGCTACAGTGTGTTGATCCATTCATGTCTTGATAGACACATAGGTTGTTTGCAGCCTTTAGTCTAGGGTGAATTCTTCCTACAACTTCGACAAATTTCTTCTGAGTATTCTATCCAACGCAGGACAGTTCTCCAGGTGTCTTGGGCCAACGCTGTCTTCTCCCCTTTTCTTGCCTATAGTTCTCAAGAATAACTAGAATGTGCTGGGAATGCAACATTCTGACATATAGTGGAATTGGCTAGAACAGGCCAGGGGCTGCTCCAAGTCCTTCCTAGAACAGAATGTCCTACAGCGCTTTAGCCCGGTAACCATATAATCCCCGGAGTATAGAATCCACTGTGGGCTGCTTTCCAGGGCCCCTCAGCTGAAGTGCAAGTGGGGCACATACGCATAGGTTCCATCTGCCCTGGGTAGCTTTCCTGAAGCTTGGGGGACTGGTTTGTCATGAATTCTAGGCTTCTGTTGTCCCTTGCTGCCTATCTGTAAGTAATAAACCTACTTCATGAAGGGTTGTATGCAAGTGTTCTGGGTCACCAGACTTGTGCAAGTGATAGAAACTGTCATAGCTCAGCGTGCAGTGGGTGGGGGGTTTTGGGTCTTTCCCTGGGATTAATACCAGTGCAAAGTGAACTTGCTTTGGACCCAGTGCCCTGTGACTCAGTAGATTTTCCAGTCTGTTGAGTGGAAACAGGCACTATTCCCTGCCCTTGCGTAAACTCTAAGCAACTTTCTAATTCTTTCATGTTATTCCTTCCCAGATACTTTGGATGGTTTTCTCACATGCATTCATTGATTAGTATGTTATTGAATACTCAAAGTAGGTGTCATCTTCACATACCCAGAGTCCTATTTATAATTCTTTCTGTGTGCAGTTCTACCTTTCCTGGTCCATTGCCCTAAAAACTCAATCTACTTGGTCTCCCTAGGCTTTCAACCCTAGTCTCCTGGACTCCTGAGTTTCCCTTTCCTGAGCCACAGCCTAGAATCTCTCTCAAAGAGATAATATGGACAATTGTAGAGCTTCCATTATTTTCATTCATAACTCTTAGGGATTACTGTTCTTCATTTATTGATCTCCAATGTCTTGAAAATATATTTTCTCATATATTTACTCATTTTAAAATTTGTTTCCAGTGGGAGGTCAAATCTGATTCCTTTTACTCCAATCTGGTCTGAAGCAGAAGCTATGGGTTCTATAATTGCTATTTGCTTCTTTTTTATTGCTTTTCCCTTTGCGGTAAAATGTTATATCTTGTCATCTACTTTCTTGAACATATAAGTCATAGCAATTTTAGAATCCATTTCTGGGAACTTCAATATCTGAATCATCTGTGAGTATATTGCTACTTTCTCTTTCCTTTTTTCTTTCCTCTTGGCACTATTTCAGTTTCAGAATGGTAATTTATAATTGAGTCCTAACTTTTGTATATGGACAAGTTATAGAGGTGCTGAATGATGTTCTCTACCTTCACAGATGACTTCATTCGATTTAATTTTTGCTAGGCAGCTAGAGAAGGAGCAGATTCCAACACCGCTCTCTGATATCCAGCTGTAGAAAGATTGAGTTTCTATATCTTAATCATGTTCTCTTTCTGGTTTGCACCTACTCCCAGTGTGAACTCTTCCAAAAGCCCAAACTTTGAGCTTATACAAGAACTCTCCTTATTGGGACCCATATTTCTTTGCATACGTAACACTGTGAGGCTCTCCAAAGCTGTGCTTAGTGTTTCGTCTTCTCAAATGCCCCTAACAGAAACCTGGGGCTGTGTATTGAGCTCACCTGCTGTGTTCTTCCCTCCTTTCTGGTACCCCTGTTTCCTTGGGAACCTTGAATTCTAAGTTTTATCTCTCCAATCCCATGTAATTGTCAAAAATTTTGTTTGGATTTTGGACTTCTTTGGAGCAGCTTTAGTTTGGCTTTTTAGACGCTAGTCCTGTGCAGTTTGGCAACCAGCGAATGCCTGGAGGGGAAAGGCCAGATGAAACATGAGGTTCACATCAGCACCTTTCTCTTTTTTGTGAGATTTTAACTCCTTAAATCCTATATTTCTTAGTAATCCCCTGAAGCCTTGAAACAGTTGTGTGCACATATGTGCATGGATGTGTGTTTGGGTTACAAGGCTTCCCCACTTGCTCCTGGTGGGAGGGTTGGCTTCATAAAAACTGATGAATTATAATTGTAAGAAAGAGGCATGATACTGTTTTGAATTTCATCTTTTTGCCCACTAATTCTATAGCTTTTGAAAGTTACTTAAGCAGAAGATATTTTTGATTCCTTATCTGTAAAATAAGGATAGTCTATTTTATAGAGGTGGTGTAATATAACAAAAGGTGACTTTCTTGAAAGCACTATCTAACCTAAAATTTCCTACAAAATATGATTGCAAGTTATTAGTGGCACTAACAACAACAACAATGGCTACCACCTATTGTGCACAACTATAGTCAGATAATCTGATGTATCTTATTTGCATTGTTTATGACAATTATCACAATAAACATATAACACAGTCATTTATATCTTCATTGCAAGATACCATTGAGCAACCTTCTATTTTACATGTATTTTGATTTAGCATTTTTCAGAATTCTAAGCTCATGATTGTAAAAATAAGACTGAGGATAGAAAAATGCAAGCACTTCTACTTTTTACTTTTTTGTATTCTTACTGTGATCTTGAATCCTAGTTTTACCACTCCTAAGAGAGATGACCTTGTTTAAGTACTTTATCTTCTCTGAGCCTCATTTATCTCACATAAAAAGTAGGGATGAGAAGGCTTTCCTTACAGAATTATTGAGTAAAATAATATATGTAAAGCCCTAACATCATCCTTGAGGTAGAAACATCGTTCAAAATTGGTGCCACTGCCTAGCATTTGATTTTTGTAAAACTGTTTTTTACTACCCCCCATGTAAACATTTTAATAAATATTTGAATTCACATAGAGCAGCAGATATCTTATTTCTACAATTTTGTAGGAACTGTAGATATAAATTGCCATGAATGATAAACTAATACTTTGCTTTTGATTTGCAAGATATGATCTCAGAATTTGGCAGTCTTTCAATTACTTGAATTGGCCCTACTTGCCTCAAAAACCACAGTGTTTTGTCCTCTGAATCTGTTCCCTTTGCCTAAAACACCTCACTTGGCCAGGCATGGTGGCTCACGCCTGTAATCCCAGCACTTTGAGAAGCTGAGGCGGGCGGATCAAGAGGTCAGGAGTTCAAGACCAGCCTGGCCAACATGGTGAAACCCCATCTCTATTAAAAATATAAAAATTATCTGGGTGTGATGGTGCACACCTGTAATCCCAGCTACTCAGGAGGCTGAGGCAGGAGAATTGCTTGAAACCAGGAGGCGGAGGTTGCAGTGAGTCGAGATCGTGCCATTGCACTCCAGCCTGGGAAACAGAGTGAGACTCCATCTCAAACAAAAACAAAAACAAACAAACAAAACAAAAAACAAAAAACACCTCACCCATTCAGTCATTCAGTCTCCATAGATAATTCCTACGCTTTCTATTAGGTAATTTCAAGTACAACCTGTGTATGAATGCTCTCTCTAAGCCAGTATTATGAGTTAGAAAATCTACCATTCTTGGGCCTTCTTAATTTGTTGCACAAACTTATCATTTACTGAAGTCAAATTGCTTTTTTACATGTCTCTAACCTGGCTCACTCCCACTATAAACTCTACTCCTCAAAATGAAAGGCTGTATTTTTCATTACTGAATCCCCAAGCCTTAGCTAAAGGCTTGGCACATGGTAGGTACTCAGGAAATGTTTGTTTCAGGCAAAAAAAAATTTTTAAAGGAGTGAATGTGGACAGATCAATGTTATAGTCTTAATATAAGCTATTATGCAGCTTTAAAAGAAGCTAATATAATGTGTATTAGGCAGCAACAACAAAACCCATTATTTCTAATCCTAACTTCAGAATTTTCTGGGGAGATTTCAAAACATAAAATGCCTATGTGTCTTCCCCAGCGATTCTGATTTACTTGGCTTGGGAGAAGAGAGTTCTGGAATTTGTGTTTTTGAAAAGCTTCCTAGGAGATTAAACAGTGTTGTCATGTTTGAGAAGCACTGACCTAAACCATTTTCCTCCAGTAAGGAATATCAGATAATAGTTGATTAACATATGTATTGATTTCTTATATATATAAGAAATCATAAATAGGGAAAAACAGTGCAAATAAATATAGAATTGGTTGGAAAATATAAACAGTGGGTCCCACATGTGAATTATGTTTATTACATTTTCTGTGGAAAACTTTCAGACACCTGGAGTATGAAAGAACTTTCTCTGATTTGAAGAAGCATTTAAATCTAAATGCTTAAAAATGTGTAAACATGACATTTTACTTAGTTCCTGCAGAAACCCAATTATATTACATCAAAACTACCTTGGAAAATTTCAGATTTTCTCTGTGAATACTGGGATGAGCACGGGTCTTGCCGTTAGGTGAACACAATTTGAACGCTGGCTCTGTCATTTCTTCCTCTATTATAGGAGAAAGCCCTTTCTCATCTCTAAGACTGAGTTTTTTTCACACATAAAATTGGGGACACTGGAAAATATGTATTTTCCCATCTTCCCATCAATTATTCTTAGAAAATCCAGCTTGTTGGAACCTATGTTAGGAGGTGGATCTTAGTGATCAGCTGAGTTGATCTTAGTTGTGTTTTTTTGGGACGCAGGCTCAGAGATGAAGTTTCCTTAAAGGATATTTATTAGGGAGTGCCCTTGGGGAGAAGGAGGAAGCAGGATTTGTTAGAGACCAAAGCTGAGATGTGAGGCCTAATGACAACCCCAGTTACCTACCAGGAGAGTTCTAAAGTTAAAATAGCTATTCCTCTGTTAAGTTGAAATGGCCAGGTCTTTACACTCATGCCTTGACTGGCCCTTGAATGTGGGCCACCCTAGAAGTGCAGAACCTTGGTCTAAGCAGCTCTCTGCAGCTGAGGCAGACCCTGAAGTGTCTGGCAGCATCCCTGAAAGTCTCAGCAGCAAGTCCTCCTTGAAGGGGAATCAGAGAGGCTCATAACCCACATGGGCGTGAAGTTGACATGGTGAGGCTTCTCCATAAATGAAGGAGACAGTCTTTCAATCCATAGCCAAAGGGGCAAAGCAAAGATTGTCAGACCTGCAGAATTTTAGAGCTGAGACTGCCTGCAGCATCACTGAGTCTAACCTCCTCACAATACGGAAGAGAAGAGTAAGGCCCAGAGGTGGGATGAGACTTACCCAACATCACACAGCAAAATAGGAGTGGTGCTGGGATCAGATCTCAACCCAGGACTTTTCTCATTCCTTCATCATATCCCAGGAAAGGAATATCACAGTGGTTATGCATAAAGTTTTGGGGTCAAACTTAGGCTTGTATCTCAATTCTGCTACTTTATGGCTTGATTTTGGACGGGTTTCTCTTTAACTTCAACCTCTTTTTCTGTAGAATGAGGATAGTAAGCCATTACTTTGAAGACTTACCTGTAAAATGGCCACCATCAATTCTGTACTTCCCTGAAAGTAAAACTGCTTTTTCAAAATTATAATAGTAAGGGAAATCTGGCATAGTTGACTTCATCTTGCTTCTGACCTCGAAGCTGTTCTTGGTCATTCCTGGGTAAAGACCAAGCTAACCACGAGAGAAATTTAGTTTACAGTTTAACTTGAAAGCAA
Organism: Homo sapiens; assembly: GCF_000001405.40. Taxonomy (NCBI): domain Eukaryota; kingdom Metazoa; phylum Chordata; class Mammalia; order Primates; family Hominidae; genus Homo; species Homo sapiens. The sequence goes on along the minus strand of NC_000002.12, from coordinate 126,318,189 downwards.
GGATGATAATAGTCCTTCCCTAAAACTAACCCCCACCTTGCTCAGGGACTGAAAACCACCTTTGTAAGACTAAAGGCCACAAGATTAGGATTATGAGAGGGGCCTGAACTCTGTTGAAATGTAGTCAGTTTCTGTAATCCCTTACTGCTAAGGAGTCATGTGGCTGGAGGTCACAAGACTTGTGACTTTCCTAATTGGCCCTATAGATAACATCACTATTGTGAAAACTAAGATTTTTTTTTTTTTTTAGATTATTTCAGACTAACTTCACCCAGACTCATGACTCATGACTCAGCTTGTCCTGTGCTCCCACCCAGAGGTGGAGTCAATACACCAGGCTAGTTTTCTACACCCCTATGATTTCATCCTCAACCAATCAGTAGCACCCATTTCATAGCTCCCTGCCCACCACATCGTCTACAAAAACTCTAAGCTCCAAGCCTGAGAGAATGATTTGAGTGTTAACTCCATTTCTCTTGCATGGGCCAGACTCTCATCAATTAAACTTTCTCTACTGCAATGCCATGGTCTCAGTGAATGGACTTTGTGCAGGGGGCAGGAAGAACCCACGGGGTGATTACAAAAGCACATCCCCTGAAGCTGGTTTGACTAGCAATTGCTTCAAACAATGACTTCAGTGGAAGGGATCCCTACAAGTTCTGGGCCTAACCTTTAAGAGAATTGGCAACTTCTGTCTGTTTTCCTGGAAATGCTTGCTCTGGAAGAAGACATTCATTGTATAAGTAGTACACCCACCCAAGGATCTCCAGGATATGAGGAAGCTCAAACTAGCTATGCAGAGAGGTTTCATGGAGAGAGAGATGCCTGAGCAGCCCCTGACACCTCAGCTGTTTTGGCTCAGGTACCACACGGATGAGTGGATAAGCCTGAAGACTGTGGCTCCAGTGATTGTAAACATATGAAAAGTCCCAGGTGAGATCTACACAGCTGAGCCCCTCCTAGAACCAAGGAATATGACAACAACAACAACACACACACATACAAACACACACACACATACATACACACACACACGTTATCTCATCACATGTGCTTAGCACAGGCCTTGGCCTATTAAAATAACTCAGTATATTTAATAAATGAGTACGCTGGTACACAAATTCTTAAGTTCCCATTTCAAATAATGTCACTTAGAAATGGTCTTCTAGCATGTCACTTCTCCATCCTACAAGTGGTATGTGCCTCATATCCCTTCTTTCTGTCACTGCACTTAAATAACAACTAACATTTACATACAGCGTATTATTTGCTCTAATTCTTCTTATAACTTTTATACATATTAGCTCATTTACTCTTCATAATAATCATATCATATGTATCATAAAATATTTTTTAGTGAGAAAATTGAAGAATTGGCTAAAATTACAGCACTAGATTGTGGTGAATATTGTGTAATCTTTATTTTTGTATTCATATAATGTAGTAGATACTCAGGACGCCTTAAATAATATCATAAGCTTTAGGGTTGTGGGGAAGGAAGGAAGGAGGAAAGAGAATAAGAGAGAGAGCTGGAAAGTAAGAAACGATTAAAATGTAATATGTAGGGAGAAAGGAAAGTTCTGGAACTAAGATGTTTCCTACAATTCTTCAAGGTTAAACAGTATAATCAAAATGAGAGCAATTTTACTGAAACTGAAAGATCAATAGGTCCATTTAAACAGCCTGACACTAGAGTGTGTAACTTAAATATCTAAATGGATTTTCTTAGTGATAATGTCATATGCTTATTGCCCCTCCAGCTCCCATTGTTAATTTCTTCTCTGCCCATATGTTTCCAGGCTAGAATGCAGCTTTGCTGAGATAATGTTTCTCATTTAGCCTTGGGGGTGGATATTTCGTCCTGTCTGAATGACATCCTGATGGCCACAGGCACCTTGGGGAAGAGCCATATTACTGAATTCACCAGGGTGTATTAACAGATAAGCTAAATTCTAGATATAGCAATTAATACAATCACTCATTTAGATAAATCATTTATTTAAAATTCCTTGGAGTCCTTTAGTCCTAAGACATGATTTTCAAATCTATGCTTATTTTATTACCTACCAAGTTATGGGTTCCCAGCCAAATAGCTCTTGACATTTTGCTGGGGGAAATGACGAGGTTTTAAAAAATGCACAGAGAATAGCTCACTTTTACAGCAGTGACTCTTTTCCCCTAAGGAGGGAGTGTCAGGAGAAGGATGAAAGGGTGAGTAGTGAGCAATGGGAACTGTGATGTTTATCCTCCTTTTGGTACCAGTGATTTACTCTTACAAGAATTGTGAGAAAATAGGCTCAGCTGAAAATATATTGAAAGACTGGGCATGAGAAGTGAAGAAAAATTATATTCAAAAGAGACATGCATCATATTTATTCAACCAGTAAATATTGAGTACCTTCTTCCTTCCAGGAACTGTCCTAGGAGCTCGGAATATAACCTCATGTCTATTTCTTTACCTATGAAATTTACACTCATTCCATCAAGCAACTATCAGAGATGGAAAAATCTAAGTCTGGAGGAAGACATGGAAGAAAGGTAACTTCCAGAGAGAGGAAACACAGTGTTGCACATTTAACCAGATAGAAACGTCAACAATGGTGCATGATGAAACCAAGTTCTGGAAGTGATGGCATGTGCCTCATAGAAATTATTAAGATGGGGAGCTATTGAAAACCTGAATGTCGGCCGGGCATGGTGGCTTACGCCTGTAATCCCAGCACTTTGGGAGGCTGAGGCGGGTGGATCACGAGGTCAGGAGATTGAGACCATCTGGCTAACATGGTGAAACCCCATCTCTACTAAAAATATAAAAAATTAGCCGGGCGTGGTGGCAGGTGCGTGTAATCCCAGCTACTCAGGAGGCTGAAGCAGGAGAATAGCGTGAACCCGGGAGGCGGAGCTTGCAGTGAGCGGAGACTGCATTCCAGCCTGGGCGACAGAGCCAGACCCAGTCTCAGAAAAAAAAAAAATATAAGAGAGAGAAAAGCAGAATGTCATGCTTCAGCTCCAGAATAATGCTTAGAGTGGTGTCTATTTTGTGTCTCTTTTTCTACATATCCCTGAATTATCCCGAATGAAAAGGTAAGTGCTAATATTCACATAAACATTATGTGGATCAGTGTTTCGCCTAGAGGAGAAAACACCCGAAGACCGTATGTCCATGTTTTCCTGGGACTATGTTGATGCTAAAGTTCTAACCATGACTGCAGCAAAAGGGAAATCACACTTCTGGGGGTGTGGCCAAGAACTGACATTTTTCAGATGTGATTTGCAGGGCACCACCTGCCTCACCCCATCACCCAGCTCTACTCCAAAAATGTCTCAACAGCCTGTGACTGGTTTAAGATTCCACTGCTGAGGCATTCATTTTGGGTTAAATTACTGTTCTCTTAAGTATAATTTTTCAAAATAACCCTGGAAGCAAATGACCTTAGATAAATTATCAATTAGTTGCTAATTTTTTATGAGCTGGGAATGCATCTTAAACTGTACTGTGCCCTTTGGCTTCCGCAGTGTCCTTGTCTACGAAGCACCTCTCTGAGCTCTGAGGATAGAGCATTGTGAGAGGTCATATATTTTTTATAGTGGTGATAAGTAGAAGAGTTAGGGGTGTGAGACTGTGCCAAAGGAAGGCAAACCTGAGTGTGAGGGTCTACATGGCCTGGACTGAAGGATCTGTGAAGCCAGGCAATAGATGTGATGATGCGATAGGAGTCCACAGGTACTGGGAGTGGATACCACAGTAGGATGAGAGGTAGAAATTGGTGGGCAAGATCAAGGAAGGAGGACATAATTATTTCTCAGCTTGCCCAGTATACTGGGCTCACGGACAGTTTACGCTGAACATGTGCATGCTTGCTGGTTTGGCTCTTTAGCCCATCCCTCCCCATGGCTCGTCCGAGCCTTCCTTAAAAAAGCCATTATTGACTGGGCATGGTGGCTCATGCTTGTAATCCTGGCACTTTGGGAAGCTGAGGCAGGCAGATCATTTGAGGTCAGGAGTTCGAGACCAGCCTGGCCAACATGGTGAAACACCGTCTCTACTAAAAGTAAAAAAAAAAAAATTTGCTGGGTGTGGTGGCACACGTCTGTAATTCCAGCTACTTGGGGAGGCTGAGGCAAGAGAATCGCTTGAACCCGGGAGACGGAGGTTGCAGTGAGCCGAGATTGCAACACTACACTCAAGCCTGTGCAACAGAGTGAGGCTCCATCTTAAAAAACAAACAAAAAGCCTTTATTTGTTCAAATGTGGCTTAATTGCCTCTCATTTTCTGCCTAAAGTGTCTTCCTCTCTGCCATGTCTGTTTTATTCCTTTATTTATTCAATATTCTTGGGCATTTTCTCTGTTCATACACTCTTTTAAGGATATAGAATGAATAATATAAATAATATCTCTGCCTTTGTTATGCTAACATTCCACAGAGGGATAATATAAAGTAAACAAATAACTAGACTTGATAATATGCTAGCATGTTTTATATCAAGAAGTCCCTTTCTGCTCTACCTTGGGTTCTGTGATGCGTGCTAGTAACCTGCCTCCCTCCTTGTTTGGATGGGACTCCAGGACAGGTCCTGCTACACCAGGCACCGTGGCTCCCAGAAAAAAGACACCCACCATTCCTCATGCGCCAACCTCTGGCCCAAACTTTTAGGTCCGTGTACAGACTAGAGACCCCATTTATCTGGCAAAGGGAATTTGATATGCGGTGCTTTTGCTACCGTGTGTATGTGGTGGGTGCAGGGATGAGTCCAACCAGGGTAGCAGTGAAGATGGTCCCAGGGCAGGCGTTGAGAGCCAATGGAGAAATTGTGGCTATAGAAAGAGGTTTCTCTTGTTTGTCTACCTTTTAATGAGGAAAAATGTGTTAATAACACACTTCCAAGGAGAAAGATGACGGGCTGGATTCCATACTCGTGAGTCTCAAAGCCTGTGAACTTGCCCAGAGTTCCTGTTCTTATTCTGTGTCATTTCCCAGTCTCCAATCCCAAAGTCTCAGCTCTAGGCCTTTCATCCCCAGATCCATGTCCCCAAACACCTTGCTTAACCTGATTCTATGCTGAATGCAGGAGTTTTGCCATCCTACCTTGCTTTCTCTGCCTTTGTGTTTCTTGTTCAATATGCTCCAATACCAATTTGTGTGCTAGGCACTTTCTAGGTGGTGAATATAAGACTGAATAAGAGATGGAACGTCTCTATGGAATTGGCAAACTAGTTGGACAGGCTGATTGTTGTGGTTGGATCTCTCTTATTTTATAAACTAGTTGAGTTCTTCGCAAACATTAGCATGCATAAGAACTCCTGAAAGACAAGTTCAAATGCAGAATCTCAGGTCCTACCCTGAGTTTGCATTTGTATAGAGGGGTGTGTGTGTATGTGTGTCTACCCTGAGCTGAGTGGGTCTGTGGATGGGCCTGGGAATTGGATGTCTAGTAAATTCTCAGGCAAGGCTGATGCTGCTATCCTGTCGAGCAACGCTGAAAGACACACAGATGAATAATCAGGTATATTCGTCAGAACTCTATTACGCATGATAAAGAGCAATTCATTAACACAAGCAAAAGTGGAAATTTCTATTTATAGAACTTGGGAAGGATCAAAGGAAGAACTGCCTGAAATAGAAGCTCAGAGATTGGAATCAAGTACTCACAGTCTTCTGGAAACCTCTTTGCTTCTTCCACTTCTGTGTGGTTCTGCTCAGCTGTGTTCTGCAGAGGCCTTTTTCTTGACCAGTGAATGTGGCTAATGATAACCTGGATTTTTATCTTCTCATTTAAAGATGCCAACAGAAAGAGACACTCGTACATCAGTCCCAGGGAAAGGCTCTAATTGATGCCACTGAGACCCAGGCCTCAGTCTCTACTGTTCCCAGGGACATGGGCCATGCCTAGGATCAGAAAGGAGGGGTCTAATATTAGAAGTGGAAAGAGAAATGCTGCCAGGCAAATGTAAAGCAATGGTCCCCATGTACCCTGGAATAGTTACATATTACTGATGAATGCTCTCATGGGGCAAGCACAAGGAGCTTAATGAGCACTTAGAATTGCCACAGACCAGACGAAGTAAATCTTAAAGCTGAGACCATGTATGAGTGTTAGATATGTGAAGACAGGCACAGTAGTCTTGATAGACAAAGGGATAGTATGTCTGGAGTCCACCTACTAGAGGAGGGAGGAGGAGAGGAAGGAGCAAAAGAGAGAGAGAAACAGGGAGAAAGAGAGAGAAGTCACCCGTGTGGTTCAGGCTGGAATTTAGTGGCTCATCTGACTGGCCACTTCTGTACTGAACGGGACATTTTGATTGCAACTATACTGGAACTAATAGGAATCATCTGGGTTTATGGAGGGAACAGATTCCTTGAAGATATAAAAATGATAATGGAACAGAGGTGGATATTCCTGCTGCAGTGGAAAACTTGCTGGTTTGTCATTATGTCTATATGACATTATGCCTATTATTTTTATTGCAATTTTTATCTGGACACTAGTGAAATATCATAGACTTGATTATGCCAAAATCTTGTGCCCTGACTGAGAAGTTGCTCAAGGCTGGTGTATGATTATTTTCTGTATTATTGCATTTCAATTATGGCTATCATAGAAATAATTCAGGCTGAAGGAAACATCTTTCTGTGTGTTGTAAGCTGCTGTAAAACAGTTTTCAACTAGAGCCCATACCTGGAAGGACATCATGGGGAGAAATAAAAAGGCACAGTAGATCCTTAAATAAAAGAGACTTGACCAGGAAATTCCTACTGTTGGTGGCAGAGGAAAACCAGAATAAGATCTCACTTAATACCTCATACAAAGTTGTACACCAGGTGGATTAGAGACTTAATTATAAAAAATATATACAAGTTTGCATTTGTATAGTGGGGTGTGTGTGTGTGTGTATGTGTGTGTGCGCACGCATGTGTGTATGTTTAATAGAAGAAAATACAGGAGAATATCATTTTGAATGAAAATTTCGGAAGGACTTTTTAGAGAACTTGAAAAACACAAAGTGTAAATCATAAAGTAATAAACTCAAGTACATTGAAATTAAAGATTTTGGTTAAGAAATGTACAAAGGGATATATATATATACCTATACAAATATATACTTTGGACCTCAGATATAAAGGTTTAAGTAAGTAATACTTCTCAGCTAAGTGTATGTTATCATATTGGTCAATACAACGCCCCTCTATTAATTTGTTTATTTTTTGTTTGCTTTATTTGCTGTGTCTGCCCTTTATCTTTATTCCATACTCCTATTCCCCTTTCTACCAACATCAGAAGTGACTATTCTTAAGTGTTGGTTTTGTACATCTTTACTCATAACTATTCATGATTTTATATTGTTTTGGGTGGTAAATTCTTAAAGCATTTAAATGCTATTACATTATATATTTTAGGGTTTTTTTATCTTACCTTTTTTTTTCAATTTTCATTTATGTTGCTCTGTGTATAATGAATCTCTTTCATTTTGTAAAGTTCTACTGTGCCCTATATCTCATTTTATTTATTCCACTAAACTCAACTTCAGGTAGCCCAATAAATTCCAAACAGAAAAAAGAAAATTTAAAAAATCTACTCCTAGCCACATCATAGTATCATAGCTTTCTACTCATAGCCACATCGTCGACCAGAAGATAACATTATTTAGAGTGATCTGATTTCTTAGAAACGACTATTAATGCCAGAGAAGAAGGAAATATTATCTCAAATGTGCTGGAATTAAATAAGTTCTATCCCAGAATTCCAGGTTCTGCATGGTTTTTTAGAATAAAAATGAAAACAATACTTTTGGGGAAGAAAAAACTTTACCATCAACAGATTTTTATAAGAAAAATTAAAAAGACATATATTTGGCAGAAATAGAATCTCAAAAGATTTAAAATAGAATTTGAAAGACATTATGGGTATAGACATTAATATATTATATTAGGCATTAATGTATTATATATAGTTAAATATATTTTTATATAGAATATAATCTAAGCATTCATTGATGTATTAAAAACGGTAATTCCTAATGTGTATGTATGTGGTAGGGGTGGTGACAGAATAAACATTAAAAAATAAAAAAATGGAAAATAATGTAATTTGAAATAAAAGAAGTAATGAAAATTAAAATATTTTAAGGTTCTATTGAAAAGAAAATAAAGATTTTGATTAATTTATACTATATTATATATCTTTTAAAAAATTAGGCTATCCACTATAAGAATAAATAAAGAACATGTAACTTCCAAAAAAGCAGAGGAAATAAAATATAATGAGAATAAAGATAAAGAAGGCTGTAACAATCCAAAAATGAAAATCAAAGGTAAAGAAAACTTTAAAACCAGGTTGACAGGAAGCACTTAATGTTAGAGATAGATACAAATATACTAATAATAATAAAAAAAGGATAAACCAAATTTTCAGTTAAAATACAACTACATTTCAGGATGTGCAAAAATAAAAGCAAGAAAAGGTATCTATTGTTCTCAAGACAAAACAATTACAATTATGTAAAGAGTTAAAGGATAAGAAAGCATACCAGGAAAATATCAATCAGAAGAAAAGCCGTGTAGCTAGATAAGATAGATATTTTAAAAATATATAGTTAAAGTAAATGAGTCTATAATTATATACATTCAATGTAAAAGGAAGATATAACAATTCAGACCTTGATATATCTAAAAGCAAGGCTTGGGATATATACAATATTAATTATACGTTAGGCTACAAAAATAATTGAAAATTTTACATAATGAGTTTTAAACAAATATCCTTCAGTAAGTTATTCCTCAGGGTGACTAAAAGAAAAAAAAAAGGAAAGAAAAAGAAAAAATAAAAAAAGAAGGAAGTTTAAGGTTTTGAGTAGGAAAATAACCTTTATCAAACATATATAAAATGTTTTACACAATAACTTGAAAATGTATTTTTATAAACATATTATTTTTCAAAATTTTCCACGTGCTTTAACTCTCAATACATTTTGAAGATTTGCATTATAAGAACCACATTTTCTGACTACAATGTAATTAAGTTAAAAATACATAATTAAAATAAAATGGAAATAAAAATACACACATATATATTTAAAAATTAAAAAGTAAACTTCTAAAAAGCTCATGAATCAAAGGTAAATTAGAAACTGTCTTGCACTACCTGAAAATAAAAATGCTATAACCAAAACTTGTGGAAAATGAGAAGCTCTGCTTAGAGGGCAATAACTAGCATAGCAACCAAGAAAACCCAAAACAAAAAACCCCACAGAATATCAGGAGACAGCTAGGCCAAGCTGCATTTAATCAGAGAAGCAGGAATTATTATTATTATTGTTGTTATTATTTTTTGAGACAGAGTCTGGCTCTGTCGCCCAGGCCGGAGTGCAGTGGCGCGATCTCGGCTCACTGCAAGCTCCGCCTCCCGGGTTCCCGCCATTCTCCTGCCTCAGCCTCCTGAGTAGCCGGGACTACACGCGCCCGCCACCACGCCCGGCTAATTTTTTGTATTTTTAGTAGAGACGCGGTTTCACCGTGTTAGCCACTAAGGTCTTGATCTCCTGACCTTGTGATCCGCCCACCTCAGCCTCCCAAAGTGCTGGGATTACAGGCGTGAGCCACCGCGCCTGGCCAGAAGCAGGAATTATTGATACGGAGTGCAGGGGAGTGAAGAGCGTGGTCCCCTCAAATGATACCGAAGTGTGGAAGGGAAGTGCTGGGTAGAAGAGGGCGTGGTCCCTGGCTAGGGCTCCACCCCCACGGACCTGGGTGAGGATAGGCATTTCCTGTCCAAATATTGCATTGCCCAATATCACCCCGGCCTGCCACACCCCCATCCTGTGCCTATAAACTGCCCTCAGACCTTAGCAGGCAGGCACACAAGCTGCTGGACCTGCAGAGGAGCCTATCTGCAAACCCAGACATCTGGACGTGGAGAGGAGCGAATTGGTGGAGGAACACACAGGTGGCTGGATGTTAAGAGAAGCACATCAGCAGGCCCTGGGATGCGGGCAGGCCACGGACCAGCAGAAGGAGAGGCTGAGTTTGGCTGGGACAGTCAGAGGAGAGCCCGGGCCAGGGAGCAGCCTGACTCCAAGGAAAAAACCATCTCCCTTCTGGCTCCCCCGTATGCTGAGAGCTACTTCCAGTCAATAAAACTTTGAACTCATTCTCCAAGACCACGTGTGATCCGATTCTTCCAGTACACCAAGGTAAGAACCCCAGGATACAGAAAGCCCTCTGTCCTTGCCATAAGGCAGGGGTCTACTTAAGCTGACTAAGGCTAAACTAAAAGAGCACACTGTAACACACACCCACTGGGGCTTCGGCTGTAAACATTCACCCCTAGACACTGCTGTGGGGTCGGAGCCCCACAGCCTGCCGGTCTGTAAGCTCCCCTAGAGATTTGAGCAGGATAGCACTGCAGAAGTGAGCCACACCCCCATCTCACGTCCTGCGAGGGGGATAAGGGAGCTTTTCCTGTTTCATTATTATTAAAAAATGATTATAATTTACTGTATTAACTGATTAAAGGAGAAAACTATGTTTATTTCAACATATTTTAAAACGTGCTTCATAAAATATAATACCTACTTATGATTTTCCAAAAATGGTTCTTTTAATGAACTAGGAATTTAAAAAACCCTTCTTAATAATTAGATAAAATACTAATTAATTAGATAAATAATACTAATTAATTAGATAAATAATAATTCCTCAGATTAATATCTAAACAAAGAAAAACTTATAGCAAGTAGTGTACTTAATGGTTGGAACCATTTTCCTAATGATCAAGGACAAGTTAAAGACGCTTATTATTTTTCTTTTTAAAATACAATTCTTAAACAATACAGTAAGTCAAGGAACAGGAAAGTTTTAAAACTTGAAAAAGAGGGAAAAAATAATTATTTGTAGGTGATAACATGTTTTATTTAGCATCTATTGATCATTAGAATTTAAAGGGAATTGAGCAAGCTTCCTGCATTTGAAATCGATATGCAGAAGTCACTTGCATTTCTGAATACCACAAAAAATGTAATTTTAAACAATGCTGCTGGTATGGGTTGAACTGTGTTCTTCAGAATGACATATTGAAGTCCTATTCCCTGTTATGTATGAATGTGACCTTGTTTGGCAACAGGGTCTTTGCAGATATAATCCAGTTAAGATGCAGTCTTTAGGGTGGGCTTTCTTCCAATATTTCTGGTGTCCTTATGGGAAGAGGAGATGAGACACAGAGACATAAGCAGAGGGAAAACATCATGTGATGACCAGTGTAGCTGCAGTCTTGGAATAATGAAGGTGCAGGCCAAGAGAGAAATGTAAAGTTTCTACAGCCGCTACCACATGCTAAGAATAGGCAAGGAAGGATTCTCCTCAAAGTTATAGAGGAAGCATGGTTCTGCTGACAGCTTGAAATTTGACTTCTGTTCTACAGAACTATGAGAAAATACCTTGTACACTGTTGGTGAGAATATACATGACGTCACCGTCATGGAAAACAGTACTGAGGTTCCTCAAAAGATTAAAAATAAAATTACCATATAATTATGGTACTTGTGGCATTATATAAAAATTATTTTATGTATAAAATAATTTAAAGCACGATCTGGAAGAGATATTTGCACACCTGTGTTCATCAAAACATCAGTCACAACAGACAAGAAATGGAAGCAACCTAAATGCTCATTGAGAGATGAATGGGTAAAGAAAATGTGGCATATACATACAAAAGAGTTTCCTGCAACCTTAAAAGGAAGGAAATCCTGTTGCATGCTGGAACATGCATAAGACTTGAGGACGTTAGGCTATGCAAAACAAGCCAGTCACAAAAGGACAGACACTGTATGATTCTACACATATGAAGTATCTTAAGTAGTCAAAAATCATAGAAACAGAAAACAGGTGGTTACCAAGGGCTGAGTTGGGGAGGGTAGAAGGGATTAGGGCTTAGGCCATATAGAGATTCAATGTTGCAAGAGGAAACATTTTTAGAGATCAGTTGCACAATAATGTGAGTATAGGTAATAATACTCATGAATTGCATCCTTAATGGTTAAAATGATAAATTTAATGTTATGTGTTTTTTACCACCACTAACAAGGCAAACAAAACTTGAGGATTGATATTCAAGTCTTGGCCGGGTTACTAAACTTGAAATCACATTACCCTTGAATAACTGAAAAAAAAAAAAAAAAAAAAAAAGCCAGCACATTGGCTCACGCCTGTAATCCTAGCACTTTGGGAGGCCGAGGCGGGCAGATCACAAGGTCAGGAGTTTGAGACCAGCCTGACCAACATGGTGAAACCATTGTCTCTACTAAAAACACAAAAATTAGCCGGGTGTGGTGGCACATGCCTGTAATCTCAGCTACTCAGGAGGCTGAGGCAGGAGAATTGCTTGAACCCAGGAGGCGGAGCTTGCAGTGAGCAGATATCGCACCACTGCATTCCAGCCTGAGTGACAGAGTGAGACTCCGTCTCAAAAAAAAAAAAAAAAAAAAATTCCCTGTTAAAAAGGTACCATAAATGAAAAATGAAAAGACAAGCTACAAAGAGTATTTGCAATATATATTACTGACAAAGTTTTGGCATCCAAAATATATTTAAAAATTTCTAGAAATCAATGAGAAATAGACAACCTAGTGTAAACATGGGTGAAACATATAAACAGATATTGTGTAGATGAAAAAATACAAATGGCCCATAAATGAATGAAAAGACGCTCAATCTCTTCAGTTTTCTGAGATTCTAATTAAAACCAACTAAAGCCACAATTAGATATAATTTTACATCCACGAAATTTATCCAAGTTTTTTTTAAAGCCATAAAATACTAAGCATTTTGGATATCAGAGAGCAGTGGAATCTCTTGTTCATAAGAGTGAAAATGGGTATAAACCAACTTGGTATAAACCAGCATTATGCAGTAAAGCTCAGTGTATCCTAAGAATCAGAAACTGCTCTTGGATGTATTCATTCACACTCTTGCCTGTGCAGTCTAAGAGATGTGCAGGAAGAGGCTTACGGTAGCTTTTAAATAATAATAAAATGAACTAACACAAAACCTGAAAAGGTCTATCAGCAGTGGAAAGAAAACATGAATTGTGGTTTATTCAAATAACAGACTATTATAAAACAGTTATTGTGAATGAACCAGTCACTTGCATAATGTTAGTGAGTCTCAAAAAATATTCCAAATAAAAGTAGAAAGTCACAGAAGACAACTAATGTTGATCTCACTTATGAACTCAAATTACATTTTTATTTAAATTTAAAAACCCAATATAAAGCAATATATTATTCATGAACATATCTACAAGTGATAAAATATAATGAAAAGACGATATTATCACAAAAATCAGATTTGTGGTTACATCCAAGAGTGAGGGTTGTGGATTCTTTGAGATACAAGAGTATTCTATTTCTTAAGTTGGTGGAGGGTAAGTACATGTTCAGTCTTATTATCTGCAAAATGTATATGGATACTCTGTATGGTCCTTTTTATGTATCATATACTTTTGGAGCTGGATAGGACCCACTTCCATGAGGAACCAAATTAATGGTATTCACTCGGATGCTGCTGGAAATAAACCTTATTAAGAAAATGGTTTGAACCTGTTACCTAGCAGCTGCTACTCATTGTCTATGAAGCTCCAGGTAAAGTTTTAAGTTTCCAAAGCTGCTTCTTGATCAATAATTCCCCAAACCCCACTGGCTCTGAGGCTGCCAATTTGTCATTTACTTTAAAGCCAGGCCCCAATGTAATGATTGCTGATTAAAGGAGGCCTCCTCACCCATAACTTCATTATCACCCAGTTTGCAGGGGGAGCGTTGGGTCCTGGAATGAACTGAAAGCCAGCCAAAGCAAATTTATGACCTTGCATACTGTATCGATTTTGATGGGAACAAAAGCAGAGAAGGTCAATAGGATTGCATCCAAAGTCATTACTGGGCAGGAGAGAAGACTAAATCAAAATGAGCCATTAATTTTCTTAGCCATTTTTTTATCCATAAAATGGCCTCATAAATGATCCCATATCTTGGTGTCAGAACTTTATAATAAAATGGCAGTGGGACTCTGATGGAAAATTCAGATCTGGGGACAAGAGCAAAGGAATAAATTCTTAAAGTTTTCTGTATGAGAATGATAAGAAGAGTTATTTGATGTAGGTGAATAATTTGTTTGGAAGGTGTTTTGTTTTCTGGTCTAAATCTGGCTTTTCTTGCTTTAATGCCCTGACTTGTCTGCCTTACTCCCAGTTTTCTCACCATTGAAAGGAGAGAGGGAGAGAAGGGAGAGAGAAAGACCTGGAGACCCCTAGTATAATAGAATGAAGTCGGCTATATGGCAACCTTGAATTCTGGTGTTTCGTACCCTTGTTCCAGAGAAAAAATAGATGACTATTTTAAGAAATGCTTCCTAAATACATAGAAGACAAAGACAAATGTGGACAACAAAAAAGCAATGCTAGTTTTAATTCTAATGATATTATAAGTAACTGTTATGCTAAAACTACTAACAGGTTATCATTCATTGAGCATTCAGTAGTTGGATGACATTCTGCCCTTGTTACACTCATCTTCTTTAATCCTTTTAACAACCCTGAGATGTAGGTGTTATTATCTCCATTTTAAAAATAAGAAAATTGGGGCTCAGGAAGGCAGTAAAGGTTAGCTCATATAGCTAATATGTAACAGGTTTTCAAATAGGGGTGCTGGACTTAAAACTTTGTGTCTTAAAACTCTGTTATAGTGACTTGCAAAGATGTTGACACCTCCATAACTATAGCTTAAGGACATTTTTCCAGGCTGATTTTGAGCTAATAAAAGCCCTGCTGTTCCCTGAGGAGACTCCTGAACTGTCACATGGCTTGAGCCTCTCAGCTTGCAGGTTACCGTGGCTATCCCTGGAGGCTCCCGGCATATTTGATTATAAATACAAGCAGCTGGGAGAGGCTTTTGGCCTGAGTTCTGTTGTATCTAGACTCAGATACTGAGGCTGTTGGTACCGATTGTCAGATTCAGAAATATTTTAAGGGACCATGGTCCCTTAATACGAAGTGCCCATGGTTTTTGCTTTCCGGTTGTGAAGTTGCCTCTGGATCCCCCCGTCTCCATTCTTTGCCCCTTGCAGTTTTATTTTTCTCTCAACATCCTCCATCTCTAATTCATCTCCTTTCTAACTGATCTCTTCATCTTTGCTTTCTGTTTCTTCACATTTAGAGATGTGTGACTTTCTTAAAACGGCTTCCCCAAATTATTGTCCCCTGGGCCCTACCCCCTGAAACATGGCTTCATAGCACATGTCGCTTCTCTCTTCTCCAGGGGATGCTGAGCAGGTCAACATTCTTTCCTGCCTTCCTTTCTCAGCTGTCACCATGTGGGAGTGATGGAGAGATGCTAGCAAGACACACTTCTCAGCAGGAAGTCTGAGTCATCTCTTGGTTTTTAAGACCCCCAGTTTTTTCTGCTCGTACAGCCTGAGCCACTGTCTTCCCTTCAATTATGCCCCCTGAAGCTCTCAAACATGGGCCACCTTTCTTAGGCCTTACCTCCAATTTTGCCCCTCTGAGAAGCCCTCCTGCTCACCCCAATTTCCAGCATCCCCTTTCTTTCAGATTCTTTAAAGATCCTCTTTTTCCCTCCTTTAATACTTTGTAGGAGCCAGATGCCACACAAGGCAGCTTACACACATGGCACTATTCCTTTAAATATTCCTCTAAGGAATTTCCTTCATCTCTCATTCTACAGGCAAAGAAACTAAAGATCCCCACAGATCCTAGTGGTGAGTGGAACAGGAATGATGACTTCAAAGGTGGGGAAGCAGGGATCTGTCTCCTCTCAGGGGGTTTATAAACAGAGAAGTCCTTCAGAAGAATCATGGCATATTCAAAAAGCACAGATCCCTGGGCGTTAGTCAGCTGAGCGACCACTCAGAATTCCTTAGGGCAGGGCCAGCCTCTTCAGGAGACCAGAATCCAGATGTTTTCTGTGTCCCCACCCTGCACTCAGACCATTTCTGGCTCCGTGATAGCCTGTTCCTCACTCACCTACTCACTATCATTTTTTAAATTTTATTGTTTGACACTTCAGAGTGGCAGAGCAGAGTCAGATAGCCTGAATTTATATTTACACACATACATGCACACACAAATACAGAAACTGGAACTTTGACAACTTACAGCGTGTGTGTGTGTGTATAAGTTTATACATATTTATATAAAGGGATTTCAAAAAGTTTGTGAAAAATAAAATATAAAAATTACAAACTTTATTTCTCAACATAAGATCTATCAAGTTCAAGATACTTTTATAAGCCATGATATCAGCCATTTAGTTCATCCCTAAGAACTGAGAGTCCTAGGAATTTAACCATGTCAGTGCAGTCACTTTTACATTAAAATAACTGAAAAACAAAATGGGTGTCCTTATAGCTTTTTCAGATTAGGAAACAAAAATAAGTCAGAAGCAGCCACATCAGGACAGTATGATGGATGCCTCATGATTTTCTATTAAAACTCTCACAAATTTGCCCTTGCTTAATGAGAGGAATGAGCAGGTGCGTTTTCGTGGTGAAGGACTCACTGGTGAAGCTTTCTTAGGAGTTTTCCTGCTAAAGCTTTGGTTAACTTTTTTACAACATGCATAATAAGCAGATGTTATCATTCTTTGGCCCTCCAGAAAGTCAACAAGCAAAATGCCTTGAGCATCTTAAAGAACTGTTGCCAATGTCTTTGCTCTTGACAAATCCACTTCCACCACTTGGTAGCCATTGCTTTGATTGTGCTTTGTCTTAAGATCACACTGGCAAGGCCAAGTTTTATCTCCTATTAAAATTTTTTGAAGAAATGCTTCAGGATCTTGATCTTACTTGTCTAAAATTTTCATTGAAAGCTCTGCTCTGGTCTGCACCTGATCTGGTGCAATAGTTTTGGTACCCATCAAGCGAAAAGTTTGTTCAATGATAATTTTTTAATCAGAATTGTGTAATACCAAACCAATTAATATATGTATAGTGTTGTCTGTTTATGCTGTTTATTGTCAGCCTTCCTCAGTTAGGGCGTTTTGATGGTTAGTATTAAGTGTCAACTTGATTGGATTGAAGGATGCAAAGTATTGTTCCTAGGTGTGTCTGTGAGGTTGCTGCGGAAGGAGATTAACATTTGAGTCAGTGAACTGGGATAGGCAGGCAGACCCTTAATCTGGGTGGGCACCATCTAATCAGCTGCCAGTGCAGCCAGAATAAAAGCAGGCAGAAGAATGTGGAAAGACTAGACTGGCTTAGTCTTCCAGCCTACATCTTTCTCCCATGCTGGATGCTTCCTGCCCTCAAACATTGGACTCCCAGTTCTTCAGCTTTGGGACTCTTGGACCTTTGACCACAGACTGAAGGGTGCACTGTCACCTTCCCTACTTTTGAGGTTTTGGGGCTCAGACTAGCTTCCTTGCTCCTCAGCTTGCAGACAGTCTATTGTGACCTCACCATGTGATTGTGTGAGTCATACTCCTTAATAAACTCCCCTTTATATATACATCTATCCTATTCTGTCCCTCTAGAGAATCCTAATACAGGCATGAACAAAATTAATTTTTTCTTGCATATCGATGTGGATGATGTGTTGCTGTGGGTTTCATCTTCAGCATTCTTTTGTCCCTTCTTAAAATGAATTACTCATTTGTAAAATGTGTCATTGTTCCCACAAACTTTTCATAAAGCATCAGTGATTTCATCATTCTTCCACTCAAGCTGTATCATAAATTTGATATCTGCCCTTGCTTCAATTTTAGCAGGATTTTTATTGCTCTGATAGGGGCTCTTTTCAATCTGATATCTTATCCTTCTTAATACCTCAAATTAGATTCTGCTCAGAGATGTTATTAAAAGTTGGCAAATTTATTTTTGTTTATTTCAAAAACAAAACCATGTACAATTTTCCCATAGTAGGCATTTTTCATGAACTTTTTGAACTTTCTTAGCGTATAAATAACCTTATTTAGCCATATATGTGTGTATAGAAGTGTTTTTTTACATACACATATATATATAATATAGGCATTCTTATATATGTGTAATATATAATGACATATATACACACACAGATGCACACACACATGGTTATATAACCTTATTTAATTGGTTGAGGTTCCATAACCTCTCAAAGTCTCAGTTTTATTGTCTGAAAATTGGGATAAAGAATGTCATGGTATTTTATTTTATTTAAATACTTCATATAGTACAAGGGTTACTAAGGAATTTGTGTTTAAATATAAATTTGGTTTATTCCCATAAGCCAATGGCTTTATTCACAATAGCATCAATTCTTTGTAATGTTGAAGCGGAAATCTGGTTTGTCAGATGCTTCAAGAAATAGTGAACAGAAAACCATATATACTCTGCATTGTTGGTGAAATGTACCTCATTTTGACTCTGTGATCTGACTTTAGAAATAACTCACTAGGTGATTTGTAATATGACTTCATTCTGGAAATTACCTCATAGTAATGTAATGAGAAATGATGACGATGATGGTGATAGTGATGATGAAGTAGTGAATTTTCTTTCTCTAAGATCAAATTCTTAAAAGGTCATACCCAGATATTTGATGTGCAATGCTAAATATAGATGGGTAACATGTACATTTAAGAAATGCCTAATGATTTATGTCCAAGTGCTATGGTTTGAATATTTGTACCATCCAAACCTCATGTTGACATTTGATCCCCAATGTTGGAGGTGAAGCATGATTGGGGTGCTTGGATCATGAAGGTAGAGCCCTCATGAACAGATTAATGCCCTCCCTATGAAGAGGGGCAAGCGAATTCTCACTATATTAGTTCCTGGGAGAGCTGGTTGTTTAAGAAAAAGCATGGCACCTCTCCTCTCACTTCCTCTGTCACTACGTGATCTCTGCACACATGGGCTCCCCTTTGCCTTGAGTGGAAGTAGCCTAAGTCTTTCATCAGATTCTTGATCTTCCAGCCAGCACAGTGATAAGTAAAACAAACCTTTTTTATTTATAAATTACCAAGTCTCAGATATTCCTTTATATTAATAGCAGCACAAACAGATTAAGACGCCAAGGTAATTTAATGGTTCCGAAAAAGAATGTTTCCATACATGGGCATACATGTACATGCATATACATGTACCTTTTAGGTACATTTAGAGAAACACACAAACAAAACATTAACTAAACATTATTGAACTATACTGGTGCAATGAAACTGCTTGACTCCTATTTTGCTTTTTTTCTTCCCTGTCAAGAAGAATAAGCTTTGGACTATAAAGTGTGGAATGAACATTACTGAAAGCAAAGTAAATACACTCATGATGGGTAAAAAGATTGTAAGAATAAACATATTTGCTTTGCATGAGTTCAAACCTTTTGACCAATCTCAAGTACACACCAGGGTCTCAAGAGAATGTCTAAATTAGACAACTGCCATTGATCTTTCATTCATGTAAAGACAAAGAGGTTCCGAGAGACTGGAAAAGGGAACATTCCATAAATAATTGGAGGAATAAGGTTTATTCCACAAACCACTCACTAGTAAGCTTCTAGTGAGTGGTTTGTGGAATAAACCTTATTCCTCCAATTTGTGTCTGCTAAAAACATTAAAATCCCTTTAGACTACATTTTCACAGTCTAAGATGTAAGTCTTTGCCATGGTAAGATTGCTCTTCCCCCTCCCTCCTTCCATCCCTCCCTTTCTTCTTTCCTTTCTTCCATCTTTTTTCTTTTTTCTTTCCGTCTTCCCTTCCTTCCACTGCTTTCTTTCCTTTTTCCCTTTCTCCCTTCCTCTCTTCTCTCTCTTTCTAATAAATATTTTATTTTAAAATATTTCTTATGAAGATAGTACAAAAATTGCCAAGGTAGTACAGATAGTTTTCATACACCTTGCAACTGGTTTCCCCTTTTATTAACATCTTACATTAATATGGTGTATTTATTATAGCTAACGAACCTATATTGGCACATTTATAAGGAATGTAGCCAATTATTATTAGCTGGAGTCCATGCTGTATTCAGAATTCCTTATATTTTACCTAATGTCTCGTTTCTGTTCTAGGATCCTCTAAAAGATACCACCACATCGCATTTAGTAGTTTTGGCTTTGGCTTTTTAGGCTCCATAGGCTGTGACAGTTTCTCAGACTTTCCTTGTATTTGATGACCTTGACAGTTTTGAGGAATTATAATAAGATTAGATAGTTTATAGAATCTTGCCCAACTAAGATTTGTCTGATTAGATTGGGCTTACAGCATTTTAGGATGGAGACCAGAAAGGTAAAGTGCTATTTTCATGACATCATATCAAGAGTTCATGCTATCTATATGACTTATCAGTGTTGATTTTGACCTTGATTACTTGGTCGAGGTAGTGTCAGCTATGTTTCTTCAATGTAAAGTTACCCTTTTCTTCATTTTCAAAATTGTACTTTTAGAAAGAAGTCATTGTGTTTAGTCCACAGTTAAGGAGTGGGGAGTTAAGCTCCTCCTCCTTGAAGATAAAGTATTACAGAAGTTATCTGAAATTTTTCTTCACTTGAAAATTTTCTCTTCTTTCCTGTTTATTTTTTATCCCACATTTATTTATGTCAGCATGAACTCATAGATATTTATTTTATACTTCAGGTTATAATTCAACAATATTTTGTTGCTCAAATTATTTCAGATTGGCTGAGTACTCTTTCAGTTAGCTTTTCTGTCCCTTTGACATGTTTTCTGTGTTTGCTGTTTCTTTACTTTCTGGCACGTTAAGATGCTGAAGGCTCATCTTGCATATTTCCTGCCTGCTATAGTTTAAATATTTTTGTTCTCTCCAAAATTCTTGCATTGGAAACTTAATGCCTAATTTCAACAGTATTGGAAGGTGGGGCCTAATGAGAGGTGCTTAGGTTATGAGGCTTCTCCCTCGTGAATGGATTAATTATGCTATTAAAAAGGGTGGGAATGGGTGCTTCCTCTTTCTGTCTCTTCCATTCTTCTCCCAGGTGAGGACACAGGTAGAAGGCCTATACGAGATGCTGGTGGCTTGATCTTGAACATTCCAGCCTCTAAAACCCTGAGAATAAATTTCTTTTTGTTAATTACCCAGTCTCAGATGTTCTATCACACATCTGAGTAAGACAGATATCACCATAAAACAGACCAAGACACTGCCCCAGTCCTAGTATCAGCCATTTTCCTTAGAAAACTGGTTCCCTTTACTGGTAGTGGGATTAGAAACCAAGATCTCGACACTACTTATACTCCTTAATATTGCATATCTTTTTATTTCTAGGTCCTTTCAGCCAACAGAGCAAAGAAATATGTGCACGTATACTAACACATGTGTGGGTTGTATATTTATAGACATTCACATACAGATTATATAGATCCATATATACACAATGGGTTGCATATACACATATGTAAAGATCCATATCGATGCATATATTGTGGATATATTAAGCTAAAAATAAAGTTATACTGATGTCTCCAACTATAATCCATCACACATATATCGTTCTAGCTTTATTACCTTGCTTATTTGTAACCTCCCACTTCAACAGTGAGAAACCCAGCTTCTGCCATCCACCATTCAGTCATTTAATTGTTTGATTTCAGCATACATGTATATATTGGTATGAAAACTATTATCCCTTATCTCCATAATAAACAACTTTTCCAACTAGAGTATAGTATTTTTTGTACAATTTCTTTTACTTTTCGACTTCTAGACTCCACTCATTTCAGAAATTACTTATATTAGCGCCTTTCCCTCTCACTTCCTTTAGTGAGTTTGCTTTATACATTAGTAATATTTTGTTAGATTCTTTTGTCATATTCTACATTCCTTTCTGGAATCCTCTGACCTACTGAATGAATTTTTAAAAATTCAAGTGTACTGTTTCTGCTATAACCTTCTATTGGTTTTGACAAATGCAATATGCCATTTTTCCACCTTTATAGTAGCATACAGAATAGGTTCATCGTCCTAAAATTCCCGTGCTGCACCTATTCAACTCTCCCTCCCTAAACCCAATCCCCAGTATCCACTGACCATTTTACCCTCTTTGTATCTGTATAATTTACCTTTCCCAGAATATCATATAATTGGAATCATAAGAATCTTATAAATACTTTTACTGATTGCCCTCTTTTGCTCAGCAATATACATTTAATATAAATTTAAGACACATCCACATATTTTTGTGAGTTGATTGTTCACTTAATGTTCTGGCCAAAAATATTCCATTCTACGGATGTGGGATGTGCCACAGGTTGTTTATCCTTACACCTACTGAAGTTGGTTCCAGGTTTTGGTGATTATAAATACTGGTGCTATAAATATTCATGTTAAGGTTTTTGTGTGGACATAACTTTACTCATTAGATAGGTAAATACCTAGGAACCTGATTGCTGGACTAAATGGTAAGGCAATGTTTAGCTTTGTAAACTAACAAACTCCACTCCACAAAGGCTGTGCCATTTTGCATTCCCATGAGCAATAAATTAACATTCTAGTTGCTTTGATTCGTCACCAGTGTTTAATCCTGTCGGCTTTTAGGTTTTAGCCAAATAGGTATGGAGTGGTACTTTATGGTTATTTTAATTTTCATTTTTAATACAACAAGTAGTATTGAACATGTTTTCTGACACTATTTGCATCTGCCTATCTTCTTTGTTGAGATGTGTTTTGAAATATTTGGCCATTTTAAAAGTGAGTTGTTTGCTTTCTTCTACTTGACTTCTAAGAGTTATTTGTATATTTTGGAATGAGTTTTTAATTAGGCATGTATTTTGCAAATATTTTCTCCTAGTCTGTGGCTTGTCCTTTTCTTCTCTTAACAGTGACTCTTTTGAGAAGAAGTTTTTAGTTTTAAGTGTGTAATTAATTGTTTTTTTCTTTCATAAATTGTAATTTTGTTGTTGCATGAAAATCTCATTACCAAATCCAGGGCTACATATATTTTCTCCTATGTTTTTTTCTACATATTTTTAGTTTTACATTTTAAATTTAATCCTATTATTCATTCTTAGTTAATTTTTGCGAAAGTTGTAACTTTTAAGGTCTGTGTCTAGGTTCATTTGTTTTCTTTTTCTTTTCTTTTCTTTTTTTTTAATTGGATGTCCAACTGTTCTAGTATTATTTGTGAAAAGGCTATCTATTGAATTGCTTTTGGTCATTTGTCAAAGATCAATTGACTATATTTGTGTGGATCTACTTCTGGGTTCTCAGTCTCTTTACATTGATCTATGTGTCTAATACTTTCACCAATTCCATGCTGGCTGAATACTGTGGCTTTATAGGAAGTCTTAAATTTGCATAGTATGAGTCCTATAACCTGGTTCTCCTTCTTCAGCGATGTATTGGCTACTGTAGGTTCTTTGAGTTTTATTACAATTCAAGAGTGATTTCATCAATATCTACAACATGGCTAGCTGGAATTTTTATTGAGATTTCATTGACTCTATACATCAATTTGAGAAGGTTAAAATTGAAACAATATTGAATATTCTGATCCATGAACATAAAAAATATCTTTATTTCAGCTGGGCGCCGTGGCTCAAGCCTGTAATCCCAGCACTTTGGGAGGCCAAGGTGGGTGGATAACCTAAGGTCAGGAGTTCAAGCCTGGACAACATGGTGAAACCCTGTCTCTATTAAAAATACAAAAAAATTAGACAGGTGTGGTGGACGCCTGTAATCCCAGCTACTTGGGTGGCTGAGGCAGGAGAATTGCTTGAACCCGGGAGGCGGAGATTGCAGTGAGCCAAGATGGTACCATTGCACTCCAACTTGGGTGACAAAGTGATTCCTCAATGATCTAGAACCAGAAATACCATTTGACCCAGCAATCCCATTACTGGATATATACCCATTGGATTGTAAATCATTCTACTATAAAGACACAGGCACATGTATGTTTATTGTGCACTGTTCACAATAGCAAAGACTTGGAACCAACCCAAATGCCCATCAATAATAGACTGAATAAAGAAAATGTGGCACATATACACCATGGAATACTATGCAGCCATATAAAAGGATAAGTTCATGTCCTTTGCAGGGACATGGATGAAGCTGGAAACCATCATTCTCAGCAAACTAACACAAGAACAGATAACCAAACACCACATGTTCTCACTCATAAGTGGAAGTTGAACAATGAGAACACATGGACACAGGGAGGGGAACATCACACACTGGGGCCTGTCGGGGGTGGGGGGCTAGGAGAGGGATAGCATTAGGAGAAATACCTAATGTAGATGATGAGTCGATGGGTGCAGCAAACCACCATGGCACATGTATACCTGTGTAACAAACCTGTATGTTCTGCACATGTATCCCAGAACTTAAAGTATAATAAAAAAATTTTAAAAAAGGTATCTCCATTTCTTCAGATCTTTGATTTCTGTCATCAGAGTTTTGTAATTTGCTACTAATAGATCCTATTAATATATTGTTATATTCATATCTATTTTATTATTATAATGTTATTGTGAGTATTTTATTTTA
Source organism: Homo sapiens (assembly GCF_000001405.40). NCBI lineage: Eukaryota > Metazoa > Chordata > Mammalia > Primates > Hominidae > Homo > Homo sapiens. Next base: position 126,293,702 of record NC_000002.12, on the reverse strand, counting down.
TTATTATTATTTTTTGAGATGGAGTCTCACTCTGTCACCCAGGCTGGAGTGCAGTGGCACAATCTCAGCTCACTGCAACCTCTGCCTCTCGAGTTCAAGCGATTCTTCTGCCTCAGCCTCCCGAGTAGCTGGGACTACAGGCGCACGCCACCATGCCTGGCTAATTTTTGTAATTTTAGTAGAGACAGGGTTTCACCATATTGGTCAGGCTGGTCTCAAACTTTTGATCTCGTGATCCACCCACTTCAGCCTCCCGAAGTGTTGGGATTACAGGCATGAGCCACCACACCTGGCCAGTAATATTTTTAAAATGTCAAATTTTAATTTTTCGGTAGTGAAATATAAAAAAATTGAATATGTATATTAATCTTGGATCTTGTGACCTTGCTATACATGTTATTAGTTCCAAATATTTTTTGTTGTCGACTTTTTATATATACAATTATGTAATCTAAGAATAAAGATGGTTGTATTTCTTCCTGTTCAATCTGCGTAATTTTTATTTTATTTTCTTGTATTCTTGCCCTATCAAAGATTCTAGTGCAACTTTGAATAGGAGTAGTGAGCAAAGAGAGTCTTGCTTTATTCCAGTATTATAGGAAATGCCTTTTATTTCATTAAGTATCATGTTATCTGTAGGCTCTTTGCAGACGTCCTTCATCAAGTTGAAAAAGTGCCCCTCTATTTTTACTTTGCTGAGAGATTTTTATTATGAATGGGTGTTAGACTTTTTGAAATGCTTTTTCTCTTGCATGTATGGATGCAGTTATGTGATATTTCCTCTCTAGCTTATTGATGTGAAGGATTATATTAATTGATTTTTAAAAGTTTAACCAGCCTTGCATACCCAGAATAAATCCTGCTTGCTTATGGTGTATAATACCATTTATTTATTCTTTGTTAGATTAAACTTGCTACTATTTTGTTGTGGATTTTTACATGAATGTTTATGAGAGCTATATCTCTGTAGTTTTATTTGTCTTTATCCAGTTTTTATATGATGATAATGATAGATCATAGAGTTCATATTCTGTAATACATTGTAGTAAATTGGTATCATTACTTCCTGAAATATAAGTAGTAAAAATAAGTTTTGCACTTGTTTTAAATTAAGTTCTAAGTATTTTTATATGCTGTTGTCAATGAAATTATTCTGTTAATTTATTTTCATATTCCTCATCACTAATGCACAGAAATACAATTGATTTTTATTTATTAATCTTACATCTTACAACCTTTTTAATTGTTTATAATCACTTTTTAGTGGACTCTTTAAGATTTTTATATACAATATAATATCATCTGCAAGTAGAAATAATTTTCTTTCTTTCTAATTTGAGTGCCCATTGTTTTCTTATCTAATTACCCTGGCTAGAATCTCTACTACAGTATTGAATAGAAACAATGAAATTGTACAATTTCTTTCTCATTTTAGGGGGAAAGCATCCAGTCATTTAGCATTAAGTATTATGTGAGCTATGGTTTTTTTTTGGCGTGGTGGGGAAATTTTTTTTTATCCAGTTGTGGAAGTTCACATCTATTTCTAATTTGTTGAGGGATTTTATTATAAAAGGATGTTGGATTTTGTGAATGCTTTTTCTGTGTTTACTGGGATGATTATGTGACTTTCAACTTTTATTTCATTGATATGGTGTATAAAATTAATTGATGTCTGGTTATTAAAGCCACTTTGCATTTCTGAGATAAATTCCACAAGGCTTTTCTAATTTGCTAAATTGTATTTGCTAGTATTTTGTTTAAGATTTTTATGTCTATATACAAAAGGAATATTCATTTGCAGTCTTTTATGTTGTGATACATTGCTTTGGTTTTGGTATCAAGGTACTATTAGCTTCATAGAATAAACTGAGTAGCGGTCACACCCCTTCTATTTTTAAATGATTTTTTTGAAAAAACTATGTCCATTAATTTTTTTAAAAAATGTTTTGTAGAATTCACCAGGGAGGCTGTCTGGCCCTGGGCTTTTCTGTCTGGATCATTATTATTATTATTCTATATTTGTGTTTTTCTAGGAAATTGTCCATTTTATTGAATTAATTATTAACATACAATTTTTCAAGCATTTCTTGAAATTCTTTTTATTTCTGTAAGGTTATATTAATGATCTCTCATTTCCAATTTATTTGAGCCTTTTTTATGGTCAGTCTAGCTGAAGTATTTTTTGATATTCTGTCCATTTTGTTGAGATTTTCAACGAAACATGTTTGCTTGCATTAACTTTCTCTACTGCTTTTCTATTCTGTTTCATAATTCTGTTGCCTAACCTTTATTATTTCTTTATTTCCACTTGCTTTGGGTTCAGTTTTTTTTTTCATTTTTTTTTTTTTGCAGTGCCTTAAAGTAGGTTGTTATTGATTTGAATTTTCTTTTATTTTTTTTACTGTCAGCATTTACAGCTATAAGTTTTTCTCAAAACACTGCTTCAGCTGCATTTCATAAATATTCTGAAGTGTGTCTTTATTTTAAGTCATTTCAAAGTATTTTTAATTTTCTTTTGGATGTCTTCTTTGATCCATGTGTTACTTAGCAGTGTACTGTTCAATTCCACATATTTGTGAGTATCCCAGATGTCTTTCTGTTACTGATTTTTCATTTTGTTCCATTATTGTCGGAGAACATACTTTATATTGTTTCCATTTTAAATTATTGATATTTGTGCTATGTGCATATGGCATTTCCTAGAGAATGTTCCATGTGCACTTGAGAAGATTGTATATTCTGCAGTTGTTAGATGGAGGGTTTATTGATGTTTGTGAAGCCTACTTGGCTTATATTGTTAAAATCTTTTATTACATGTTGATTTTCTGCCTACCTGTTTTTTCATATCTAAGAAAATATGATTGTCATTATTAAAACCAGATTATTGACTCCAACTTTCATTGTTAAACTGTTTTTTATTCTGTCGGTTGTGTTACATACATTTTGGTGCTCTGTTCTTAGGTGTGTATATACTCATAATTAATGTGTTTTTCTAACACATTTAGCCTTTTATCATTATAAAATGTCCCTCTTATTTCTATTGATATTTCCTTTTTACTTTAACATTTATTTCTTACTGTTATTATTATAACCATTTCTGCTTTCTTGTGGTGGCTATTTATGTGGCATTTTCTTTTATCCTCTTACTTTTTGTCTATTTATCTTTGAGACCAAAGTATGTTTCTCGTACACAATATATAGTTGTATCTTGATTTTTATTTGGCCTAACGATTACTGCCTTTCAGTTAGGTTGCTTAATCTATTTACTTTCAATGTTAGTATTGATATAGTTGGATTTACTTTTGCCATCTCACATTTTGTTCTATGTGTGTCTTGTGTCTTTCCATCTCTCTGTTTACATTGCCCATATGCTCTTGCATATTGTCTACTTTATTCATTAGACCCTTTAGCATAGTAATCACAGTGTTTTACAATTCAGGGCTGTTAATTCCAATGCCGCTGTCATATCTGGGTCTGGCTTTGATGCCATGCTTTGTCTCTTCAAACTGTGTGTTTCTTGCCTTTTAGTGTGTCTCATAGTTTTCTCTTGATATCCAGACATGATGTGCTGGGTGAGAGGAAGTGCTGTAAATAAGCTTTAGTAATGAGGGTAAGGTGTGGGGGGCAGGGAAACGTTCTATAATCCTGTGATCTCAGTCTTTTAGTAGCCTGTGCCTCTAAAATGTGAACTTCGTATGTGCTCCTTAGTCACCATCCCTCCCTCATTAGGTGGGATAGGGTGGTTGGAGTGGGCTGGAGTGGGTATTTCCCTTTTTCCATATACAAGGCTTAGAGGGGGCTGGAGTTGGTCTTCTTTCCCCAGGTCAGTTAGGCCTTGGTAAAGTCCAGAAGTTTAGGCTCTGGTGAAATAGTTCTTTTCCGAGGGGATACTGTAAGAAAACAGAATGCTCTGGTGTATTTCAAAATCATTCCTTTTCCCCTCATCTCTTCCAGAGGGATGAGAAGATTTTTCTCTTATATTTCCTGTGCAGACCTGGTAGAGCTCCTGGAGGTAAAACTCACAAAAATATAGGGGCCTTCCTATGACTGGGGACCTCTGGAGATTTTAACTCTCTGTTGCCCTCACTGAGCCTCCAGAAATTCATAAATCCTAGCATGGTGGTTGTATTCCTGCCAAACTTTAAAATAGTTTACTCTATTCTATTCCTACCTTCATGAATTCTGATGAGTTCACATCAGTACTTGTCCGTTTTCCTCTCTAGGTAAGGTGTTTAATTTCCCCCCCTCTCTCTTCTCTCAAGGTTTTGTGTTGTCTCTGTATTTTGAATATGGCATCTCTAGGTGTAGCTTTTTTTGTGTTATTTCTCCTGCTTCTTGTTCATTGAGTTTCCTAGATCTATGATTTAGTGTCTGTCATTAATTTTGGACAATTATCAGCCTGGATTACCACAAATATTTTCTCTACTTGGATTATTTCTTCTTTTCCTTCTGATATTCTCATAACATTTATGTTAAGCCTTTTGAAATTAGTGCCCCATTTTTGGATGTATTATATTTTTTTAAAATTATATTTTTCTGTTTGTATTTCAGGTTGGGAAGATTCTACTGACTTATCTTCAAGTTCATTGACTTTTTCATTTGTTTGTCCTCAGCTGTGTCCAGTCTACTGATGAGCTCATTCTTCAAAGCTATACTTCACTTTTTACAGTGCTTTTGATTTCTAGTATTGCCTTTCTTAAAATTTCCGTATCTCTCCTTACATTATTCATCTGTTGTTGATTGTTGCTGCTTTTTTCCGTTGGAGCCCTTACCATATTAACTTCAGTTGTTTTACATTGATTTTCTGATAATTTCATTGTCTGTGGCATATCTGAGCCTGGCTCTGCTGCTTGCTTCATTTCATCACAATTTTTTTCTTATATTTTGACATTCTAACTAATTTTTTGTGTTGAAGACCAGGTATGGTTCATCAGGTAATAGAAACTGGGGAAAAATGTGAGAATTTATTTTAATCAGACTAGGAGTTGTGCTGGGTTTGACGTTTGTTGTAGTTATGAGTGTCAAAGGCTTCAAGTTTCTCTAGAGTCTTTTTTTCTCCAATTTTGACTGTGAGCTTCCCTGAGCACTCACCCTCATCAGAGAGAGTGTGTCTCTTGCAGCTGTTTCACTTGTGATTCACTACTGTTATACTGAGTCTCTGTTGGTGTGGTAGTAAGATGTGGGGAGGGAAGTTGTGGTACATGGCCTAAAATTAATACCATGTACTACCTGGCACCTGAAACTGGATATGTTGTGAATGTTTTAATCACAGTCCCCTTACCCATTGTGCTCCTGTGGATAAAGTCCACTAGTCAAATAACCCTCCTTGCCACAGTGACACAGCATGACATTTACAGTATGAAGAGTCCCCCACCAGGTTACTTAAGGGTGTACTTTGGCTGCCTGAAGTCTGAAGGCTGGGTAATGAGCCAAGGCTATGTTGCTCAGCCAAAGAGCTGGTGTCCTTGAGAACCCAAACATCCCAGAGAGTTTCTGAGAACCTACCAAAGAAAACAGCTTCATCACTCAAACACAGTAGGCAAAGAACTAGAAAATTAGCTTAAAAGCAGTTTCGAGTCAGGAGATGGTGTGGACCTCTTGACTGTCCTACTGCTGTCCAGGAATGCCCTGTATATAAGTCCTAATAAGTTCATCTACTCTTCATGCTGGAGTTGCCTGGGTCATTCTTTGGTCCCTCAGTTTCTTCCCAATTTGGAGGAGGATGTAATGGTCTCAAGTTTTTCTTGTAACAATGCTTGCCTATTGCTGCATGGGCTTCAGTTCCCTGCCAGCCTGCAGAATAATTTGAAGAAGCCAATCACATCTTCCGTGGGAACCAGAGGGCACCTTAACCCCCTTGATAGTACAAAGCCTGGTACCCATAGACCCCGCTTATTCAATATATTACTGAGTACAAACGCCACGTGACTTTGCATGTCTTACAATGTCCTCCTCCTCTAGGCTGTGGGTATATGTGACTAGTAAATTGCTTTTGATTTCACCTGTCCCATGTTGGATGTTGCATGTTCTAACATTCTCCTAACTCTAAGGTGTAAGCCTTCTTTTACCAAGAGGGTGAAATGAAATAATCAAAGCAGAAGGGTTCTACAATATTAAAAAGTAAATCTCCATCTTTTAGTAAGCCTGTGTCTCTCAGTTGTGAACTTTGCAAGTTTGTTTCCTCCCACCAGTGGTACCTTATCTCCATCATGGATGAGGCAAGAAGGCTGAAGAAGGGTGGAGTGGGAGAAATGACCTTTCCCCAGATGGGATAAAGCTCTGGTAAAAGTATTTTCCTCTGGCATGCAGTCTTTGGTTATGTATACCACTCTGAGCATTTCACAATGGTTTCTCTTTCCCTTCCCCTGAAAAAGCGACAAGGAAATATTTCTCTGGTCCTCATTGTAAGAACCTGGTAGGATTTCTAGAGGTAAAAACCCCAAAAGTCAGGGGATATTCTAGGGCAGAGACCCCCAGTAGTTTCTGTCTCTCACATTAGTTTACAGTTGTGATAATTTTCATATAAGAAGAAGAACATATTTGATCTTCACCCCGAGTGTCTAGCACTCGGGGACTTCACCCCGAGTCCTAAAACCCTTGGAATTTCCTAAGTGATAGAGTGAGAGGAATGTCTTTCATTATTTATTATAATTCCTTTTCAACAATACCTGAATTTATACAAATTGCTGACTCTTGGTGGATGGTGGATGGTGGCCGGAGGAATCAGTTACGTGATTAGGCCCACCTCTAGAATTCCATGGAAGGGAGAGGGGCAGGAGATTAGGTCCAATCATCAATGACCAATGATCTAATTGACCATGTTTACATAATGAGATCTTCATTAAAACTTTATGTAATGTGGTTCAGAGGGCTTCTGTGTTGGCAAATACACTCATTCAGATGCTAGGAGGGGTAATGCTTAGAGACAGCACGGAAGCTCCATGCCCCTCCCACCTACGGTGTCCCATGCATCTCTTCAGTTTGCCTACTCCCGAGTCGTGGTTTCTCTTATAATAAATTGGGAATAGTGAGTAAAGTGCCATCCTCAGATGTTTGAGCTATTCTAGTAAATTACCAAAACTGGGAAGGGTAACTCCCAGTTTATAGCTGGTTGGTCAGAAACACAGGTCACAACCTGGGACTTGCACCTGACATCTGAAGCAGGGGCAATATTGTGGGATTGAACCCTTAAGCTGTGGAGTCTGTGCTAACTCTTGGTATTTAGTGTCATAATTGAATTATAAGACGCCCTTTGGTTCCCTGAAAGTTGGAGAATTGCTTAATGTGAGGGAAATTCTCACCAATTTCCTGTCAGATGTGTTTTGTGCAAATAGAGAAAAACAGCTGTTTTCTCTTTTAACACTTTACCTCCAGAAATTTGTAAAAGTTAACATTTAAGTGTTCTTCCCAGGTAATGGATTCAGCAGCTTCTGCTCCAGGTAAAAAGAACTCAGCTGTGGCTCTCTAGAGTCACCTGTTTCTCACGATTTCAGGGCAACACTTTGTATTAAAACTTCAGTCAGTCCAAGAAGTTATTGACATTCAGTTTATTCTGCTTTTTCTTGTTGTAAGAATGAGTGATTTTTTTTTTTTTTTTTTTTTTTGAGACGGAGTCTCGCTCTGTCGCCCAGGCTGGAGTACAGTGGCACGATCTCGGCTCACTGCGACCTCTGTCTCCTGGGTTCAAGCGATTCTCCTGAGTAGCTGGGATTGCAGGGGTGTGCCACCAGGCCTGGCTAAGTTTTGTATTTTTAGTAGAGACGGAGTTTCACCGTGTTGGTCAGGCTGGTCTTGAACTCCTGACCTCGTGATCCTCCTGCCTCGGCCTCCCAAAGTGCTGGGATTGAGTATGATGATTTTTAAGCATTTTATGTGTCAGAACTGAAACCAGAAGTAGTGTTTTTTTTTTTAAGTGCTGACTTAAGATACTGTTTAATCACTGAAGTAAAATGTGCATGTTATCAGCATTATTTAAGTAAGAGCAGATATGTTTGTATCTTTCTGAAACTGTATGTTTTTTATTTTCTTTGAGCAAGCTGTGGAGTCTTCATTTCAGTTACTATTACCTTCATGCATAATTCAGCCACTGCTGATATAGAGATGGCAACTAATTCAAAGGATTCCTCTAGCTTCTAAAACATTCTCTATGAAACTCATTTATGTGGTAGTAGCATGAGGTGCATCTCCTGTTTGTTTTATGTAAATGAAAATCCTAACGTTGAAGCCCACTTATTTGCCATATTACTAACTCTTCAACTATCCAGATAGTTTTGCTGTCCTGCTAGTCTTTCCAGGAAAGCATATATGATAGTTTTTAACAAATGTCCTCAACATTATTTCCCCATGGAATCTGTGACTTGAGATGTTCCAAACTTCTCCATTTTCAAATTTCCACTTTTGATGTATCAAATATATAGACAAGTGCACAAAACATCGATGTTCCACTCAATGAATCAACAGGAAGCTAAACATTTTTGAATTTTTGATTAGTTTATTTATTTTTAAATTAAAATGAATTATTTTTGAGACCAGGTCTCACTGTGTTGTCCAGGCTGGCTTTTAACTCCTGGGACTCAGGTGATCCTCCCGCTTCAGCCTCCAGAATCCCTGGGACTGCAGGTATTTGCCACTGTGTCCAGCTAAACCCTTTTTAATTATCACCAAGGTTAAGAAATCTAATTACATCACCACTCATATACTAAATTAGTATTATACCTGAATTATTTTGTGTTGCTGTAAAAGAATACCTGAAGCTAGTGGTTTATTTAAAAAAAAATTTGGTTCACAATTCTGATGGATAGAAAATTTAAGATTGGGCATCTGCATCTGGTGAGGGTCTCAGGCTGCATCTATTCATGGTGGAGGGTGAAGGGAGCAGGTGTGTGTAGAGATCACATGGGGAGAGAGGAAGCAGGAGAAGTGGGAGTGGGGATGCTTGGCTATATTTAACAACCAGCTCTTGAGGGAACTAAGAGTGAGAGCTAACTCGCCCTGGAGAAAAGGCATTAATCTATTCATTAAGTATCTCCCCACAAACACTTCTCACTAGGCCCCACCTTTAACAGTAGGGATCCGATTTTAACATGAGATTTGGAGAGGACAAACATCCAAACCATCGCTGGTTTGATATTGTTCCTTTAACAATTTAACGAGCCTCTCAAGACTCAAATCAAGATTTATTTCCTCCATGAACTTTCTACCAAAAAGTAAATCCAAGGAAGAGGTGTTTCTAATTAAAATGGATGGATGGATGCTTGTCAAAGACTCACGCTGTCTTCCTCTGAGTGCTTTCAAAGGTTAGTTCTTATAACAAGGATTCTGCCCTTAAATTAATATATAGAACCATGGAGAAACTCTGTTCAGGCTGACTTCATAGTCCACTCTCCAAAGAGGCATGCTAAAGGTGATCTGAGGCGCTAAAAGAAAATGGTAAAATTTCTACTCATGTGTTTCTTTATGACGTTCTATTTTTATATATGTTTTATGATGCACATAAAACATGCACAAAATTATATTGTGTATTAGCAATAGTATGTATAAGATTTATGAATTACAAAATCAATATACAGAGGGCACATGCACAGAATATTTACTGATAGGTATGTGATATTAAAAATCTGGAGAATAATGATGTTCATTACTTGTGTTCTCAATTGAGCTTCATACAGCTAAAGATTCCTATTCTTAAAAAAAAGTGAAATTCTACTGTATTGTATCCTCTCATGTCTGTTCATGATGAAGTCTTTGAAATTTCCTGTGAGGGCTTTGCTACTTATCATCTCTTCCTTGGCTTATGTTTCTCTCTCTGTCTAGAGTCCTCATTCATGTTCCTGTATGTAAAAACAGCACATCATGTTTTTAATTTTTCTAAATTGATATATCAAATATACAGGAAAGTACACAAAATAGATATTTTATTTCAAAAATAAATTAACATAATTTTATTTTATTTAATAAATTCGCAGAAAGCTAAACCCTTTTTAATTATCACCAATCTAATAAAATTACATCATCACTCACATGTCCCCTCCTATTTCTACCACTCACTATTCCCACATTCTCCTGTAAAGTTGTGATTGATTATTCAGAATTCCAACACACATATTCATGGCTCTGCCTGACTACAGCTTACTCATGGTCCACAGTTTCCAACTTCTCTATGTGTGTTCTTTAGCTTTTCCTTTTTCCCTAATCAGCTAAAGAGTCTAACATCTTTGGTTCAAATTCTTCAGAGTAATAATTAAGTTAATTCCTTTCTCCCCTATGTGGGATCAACTTTCAAAAAAAATAAAAGCCCCTTATATGCCATTGATCAGTTTATATGAATTAATTATTCCTGAATTTGATACTGCTTATCAACCAACCATCTGTAGCCCCAGAGGTAAGAACAGGGCAGGCATGGATTGCTTCATTAGAGCAGCCGTTTGTGGAAGTGGTCATTTCCCTCAGAAAAATGCAATGATCAAGGCACACGGCTTGAATAGCCTACTCTGTGCATGTTGTCTCTTGACTAATGAACCAAAATGAGGCATTGATTATACAGTTACACAGTTTTTAATGTTCTCTCTTTAAAAGTGTCTTTTGCTAAACTGAAGTCTCTCTCTTTATGAGATGGGATAAAAGCAACCCATCACAGAAAACTCAGGAATAAATTAAATTATAGGCATACCTTGGGGATATTGTGGGTTTGGTTCCAGACCACTACAATACACAAATATTGCAAAAAAGCAAGTTACACAATTTTGTTGTTTCAGTGCATCTAAAAGTTATGTTTACATTATACTGTAGACTAAGTGTGCAATAGCATTATATCTATAAAAACAATGTGCATACCTGAACTAAAAATACTTTATTGGTAAAAAATGCTAATGGTCATCAGAGTCTTTAAGAAGTCTTAATCTTTTTGCTAATGGAGGGTCTTGTCTAGATGTTGATGGCTGCTAACTAATGAAGGTGGGGTTGCTGAAGGTTGGGGTGGCTTTGTCAATTTCTTAAAATAATACAATAAAGTTTGTTGCATCAATTGACTCTTCCTATCATCAAAGATTTCTCTGTAGCATGTAATGCACTTTGCTAGCATTTTATCCACAGTAGAACCTCTTTTGAAATTAAACTCAATCTTTTAAAACCCTGCCACTGCCTTATAAACTAAGTTTATGGGATATTCTAAATGCTTTTTTGTCATTTCAACCATGTTCATGGCGTCTTCACTACGTGTACATTCCATCTCAATAAGTCACTTTATTTGCTTATCTTCAAGAAGTAACTCTTCATCCATTAATATTTTATCACAAGATTGCAACAATCCAGTCACATGTTCAGGCTCCACTTCTAATTCTAGTTCTCTTGCTATTCCTACCACATCTGGAGTTATTTCTGTCATTGAAGTCTTGAATCACCCAAAGTCATTCAAGAGGTTTGGAATCAACTTCCTCCAGACTCCTGTTAAGTTTGATATTTTGACTTCTTCCCATGGATCACAAATATTCTTAATGACATCAAGAATGTTGTATTTTTTCCAGAAGGTTTTCAATTTACTTTGCTCAGACAGAGAAATCACTATCTATGGTAGCTAGGGCATTAGAAGATTTATTTTTTAAATAATAAGACTTGAAGGTCAAAGTTACTCCTTGATCCATAGTCTGCAAAATGGATGTTGTGTTGGCAGGCATTAAAACAAGACTAATCTCTTTGTACATCTTCATCAGAGCTCTTGAGTGACCAGAAACATTGTCAATGAGCAGTGATCTTTGAAAGGAATCACTTTTTCTGAGTAGCAGGTCTTAACAATGAGCTTACAATATTACAGCAAATAGTCCTATGAACAGATGTGCTGTGACTCTGGCTCTGTTGTTTCATTTCTAGAGCACAGATGGAGGAGCTTTAACATAATTCTTAAGGGATGTAGGATTTTCAGGATGATAAATGACCATTGGCTTTAACTTAAAGTCACTAGCTGCCTCAGCCTCTAATAACAGAGTCAGCCGGTCCTTTGAAGGTGTGAAGCCAGACATTGACTTTTCCTCTCTTGCTATAAAAGTACAAGATGGCATCTTCTTCTAACATAAGCCTCTTTTGTCTACATTGAAAATCTGTTGTTACTGTAGCCATTTTCATCAATGATCTTATATAACTCGCTATAGCTTCTACACCAGCACTTGCTGCTTCAGCTGCACTTTTGTGTTATGGAAACAGCTTTTTCCCTTAAATCTCATGAACCAACCCGTGCTAGGTTCAAACTTTTCTTCTGCAGCTTCCTCACCTCTCTCAACCTTCATAGAATAGAAAAGAGTTAAGGCCTTGTTCTATGTTAGGTTTTGGCTTAAGGGACTGTAGCTGGTTTGATCTCTCCAGACTATTAAAACTTTCTCCTTATCACCAGTAAGGTTGTTTTGCTTTCTTATTTTTACGTTCACTAGAGTAGCACTTTTACTCTTCTTCAATAACTTTTCCTTTGCATTCACAACTTAGCAAACTGTTTGGCACAAGAGACTTAGATTTCAGCCTATCTCAGATTTTGACAGGCCTTCCTGACTAAGCTTAATCATTTCTAGCTTTTTATTTAAAGTGAGAGACATGTGACTCTTCCTTTCATTTGAACACTTAGATGCCATTGTGTTGTTGGCCTAATTGCAACACTGTTGTGTCTCAGGGAATAGGGAGGCCGAAGGAGAGGGAAAGAGATAGAGAAGAGCCTGTTGGTGGAGCACTCAGAACACACACAACTGTTATTGATTAGGTTTGCCATGTCATATGGATGTGGTTTGCGGTCCCCAAAAACAATTACAATAGTAACATTAAAGATCACTGATCACAGATCACCCTAACAGATATAATGAAAATGTTTGAAATATTGTGATAACTACCAAAATGTGACACAGAGACAGGAAATGAGCACAGGCTTTTGGAAAAATGGTGCCAATGGACTTGCTCAATGCAGGGTTGCCACAAACCCTCCATTTGTAAAAATAAAATGCAATATCTTTGAAGTGAAATAAAGGAAATGCAATAAAATGAGGTGTGCTTCATTCTCCAAAGATGCATCATCAACCCTTCTCTCTTTGTATGTGAATGCTTGTCTGACACACAAAGAAACAGAATCTATTCCTCATTGTCCCATGTATCTATGTTTGCCTTATCACTTATTTTGATGAATATAATAAGAGGAAGCCTGGAATCTTCCACTTCTGCTCTTGTTGCAGTCTGCCAAGTAAAATGTCTAAGTACTCAGCAACCACCATAAAAGCCCAAGATAGTGAAGGAGAAGAGGATGTATGGAGAAGTACTGAGATACCGGATGTGTGAGACAAAACTTCTTAGACCTCACAACCTAGGGTAGCCGAATGCAAAAAAGTCAATGCTGCATGGTGCCAAAAAACCATGCATCACAGCCAAGATACCCCCCAAAATCATAGAACATAATAAATGGTTGTTTTACGTCAGTGAGTTTTAGGGTTCTTACACACTAATAAATAATTATGGGCAATGAGTATAGAGAAGACATGATTAAACAGAAGCAAAAATTACCAAAAATATGACCTGAGTGACCGATTGTTCATTGGTAGAGCCAGAAACTATCCAAGCTGAGTCAAGATGAGCCGAGGCATGTTAAGTGACAGAGCCCTTGTTGGGACACACAGCCTATTTCTGGCTAGAATAGTTGTAATTATATGCATATAATACATGATCAAGACTGCTCACATTAATCTCTATACATCTCTACAGCAGGTTTGTTCAGCACTTCTGTTTTACCTCACCACAGTTCATGTATACTTGAACAGCAAGTTCCCCTCACTTCCCACTGACACTCTTAGTACAGGACTAGTGGCTCTGTTCATCTTGCTGACTGCAACAGGGGCCATCAGGGACAAGTGACCATCAGGGACAACAGCAATGAATACTTCTGCATACCACATCCTGATTGCTGAGGGAATTCGATGTGGTCATTGGCCTCTGCCTATGGGCACTTTGTTTTGATGTGTGTCCTCTGCATAGTCTCCTTGAAAGGTGGTTATTAGTTAACCTGTGTCTGGAAGGGATGTGGAGTAGAAAAATGCATATGTCTGATCATCTTTCAAATGTAATCATGCATAAAGTGAGAATTATTTTCTGCACGTGTCTTATACATGACCAGAGCAGACCGTGGAAGAAGCTGGAAGTACCAAGTGGAGGTCTGACAAATGCATCCCGGCCTATTTTAATGTAACTTTAGCAGTATTACTTGGTTATGGTTCCACTTACATCAAGTTCAAAATCAGGCAAAACTAATCTATTGTGTTGGAGGGCAGAATATTGATTTCCTGTGGAGGGGCCATCAACTAGAAGAGGCCCAAGGAGTTTTTAATGGGGCTGGGACAGTTTTCTATGCCTTTACTTGGGCAGCAGTTACACACATGTGTGTGAATGTACAAGCATATTCAGCTGTACATTTAAGAATTTTGACCTTCCTGTATGTAAGTTATATCTTAATTTAAAAATATAATGAAAGATTGAAGAGTCAGTGGAATGGTGCTAAACCAGATGGAGCACCAGGGCAACAGGCACAAAGTCTTATTGCTAAAATCCAGACTGTTTTAAGTGAAGAGTTATCCAGGAATTACGCCCATCTTTCCTATTTATCAAGAAGAGTCACAGAGCTCCAAAAAAGTTTTGTTTATGTTTTTTTCTTAACGATTCATTTCAATTTTTCAGTACCCTACCCAACACAAAAAGGAATTTCTGTCATCTCACATGCAAAAAATAAATGAAAGTCATTATAAGAAAACAATAAATAAACTTTATATATACAGATGTGTTTCATATTATGGAACCCAGAAATACCAAAAATAAAATTGCAAATTTATAAGACAAAAATGTCAGGGCTAATTGGGGATTTACCTATAGTACTACATGGTCATAGGAATTCACTGCCAAGATTATTCATCTTTAAAACAGTATCTAATATTTAGTATTAAAATTATATGTTAAATCTTCTTTATATTAAATGCCTAGAGTAAGATTCATTTACATGTCAAATTGTAGGCACCACTTAATAATTCCAAAGACTTATATATTCTAATACTATAGTTGAATAAAATAAAAAAGAAGGTAACATGGTACTGTGGCCATACTCTGTCATACTGCCTCTGAAAGATGTGGCATGGTGGTAGAGCATGGAAGAGCAACTAGCAAAGTTAGGAGTTAGTGTTTCATTTACATTGCTGTTTTGACAAAAAATGTATTTACTAATAAAAGTACAGCTTCATCTGCACTTCACTGAAGGAAATCATTGTTAATTGATTTTAGATGAGCACATGAAAGTGATGAGTTGCATTAGATGGAGGTCTAAAGTCACATGGAAATTAACAAAACAATTTATTACTGAATAATACTTCATACTGATCAGGCTCTTTATACTTTTCAGAGTATCTGCATTATACACTCTCTCATTGATCTACAAAATAATTGTATGTGACAGACAGGTAGCACTTTGATTTTCACATTTGATGAAAGAGGCTCAAAGGACATTAAGTGAAGTAACTTCACATCCACATGTCTTCTGTCTTGTCAATTATACTGTGTTTTGCGGCTTTTATTGTTATTACCTTTGTTAATGTCATAAATAAAAAAAAGAATGTCTTAAATGAAACAGAAACATCTTCAATCTGACAGCAAAAATACAAATAGGCTTTTGTGCTAATTTATATTCATTCCCATGTTTGTTTGGCACCCAAGTTAAGTTTAAAGTTGTAAACTGTATTTCGGCTTTAAAATAGAAATTTTCTAATTTCTCAAATGACGAGAAGATGATCATGGTGCAAGTCTTACCCGCACTGTTTAATCTAATTCCTGATTAATTATTTCACTGGCATCCCTGTCAACTTGAGAATCTATTCCCACTGAATGTAGTAAAGTTGATCTATCTGCTAACTGACGAAACTCTGGAAACAGAGAATTCTGGACCTTGAATAATGTCTCAAAATCTATGGGAATCAATGCTGCTTGCTTCTTCAAATACTATCACAGACCAACATACAAGAAGCTGAGGACAGAGGTAATATCCCTGAAGAAACTTGTCCAATTAGTGGTGCAATAAATATTTGAAAGAGTTTGTTTTAGGATGGAGACCAGAGTCCAGGGGTTGAAGTTTAAATTCTGACACCACCTTGGAAGACCCCATGAGTTACCTCCTCTCTCAGCCATCTGTAAAGTGTAGGTATATTAATAATTATTAATAATTACTTGTAAGATTACTGAAAGGATTGAGTGAAGGATGTATGCAAAATGTCTAGAACACTCTAGAAGTGATACCTGTTATAGCAGGTGGAATAGAAACTTTAACTGTAGTAGGTATAAAATAAACATACTTCAGGTAATAAAGGATGGAAATTGTTGGTTCAAGGACAAAAGGAAGATCAACCATTTCCCAGGCCTTTCTCTTGCTACCCTGAAATGATTGAATAATCTGTGTTTCCAGAATGTTGTGTTTGCATAGCCATCTGATTGCAAGTATCAAGTAATTACAAAATGACTATGTTAATGGAAGATTTTCTTCACTTTTTAAAAAGTAAGGTTTTCACATTTTGCATCTAAATTCATTGATTATGCATAAAGAGGTCAGGAAAGCCTTGTGGCTTTATTAAATTGATCAGCATCTAATAACTTAATTATCTACAGAAACAGATGTTACTTCAATCTGAAAACAAATTGTCTTGTACACAGGGAAGAAAATTAAAGTATCGAATACTGTGGAGATTTATAAAATGATCATATTGAGGCTAAAAGGAGAAAGAAACAACAAAACATCAGGGCTCCTGATTCAGGCTCAACACTATTTAATGTTTTCTAAATTATTTTCATCTTGAATTTTTTTTTGTATATATATATATATATATAAATTTTTAAAATATATATATACATATATATATAAAATTTTAAAATATATATATACATATATATATAAAATTTTAAAATATATCTATCTCATTTGACTCCAGCTTAAGAGTTTGTGCCTGCACCCTGCTCCCATCCCAACACACACATGCCCCAGGACCTTGATGCTATGAGATCCAGAAGGAGATTTTGTCTTCTGTTTTTCAGTACTTTTGTCTTTCAGATTTCTGACTGAATTGTGATTTTTCTTATCCTGGGAATGAAAGCAGCACTTCCTAGCTCTGTTCATCTCTTTGAAAATAAAATCTTTGCCTATGAATAACCTCTAACTCAAAGAGTTACTCAGATATGTTTTTCTTTTTTCTTTTTTCTTTTCCTTCTCCCTTCCTTTTCTCCTTCCTTCCTTCCTTCCCTCCCTCCTTCCCTCTGTCCCTCCTTCCTTCCCTCCCTCCTTCCCTCTGTCCCTCCTTCCTTCCCTCCCTCCTTCCCTCTGTCCCTCCTTCCTTCCCTCCCTCCTTCCCTCTGTCCCTCCTTCCTTCCCTCCCTCCCTCCCCTCCCCTCCCTTCCTCTCCTCTTCCTTTTTATTCCCTAGTGTTCACTGCTTTTTTTCTTAGAGCACGTGCTTCCAGGTCGCCTCTTGTGTTGCTTGCTGTCTCAGCATCTGACTCATTGTTAACCTGCATTTTCTTAGCCAGGTCAAGCCCACGTGGCCAGGCCACTTTTCTTTGGCCTTGGCTTTCCTTTGACCCTGAGTTGGGCTCACCCTATGGTAGTGAAGCCTTGATTTGCCATGGAGAAATGCCTCTTTCTTCATGACCTGGGTCCAGAGCCCTCTAGCTTGATAATATCAAACTTTACTTCCATGTTCAGGAAGTGTCTACTGGGTTTGTCTTAGATTCAGTAGGTGAAACTGGAATTTTTCTATGATTCACAGATTATAGTCATAAAACACAAGAAGTTGAAGTTGAAAATGATCTTAGATAAATTGCTTTTCTAGATCCCCTATTATAGATAAAGAATGGAGGTCATATTATGGTAAGTGATGGATCTGAGGTCATAGAAAGGAAGACAGAGGCTGTCAGAATTAGAGCCTGGAAATGCCATACCTGAGTAGATTGAGAGGAAGGAGCTGAGTTTGGGAGGACACCTGCAGGACCAGGTATTGAGGAGGATGGTGATGCAGGACGTGGAGCCAGCTACACCAGCACACAGAATTCAAGGCCACCGATGAAGGCAAAGATAGGCAGAGGGGCACCAAATGGCACATCAGGGGAGGAGAGGAGGGATGGTCCATGGGCAGGTCAGTATCTGGAGCTCAGTGGAGGTTAGAGGAAGCAGAAGGACTGTGCCTATCTTTCTCTTCATTGATTTTTATAATAGCTATGACTTCCTGAGAAGTTATGAAACATTGTTCTAAGCCCCTAATTTGTATGAATTCATTTATCCTTGCAACAAACCTGTGGGCGACACTTTTCTTATCTTCATTTTACAGATGAGGGATTTGAGGCATAGAGTGGAAGTGGGTTGCGCAAACCTTACAACATGCCTATGGGCAAGACAGGGCTCTTTCCAGGCAAACAGCCTTCAGAGTCTCAGCCTTTAACCAAACCATGGTGCTTCCCCTCTGTATCCCAATGCCAGAACTGGTGTCTGGCATTTAGCAAATGTTCAGGGTCAGTTGTTGCATCTGACATTAAAGGGATCCATGGTTTAGCTTCTGTGAAGCTGGAAATTGTATTAGCTACTCAAGCCCATGTCAAATCCCTCTGCACAACTCTCCCTCCCCATTCGATGCTGTAAATATGGAATGGAGACATAATCAACTGCCATCTAGACTGCCAGCCTGCAACCAATTGACAGAGGCAGAGCAGACAGGTGACTCTGCAGCTTGCAGGTTATCTGAGTTGACTATCATCATTCTCACTGGTGGATATGGGCTGAAAAGGAGAATCAAGTGCTATATGAGATACTTTTTATTCCTTTACTCTATTTTTATTATTTATTTATTTATTTGTTTGGTTTTGGTCTTCTGATTGGTTCCTGGTAACTGGGCCATGAGAGGGCCAGAATTTCTATCTCCTCCATTTGTGTTTCTTACACATAAGTTGGAAAGATTTTCTACACTTTATACATGGCCCATGGGGGCCATCAGAGCCCAGATCTCTTATCCCTTGGGGCTCAGTAGTGAAGAACAAGCCTTAACTCTCTGGAGGCTTACAGATCAGCACTGGACTTCTGAGCTGTTGTTGGAATCCTCTTCACACCCACAGATAAATACGCCGAGGGAAATCTCGAAGAATCAAGACAAGTCAGTCAGTCTGCTTTCAAGGAGAGAACACCTTTTCTTAAGTGTTAGTGACCAGTTGGAGAAAGTGTTCCACAAATCTCCTGCCCATTTTGTAGGAAGAAGTACGATCTTATTGGCAATGCCTGCCTTGCAAGACTTTCAACTTCTCAAAGTCAGAAACACTGGACCAAACATGCGTGGTCACATACAGAACTGTTCCTGAGCTGAATTGGGAAGTTAAGTTGTTCTTGATTATCTTGTTATCAGACAGGTAGAAGGCATTCGGTAACTGTCATATTGCTTGCGCTAATAATTTCAAACATATTTCCAATTCCGCCACACAGGTTCAATAATCCTCATCAGCTTGCTGTGAATTAGGTATCATTATTCCCATTTTCAGATAAGCCTCAGAGGGACTAATTTATCCAGTGTTACACAGCGAGTAATTACTGGACTTTTTATTCTGCTTCTGTTCCTGTTTTGCCATCTTGACCCCACTGCATTGATGCTGCCCCGCTGTTTTGCATTTTAATTCATTTCTGAGCATGTGCGCACCCTCTGAATCCACCATAGACCTCATCTCCTGGGTGTTGCTCCCAGCGTGCTCTAAATCCGAACATCGTAATGCTGAGCTTGTATAAGATGTAGGGGTTGAATTATTTGTTAAATGAGCTAATTTCATAATCAAGCCAGGAAGAAGGCCACAGAGACACATCAGCACCGGAAGTGTGTCTATGAGGACACATATTTTTAACACTCTGCAGGCTAAGCTATCACGTGGTCACTGCTTTCCTCTCATCTTTTTTGCATGGACTTTCTTGCTTGATTTTTAGACAGACAGATGTAAAGAAACATAGTTTCTTTCCTCTTCAGATACTGTTGAAGGGTTTTGAATTCTAAAATACTATTTAATGGTAGCAGTAAGTAAAGAAAGTCTAGGAAGATGAACAGCCTGACACTCTGAAAAAGTATCATTTGTTCATTAATTCACTTGCTCTTTCATCTAGTCTTTCCACAAATGATTCTGAATGCTTAACACACCAAAGGCTCTGAGCAAGGAACTGAGGCTACAGGGATGAGTGTGCTTTTCATCCTTCTCATCCCCAAAATGAGTCTAGAGACAAATGGGGGAGGGAAACACAAAAATGAGTATCACAGCACCATGGTTACATTAGGGAGGAGGCCCAGAGTGTCATGGAACACCAAACACAAAGTAAGGGGCCCAAGAAATTTTTTTCAGAAGACATGAAGGTAGAATTAAATTTTTAAGGAAGTAAAAAATACACATTATAGCATCTTAAGAGAAGACAACGCACTACACAGGGCAAAGGAATCTGAGAGGATTTGGGGTCATCCCAAGCTGTTCCATGCATATGTTATTGGGGGTGATGGATGTGAGTGTTCATGGAAGGGAGAACTGCAAGGTTTGGGCATTTTGTAGAGATGTTACCTTGAAGGATCTCATCAGAGGAGAAACAGGATAATGCAGAGAGGGGCATGATCGAGGGGGCTGGGTGGATGTTTGGATTTCTATAAACAAATGTTTCCAAAAGTAGTAATGCTATGTAATGGGACCAGGGTTATACAGTCACTCACTTGTGACCAGTATCAAAGTTTTGTTATCACTCCCAACATCAGACATTCCAAAACTCCAAAAAATCCTGATCAAAGAAACTTTCAACTTATTGTTTAAAAAATAGCAATAAAAAAATTCAAAGTAGTATTACATTTTGCTCTGACTGGTTAGAACTGCAGTGAAATGTAGTCTACAAGGACATTTTTTAGCTTACAATTTTCACAGTTATTTTGCATTACATTTATCTCCACATTCTTTCAGCTAACCTATATGTTACATCATAGCAGACAGGGTCAAATGGATCATAGATTCACATGTAAGAAAAGCAGGAACCCTCCAGAGAGCATAATGATTTGTTCCAGTAAGATGGAGTGGGAAAGGGAGAGGAAAGAGGTGTTACGGAGTATTAGCCAACGCTGCTCAATAATTTACCAATCAATTAAAATGGCATTATTATTCTCCTTTGACACTTAGCTTCTGTGATATTTAAAGGTCACATGGGCACTACTGGGGAGGACAGCTATTAGCAGATACGTGAAAATAGCATTTCTGATCTCTGGAACAGGGTGTCAAGGTAATTTGTGTCCTAGCTCAAGTTACTCTCATCAGCACACAAGGGCAGATGTTTGACTAATCTAGTATACCAAAAGAAGTAAGAAGGTAAAAAATGCTCAAAACCCTGATGAGCGTATGGATAATCAGACAGGCAAAGTGACGTATGCTATTACACAAACTTTTGGATTCTTTCAATTGAGGCCAGAAGATTTTAGGATGCTCTGTCTAGATTGATTGTGACATTTATATTAACCAGATTCTAACCAAGGATGAAGGACTTATTTGAGATAACAAACATTTTAGCTGCAATTACAAATAATTTCTCAATTGCTAAATAATGATTAGCTTTTATCGAACATTTAATATTTATCAAAAGCTGTGTGAGATGCTTTGTATACATAATAGCATTTATGGTAATAACAAAATAAGCAATTGAGTGTATCATCCCCATTTTTTAGACAGGAAAACTGAGTTAGAGATGCTAAGTAGCATGTTTGAAGTCTCACAGGCCATAAATGGTGTAGCCTTGGTCCACCATTCTTAACACTTCACAACTCCTTTAATTATTCACTTGTGTTGGTCTGTTACTTCTTTTTGTCCCCCTCATATGTTCTGAATTTTACTAGCTGGCTATAGTGCAGGTGAACTGGGCCTTTTATGTTTTATTTATTTAACAGAACACTAATTCACTGCTGGGTATGCAGCCTTTAGGAAAGGCTCATAGAGAATATTCATGAATATTTTAATTTCTACTTTGAAAGACTGATCAGTGATGTAAGTGGTGTTTTTTCCTCACATTCAAATACTTCTTTCCTATTCCTCAGTTTTGGTTTAAAAAATTTTGACATATACTGAACTATTACTAAGAGATGGCTTAATTTGAAAGTTTGGGGCTGTCTCTGTGTGAACATCTATTTCAACTCTGGTCAGCAAGATACTCTGATCATTCATCAAATAGCAAGTCAGTCATGGCATAGTCATCGATCATTGCATTGAATTATCTTTTAGCCAAAGGGTTCACCTGCTGAGGTGTCCATCTATTCAGAAACACAACCTGAAATACCCCTTTAGTTCAGTAGGTTCCCATAAGGATGGGATCTGTGAGCCCAGGAAAGCAGCATCAGCCACAAAGTTGTGAGGAAAGAGTGAGACACAGATCCTTCATCCAATCTGGTGTCCCTTGTTTTTCAATCCTCTGTTCATTTTACAACTCTGTCTGCTCAGGACCTTTTCTTCACAGCAGTAACATTGAGAGGAAGCCATGGTAGAGACAAAGACTCTTCTTTATGGTACAGAAGACTTGGAATGATGAGAATGAGTTTGAGACTCAGCTCTACTCATTCAGGGCTTTGTGAGTTGGTGCAAGCCACCTCTCAGGCTGAGCCATGTATAATGTATAATGTAAAATAGATTTTCAGTGATACGCATCTTACCTTTACCCTTTAGATTTTTCTGGATGATAACATTTTACAGTAATCCACATGGTCCTCTTTTGCTGCCTGATCTCTCACGTTCTTTCCTAAGTTATTGTGGGGGGGCCTGCAAAACACAAGCATTGAACATGAAAGTTGTTCTTAAGCACAATCTTGATATTATACTTTTTTATCTGTAATTGCAAATTCAGCATATCTCTGTTTTATCACACTAATGATTAATGTGCATGTATAATGTACATGTATTTAGTGTACATGTATCATGTCAAGCTTACAGGTTTTATTAAAGGGTTAAATGAGATAAATAATAAGGTACATGGTGCTTTTCTTTATATAACTTGGATCCCAATTATACTGAACGAATCTGAGTTCTCTGGAGTTGTTTTCATCCTTGTCCTCAGTCCCCTTACATATATTGTTTCTACAGCCTCAAAGTCCTTTCCCTGCTTAACCTGCTAATAACAGGACCAAGCAGATTGTGAATGAACTGTCAGTTTTTGGAGGATAGAGGGAAATTACCAAAAGTTCTAAAAAAGTCTTAAAAAACTCCTCTATTCTGTTTCTTTCACATATTCATGAAATATTAAAAGCAGCTGGTAGAGATTTTTGTCAAGAAATAATTGGATATTTATCATCTTATCGTTAATAAGTTTGGTTTTCTTATCACAATATTTTAATTAACATTTAAAAATCCTCATTACACAGTATTTTAAATTGTAACTGAAATTGTCTATGTGGAGTGCCTCTGCCATTTAAGGGTGAACGTAGGAACTTGGGAAATCATTTGAGTTTCTAATTGAAAAATAATCGGGTTTAAAATAAGCAAATTATAATAATCATTAGTGTGATAAAACAGAGATTTATGCTGAATTTGCAATTACAGATAAAAAAGTATAATATCAAGATTGTGCTTAAGAACAACTTTCCTGTTCAATGCTTGTGTTTTGCAGGGCCCCCCACAATAACTTAGGAAAGAATGTGAGAGATCAGGCAGCAAAAGAGGACCATGTGGATTACTGTAAAATGTTACCCAGAAAAACCTAAAGGGTAAAGATAAGATGCGTATCACTGAAAATTTATTTTTGAGCAAATAAGGACCGTATTATTGCCTAATGTCAGACAGATTTGAGGTGAAGCTTCTGAAGGAAACTCCCATCACCAGCCCATTTCCATGTCACTCTGTTGTAACAAGGATTGCAGTGTCTTTCTTCTGTTCCTTGATCCAGAGAGTGCCCATCGCACCATCTTTTTTCCCCAATAACAGTTTTATTGAAATATAATTCACATACCCTGAAGTTCACCCTTTTAAAGTGTATGATTCAATGGTTTTTAGTGTATTCACAGAAGTGGACAACCATCACCACTATCAAATTTCGGAACATTCTCATCATTCCAGAAAGAAGCCTGTACACGTTGGCATACATTCCCAACTTACCCCTTCCTCCATCTCCTGGAAACCAGTGATCTACATTGTGTATCTAGAGACTTGCCTATTCTGGCCATTCAATATAAATGAGATCATTCATTGCATGTCCCATACGTGGCTTCTGTCCTTTAGCATAATATTTTCAACGTTGGCTCATGTTGCAGTGTGTATCAGTGCTTCATTCCTTTTTATTACTAAATAACATTCTATGGTATGGATAGATCATATTTTATTTAAGTATTTATTAGTTGATAGGCATTTGGGTTTTTCTACTTTTAACTGTTAAGAATAATGCTGTTAGGAACATTCGTGTACAGGGTTTGTATAAACATATACTTTCAATTCTCTCAGGTGTAAGTCTAGGAGTGAAATTGGTACGTGATATGATAACACCCTGTTCTTGACATTTTCAGAAATTGTTGAACTGTTTTCTAAAATGGCTGCACAATTTTACAATTCCAACAGGAATATTTGAGGCTTCCAATTTCTCCACATCTTTCATATCATATAGTGTCATCTTTTTTATTTTAGTCGCTATGGTGATTGTGAAGAGATAGCTCACTGTGATTTTGATTTGCATTTCCCTAATGACTAATAAAATGGTATTGAGAATCTTTTCTTGCGATCGTTGGTCATTTGTATATCTTCTTTGAAGAGCTGTCTATTCAAATACTTTACTCGTTGCTTAACTGGGTTACTTGCAATTATCTTTTGGCTAATGAGTTCATCAGCTGGGAGTGTCCATCTAGATAGAAATGTAACCTGTTTTTTTCTTGATACCTTATCCTTACCAAGTGTATGATTTGCATATACTTTCTCTCATTCTGTAGGTTGTTTTTTACTTTCCTGATTGTGCAGCACAGTTTTTCAAAACATTTTAATCAAACCTAATTGATCTACTTCTTTTGGGTCACTTGGGCATTTGATATCTATCATTCATTAAGAAATTATTGCCTAATCTGAGGTCACAACAATTTACAGCTATGTTTTTGTTTTTTCTAAAATTGTACTTTAAATTTTGCATTGACATTTATGTCTATGAGCCATTTTGAGTTATTTCTGCATATGACTTAAGGTGGGGGTTCAGCTTCATTGATTTCTAAGTAAATATCTACTTGTCTCAACACTATTTCTTAAAAAGACTATTTTTCCCCATTTAATTGCCTTGATATCCTTGTTTAAAATCAATTGACCATTATATAGTAGTTTATTTCTGGCTTCCAAATTATATTTGACTATATTTATATAGCCTTATACAAGTACCACACTTTCTTGGTTATTGTAGCTTTTCAGCTTTTTAAGTTTTAAAATCAGGTTGTGTGGGTTGTCTAAATATATTGTTTTTCAAGATTGTTCTGGCTATTTTGGGTCCATTGCATTTTCATATTTTTTTCTATATAGATAGGTTACTCTGTATGAGAAGATCAGCTGAGATTTTGATAGGGATTGTGTTGAATCTGTAGATTTGTTTTGGATAATTGACATCTTAACAATATTCTTATGATCCATAAATATGGGATATCTCCAGTTATTTAGGTCTTATTTATTTCAACACTATTTTGTAGTCTTCATTGTACAAGTCTTGTACTTGTGAAATGTATTATCAAGTGTTTCATCTTTTTAGATATATTGTAAATGCAACTATTTTTAAAAATTCATTTTTGGTTGTTTATTGCTTGTGTATGGAAATACAATTGGTTTTTGTATATTGATCTTTTATCCTGCAGCCTTACTGAATTCATTTATTAAGTTCCAACAGGTTGTTTTATGCTCACTAACATTTTCTGTATATGTAAGATCATGTCTTATATACGGACCTATCTGCAAGTAAAGACAGTTTTGATTCTCCTTTCCAATATTTATTTATTTTATTGTCTTTTGTTGAATAGAAATGAGAGTGGATAATCTTGTCTTGCTCCTGATATTAACATTAGTGTTTATACCAGCATTTCCTGTTTCTTGCCTGTCTCATGATTTTTGTTGAAAAATAGACATTTAAATAGTGTAATTTGGCAAGTCTGGAAATCAAAATTCCTCCCTATCTCCAGGATTTGTTATTGTTGCTTTTTTTTAAAGTGACTTTTGAGTCAATTCTGTAAAGCCTGTATTCTTTTTCATGTGTGGCCACTCTAGTCTCTACTCAGTTAACTTAGGTGACAGCAAATTACTGGACAGAGATTTTGTTAAAAGTCTCACTTGACTCAATCTCTCATCATTTGCTTAGAGCCTTTGTGTGCATATTGGGGCAAACTGCAACACTGGTGGTTTAGAATCCTGCCTTAGAATTCACTTCCTACTTGCAAAGAACTTTAAAGTCACTCTGGTGAGACTTAGGGCCTTCTCCCAGGCATGCAAGCAACCTATGCATGTGCCTGGCCTTCTAGATTTTCAGAAATATGTTGGAGCTTTCCAAAGTTTCCTATGAATAGCTCTTTCTCTGGCTCGCCTTCTAAGTTGTTAGTCATGCTTTTGTTTGATCCAATTTTTATCATCAACTCAGGCAGCTCTCATGTTAAATAATTGCCTCTTATATTGCCAAATATATATACATATATATATGTATATATATATGTGTGTGTGTATATATATATGTATATATATATACACCGTGGAGAAGTAGCTGTTGTCACTGAGCAACAGTCAGTTCTAAGTAAAATCAAATAAACACGATCTTGTGTATGTGCGTGTGTGTTGGGGATTTCCAAGGAGCTGCCAGTTAGGTCAAATAATGACAATTTTCTGATAATAAAACTTTTTTGGAGCTCCACATCCCTCTGTCCATGACAGTTGCCACCAGGCTGCTAGTTTTCACCATAACTGAGAGGCTGTTGGTTTTCAAGGTGACTGAGTAGTTGGGGAGAGTAAGATGGGAATGAGATGAGCTGAAAGATGATAAAGCTCACTGAGACTCAGCCACTTGTTTTGAACAAACACTCCTTAGGTTGTTTCAAGTCTTTTGTTAATTTGCAGAGTTCTGAGAAAGTTAATTTTGACAACTCAATAGTAAGAAAACAAATAATCCAGTTAAAAAAATGGACAAAAGATCTGCGTAGACATTTCTCTAAAAAAGGCATACCAATGGCCAAAAGGTATGTGAAAAAAAAATGCTTCTCACTAATAACAGGGAAATGAAAATTAAAATTATAATGAGATAATAAGATTTCAT
The DNA here is from genome assembly GCF_000001405.40 of Homo sapiens. Taxonomy (NCBI): domain Eukaryota; kingdom Metazoa; phylum Chordata; class Mammalia; order Primates; family Hominidae; genus Homo; species Homo sapiens. Next base: position 126,266,387 of record NC_000002.12, on the reverse strand, counting down.
CTCAATTGTATTAGAATGGCTGTTATAAATATGACAAAAGATAACAAGTGTTTGAAAGGGTGTAGAAAAAAGGGAACCTTTGTGCACTGTTGGTTGGAAGGCAAATAAACACAGGCATTATGGAAAACAGTATGGTGGTTCCTCAAAGAATTAAAAATAGGACTATTATATGATCCAGCAATCTCACTATGGGATTTATTTTGAAAGGATATGAAATCAGTATTTTAAAGGGATATCCACACTCCCATATTCATTGCAGTATTATTCAAAACAATCAAGATATGGAACCAACCTAAGTGTCCATCAACAGGTAAATTGATAAAGAAAATGTGGTAAATGTACACAAAGGAATGCAATTCAGCCTTTAAAAAGAAGGAAATCCTGACATTTTCTACAGCATGGATGAAACTGGAGGACATTATACTAAGTGAAATAGACCAAGCACGGAAAGACAAATACTGCACCATTTCACTTATATATGGAGTGTCAAAAAGTCAAACTCAGAGACAGAGTAAAGTGATAGTTACCATAGGCTGCGGTAGTGGGAATAGGGAGATGTTGGTTAAAGGGTACGAAATTTCACTTAGTGGGAATAACTTCAAGAGATCTATTGTACATCACAGTGACTGCAGTTTGTAACAAAATAGAGTATATCTGAAAATTTCTAAGACAGTAGATTTTAAGTATTGTTACCATACACAAAAGATGAGAAGTATGTGAAGGATGTATTTGTAAAATAGCTTGGTATTGCCTTTCCACAATGTATACATATGTCAAGAAAGCATGTTGTATACCATATATATATGTATAGCTATATAATTATATATAACTATATATGTAATTTTTACTTGCAAGTTAAACACATAAATCAATAATTTTTAAAGTTGATTTTTTAATGGACAATTGTTGCCACTGTCTTTATTGCTTTCATGGATGATCAGATTTTTGGTGGTCCTTACTCTAACATTCTGAAAGTGCTTCTCACTCACAAAGTCTTTTTTAAAAATATGTTTTATGTAAAAACCATCTTATTGTTTCTGTAAACATGGCATATACTTTTCTAAATGATTCAAACTATACCAAAAAATACCGTGAAAAAAACTAAAAATTGCCTCAAATTGTATTAGGCAGAGCTCAGTAAAGCTCACATTTTCATGAGATTCTATTTAGAGACATCTCTAGGCACATATATACATATGTATATAATTTTACAAAATAATATTAGTTCTACATGAGCTTTACAATTTGCATTTTAAAAATTTAACAAGGTATAGGTATTTTTAATGGTTTCTTTGTATTCCAGTGTGTATGCTTGTGTGTATGTGATAGATGTGAGTATATGCACACTGACTGGTATGTGTGTGGCTTAATTTATGCAATCAGTCTATTATTGAAAGACATTTAAAGTATCTCCAAAGTTTTGTTATGATGAGCAAAATTTCAGTAAATTTTTCCCTTTCCTTTCCTTTCCTTTCTCCTTTCCTTTCTTCTTTCCTTTCCTTTCTCCTTTCCTTTCCTTTCTCCTTTCTTTTCCTTTCTCCTTTCCTTTCCTTTCCCCTTTCCTTTCCTTTCTCCTTTCCTTTCCTTTCTTTTCCTTTCCTTTCCTTTTTCCTTTTCTTTCCTTTTTCCTTTTCTTTCCTTTTTCCTTTTCTTTTTTCTTTTTTTTATTTTGGACAGTTTTGCTCTTGTTGCCCAGGCTGGAGTGCAATGGCATGATCTTGGCTCACCGAAACCTCTGCCTCCCAGGTTAGAGCGATTCTCCTGCCTCAGCCTCCTGAGTAGCTGGGATTACATGCATGAGCCACCACGCTCGGCTAATTTTGTATTTTTAGTAGAGACGGGGTTTCTCCATGTTGATCAGGCTGATCTCGAACTGCCGACCTCTGGTGATCCACCTGCCTTGGCCTCCCAAAGTGCTGGGATTACAGGCGGGAGCCACATCACCTGGCCAATTTTTCTTTTTTTCATACTTTTATTTTAAGTTCAGGGGTACATGTGAAGGTTTGTTACATAGACAAACGTGTGTCATGGTGGTTTGTTGAACAGATTTTAGCATCTGCATCCTGCATTTGCTTTCCTTTGTCTTCCATATCCCTGCTGTAGGAATTTATGTGAAATCTAGTCTTTTTGTGTAAAATGTTAGATGTGAGAGAAGTAGCGATATGGAACTAATATCACTGGACATTTAAAACTCTGAATGTCCAGCTGGAAAACTGGTGGTTGAGATAGTCTTGAAAAGGCAGATCTCTTAATGAAGATGTTAAAAGTTTTAACAGATCCCTTGAAATGCAGTTATGGAAATCTTCATTCCCTGCCTTTTTGCTAATAATATCAGCTGCTCACAGCAGAATAGGAGCTGCAGTAGTGATAAGGAGTTGTCAATGTGTAGAATATTTTTTAGGAAAACATTGTAATGATATTCACAAAATCTCACCGGAAGGTTTTCTCTTTATTTATGGCTTGATTCTGTGTCAAGTCAACTTCCAGGTACCAACATAGTCAAGAGGACAGTGAAATCTGCTGAGACTGGAAAGGCAATTGGCTGTCTCCAGAGCTCCATGTGATTACTAGAATGGCCATGTCATTGAGGGGGAAGGAGAAATGTGCTGCTCCTTGGAGTTCCATAACAGAGCCAAGCTGAGGCCTCTGCTAGTTACTTGTCATGTGATCCTGGAGAAACTCCTTACATTTTTTTATGTCTCAGTTCCTTGATCTGTGCAATAACCGTATGTCCCATATATCCAAAATTAAAAAATAATAAAAATGCCTATCAGAGCTTCTTATATCATGGGACAACCTACACTACCCACTGTACTGGTGCTTGGGACACCCGGAGCAAAGGAACTTGACCTTGTCTGTATTGTTGGGCTTCTGCCTCTCACCAATCCCCAAACACTACTCTTAGAAATATATTTTTTTCCTTTTATTTTTAGGTGACACATAATAATTATATATATTTATGAGATATAGAGTGATATGTCAATCTATGTACGCAATGTGTAAGGATCAAATCAGGGCATTTGGCATAGCATAGTCATCACCTTGAACATTTATCATTTCTTTGTGATATGAACATTCAAAGTTCTCTCTTGTAGCTTTTTAAAAATATACACTAAATTATTGTTAACCATGTTTACCTTACATTGCTACTGAAACTAGGCCTTGTCCAATAAATATGTTGCATCATTTATTTCACTGAACCTGTCTGTCTTCTCCCTGAGCTACTGTTTGTCCCTTGATCTTGATCTTTCTTGGAAATCCATTATCCTAACAGCTTTGGCAACATACCCTCTGGAGGTCTCAGCCTATATTCCACAGTCCTTTTTCTCTCTTTACCTCTGTATTTATGGATTCTCTACACTCTACTCATGGCTGTCTTAATGTTCATCTTTTTGTTCATCTTTTTTTTTTTTTTCTGGACGAGCGCAAAAGCTCTCACAATTTAGACTACCAATTAATTGTGTTGATGACTTTTACATATCTATATCTGATCTTTACATCCATTTGGCTAATTTGCAGAGACCTCAGGCTCATCCTGCTTTAGACAGAACAATTACCTGTTTCTGTCCATCCTCATTTGCATTGTTTCTTGTCTGAGCACCTGACCATTTACCCAGTCGCCCAGCCAGAAAACCACAGGTTGCCTCACACTTCTTGTCCCTTTAGCCATATCAAGTTTAACACCAAATCTTAATCCCCAAGTTACTCTAGTGTTTCTTAAATAAATCACATCTTGTCTACTATTTATTGCTGCCAGAGTGATCCCTCTAAAAGATAAATCTGTCATGCCATATCTCTGTTGAAAATCACCAATGGCAAATAAAATTTATGCATTTAAGTCCCTGCTGGTTAGGTCCAGCCATTCCATTTTCACCCTGGCCTCAAAATCTCATGCAAACTATGTGAAATTGTGACAAGTGCTGTTTACGGAGAAGACTTAGTGAGATGGACTATGTGGTTATGGACACGAGAGAAAGGTTTCCTGAGAAAATCACATGTGAGCTTAAATCTATAGCTGAGTAGAAATTAATTAAGTGAAGTGTAGAAGGTGGTTTGTAGGAGTAGGGTAGGCATTCTGAGTAAAAGAAACAACATTTGCACATTTGCATAGGGTTTTTCTATGGCCAGAGGAGTTTGACTTTTGCAAAGAACTTAGAGAAGGCTGGTGAGGCTGGCATCCAAGTGAAAGGAAAAGAATGCCATCAGAGGAAGCTGCTTAAAAAATCAGAAGGTTGTTATTATTGCTATACATTTCAGTCCTTAAAATTACACAACCCAAAAACTGAAATTCAATTCAGATCCTTTGGTTCAAAATGAAGACGATGTAGTAATATCCCAATTACAGTATCATAAAGCAATACTTATATAGTCCCATATTCACTTATTTATGTATAGTATGTCAAATACAGTACTTTTAAGGGCAATTATTATATCAGTTACACATGAAGGAAGAGAAAAACGATTGCAATTCAAGTGCTTAGTGAAATAGTGGGTTTTGGCAAAACTATATGTACAAAATAATTAACAAATATAATATATCTGAATAGCCAACTGAGTCAGATCCTCACCATAAAGTCACACTAGAGGATTTTATATAAATGATCATACTTCCATCTAGGATGATTTTCAAAAAGTGGGTAACACATCGGTGACAAACACTACAGTAAGGTCTCCAGTCAAGGCTGAACAAAGTGGGGCAAAGTCTCCCAAACTCCATTTTCATAAAAATGTCAACAGAAAAGAAGCATCAGTGATAAATCTGGGTTCATATCCTATTACAGGAGGAAAACAACCAGTTTTACATCTTGTACAAACACTTTCAATCACCTTTTATGGCCATGTAGCTGCCGCATTTGGCAATTAAAAAATTATAACATGTAGATTTCAATAACAATCCATAAGTGCTGGAGTCGAGATTGTTTGTGGTGCCATATTTCATTCAGAGCTGAGTAGAGGAAGGTGGCTGTGGTTTAAAGGTCACAGAAAACTACATCTCCTCAAGCTACACTTTAAAGGCACAACTGAAAGTATATTCTATTTAGATAGCTATTTGGATAATTAGATATGTCCAATCAGTGGGAGAAACCCACAAAAACAATCATTAGATGAGAAAATGCTCACATTTAAAATGCACCGTTGTCAGAAAGAAAGAAAATGATTTTTGTTTTCAAAGCAACTGGAGTTTGGGGAAAAGTGCTGAAAAATCAATTTATTTTCAAAGGAATGGGCTAGACTGATTATGCATTTGTTAGTTCCATCGGCACTGTTTGACTACAATATGGATGTATTGATTTCCATGCATATGCGTTATGTCTTTTTCTTACACAGAAAATTTGGTGTTCACAAAAAAGAGATGAGATTTTTTTGTTGTTAAAAAAAAATTAAACTTTACACCTTCATCTCCTTAAGTTATTTTCCTTCTGAGCTTAATAAATTATTTGTGATTTATTGGGGAATATTTGCCCAGGAAAATTAATTCCAGCAGAGGGTCAGACCTCAAACCCCGAATTTTACAGCTTTGCCTTTAGAGGTAGTTTTGGAAAAGAAAGCAAAGAAAGGCAGAAGTCACTGCACAGGGCCCTCCTCTAAAGCATGTTCAGACCAGGTGAGCGTTTTGAATATTATGATTCTATAAAATAGAAAAAGAGTTTTTTGGTCTCTTTAATATTCTGTTTTGAGGCCCTTCACTAAGATCTTTGTGTCCTCCTTGTACTCACCCCAGATCTCCATGTGCCCTGAATTTTGTCCCTACCCATGACAAAGATTCTTTGGCCAATTTGACTCAGGCTCTTGAATCTTGTCCTATGCCTATCTGTCCACTTCCTTATAAAACAGCAAAGAACTCTGTTATGTCAGTTTAGCAAGTACTTCCCATCCTTGATATTTGATCAGTTTCCTAATCCTCACCATCCCCCAGGTGACGTACCACCACTCAGGTCTGTTTTCAACCAGAATGTTCTCAGGTCTGTCTAACCAAAATCCCCTTTACCTCTTTTAGTAATCTTGTATCCACCGACCTGCATCTGGCTCCTCTCTAGCTACACATAGACAAGTGGCTACAAATTTCCACTTGTCTATGTTGTATTTGCAGTTGAACCTGATCTCTCTCTCCCATTGCAAGATCCCATTGCAGTGGCTCCCATATGTATCACAATGATCCTGAATAAAGTCTTCCTTACTGTGCTTTAACAATAATCACTGAATAAGTTTTTCTTTAACAGTCATAAGAACACTTGGCCTGCCATGTAAGATTCCCACCTTTGAGAATCTGAACTTGGCCTTGTTAGACTCCTGTCTGTGTAGTAGAGTTGCCTGGGAATTCATTGAAAATGAAGATCCCATGACAGTATTCCTATTTAACAAGTCAGAATGGAATGGAAGGAGGTGGCAGGCAGGGTCTCACAAACTGCTTTTTAAAAAATTTCCAGATGATGCTGATATAATTTGTCTTTGAATTTCGGGATTTCAATGGGCTAAAAAGAAAAAAAAAAAACTCCCAAATAAAGTTACCTTTGCTGAAATCTTCCTTTACAGGCTTTATAGTGTCTTCATTCAGTTTAGTGTCTACTTAGAAAATTCCTAAGTAGGGGGATAAACTATGGTCTTTTGATTAAATATAGGATTTTTATGTTAATTTGTTCTACTCTCTTAATGTTACCATATACATATGTAAATTTGAAGAGAACAAAGCCTTCTCAGGAGATTCCTATATATTAAGAAATACTTTTGACTTGGTACAGTGGCTCATTCCTGTAGTCCCAGCACTTTGGGAGGCTGAGGCCAGAGGACTGCTTGAGCCCAGGAGTTTGAGACCAGGCTGGGCTGAGACCTTGGCTCTACAAATATTAAAAATTTTAGGAGGCCGAGGTAGGTGGATCACTCAAGGTCAGGAGTTCGAGACTAGCCTGGCCAACTTGGTGAAACCCTGTCTCTACTAAAAATACGAAAAAATTAGCTGGGCGTGGTGGCACGTGCCTGTAATCCCAGCTACTCGGGAGTCAGAGGCAGGAGAGTCACTTGAACCCAGGAGGTGGAGGTTGCAGTGAGCCGAGATCATGCCACTGCACTCCAGCCTGGGTGACTGAGTGAAACTCTGTCTCAGGAAAAAAAAAAAAATATATATATATATATATACACACACACACACATATATATATATACACACACATACACACACACACACACACACACACACACACACACACACACATATATATATATATATAATTAGCCTGGCATGGTGGTCCATGCCTGTGCTCTCATCTGCTCAGTACTCAGGAGGCTGAGTTAGGAGGATAGCTTGAGCCTGAGCTATGATTGTGCCACTGCACTCCAGCCTGGGTGATAGAATGAGACCCTGTCTCAAAAGAAAAAAAAAAAAGAAAGACTTTTATTTGGCTAGCATTTAGAGAGTCTCTAAGGCTCTGGCATCTCTAGTCATGCAAGACATATTCCCACTGCCCTGTGTCCTGCAGTTGAGAATGTAAGGGATGAAGGTATTTTGGGCTGGCCACAATTGATAACAGCTGTTGAACAACTTATAAGCTCAAAAAGCTACCTCATATGATTTTTGTCATTTAATATTTACAGTAGATCAGTAAAGTGGACTTCCTTTGTATTTCTACTTATAAAATATCGGAATTCTTTTAAAGCAGCAAAAACGAATCCAGGAAGGGAAGCACAAATTAGAATTTGGAGCATGCAAGATTAGACCTGCAAGCGAGAAGGGGTTAAAAATAACATTTTTCTTAGCTAGAAGAAAATCAGTAAAAGGTAAGAAGGGTCTTGAGGAAATGATGTGGGCTGTGGATTGCAGAGATGAGGAAGGAGGCTCCATCTGGTTGACTGGCTCTCATTCTCCAGGACGGAGATGGGCAGTGCTGTCTTCTGTTTCCTCCCGACCCCATGTCCTTGGCTGAACACACATTCTTCCAGGACCCACAGGCAAATGTGAAGCATATTATATGTTCTGGGTTAAGTAATAGATGTTTTGAGTGGTTTCAAATGTGTTACTCATCCTCAAGAAGCTTTTAGGATGATTAAGGAGATAAAGTGTAGGCATTAGAAACAGTAAGTAAAGTGCAATGGATGCCTCCCATGAGTTTGTCAGAATTTTTTATTAGTTTTCTTGGGCTTCCATGAAGAAGTGCCACAAGGTGAGTGTAGTAAAACAACAGAAATGTATTGCCTCCCAGTTCTGGAGGCTAGAAGCCCCCCAAAAAAGGTTTCCATGGTACCATTCTCCCTGTGACACCTGGAGGGGGGACTCATTGTGCACCTCGTCTTGGCTCTGGCAGTTTGTGGGCAATCCTTGTATCCCTTGGCTTGCAGCTGCAGCACTTCAGCCTTTGCCTCCAGTGCCACATGACATTGTCCCCAGTGAGTCTGTGTCTCTGTGTTTCTTCTAATAAGGACATCAATCCTATTGGTTTAAGGGCCCACCCTACCCCAGTATGACTTCATCTTAACTTAGTAAATTTGCAATGACCTTATTCCAAATAAAGGTCATATTTTGAGGTACTGGAGACTGGGACTTTAACATATAATTTTAAGGAACACAATTGAACTCATAACAATTTACTTTTGTCATAATTATAACATTTTCCTGATGTTTTCAATATTTTCAGAGTATATTGGGCATTGTCCCATGTTAACAGGGAAGAGAACAACTGTGAAGATTTCATACAATTTCCTGGAGTCCTTAAAAGAGATTCTGTTTATGATCTAAGTACAAGATCCAATAGACTCACCTTTTCCTTTTAGTAATCTGAAAGCTGTGGTATATGGAGGGAAAAAACTTAAACATTTACTGTGTATAAATTTTGATGAAACAGCGGGAGAGTGGGCACAGCCGACCTTTACTAAGTCAGTATCCTGGATTAGCTAGGGCAATGCTTCAGGTCCATACAAAATGAAGAAGGAGTACCAAGCTTTACATGGAAAAACTGGATGCTTTCTCCATAAAAGGATGACAGCTCTCATCACTCTTATTCAACATAGTATGAAAACTTTTGTCCACAGGAATAGGGCAAGAAAAATAAATAATAGGGATACAGAATGAAAAACAAGAAAAGAAATAGCTCCTATTTTCAGTTGACATGGTTGTCTATACAGAAAATCCCCAAAGAATCCACCACTTAAAATCCACCTTCCAAAACAACACCTAGAACTAATTAAGTGACTTCAGCAAAGTTACAGGATATATCAACACAAAATGATCAATTTTACTTACATATAAAGCTAAACTAAAAATAAACATGCAGAATCCAAAATTAAACACATTATACCTTTTACGATTGCTGCAATGAAAATGACATACTTAGGTATGTGCTTAACAAAACATATGCAGAATTAATATATGTAAAATTGTTATAATGCTATTTAAGAAAAGAAAAAGACCTAAGTAGATAAAGAGAGATAACATATTCATGGATTGGGAGACACAGCATAGTAAAGATGTCACTTCTCTCTAAATCCATATGTTTTATTCAATTCGTATTAGAATTCCAAGAAGGTTTTGTATGGACATAGATAAGCTTATCCTAAAATTTATATGAAAAGGCAAAGTTCTTAGTTAAAAAATTCTTATAAAAGAATAATTAAGTGGAAGAATCACTCTCCCCAATATTAAGGCCTGCCACAAAGCCACAGTGATCAGTGGTGTGTTATTGGTGGAAACAGATTATAGGAGCATCATGTTCTTATGCCACTGTGCAGTAACAGACCAATACCCTGACATGGCAGGGTTTGCTGCAGAGGAAGAATTTAATGAATGCAGGGCACCAAGCAAGGAGATGGTACCCTTTGGAATTTGAAACCCTCAAATCCATTTCTCCAAGGAGTTATTGCTTGGGGCTTTTAAGGGGATCATGGAGGGTGAGGGGCTGGAAAATTGAGATCACTGATTGGTTAGGATAAGGGGAATGAAATCATCAGGATGTGGTGACCCCATTCTTTGATGAGTCAGCTTCTCACAGGGTCCCACAGACAGGTGGTATAAGTGGGGTCCTTTACACCAGCTGATATCAGTGGGGTTCTTCATACCAACTGAGTCAGTAGTTTCAGCAGTATGCAGAAGATGAAAGAATAGCTCAAAGGGAAAATTTAACATTTCATGATGTTCAAGTTGTTATCTATAGAGCAGGTAAGGAGAACTATAATTATGTAACTGTGTCTGGGTGGTTCTTTTTTTGTTTGTTTGTTTTTTTGTTTTGAGATGGAGTCCTGCTCTATTGCCCAGACTGGAGTGCAGTGGCGTGATCTCCACTCACTGCAACCTCTGACTCCCAGGTTCAAGCGACTCTCTTGCCTCAGCCTCCCTTACAGGGGCCCACCACCACGCCTAACTAGTTATTTTTATTTTTATTTTTAGTAGAGACAGGGTTTCGCCATGTTGGCCAGGCTGGTCTTGAACCCCTGACCCCAGGTGATCCTCCTGCCTCAGCCTCCCAAAGTGTTGGGAATACAGGTGTGAGCCACCATGCCTGGCTTGTGTCTGTGTGGTTCTAGGACAATAGGAAGCACATTGGGGAGCAAGCTGACCTAGTGATCAATGTGACTGTGCTGCAAGCTTGGTTTACCTTTGTTTTCCCCCTCCCTTCTTCCCTGATTAATTTTCTAAATTTTATAGGGCTGGTTTCACATAGACATAGATCAATGGAACAGAATAAAGATCCAGATATAAGCCCACAAAAATACACTCAACTGATGTTTGACAAAAGTGCAAAAGCTATTCAATGGAAGAAGGATAGCTTTTTCAATAAATGATACCAAAACAATTACACATCCATAGATTAAAAACGAACCTTGACCTAAATATCATAGCTTATATAAACGTTAACTCCAAATGAATCATGGACTTAGATTAAAAAAATTTAGTGCTATATAACTTATAGATAATACATAGGAGAAAATTTTCAGAATGTGGAGTTAAGCAAAGAGTTCTTAGGTTTGACACTACACAATCCATTCAAGGAAATGTATAATTAGAAACCATCAAATTAAAAACTTGAGCTCACTGCAAACCCCTAATAAGAGGATGCAAAGACAAGGTACAGACTGGAGAAAAATATTTGCAAATGACATATCTAACAAAGGACCTGTATAGAATATAGAATATAAGTCTTAAACTCAACAATAAAAATACAAATATTTCAATTAGAAAATTGGTAAAGGACATGAATAGAAATTTCACTTGAGGATATACAGATGGTAAATAAGCAAATAGAAAGGTGCACAGCATCATTAGACATTAGGAATATGCATATTAAAACCACAGTGAGATATCATGACAAACTTATCAGAATGGCTTTTTTTTTTAAAGTAGTGATAACAGCAATGTGGAGTGCATGTAGAGGGACTGAATCAGTGATATATTGTCGGTGAGGGATATGAAAAGGCACAGTCACTTGGGAAAAGTTTGGCAGTTTCTCATGCAACCGAACATGCAACTACCAAATGGTCCAGCAGTTGTGCTCTTGGTCACTCATCCAATAAAAATTAAACTATTTGTTCACAAAAACCTGTACTCAAATATTCATAGCAACTTAACTTGTAAAAGTCAAAAACTGGAAACAACCCAGTTGTCTTTAAGCCAGTAAGTGGTTAAACAAGCTAGTAAATCCTGACTGTGAAATACTACTCAGCAATGAAAAGCAGTGAACAATGGGTGCGTGCAACAACCTGGATAAGTCTCCGGGGACTTATCATGAGTGAAAAAGTCAATCCCCAAAGCTTACATACTGAATGGTTCTGTTTCTATAAAACTTTTGAATGATGAAATTATAGAAATTGAGAATAGATTAGTAGCTGCCAGTGATTAAGGACGGCAGAAGTGAGGTGCTAGGGGATTCTATCAAAGAGCGATGTGAGGATCCTGGTGATAACAGAATTGTTCTTTATCTTGACTGTAACGATGATGATATCCTAGTTGTGATACTGTAATACAATTTTGCAAGATTCTACTATTGAGGAAAACTGGGTAACAGGTAAATGAGAGGTCTCTGTATTATTTATCATACCTCTATGTTTATCTATATTATCTAAAATGAAATGTTCATTAAAAACAAAAACGGAAGAAGAGTAGATTTTACATGGTCATATCATCAACTTTCACGAATTTCCTGTAGCTGTAAGCAGATTTTTCTAAACTTCTCAGTCCCTCAGTACTCCACCAAGGAGAAGTCAGTGGCTCAGAAATGTTAAAATCACTTGCCCAAGATCACAGAGCTGGTAAATGCCAACGTGGTAATGAGCCCAGTCTGTCTGACATGCAACCTTGCCCTTCACAGGTCAGCCTGGCCTCAGAGCCAGCACAGGTGTGGGGTCCACACTCTTCTGCCAGAGGACTCATCCCCTTGCAGGCAGCAGCCATTTGGTGCATTAGGAAGACAAGCGTGTGACTTTCAGGGTAGATGAACTCATAAAGCATTCAGCATGTCAGGCTGGAGTCTTTGCCTTGTTTGGAAAGTGCAAGATAAATTTCAGCAGGCTACGGTTTGTTTGCAGATGCTGGGAATAATCTAATCTACTATTTCAAATATAATTTAGATTTAAGAGGTGTTTTACTGTTCTGTTTCCAGAGTGCCTGAGGATCCAGCTGAGTGTATTACACATCACATTAGATTAAGGTCAATTAACAACATTGTGAGGGATTGCTCCTCTTCATAATGAGATGGAGCTGCAAATTTGTGATTAAAATCCTGTATGTTAGCACCAAGGAATGGAGAGATTCTAGACAAGCTCCAATTATGATTAAGGCTACGACATGGGCCCAGTGGGTCATGGTATGTCATAACTCCCTGAACTTTCTAAGCAGCATTATTGAACAGCTTCGCATTTGGAATCAAATGGGTAGAGGTGACTGTTGTGCTGAGTGGCACATGTTTGGATTTTCGATTTAAATATGTTGAAAGCACCAGAGCCCAGGTGGAAGAAAGGGTTTTTCCCTCAGTTCTAGCAACAGCACACATGTGCTACCCTCAGAGTGAGACAGGAGGTGACCCCAGTGGTGCGTCTGAGAGTAGGGTGACAGAGGACAAGGGAGCAGGGAGGTTCTGTCATCAAGGAGAACAAGTGTGGAAATTGACACTGGGCAGAACTGGACATGAGTGCCAACTCTGTCCTCTATAATTTGTGCAAATTTAGGCAAATCACTTAACTGCCTGAACTCTTTTTTTCAGCTGTACAGTGGAAATGGGGCTTTGTTACTTTTAAGATGCAGATGAAGTGAGGCTCAATATATAAAACAGCTTGTACATGGGGAGGGGCTTAAAAGTGGCAGATATAATAAAATCAAAGCTTTCCAAATGATTTCAGCATTAAAAGGAACAGCAATTGTCAACTAATCTACCTGTCCCTCCCATCTACTCAGGAGGACAGTGGGGGTGATTTTTATCGTCAAGTGGCTGTTATTTATCATTGTCTTCTTCGAAAATTATCTAAAATTCATTTCTTTAGAAAATATTGATTAAATACAGATTATTGTATAGTGGACAACAGTTGCTAATTTCAAGGTCTGAGAGTTAATCAAATTGCATATGACATAAGATTGAAACATTCCCATGATGTCTACATGAGCATCTGGATATCCTAATTTACTCATTAGTTGTCTGTAAGCAAGGGTACCACAGAAAGCTCCTTGAGCTCTTTGAGCTTCAATTTCCCTGTTGACAAAGTGGGAAGAGTGATTCCTACATCTCAGAGCCATGAAGTTCGCAAGAGATGAGGTATTTGATATATCTGTATTAGAAGCCCAGTCAGCCGAGTAGTCCTTAAAAAACTGGAGTGATGAAGGGAGACCTACTGACATCAGCAAGTTCATGGTTGCCTTTGAGCATCAGTAGGAAATTGATTTGTATGCCTGGACTTAGTCTCATAAAATGTCACATGTGCTGTCTTCTCCTAGAACACACTCCATACATGCTTCCTAGAGATTTAGGTTAGTGCTGGCTCCAGTTATGGTCTGTGTTTATTTAACTGTTCATTTAATTTCATAGTTCCTAACTAAGAGGAAGTTCCTAACTATTGGAAGAGTCATGTGTGTGTCCCAGAAGCTGCTTGTTTTTGCTGGGTGGTGTGCTGTTGCTGGTTTGTACTGGGTCAGGAGAGCTGTATTTTAAGTTATTGTGACTTCTGAAAGCCATTAAAAAACAAACAAACAAAATGGTGGCTTGATATTTATTGGCCATGTTACCGTATTCCCAAGTACATTGACACCATGGAAATCTGCAGAAGCTACCAATCGGGGCTCCCTGCTCTACTACCTGTCCTGGCCAAGAGCCAGCTGTGAAGCCTCTATCTGTGTCAGCTTAGCCACGCTTTCTAACTTCCACACATGCATCCATATCCAGGTGAGATGAACATCCATTTCCATTTTGATTCTCACTGGTGCATGCAGGGTTAAGAGTTGCTTTGCTCCCCGCTGAGACTCAAGAGCTATAAACACCAGGTGAGGCACACTCTGAGGCCCAAGCACAGCCTTTAGGGAGATGAGGAGGGGAAGGGACTGGTAGGCCTGCTGTTTGCTTTGAGGAAAACAAAAGGACAATGGAAGATGTGTCTTTCAAAAAGTAAACTTGACACTTTGGGAGGGCAAGGCCAACAGTTCACGAGGTCAGGAGTTCAAGGCCAGCCTGAACCAACATAGTGAAACCCCGTCTCTACTAAAAATACAAAAAAATTAGCTGGGTGTGGAGGTGCGTGCCTGTAATACCAGCTACTCAGGAAGCAGAGGCTGGAGAATCGCTTGAACACTGGAGGCGGACGTTGCAGTGAGCCAAGATCGTGCCACTGCACTCCAGCCTGGGTCACAGAGCAAGACTCCATCTCAAAAAAACAAAAACAAAAACAAAACAAAAGTAAACTTGAGACATCTAAAAAGAACTCCATCCAGCGTTCCTGAGGGCATCCCTCCAGTCTCACTTTTCTTCTGGGTTACAAACGTCCTTGCTTCCTACCTCCAACTCGACTCTGCACCTAGTGGTTCCTTCCCTTTCCAGATTTTTAATGACCAGAACCCTGCAGTGCCCTTCCTCTTACACATAGCCTTGGTCAGTCCAACCTTCCTCCCAGCCATTCAGCTGTGGGCCAGTGCTGCTGCAGCCCTGGGGTCCAAACCCCAGCTCCTGCTGCTGCCTGGGGCCCAGCTCCATCATCACTGATGACTGTTGTGGGTGGGGTGGGTGGAGGTCATAGTGGGCAGCACAGATACTATGCAGACCCGGTGGTGAAAGCCACCTTCCCATCCTCCCTACAGTTGTCAGTGAACAATGGCTAGGGAGCGGTCAACAGAACACTAATGTGAGCTTTGGGAAGTAGGGAGGAGTCAGGGCATGGAGGATCACTTGATACCATTTAAAAGACTGCAGATTTTGTCTGGAAAACAAAGAAGAACCAGTCAAAGTTTTCTGAGGGGCTAGATTTGTGTTTTGGAAATATCCTTCTGAGTTTATAACAGGATTGCTTTGATGCAAGCACAGTGAATAGGCTGTATCCAGATGCTATGGGAGGTAAATGTTGATGGTAGCAACAAAAGAAACAGAAAATGAGGGTCAGGAGTTACAACCTACATCCATGAAGATGAAGAAGAGGAGCTGATTTTTTTTTTTTTTTTTTTTTGGTGGGACTACCAAAGTCATTCTTTGAATTTAAGTTGATTTTCCAAGTACCAAAAGCCTTGTTGCAAAATAGTTGATTATCCATCTATAAATAAAATGGACTTTGATTTCTCTTAATCACTGCAGTGTTTTACCTTCTGCTTAATTACAGAAGATCAGGTGCACTCTCTTTCCCTCCAAGCCACTGTTACAAAAGTGAAAGGCACACGCAATCCAGAGTTGAAAACTTATGAACAATAAGAAGCTTTACATACATAGTACATCTTTAGTAGGAGCTGGTATCCAGTTAATTATCTTATTAATTTCCATGTTACCCTTATGAGACAGGGACAAAGTAGGTATCATTACCTTCATTTCACAGATGAAAAAACTAAGGCTAAGGCAGGCAGGCTAAATAATTTCTACTTTCTCAGCGTTTCTGAAATGGATGCAGTGGTTCTTTCCCAGGGAAACCCAAGGGAAAGGGAAATGTAATTGACTCAGCCTTAGAGCAATCACTTAGAAAAACCACAAACTAGGCCGGGCGCGGTGGCTCACGCCTGTAATCCCAGCACTTTGGGAGGCCGAGGCGGGTGGATCATGAGGTCAGGAGATCGAGACCATCCTGGCTAACAAGGTGAAACCCCATCTCTACTAAAAATACAAAAAATTAGCTGGGCGAGGTGGCGGGCGCCTGTAGTCCCAGCTACTCGGGAGGCTGAGGCAGGAGAATGGCGTGAACCCGGGAAGCGGAGCTTGCAGTGAGCCGAGATTGCGCCACTGCAGTCCGCAGTCCGGCCTGGGCGACAGAGCGAGACTCCGTCTCAAAAAAAAAAAAAAAAAAAGAAAAACCACAAACTAAAATAAATGAAAAAGATAAACAGTGTCACATGTTCTAATTAATCCCATAGCTAGTTTAGAAAGAGCCTTGTGGACTGCAGAAGCAGGCTTTCTGGCTAACCTCTCTCTACCTGTGCAGCAAAAGTCACTATGACATCAGCCACCAGGCAATGGAGGATGCGGACCTGCTGAGTCCATGGAAGGCCCCTATGCTGGAGGCATTTGTTTGTATTCATGAGCAATCATATATATGTATCATATATAATTATAGAATAAATGTAAGTCTGTATGTGTGAACATACACATGCATATAGTTTTATGTAACTATAAACACTATGCATGGTATAATGATATTTTATGTAACAAATATGACTTCATGTGACTACATTAACATGATCGTATCATATATGAAGATGGGAAATAGACAGCTTTAATCTTTTCCCCATACTTTACACCAGCCTCCTCATTCAATTCTCCTTTTTTTCTCCACTAAAAGACCACTCCCTTGTTAGTAAACCCAAATTCATAGCCTCCATATAACCAAATTTATATATTTGTCTGTATTTTTCTCTGTACTCATATTATCTTTTGTAGGTACACATATATAGAAATGTTTTTTCTGCTCAATATTATTGTTTATTCCACAAAAGACATCTTATACAGACTGAAAACAAATTTTGTTGAAATCTTCCAATTCCATTGGCATAACTCCAATTCATTTGTTGATTTTTTTTTAGCATTCCCTGCTATGGATATACAATAGTTTATTCCAGACATTCCCTACGGATGGGCAGTCCCTTTGTGAACTCTTTTTAATTCTATAGGACAGCTCCTAGAGTTGTATTTGCTGCATCAAAGAGAATATATGTTTCTAATTTTAGAGTCTTATAAACTGTTTTTAAAACATTGTCAGATTACTCCAGCAATGTGAGGGTGCCCTATCCTCACATATCTGCCATCAGTAATTTTTCCTTTTGTTGAAAAAAGTTGGCAGATTCATAAATGTAAAGAAATAGTCATTGATGCATTAATTTGCACTTCACTCATAACTGTTACATCTGAGAATGTTTTCACATATCTGCTGGCCATTTGGATTTGCTCCTGTGTAAATGGTCTCTTCTAATCCTTTGCCCATTTTTCCCACTTACCTTGTTTGTTCTCTTTTTGCAAATGTGTAAAAGATATTTGTCTATTATTAATAATTGACATCTGTCCTCATTGAAAATACTTCTCCAAGTATTTTTGTTATGTTTTGTGCTTATGGCATATAAGAGATGCATCTGGCATCTCTCATTATATATAATTTAATTTTTCAAGTCAATTCAGGTAGGTTCATATCTATTTTGCCTTGAGAATGTCCATCGAGGTTCCAGGATTTCCTTTTTTTTTTTTTACATTTAAGACTTTAATCCATTTGGAATTTATATTTTGCCATGATGTATGAAGGGGGTCCAGTTTTATATTCTTCCAGATGGATAACCAGCTGTGACTGTACCATTTATTAAACAATCCATTCCTTACCACTGAATTAAAATGCCATCATTGCCATTTATCACATTCTCACAACCAATGTGGTCTTTTACTTTATTCCCTCTTCTAGTCCATCAATGTGTCTATGTATTCCTAGACCAAACCACAGCCATATAATTTCAGTAGCTCTGTAGTACTGATTTGTTATACCAGCAATTCAAAATTCAAACGACATTTCAAAATGCCCTCACTGATTCTCCAGGATTTATACTTTCATGAAATCTTTCCAGCACTTTTATTCAATCCCTGCATATGTTACTGACATTCTAATTGGAACTTTATCGCATTTATGTTTTTTTTGGAAGCTTTGGTATATTGATATGTATTATCTAACTACCTGTCATGATATGAACCTTATAATCCACTTTTCAGACCTTATTTAATAGTGTGTCTTTGGCCATCTGTAGCCTCAGCAGCTGGGAGATGCACAAGGCGGAGGAGAAGGCAGAGCAACAAGCTCAGCGTCTTCATGATTCTCCGCCTGGCCTCCTTTCCACGGTCTCTACCCACCCCTCCATGCCTGTCATTTGCCTGTTTGGTCTCAAGCTAGTTCCTTGTTTTTCTGTTTCTGTATCGTAGGAAGTTCCATTACCCAGAATCTCTTGCCCTCTGTCTTCCTGCTAAATTCATTCAATAGGAGGTTTGAGGACAGAGGCAGGGCAGAGGGAGGGTATTTCTTTGTACTTTCTCTCTCTTCCCACCAGCTGCCCCAGAAAAAGTGCTTTCAGGGAGATTCCAGCTCCTCCTAATCAGTCTCACCCCAGTTTTAGCTCATTCTGGGCAGCCCTGGCTCTTGAATCCTGCTAGCAGCATTCTTGTCTGATCCCTCCAACCCTAGAGTACCAGAGGTTCCTGCTGCTTGCTAAGCCCAAGAAGGCTTCACCATTCTCTGTGAAGCTGCTAAGTTCTGCTGTCCCTCTGTAACTAATTCCCTGCATTAAATTATTTTTGTTTGAAACACCTAGAGTCATTTCCATTTTTCTGTCTGAATCATGACTAACACATCATCCAAACATATTTCTCATCACTCTCTACTTGACATTGAAAATTTCCTTGAAGCACAGTAATAAAGGGGGATTTTTTTCTTTTTTTGACCTCTTTGCACATTTTCTTCCCT
Source organism: Homo sapiens (assembly GCF_000001405.40). Classification (NCBI taxonomy): domain Eukaryota; kingdom Metazoa; phylum Chordata; class Mammalia; order Primates; family Hominidae; genus Homo; species Homo sapiens. Next base: position 126,247,304 of record NC_000002.12, on the reverse strand, counting down.
AGTTGTAGGAGGTCGGTTCTGACTGCCCTCTGCAGGTATGCACACACCTTCCTCTCTACACCCACTACATCGTACGTGTGTCTCCGGAAATCGCCTCAGTAATATACAATCTCTATACTAGCTGTGGAGCAACTTGAGGGCAGCTAGCATGGGTTTTATTTATTCCCAAGGGCTGATTTGCTTGCTGTGTGGTAGGAGCAGGTGCCCTGTATACATGTGTGGAAAAAAGAGAGGATGGAGAGAAGGAAGGAGATAGGGAATGAAGGATTCTGCGAGGGCGTGAATGTTAATGTTGTAGCAGTAAGAGGGTACTTCATATTTCAGAGGGGAAAGGATACGTCATAGACCACTAGGGCTAACTGTGTTTGTAGCATGGTAGGGTCATGTGGAATAGGGCTTTAATGATTATGTGTAGCTTTTGGAAAAATGAAACATGAATTAATACTAAATCAGTATAAAATGTGAGTCCTAGTTTATTTATTTTGATAAAGGCAACAATAATATGTATTTGTACAGTGCTATGAATTTAAAACATAATCACATATTTAAAAAAATCTAAAAGTCTACAAATATGTGTTAAAAATCACCTGCATGAAGTCAGGAAATAAATGAAATTAGGCCCATAATAATAATAATGGGAATACAGTTTGGAAAGCAAGAAGTAAAATTATCTTTATTTATAGTCTATGTAAAAAATACAAAAAAGTTACTAGAAATAGTAAGTGAGCTTAGCAAGGTTGCAGGGTAAAAGTTCAGTATATAAAATTAATTGAAATTATACATATGTACAGTGAATAACTGGAAATAAAACCTAAAAATAATAATATAATTTGTAATAGCAATAAAAATGCAAAATACTTAGGGATGAATATAACAAAATATGTGCAAGAACAATATACTGAAAAATATAAAATGTTGCTGAAAAAAATTATAAAAAACCTAAATGAATAAAAAGATATTTTACAGTCATGAGTCAGCTGACTTAAGGTTGTTAATATGTAATTGACCTATGGACTCAACATAATCGCTATCAAATCTCAGTATAATCTTAAATGTGCAGTAACGTGAGGTGTGAGCATACTGCATCACTGAACCTCTCTGCGTCCTGGCTTACTTATCCAGTAGGGACCTGGATTCCCTGGTCCTTTAGCTCTATTTCAGTTCTAAAATTGTATTCTAAATCTTATTTTTCTTTCCAATGACAACAACAAAACACACACACTCTCTCTCTCTCTCTCTCTCTCTCTCTCTCTCTCTCTCTCTCACTCTCTCTGTTACCCACATTCTATTTAGAAAAGTAGGACATCTATTATAAATTCAGCTGGAAAAATATTACTTGAACCTCTGATGAGATTGAATTGGAACCCTTTCCAAGAGCTATTCCAGAGAGACGAGAAGATAAACAGGTGAGCCGCAGAAGAAGAAGGGGCTAATAGAGAGGGACAACTGTTTGATTAGATGCTTAGATTGAAGCTTGGAATAAGCTAAGAGGTCAGAGAAGATAAGTTTTGCGTGCGCGCGCGCGCGCGCGCGCGCGCGCACACACACACACACACACACAGATTGCTGAGGTTTGCTGTGAAGCTTAGGCAATTCAGAGTCTTGTGAAGATTTAGAAATAAAAAATTTTGTAGGCATGATTGGGAGGGACAGGGATTCGGGTGGGGTGGGACACTCGGAGTTATCTGACAATCTAATAAAGATGCAGGGAATTTATAGTTTCAGGGCACCTCCAGATATCAAATAAGAATAAAGAAATACCTGATAATTGACCCAATGATGAATTAATTGGCATATTAGCTGTAATACAATTTTTCACAACTTGACTCACCAGAAAAATTACTGCAGTTTTGTTCCCTATTAATGCATTTGAATTTATACTTTATTAAAGCATTAAATCTCCTGGGAAAGGGTATTTGATCTTTCTTTTTCTTAAGGGGTTTTCTAAATGTGGCCTTCAAGATAGGCAAATTTTAAATTTTAAAACTTGTAATTTGAGGAAAATATGTGCTAAAAAATAGCTCCTGCCTCGTGATGCTTTGGGCATGCTCACCTCCCTTCATGAAATGGACAAACCTTCCATGAGCACCTGCTATCTGCCAGGCCACAAAGTGGTGCTGGAGGTAAAAGTCTCTTTAGTTACAGGCCCTGCCTTCAAAGATCCCACAGCGCCTCCTGCAGGAGTTACTTTGAGTGCTGTTTGGAAGATACCAGGGAGGCAGGACTAGAAAAATGAGTTACTTAAAAGAGAAGGCACTGGAAGTCTCCTTAGGGACCATGTTAGCGCTCCAATGCCCCAGGACCCCTGAGATGTAAAGCTGGTGATGAGGTAGGCCAAGGGAGAAAATGCAACACAGTTCCTTTGAGAATTACAGGATGAGTTTCCCACCTCCATCCCATGCTTTCCTATCTGCTTGCAGTTCTCCAAGAGGGATGCGATTCCCTGCACCTCTGCCTCTCTTCCCTCCCAGCTAACTCAGATTGCCTTTGTGAGTAGCATATTTACCCAAAGCAGATTGAATCATGAAGTTCACTGCTGATGAGGACAGCAGTGTCTCTATTTTCATAAATGTGAATTGGGTATTCTCACTAGAAGAGGTGTTGGCCAACCTGGCATGCTGCTTTCAGGGATACCGGCCACAGGAGATCAATGCAGGGGGCCGTGGCTCTGGGGAATTCTTGTGGATTCAGAACAGGAGTCTCAGGTTCCTGGGTTTGGGGTGAATGTCCCAACACACTTTTCTTGCCAACCCTAATCCCTAACTAGCTAAGGGCAGATCCCAAGGAATGTTTTCCAATGTGACTCCTCCTTGGCAGTGGAGACGGAACTGTCATGTTTCCAGTTCCAGACCTATTCTTTAGAAAGCTTTCCCCTTGAAGTTCATTTCTTCTCAACCAAAGCCCTGGTTCTCTCCTGAAAATGATGAAGCCTTTGGAAAGTCCCTTTCCTTCTCTGGGTGCTTATTTCCCATTTCTAAGGTGAGGATGGGAGCCTGGGGAATGTGCTTGTGCTATTTCTTTGAAACCAACAGTACAAAGGGTTGGAGGCTGGATAAGGGTATGGTTAGATAGAAGGTTGGTTATGGTGTCTGTATCCTCCAGAGTTGCAGAAGGAATACATGACATGATCAACACAGCTTTTAATTAAATAGATTTGTAAGGAAAGTCCCATTTACCTGAAATGGAATAGAGTCTTTGGAAAGACCCAAAGATGCAGGTGGAGCTAAGGAAATAATAGATGGCAAAACAACCAGAGAGTAGTGACAGTGGGAAGCTGTTCCTACTCTTGGTCTGAAGGAGAATGGGAAGGGTCATGTCACCAGCACTGGTGACAGTTGTAGCTGTGTTAGAGAAACTGCCCAGAGAAGCCATGAGGGAACATGTGGATACACAGATTCCCCCTCCTTTCTGCTCTCTGCTCATCTCCCACAGGCTCCTCCCATCTTCTCATCTGCAGTGCTACATCTTGTTATCTATAGCCAACCAAAAGCTGGAAGGCAAGGGGGTGCACCTGATGCAGTGCATGGAGATCAGCCTCTCCGGACAAAGAGCAAGGCAGGAAAGGTTCAGGTCTATCCAAGAGGCAATCAAAGCATCACCAGCACAGTAGGATGGCTGCTGGAAGAAATCAGCCCTGAGGTACTACTGCTCAAATGCAATAGAAGTCTATTTTTTCCTCAGATAATTGTCCAGAATGGATTTTCCTGGTTGGTGGGTGCCTCTACTCCACTCAGGAACTCAGGGACTCAGGACTGCTCCAGCTGGTGACTTCCCCTCCTCCTGGGGCATCGTCTGTGTTGCCATCCCACCTTCGGAAGGGAAAAGGGGCATAAAGACACATCTGTGTAAGGTTTCTTAAGAGCCATGCCTGGAATTGGCAAGTATCATTCACATTCACATTTGTTTAAAGACAGTTTGGTTACACATTCACATCATACTACAAGGGATTCAGTGCAATGAAGAGGAGTTTTGTGCCGCCAAAAGGGAAAATAGAATTCTGTTAACAAGTAGCATCTGGGAGAGAATTCTGCAGAATCCAGAATTCTGAGTTTTCTAAAAGATCACTATTCTACCATCTTGGAGTAGGAGCTCTGTGAGTGAGATTCAATATCACTGAACCCCACCCTCACCCCAACATAGAGGAAAACCTGTAGTAAGAGAAAAATCGCTCTAAAGTGATTTTAGGCTAAAGCCCCTGACACACGTAAGTGACATTCTCAGAGTGATGTCTCCACTCTACAGTGAAACACTCACACTCATGTTTATCTCACTCCTGCCTCCGTCAGGGTTCATTTCTTCCTTTCTTCTCACTGTGGTCCTGTGGGTTACTTCTGTATTGAGCACCACAAATTAACTTCACCCATAATCTATTCCAGCCCCAGGGACCCCAGTTGCCACAATCCAGTGTCCCCCTGGATAAGCATCAAGTCTTGAGACTGAATATACTTTGTAATCTCCTCCAGTGTACAATAGAAAAAAGAACTGCAGTTGTAAAGATTTCTGCACAAAGGCCTCATTCTGTATCATCTGTCACATAACCAGTCTCATTAAGTATCCAACCTTGAGAGATCAATAAGCATTGACCTGATGACACATTATTCCTTGAAACCATCATAGATGTTTTTGATATGTGCTTTTTGTTGTTGTTCAATAATTTATTTGAATGAGTGCCCATTTATTTTCAGAAAATTACTTTTGGCTTTGTTAAAGAGGCGTATGCATGAAGAAGAGCAACAAGCCATACTGGTCCTTGTCCATGCGTCTATACTGGTCCTTGTTCATGCGTCTGGTTGTGCTTTTCTCATTGTTCTCTACCTGGAGTCTCAGACCATCACAGAAGCTATGGTATTAGCAGGGGAATAACCATCAGACCAGACTACAAAGAGGAAAGTTGGGTTTCAGTGCATGATATTCTCTATACGTTAGCCATAATGATTTGAACTAGCGCATACCCTTGTCATTTATAAGAAATGTTCTACAATATTCTAAATTCCCTAAATTTGCATAAATTGTAGCATGTAATTCCAACCTTAGATGCAGTAAATATAACTGGAAAATGTAATTGAACCCCATAGACCCTAAACTGTTGTATAAATATAGAACCAAAGTAATTTATTAAGCTATTTTCTGGCTAAGAATCAGCATTGTCTATTCATTGGCACTGCAAGCATTAGCAATTGGCCCTCTCTTCAGGGTCATTTTCTGCAAAGAAATAAAGTCTTCATACTTTCACCACAGTTTGTGCTTAAGCAATGAGAAGGATGAAAGCTGCACAATCTCGCTGAGAGGCTAGCTCAGCAATTCTCAACTGGCATCAGTCTCCCAGCCCTGAGCAAAATTATAGCTTGTTGCAAGGATCCAGATCTTTGGGCATCTGCACATGAAGTGCAGACCTTCCAGCAGGCCCAGCCCCAATCTTTGCTCAATTCACTCTGTGTAGGTGCTAGTGTTCTCTGAAAAGCGGTTCTTAGCTCCCAGGGTAAGTCATGTGTCTTGTCTGGTTCCATACAAGGTCCTGTGCCTTTCCGTATCAGGAATTTTACCACATGTGTCTATTTATACATCCGAGTCCTGCAATAGACTTTTAGCTTCTTGACCAGGCACTGTGACTCAGAAATTACATAGCCATTGGATACTTTCCTGGAAGAATTTCCTTGAGAATTCTGTGGAGATATTTTGTCAACTTTTACAGTATCAAGCAGCAGGTGTCAGAGCTGAGATTTGCTCCTGGACTGATTCCAAAGCTGCAGACTGACCAATGCATCTTCCAACCGAAAGTAAGAGGATTTCGTGACCCTCTGAGGCTGGGCATGCTGCTTCCACCTAAACTTAGGATGGTTGTAGGAAGTCACTTCTCTCAGGGGCTGTGCAAATTCAATCTCAAGAAGTTGTTGACATCCTTTTGGGCTATAAGCAGGAATAAGGCATTGCATCTGCCGTGGAGTGGCTGGACCTAATGAAAATCCTATTTTATATTTAGGCAAAATAATTTCTACATGATTTTTCCTATCTTCTTTCTTCAGCATCTGCTATCACATCATACTGCTCCAGTTGTGTTTCTGGATCCACTCCACAGTTCTCACTTCTTCTTTCAGCATTATTTACTGGCAAGTGTTAAACAGTCAGTATGGGCCAGAGGAGAGGAGGGAGCCTAAATTTGCAGTGTTTGCTGACTTGGAGCTAAAACATTTGTCCAAGCATTTCAAGGACAAGAGCAAAATTGTGGAAGGTGGATCGAAATTATGTGAAGAAACAAACATCAAGATTACAGAAAGAAGTGCCAATAACATTAGCTATGAGTAATAGAATAGAAGATGAGATTGCAGTAACTGGAGAAGGCATTAGTGGTGGGCTCAGTGTGCTACGGTCAGAGCAAGGAAGGAGGGGGCGCGGCTGGACACTGCGCTTCTACTCCTGTGGCCTAAGCTTGTGTTGCCTTCTGGTAGTGGCTTCCTGACCCTGCTAGTTTATGTGCAGGCAAAGCCACTGCTGATAAAGAAAATATAGTCAATGAAGACAATCTATGGTGGTGAGATGTACACATTTTTGGAACAACTTTTTTATTTTTATTTAAAACAAGCAAACAAAAACAAACACCAGTCACATCAAAAGCAGTTCTGTGCATTTTGCACTGGGAGGAAAAACATCCCAATCCCAAATATAATTTTCTAAAACTTACTCTTCATGAAAGCTTTAAGATGTTCCTTTCTCAAGACAACAAAACAAAACAAAACAAAACATTAAAGCTTCACTAAGACTAAATACCGCAAACTACCAGGAGAAATGCAAGTGTCAAGTTGAAGAAAGCACCTTAAGGAAATTTGTGAATGTGAAGCAACTAATTACTGTTTCCCTCTGGGCAAAGTTTATAATAGCACAGAAAAAAGTGGCCAAATGTTATGTGGAAATGCTTATGAATAACTCAGGACTTCACAGACTCTGTGACCTTAGGAATGCATTACCACCTGTGATGTATGCCTCTGGGACAAATGCCTTGTGGTCAGGTGTGGGCAGATAAGTGCTGGGAAGACAGTCCCTCATGTGCACAGCCCAAGAATTGCCCAGAATTGTGTGGCCTAAAATCTTATTATCTATACTTTTGTTGAAGTTTGCTAAGAATTTTGATTGCCAAGAATCTTCCTTTAAGTACTCCAGGAGGAACTTTTCATTGACACTATTGATAGGGAACAGCCTAGCACACTGGTGCTCTACCATGAATGCACATTTTGAATCTCCTGCGGAGCTATACAGAAAAGTCCAGCGGGCATCTAGACTTCCTCCTCAAGATTTCTGATTAAACTGGGCATTCCTAGTAAGTCTCGGGAGAAGCCTGGACAAGGACGGTTTTTGAAAGCCAAACGGGATGGGGCTGTTGAAAAGCAGAGTATCATAGGATCAGTTCCTCTGGAATAACTTATGAACAACGTTTTGCTTTCTCCAGCATTGATGTGATTTTAAAATCAGGGTTAGTGTTACACCAGCTGAAGCAAGAGAATATTAATATTGTGGCCACATGAGGGACCCCCATGTCACAATTCTCTGCTGACTACCGCATATGACAATAATTCGCCTTCCTAAATGCTCTGCATTCTCTATTTTCACAACCACCGGTGAGACAAGGGATATCAGATTGGTTTCATTTGTCATGTCATCCCTAATAGATGGGTGGTGATTGCCTGAGTGCTG